>NC_000002.12:80417625-81042625 GCF_000001405.40 Homo sapiens
GACCTAATTCTTTAGTTTTTCTTATTCTAATTTATCATGTTCTTCCATATTTTATATTATTTTTATGATGTTTTTAATTTATTTGAAATGGTAGGTTGCAGTTTTAATCTATTTTATAAGCATATCTTTCTGGCATGCTTTCAGTGTGCCTAGGGATGATGGTATTATGTTTCTTAATCTAATTTTTCTTATAACTTTGGATGAGATTTGGCCTTGATAATTTTAAGTTGCTCATTTTTGTGCACATTATCTTCCTGAAGGCTTAGAAAGAGGCTTGATGCAGACAGCTTTTCAAGCTTCCCAGAGCTCTCACTTCTGTTATTTTTGTGTGGTATTAACAAATATGTTTGTCTAATTGTTGAGATAACCTGAATCTTCTTATCTCCCCTACTTTATCTCAACCTTCTCTTCCTTTTGTCTCTGTTGTCCCTGTCAAGTTCAATTTTGATTCCACTCTAAATATCTTTTCCTCCATTGTGGGCCTGTTCTGGAAGAGAGCCACGGCAGGTCAATTTCAAGTGTTCACTGTAGGATCTCCTTCAGACCTTCTTACCCTAGGCGCTGCCATTTGTTAACTTATGACTGCAGACAAATTATTTAACTTTTTAAAGTCCCAGCTTCTTCATTTGAAGAACTAGTATAAGAATCATTCCTATCTAATAGTGTGTAATAGGAATGAAATGATGTAATATGCAAAGATTTTAGCTCAGTAAATGACACATTATACATGAGCTCACTAATAACCAACATTATCCCAGGCAGTAATTTAATACACTTTGTCAAATGAGTATGTGGGAGATGTCAACTTTACATAGACTTTATTACATTTTATAAGGTAAAATGTCAGACACAATTCAGAGTTAAACCAAACTAAGTTATACATACTTTCATTGCATACGTTATAGTAATTCGTGCAAAAAGGAATTGAGATTTGTTCTTAATTTTCCTTGTTCTGACCAATAACGAACGTGTGGGTGTCATCCTATCAAGAGATTCACTTGAATGCTCCTGGATAGGTATATTTGTTTGGAAAACATGCAGAGTGTTTATCATCTTCTCTTCTGTTTATTTTTATGTATATCCCATATACATTCAGATAATTATGAACAAAACAGCACCAAGGTAATTTTTCAGGGACAGTTTCATTTTATTTTCAAGCAGCTGCCCTGTTTTCTATTTTAACAATGTGGGAATGATGTATAATTATGCATTGTTAGAAGATTTGGGCTTGTTTATTCTCATTTATCTTGAAGAATAATTATAAGTATTTCTGGAACATAGCAACTATGTCATCATAGCACCTGGGCACAAACAGTTTTGAGATTGTTAGATGTTTCATGTTTCTGCTTCTATCTAACACAAACAATGGATCTAGAATGGGCAGGAGACTGCACAGTGGCCAAGTTTCACGGTTGGCTTCAAAGTTTAGATCTTTATCTAAAGTTCTCCCGACTTGTTGGTTGATGCCTAGATTTTTCCTTTTCAAAGAGCCTGAATTCTTCAACTGTGTCATGATTCAAAACATCCAGAAGGTTCGGGTCAATGAAGGATGAGAGAAGGCCTTTGATGGGAGAGGACCCATAGTGTGTATTGAGCAACAGGCCATTATGTAACTTTCAAGTTGACATATAATATGTTTAATTCACATGCTTCCATCAGTCATTGGTTTTCCTTTAATAATGTAAGCACTGGGAAAATTTTAAAAAGAAAATAGGAATATTATCTCCATGGGTAATGAGAGCTCAAAAACAGTTTAGAAAAAAAATGGGCAATTATACTATTTCTTAATTGTATGTCATTTTTTGTTTTTGTTTCAACTGTAGCTTCGGAAAGCAGTGATGGATCACATATCTGACTCTTTCCTGGAAACCAATGTTCCTTTGCTAGTTCTCATTGAGGCTGCAAAGAGCGGAAATGAAAAGGAAGTGAAAGAATATGCCCAAGTTTTCCGTGAGCATGCCAACAAACTGGTAGAGGTAAGTGTGGAGGGGCCTGAAGACTAGAGTTTACCGATGGGTTCAATCTCTGCATATGGCTCTTAGAATTTCACTAGAGAGATATTCTATTGTATTTTTGGAGAAATAAAGTCCTGGAATCATTCTTTCCTTTACTTTCTGATTACTGTACCCCCTTTCGAAGGAATCAAGCTACGAATCATCTTTCTTTTATCTGTCTCACAATTCTAAGCATGCTCTGAAACATATCTGCCATTTTTCCTGAACAACAAGCAGGAGCTGAAACAAAAGAAGTGGAAGGGAACTCTGGAGTGCTGAATACCAGTTTTGATTTGAGGGAGTAAATTAAAATTTCTGAATGGAGGCCTAGGACACTTCTCCCTTTTTTCCCACCTCAAACCCCTGTCCACTCCACCCAGTGGTGCCTAGATGCTGTCCACACTGGGAACTTGTGAAAAAAAAAAAAAAAAAAAAAAAAAAAAACCCACCTTCCCCAAAGAGATGTTTGAACTTTTGGTGGAAGATCTTGGGGCAGTACTAGGGTAAGTTAAGCATTGTAAGTATATTTTATGTGTTAGAGGAATCTGTGGGAGTTGTTTTATAAATGCAAAATTTTATGGGGTAATATTGAAAAAAAATATTGTACAAAGTAAATGACAACTAGGCTGCCTAAATTTAGGAGCTGAAAACGAACAGCCTGGCAAAGGTAGGATTAGTGATGTGGGGCTAAATACAATAGAAAATAGAGTTGTTGCACAACAAAATATGTGTGCTAGAGAACAAGAGCCCAGGAGGGATGAGGATGGATCCTGGAAAATTTAGGGAATGGTTATTAGGGCCAGGTTAAACTTTTACAGGCTCTGAGCACTTAATCCTACCACCACCACCACCACCACTGTGATGCATTCCCACTTTAATTCATAATAAAATAAAATCACTTAAAATGACAGAAAACTTAAATGCAAGCTGAAAGGAAAATAAGTTCTTTTTTTTTTCATTTGGATGGAAAAATCAAAATCCTCAGAAAGTTCTTTAAATGTGAAATCCTCTCTGCTTTTCCTGGAGTGGGTGATGGGGGTGGTGTTCGATTTAGTTGCATGCTAAGCACCTGCTTAGTTTGCGCCTTGGTTAATCCAGCACTGCAGGTGCCTCGGGCTGAAGTCACCCAGCCAACAGGAAGTCCTACATCAAGCCTCTGCTTCTCTAGGATACAGGCTGAGCCATCATCCATGACAGCAGTCAGCAGGTTCTATGTGCAAAAGCCTTGGCCACAATAATGGAAGCTTTGAACTTCCTGCTGTAACCCCAATGTCTTGAGAAAATACCAGCCTAGAGCTAAAACTAGGGTAATACAATATCAAAGCAGTTTTTCTGGCTCTGTTCTCTCATATCAGGCAAGCCTTCTATCACCCTTCACATTCCACCTACATGCTCGGAGAGTTCACTTAGCTATTTAGGGATCCAGAGTCTTTCCAAGGTTGACCTTGGAAGCTCTGATCACTTTCGTATTTTGAGAAGGGGAAGGCGGAGAAGGAGGAGGATATGGGTACAGAAGGAAGGGAAGAAAGAGGAGGAGGAAAAAAAAATAATGCTGATGGGTGCTACAAAGCTTTAAATATTCACATGTAATAAAATAATGTTAGCATATAAATATACCATCCCATCTGTATAATTACAACATTTACAAGATAACTGCAGAGTTTACTGAAAATATTCATTGATGGTGTGTTGTAGACACTCTGGATGAAGAATGGGACATGGATTTCAAGTTGTGTGATAAACATCTACTTTCAGTCCTATTAGTGCCTTTACTTCATTTGCAGGACATATTTGAATTTCAAACTTAACATCTTGTGTAAATATGAGACTGGGGCCAAAGACCCAGCTTTTTCCACTCATTCTCCTTTCTCCTGTGACAGGCGCTGGACACATCCACCCTCTCCCCTTATTCTGTCTTTAGGTTCCATTGTAGGTAAATCTGTTCACTACATGTGATTCTTGATCCTCAACTTGTGACAAGCTGAAAGCTTAGATTACTTGCAGCTCCACATTTCAGAAAACTGCACTTTGCCTCCATCAGGTATTCCCTTCATTTCCCATGGATGGTCACTGTGGCCAGCAGCATTTTAATGTCTTGATGCCTAGGAGATACAGGGGCTAGTGTGTGGTCTGGCCTCTGTGTGACTAGGGAGTAACTGAAATCTACAAGTTTGCATATATACAAAAAAAAAAAAAAAAAACCCAAACTTGAACCACCGAGCTGAGTGTTAGCCTTTTTCTAGTTTTGAAAAGTGTGTGGATATGGGCACCTTTCTTAGTTTCTGTGTCTGTAATATGAAAAAGTCGGTTTGTATATTGATTTTATATCCATTGAACTTGATAAATTCAGTTACTAATTCTAAAATTTTGATAATTTCCTTTTGGATTTTCTATGTACATAGTCATGTGCCTGCAAATTATGACTGTTGTATTAGTCTGTTCTCATGCTGCTAATAAAGACATATCATATGCAAGACTGGGTAATTTATAAATGAAAGAAGTTTAATTGACTCACAGTTACACATATGTGGGGAGGCCTCACAATCGTGGCGGAAGGCAAAGGAAGAGGAAAGACACATCTTACATGGCAGCAGGCAAGAGAACTTGTACAGGGGAAGTCCCCTTTATAAAACCATCAGATCTCATGAGACTTATTCACTACCAGGAGAACAGTATGGGGAAAACCACCTCCACGATTCAGTTATCTCCACCTGGCACCACCCTTGACACATGAAGATTATTACGACTCAAGGTGAGATTGAATAGGAACACAGCCAAACCATATAAGTGTATTTCTTCTTTCCCAATACTTATAGTTTGTTTTTTTTTTTTTCCTTGCATTATAGTACTAGCTAGGACCTACAGTACAATATTGTGGTGATAAATATTTTTGTGATTTCTGGATCTCAGTGGGGAAATTTCAGTTCTTTCCCATTAATTATATTGCTTGCTCTATGTTTCTTTCAGATACTTTAATTAGGTCAAGCTAGTTCTAGTACCCATTTGCCAAAATACTTTTAAAAAACTATGAATAACTATAGAATTGTATCAAATGCTTTCTCTGCAGATGTTGAGATGATTTTCTCGTCTCCTTTATTCTCTTTCAGAGGAATTGATATCAAAGTTATGCTTTCCCTTAAAAAATGAATTGAAAATTTTTTCTTCCTTCTATTTTTTGGAAGTGAATGTATAAGATGAGCCTCATTTATTTTTTAAATGTTTGGTAGAATTCACTGATAAAACAATGTGAGTGTGGAAAGGTTTAAAATCATATGACTATTTAATTTTTTTAAATTTCTTTTAAGGTCAGTTTTGTTAATTTGCCTTCTAGGAATTTGTCATTTAATTTTCTAATTTACTGGCATAAAATTGTCCATAATACATTTGTATTTTTTGTTAGATGTATAAGGATCTGCAGTACGGTTTCTTTTTTCCCCACTCCTCATTTAGCTAATTAGTATGCTCTCTTTTTTCCTTGATTAGTTTTGCAGATAGTTTATCAATTTTAAAAATAAGCTTTCAGCTTTATAGATTTGTTTGTATTCTATTTTATTTATCTCTGCTCTCTTTATAGTTCTTTTTGGTTTTTTCCTGCTTTCTTCCAGTAAAACTTACTTCTTCTTTTCTAACTTATTGGAATGGATAATCATGTCATTAATTTCTTGCCTTTCTTATTTTAGTGCTGTACTCATTTAAGGATATAAATTTCCCTCTAATCTATGCTTAAGTCTGGTTATTTTCTACTGCTCTAATTTTAAGTTCACTTATCCATGTGGGTCCAATATACTCAAAACTTATATATTGAGTTCAATTTTTTTTTAAATTTCTAGTTGATTCTTTTTTAAAGGGACTCCAATTCTCTAGTAAAATTTATTATCAGGTCATCTCCTTTAAAAAAATATTAATCACAGTTATTTCAAAAGCCTAAGTCAAAGAACTCCAATGTTTGGATCAATTTTGTTTTTGTTTTGGGGCGGCTCCACAGATGGCAGCCCCCAACACATCCAAAATCCACTGGGATGTTAATATTGATGATGCAACACACCCACCAAGAGGGTCCAGACAGGTTTATTGCTCATGTAATGGGACTTCAGGGACAGCAGAGCAGGCAACCATGCCAGTTCATAATGGTTCAAACAAAGAGAAGAATAAGTGGGTTTAGTTTTTATCATGTTAGGGCATGTGGCTGGGATCAGGATTTCTATGTGACAGCCAGGATTTGAGTGGTTTGTATTTCCCAATAGCAATAAAAAGGTGGCCCCTCTTATCAGTTTGCCCATTTTGGGGACAAAAGGGAAATGGGGGAAGGGTAGGACTGACTTAAAAACTGTCAGCAAACGTTCTTTTTTTTTTTGAGATGGAGTCTCGCACTGTCGCCTGGGCTGGAGTGCAGTGGCGCAATCTCTGCTCACTGCAACCTCCACCTCCCGGGTTCCAGCAATTCTCCTGCCTCAGCCTCCCAAGTAGCTTGGATTACAGGCACCCGCCAGCAGGCCCAGCTAATTTTTGTATTTTTAGTAGAGACGGGGTTTCACTATGTTGGCCAGGCTGGTCTCAAACTCCTGACTTTGTGATCTGCCCTCCTTGGCCTCCCAAAGTGCTGGGATTACAGGCGTGAGCCACCGTGCCCGGCCCAGCAAACATTCAAAATAGACTAGCACTGTTCATTACAGTTCACCCTTATTGTCTGACTGATGACTGGAATGTGCCATGTTTCATATTATTGAATTTAGACATGTTTAAGTGAACTATTATGGGACTCTATGAGGCTTTGAAAATGGAGACAGACTTTATTGCTTGTCTGTTTTTATTAATTTTTCTTGTGATTGTGTTTTTTGATATGCTGGGTGATATTGGATTGAATGGCAAACATGTGTGTGGACAGATATAGAGGGTCTGGATAATGTGTTCTCCTTCCAGAGAGGATTCACCCTATTTTCTGTTGGGCAGCAGAGAGGCAGACCATTTCATTACAATCAAAGATCAAAGTGACTTGAACCTAGGTTGTAGCACTTCTAAAGTTTAGCTTACCCTTCTTTCACCACAGTCCTGAAGAATAATCTTCCAGGGTGGCCAACTGAGGATCAGATGTGTCACCTTATTTGTGAAATCACAAACCCCAATTTTTGTTTTTTAACACCACGAGACTGAGTTTGCTTTGCCTTGCTTTTTGGATGGTCTCAATTTGCTTCTTGCCTGTTGCTATTTGCAACTTAACTGACTGTCAAACGCCTTGGGGAAAAACTGGGGATGAAGCTCCAAGCTCGCTTCTTTGAACCTCTCTTCTCTATGGGATCTTAAGTCCAAGTTGGCTGCCTCAGCGGGGCTGTGCTCAGCTCCATTTTCTGCCTCCTCAGCCCTATGAGATTGCTGAAAACTCCAAGGAATTCTCTTCCTCTCAGCAGCGACCTTCTTTCTGACTTCTCAGATTCTCCTTCAACACTAAGAATTAGCAAATCCCGGCGAGGGTGACTGGAGTGACAGGCGGAAGGTTAGGCTCCCCTCAATGAGCCTCTCTTTTTGATGTAGTTTAAGTTTTGACATCTTTGGCAGCTCTCCTTTGCTTTCAAGCAAATTGCTTTTATTGTGTATTTCTAGTGGTTCTCAGCAGGCAAGTGGGTCTCTTGTAGGCTACTCCGTCATGTCAAGAAGCGCAAATTCCTGAGAGGGCTCATTTAGATAAGTTTATGGTGTTTTGTTGTTGTTGTTTTTGTTGTTAGTATTTTTAGTCAGACATCTTTTTATCCAGTGGAAATTTTGCGACTTACATACCTCAAAAAAATAAATGAATAAATCAATAAAAACAGTTCTGACTGAACTGAAATAACAAGCTTGGAGGTCTACTTCCTACAATTCCCTCACTTAATGCCTCTTCTCCCCATTAAGCACAACCTTCCAATCCTTCCCAGGGCGCCTTTGATCTCTGTTTGAAAACCTCTGATGAATCTCTACATTTCCATTAATCACATAAGAATCATTCATAAATATGTGAAATAATCAATCTATGAATCAGTGATGATGGTTTTAGTCCTTCAACATTTTTCTTGAGTTTAATGATAGTATATTCAGTTTGCTATCTATTTTATGGGTTTTTTTTCCCTTGTATTTGTGTGCCATTTTTTCCAAGTTTGACATTCATAAAAATAGAGTCTATGAAGTGATTGGGCCCTTTTACAACCTACAGAACTTGAGAACCTTAGAAAAGTCCTCAGCAAGGACAGTTTTAGTATATATAAAATATTAGTAAAATGTTCATAGGAAAAATAATATGGGTTCTCATAATTGCTTTAACAAGTGAAATTTTGAGAAGCTTTTGTTGTTGTTGTTGTTGTTTTCTCCACAATATTTAAAACATTTAATAAAATTTGGGGAAACTTCCACTGGGGTGTGTTGATTAGAATTTAACAGGTCAACTATGATGTAAAGTCACTATAGGAAGTATCATCTGTAGAACTAGATAAAATAATTATTAGTAATTTCCTCTCATCTTCAGAATCATGCCCTTCTAAAGATTAGCTAAGGACTTCAGGGTGGGGCCGACCCTGAGGGTATGCCGAGCTGATCCAGAAACACCTGTGGTACCTCACGTCTAAGCCTTCTGGAGAAATGGAATACAAATTATGGCAACTCAGCAGCAAAGCAGTTCGGTCAGGGCTGGGGTGGAGTGGGTGTAATTTGGGTACAAAATATGCATCGCCACAATGAAAATAAAAGCTAATCTTGAAAATGAGATGCAAGATCAACATAGCTATTTTGGGCCTCTGAACTTGTTTTATTCCTTCCATTGCTTGCCTGCTCAGTCAACCTGCCTGCTTTCCCTTCTCCTCCCATCTCTACCATGCACACCTGAGTGCAAGCCACACATTCTATTGTGCAGGCAACTGCAGTGGCCTCCCCACAGGCCTCTTTTATCTGCCTGGCCCTCTACAGTCCCTTCTGCACAGAGCAGTCAGAGTGAATTTCTAATAATGCAAATAAAATCATATAATTTCCCTGCCTGAGGCCATTCAGAGACTTCCTCTTCTTATCAGGTTAAAGACCAACATTGTAAAGAAGCTTACGTGGCTTTCAGGATTTGACCTTCTCTTCAGTCTTCAGGCTCACCGTCCTGTCCCCTCCTTCCTCCACCACCCCCAACAAGGAATCAGCCACACTTGCCATCTTTTGCTTGTTAAATGTGTCATACTCCCTCCCATCCTAGACCTATGCTTGTGTTGTTTGTTTCCTGATGCATTCCCCACTCTATCCTTTCCTCTAGTTTCTAGGCATTGTTCAGCTTTCAGCCTGAATATCATGGCCCCAGGTGGGATCAGTTCCTTACGTCTTTCACTTCATGACATCCCTTTTACTTTAGGATTGTAACCATTCAGCTCTACAACTGTATGCTAGTTCTTCTGCTTAGTTTACCAATTCCTTTAGGAAAGAGATCAGGTCTAATTGAATCCTAACTACAACCCAGCTCCTAGCCAAGCACCTAGCATATAGCAGGTATTCAAGAAAGAGATGGTGCTTAAAAGAGAATAAAATAATAAATGTAGCCAGTGATGTTGCCAGCTTTTGGGCCCCTGAGGGAATATATTTCTATAGCACAGTTGTAGGATCCTAAAGGTCACCTTGGAGATCAGCAGTAAAGAGGCATTGTACTTTTTTAATTGTCTAATTTATTACCAAGAAGAAATTTCAAATCTGTGAAGAACTAATGTGAAGAAATACTATTTGTACCAAGTAGAAAACACCTGCTGTTTGCTACGAGGCTCCCTGAGTTGAATTAACTCTCTCAAGAGGCTCCCAAAGTTGTGTCCCTAACTCCACTATCATTCCTTTCCTGTCCTCTGCCTGACAAGCATGCTTTGGGTTCTCATCCTCAGCTAGTGGATGTGAGAGAGGGAGCTGGCTCTATCTGACAAAGTAAAGTACAGCACTGAAGCCATAGCAATGATGAGTTAGACAAGGGAATCTCAATTCTTTGCTTCATCTTCTTGACTTAGTTACTCCTGATAGCAGTGCCCCATGAAGGATGAGAAGCTGTATCTACTGGAAATTCAGGGCTTGGAAGTCAGAGTCAAACCCTAATACTCAGAATCACTAATGTGATCATCCATCAGTTCAGCACCAGAGTGCCTTCCTTTCACCCTTGAGTAAATTGCTCTTCTCAATTAATCCTTCCCCTTGCACAATGCTGCATTCAGCAATATTTCCTGAGAGGCCCATGTGCTGATGCTGGTCTAGTTGCTGGCAACATAACCATGAACAAATCAGAGGAAGTTCCTGCTCTCATGGGACATGCATTCTCTTGGGAAAGATAAGAAAGGGAGAGGTAAGTGTATACTATGTAAGGCAGAACTATGTGCTGTAGCACAAAATTAAACAGAGTAGGATGATAAAGAATGAAGGAGGAGGGCATGTGAGGTCGGGAAAGTCTTCCCTTCTAAGATGACTATTAAATGGAGATGTGAAGGGAGTGGAAGAACATTCCAGACTGTGAAAAAAACAAGTCCAAAGACCCCAGGGCAGCAGTGTGCTTTGCAAGTTTGGTAGAAAACAAAGAGACCAGTGTGACTGGAGCCGAGAATGAGAGGAAAAATTACAGAGATTAAATTGAGAGCTGGGTATAAAGATTTTGTAGTTTACTCAGATATTGAGTTCATTGGAAGGTTTTGAACAAAGGCATGACATAATCTGACTTCCATTTTTAAAAGTTCACAGTGCTGCTTGATGGAAAATATAGAGTAATAAAAAGCAAAGAAAGAAGAATATGTCCAATGATATTGCAATAGTCCAGCAAGTGATTAGTACTATGACTAGAAGAGAGGCAAGGTCAGTGGGAAGATGCGGCTCAATTTTCCTGTATTTTGAAGGTTGAGCTGAGATATTGGATGTTGGGATGTGTGAGACAGAGAAGAGTCTGGGATGAATCCATATTTTGATAAGCTGCAGTGACATAATCAGTTGAAACTTTAATAAAACATAGCCTACAATCCCAGACTGTTTCTCAGTTGGCTCTGGCTTCAGTTGTCTGATAGATGTGGTCCTAAAACCCCTACACAAATGTCCTGGGTTTAAATAAATGTAAGAGTTTTGTATGTTCCAGGGCCTTGTTTCAAACCATGAACTAAAAAGAAAATCTAGAAAAATTGCATCAACAACTATATTGATGATGATCATGCCACTGCACTTCAGCCTGGGTGACAGAGTGAGACGCTATCTCAAAAACAAAACAAAACAACAACAAAAAACTACATTGATGGAATTGGACCTCCATGCATTTTTTTAAGACAAACCCAATATTTTCATACCCCTTTTTCTCCTTGCTGCCTTCCTCAATACAGCTAATAATATTTGAACTACAACTGAGTTACTGAAGTTTCTCTAATCAATTGAGCCATAGCAATTCTGTAAATAATAATACTCTATAAGAGCTATTTTGTTCAGCTCACTTATGTTAAACTTACAGTAAATTTTGTCATTTAAGAAGTATATATTCCAGTACTATTCTCCTCCGTAATTTAAGAATTCCCCAATTCTTAAACCCTACCATATTTTGTAAGGTTTTCTATAATACACAATAAAGCATTGCAGAAAAGTTCAAGGCCCCCCCTTAGACTCTTAATAACTATTTAGATATAAAGCTAGGGTTTTAAAATTAACTATTTATAACCTTATTTAATGCTTCTGACAACCTTATGAAGTAGCCATTATTTTTTACTTCAAATTACAGATGAGAAACCTGAGGTTTTAAGAAGTTTAATAATTGACCCAATGTCACATAGCTAGAAAGAGGCAGAATCCATGCATAAGCCCGAGTATCCCAGACTCCAGAGACCACATTCTTAGCCACTGTGCCACACTGCCCCCAGGCTCTTATTCAAGGTATCTGTACAGCCTAAAGTCTGATCCTTCATGTAATTATTTAGTACAGTTTCTGTCCCCAAAGTAATTGTTTAAAAATGTTAGCTGCTGATGTTGGCGTAATTGTATAGGCATTAAATTTCATATCTCTGAAATCACATTTTAGAGAACAGCTTTATTTTACTGCACATACCCTGAAAGTAATACATATTACTGCAGAAGAATTCTTATATACTAGTGGAACAGATCATGCAAACTGCTTTCAGGTACTGATATTGGGCAGTGAACTAAGCTCACCCACCAGCTTCACGAGTCTTCACCTGCACAGTTTGCATCGTTCATATCTGTTCAAATTACTAAATGCCGCAGACTTTCAAGCTTGCTTGCAAGTTGGTGGAGTCCAAGGACATTTAGTATTTTTATGTCAAAGGTCTGTTGCAGTGCTTGAATTAACTATGCACATAATGTAAATACTACCAGGTAACATTTCAATATTTATACCATAGGCAAACTATAAAGCGTAGAGCCATGATTATGAAATCAATTTTTTTCATATGTAAGAGAAACCAACTATTAGTTTCCATGAAAACCTTCCAATGGACTCAAATATCTAAATAAAATACAAAATCTTTATACCCAGCCCTCAATTTTGTCTCTGTAATTTTTCACTGACATTTAGATAAAAACTAACCATACCGTATGTAAACCTCCAAATTATATTCCAATAGGTGAATTAAGTACCCTTACAAAGAAATATCCAGAAAATAGAGGGCAATTAACTATGTTGTCCCTACCTAAGGAGGAGAAAGAGAATCAACACTTAGCTTGTTCCCTATGCTAGATACCATGGTAATGTTCACACATTATCTCTTCTAATCCTCTAAGGAAGTGCTTTAATAGTTAATATCATAATTTTGCAGATGAGAAACCTGAGGCTCAAGGAAACTAAAAGTAGCCTGACCAAAGTCACTAGATGATGGATGAGTGACAGAACCAAATGAATTCAAGTTCCCTGGGGTCCATGTTCTTTCTCCTGTTCCATATGCTTGCTCTACCTGTATAGATTCATATTTATAAATATTAACCTTGTACATTCCTTACCTGCCTACCCTCACCATAATAAAATCATAAGCCAGCATACTGGTAATATTGCTTAGTATACTCTCCAAAGTTGAGGAAGAGTGGTGTGATGGATTAGAAAGATTCCCAGGAAACTGGCATCTGGACTTTAATAGTAGTGTTGCCACATTAGACATTAGAAGGTTACATTTCATGTTGCTTCTGCAGACAGGTAGAAAATATTTGGTCTTTTGTTATACTAATTAGTTTTGGTGTTTCATCATCTAAGTAGGGAGTGTCTATTCTCTGCATGTATGTATATACATATATATGTATGTTTTCTCTTGTATTTTGTGTTTTCTGCAACTGTTGAAAGGTGTGTATATATTATGCAGCTACCTCAGAAAAGTTATAACCTTATATTGTTAAGATCAGACACCTTCAATGCAAAAATAAAAAAGTCACCCCCAGTAAAAATGATGTGGTATGTAAGAGCAAGAAGTGTTTTAATTGCCCAGGAAAAAAATTCTTCGATGTTAGAAGTTCAATTTCTTCTAACTCTGAGGGATTTTTAATGTCACAAAGCCTTCTAGCCAGCCTGAAGCCATAGTTGGAGAGGGATTGTGTATTGGGACATTGCTTTTTAGAACCAAAAATGAGTTTTCAGGTTTCTTTGACTCCGTTAGTTTTAGAAGGAGGTGGAGTTCAACTTCACAAAGCCTGCCCAAGGCTCAGTGGGTATGTACTTTCAACCCTTACCTTAACAGACAACATTGGGTCCTTTGGACCTGATGACTGGAGTTTCTTTGATGTGTAATGATTTACCCCTACTGCTGTGTGTGTGGACAGATCACTTTAATCCTCTGACCCTCAGATTTTGCATCTGGCTTGTCACTATTTAGGTGCCGCCTATCTTTGATATTTTACAATTCTCAGGACCTTTCCCAATTTCAGATTCTAGGAAAAGGGAAGACATGTTCTAGGGTGCATTTGTGGTTGAATCTTGAATTTGTGGGTTACAAGGAAAACATGTCATTACAGTGGTTTCCCAGGTGGCCTCACACTCAGGTGAACAAGGAACTGAAGCTTGGAGTACAGCTGGTAGTTGAGCTGTTCTAAATCGTGAACTGATCGGCAATATGGAACCCATCACTCCTTATTGTACTCCCATAACTTAGGTCTGTGACTGATCCGATGTCTGAAACACAGGTTTGAATAACTCTTAATCAGCTTGGTCATTATGTAAGTAGAAGCCAAAGAGGGAATATAGGTCTGTGCCTGTCACATACCAAAACCTACACCTTAGCTAAATGACATTCTGTTATTAACTGAGACCATCGGTTTATAAAAATTAAAAGCTTCAACTTTTTGGTTTTTTTTTTCTTTTTCTTTTTCTGTAGGCACATTAGTGCCTGTTGGTAAAAGCCAGTAATTGTGAGTGGCCACAGTGCCCAGGGTTGGCAGGTGGTGTGGCATTCTTTTTATTTTTTAGTTTTAATAATATATTTAACACAGTATAACCAAAATATTACTTCAACATGAAATTAATATAAAAATTACTAGATATTTTACATTCTTTTTTCACACTCAATCTTTAAATTCTAGAGTGTATTTTTTGCTTACAGTACACCAGGCCCTTGAATAACATCGTTTTGCTTATTAGCACATCCTTTTCCAGTCTCCAGAAACATTCTCTGTCCCTCAAAGCCACTCCAGTATGTGCGAGTATGTGTGTTAGACACATACACATGTTCTTTGATCTAAAGAACAGATTTTTTTAATCATATGTAAAATACAACATGAGCATCTTTTGGGGAAAAAATTGATGTTTTAATTGACCTTAATGTAAAAATCTAAGTAAATACTGTTTGTAATACAAATGCACCTTTTGAAAATTTCCCCACTACCACTTCCCACCAGATTGCTGCCTTTGGCTGCTCCTATTTAGACATTCTGGAGCTGCCACAAAGTGTGAATATCACACATCCAAGGTGCCTGGGAATTGAGTCAATATTTTCACATAATACCGGTGGCCACCAAAATATAGTTACTTACTTAGACTGACAGATTGTTATTTTTTCTCTTAAAACAATAGGACCCTCATTATTTATCTTTTCTAAACCTTTTCTTGGAAGATCAAAAGAACAAACCTGCCCTTCCAAATCTGTAAAGTATCCCAACCAAATGATTCTCTTACCAAGTTGATAGGAGGGGAATCCAAGACACATGAGCTCTATCACCTTCCCTTACCCACACACATTTTCTTATTATTTTATTACTTAATTTTTTTTTTGAAAAGAGTGGTTTATAACTTAATTTTAGAATACAAGGTAGTTGGATGGTAAAGCCTGTAATGTATCTTTAAAAATGGATTTCAGGCTGCCTGTATGAGAAAAGGTGCTCAGCTTTTCTGTAAAATGTCATGACAGTTTCTGCACAGAGACTGGAGACTTGGAGAATGTTAACGGCAGTGGGGCAGTAGAGTACTTTATGGATCAATAGTTTTGCAAACTAAAAATAGCCTGTGATGGGACCTATCCCAACACAACACTCAGCTAAAGAGGCTGTTTTCATCCCCACAATCAAGTATCTCAAAAAGTCAAGTCTTTTCAAGTAGGTGACTTCAAGTATCTCTGTTACGTAGAGCTTAAAAAAACCTAATTTGCAATTTACATCCAAATTGGCACACTTTTCCTGTGCCTATTCTGTAAACACCATGCCAGCCAGGTGTTTGTGTCCATCCTGGCTGGCCAACGTCTTAGCCTCATCCCCGTCTGGGGAAGGGGCTCAGGTGGGAACCCCGCCATCTCAGTGACCACTGTGGAGGGTGAATCATACCCCTCCAGGTAAGGTTCACAGCTGAAAAAGCCAAAGCCAAACACACAAATAATGGGGCAATAAGGAATTAAAGCGGGCCCCATTCTTGCAGAGGACACGGGGAATACAGCTAGATACAGTGCAGGAGGAGAGATTCAGGCTGTCGCCGCAGGGTCAAAAGTTCAGACAAGCAGAACAAGGAAGACTGGAGAGTTCATATGTTGGAGGAAAGTGGGAAAAGAAAGGGAAAGCAGGGAACCTGGTTGCCTCTGCTCACAGCTCTTCCTGATGCAGCTCTAATTCATAAGTTAAACTCTTGTTTTTCTGCCCTTGAATTTTGCCTTGAGGACCATTTTCCTCTCTCACTGACTTCACAGACTCTGTCTGACCTTTCTTATTTCTCCCCATGGTCCTCCTGTCACCAGAAACCTTTCAAACGGTTATTCTATATGCTTGTAGATTCTAGTGCCTTGCTACAAATATAGGTTATATTATTGACCATTATTTCTCCTGATAGTTTTCAGGGGAAAAACTGCTGATGTCCAATGAATTCTCTTGGTTTGATTTTTGCCTGGAAATTTGAGAGTAACAATTACTTTTCTCAAGATGAAAACAATTCAACCTTTGTCCCAATTGCTTAACTAGAATTGTGGAAGAAAGGCTTTTGCTCAAATACTGTTAATAAATGACTGCCTCAGAATTCTGAAGAGTTTCTCACGGTCAAAAAATACTAATGACATGTGTGCAAGTGATTTTCTTGCCTGATAGAGTCCAAGTGTACATCCACAACGAAAAGCATCAAAGCTAATATTTCTTTAGCCTATCTTGGAGAACTTTAGCGTGAAATGACAATTTCCATGACAAGTTGTCTTAGAAATGAAGAGAGGTTTTCATTTTCATGTAGTTGCTCATAATTTTCTACTTATCGCTTCTACAACAACTTTCAAAGCAGTGAATGTTCTGTTTTGTTCAAAAACATGTATAATTTTGCAGAAACTTAATGTACTTGTAGCTATTCTGGTGGTGTACTTTTAATTGCTTTTCATTCTGGAAAACTATGCTTGATGATCATGACTTCGAAGGAGCTGATGATCGCTACTTCGATTGTTGTCATTGTTGTCTGTCTTTCTTTCTGTGTCTCTTTTTTTTTTTTTTTTTTTTTTTGAGCCAGGGTTTCACCCTGTCACTCAGGCTAACATACAGTGGTGTGGCATGATCATGGCTCACTGCAGCATTGACCTTCTGGGCTCAGGTGATCCCTTCTGGGTAGCTGGGACTGCATGGCTAATTTGTTGTGTTTTTTGTAGAGACAGGGTTTTGCCATGATGCCTAGGCTGGTCTGGAACTCCTGGGGTCAAGTGATCTGCCCACCTTAGCCTCCCAAAGTGTTAGAATACTAACACTCATTTAAAAAATTAAGCAGGAGATCACTAGGCAGAGAATTGGGAAAGAAATTCCTGGCTCAATGTATTGCAGGAGTTAAGGCTCACAGGTAGCAAGTGTGCAATATGTCAGGGCACTATGGAGAGATGCTAACTGGCCCGGCCTCATTTCCTCTACTTTGAATGAGTTTTTTTTCCTTGGGTAGAGATTATGGAAATCAAAGTACTTAAGGAGTAAAATAAGATTATTGTGTATCAGGGTTTCTCAACCTCCTCACTACTGACATTTTAGTCCTGATAATTCTTTGTTGTGAAGGGTTGTCTTGTGTGTTATAGGATGTTTAGTAGCATCTCTGGCCTCTACCCACTAGAAGCCAGGAGCACTTCCCTCTAATTGCAACAACCAAAAATGATCCAGATATTTCCTGGGGGACAAAATCATCCCTGGTTGAGAATCACTTCTCTATAATCTTTAAATAAATATGCATATGCACACTCAGTGCCCTATACCTACATCAGTTCATTTGGAACACACATTATTTGATATGAATGCAGTCAGCAGATAACACAAGAAATAGGTGAAGGTTTGTTTCTTAACTGAATTTATCTCTGAAATTACCATTACTCAAAATTCTCAACAGTTTCTCTCCCCACAGTAATTTGGTAAAAACCTCTTGTCACAATTTTTTTTTTCTCTGTGATCTTACTGCTGCTTATAATCTCACTATTTAAAAAGATGCCCTAGTATTCTGAAACTACTTCCAGAAGGGGACATTTTACTGTTGTTCAAATAGTAATACCTAATTAGGATTCTCCCACTGATTTCTTTTTAACTAAGGCAGCTAGCTTAAAATAAGCCTCTAATGAAAGAGGACAGGAACAGGTAGGTAGAGAATATGCTGGAGAAGATGTGTATAAAGAAGACACTGGAAGATGGCAAGGCCCATTCCATTCATATCACCCATAAAGTTGAGGACCAGTTATTAAATGCAACCACAGAGCGGACATAGTTCATACTCCATAAGCGCTTAATAGCTGAGGGTTAAATTCTTGTTGGAATTCTCTGGATAGGCCTATGATCAATCTACCTTTAGTTTTACTTTCCATTAATCCCTTTTAAGAAAGGAAAATAAATCTTTCATACAGTTAGCATCTTTCCATAGTGCCCTGACATATTGCACACTTGCTACCTCTGAGCCTTAACTCCTGCAATACATTGAGCCAGGAATTTCTCTCCCAATTCTCTGCCTAGTGATCTCCTGCTTAATTTTTTAAATGAAAAGATAGTAAGAATGCAGGATATTTCTAAGCAGTTACTGGAAACCATGTGCTGTAGTAAATAAGCCCCATCCAAAGTGAGGACAATATACAGAGGCAGGAAGATCATGTTTATCCCTAGAGTCACGGTCATCGACATTAGTGGCTTCGCTCCCAACCTCTGAAGGCAGGTCAGTGTTTGCAGATGAGTGTGTTCAAGTATATCAAGGGACAGACACTGCTACCCAGGGCATGAGCATGCTGGTTACAGAAAGCAAAAGGTCTCATTGTTCTATGTGTGCCCCCAGGCAGCATTGGTCTTACCTGGGAGCTTGTTGGAAATATAGACTCTTGGGTCTGCATTTTAACAGGATTCACAGGTCATTTCTGTAATGTTCAAGTTTGTGAAGCTCTGGCATAAGAAACATTTTCCAGAATATCTTCTCATGAGATGCTCTGGGGGGTGGTGGGGGAAACAACAACGGGGGTTTGGGGAAGCATGGGTTCAAATACATATATATGTGGGAATCTCCTCATGCTACAGCCGCTGCTATGGTCTCAATGTTTGTGACCCTCTGTTTTGGTCTATTCATGGTGCTGGAACAAAATACCTTAGACTGGGCAATTTATAAACAGAAGAAACTTATTGCTCACAGTTCCAGAGGCTGGGAGGTCCAAGATCGAGGCACCAGCAGATTTAGTGTCTGGTGAGGGCTTGCTCTCTGCTTCAAAGATGGAGGCTTCTTGCTGTCTCCTCATATGATGGAAGAGGCAAACAAGCTCTGTCAGTCCTCTTTTATAAGCGCACCAATCCCATTCACAAGGACTCCACCTTCAGGACCTCCTCGCCTCCCAAAGACCTCACCTCTTAATACCTCCACTTTGAGGATTGGATTTCAATATGTAAATTTTGGAGAGAAAAACAGTCAGACAATAGCACTCCTCAAAATTCTTATGTTGAAACCTAATTCCCAGAGTGATAGTATTAAGAGGTGGGGCTTTTAGGAAGTGACTGGGTAATGAGGGCTTCATCCTCATAAATGATATTAATGCCCTTATAAAAGAGGCTGCCTTGTCTCTTAGGCACCTTCTGTGAGGACACTTAGAAGGCACCATCTATGAGGAAAAGGCCCTCACTGGGCACTGAATCTGCTGGTCCCTTGATCTTGGACTTTGCAGCCTGTGGAACTGTGAGCCATAAATTTCTGTCGTTGATAAATTACCCAGGCTAAGATATTTTGCTATAGCTGCCTGAACACACTAAGACAGCCACTTTTTGGAGATTCGCAACGTACTTAGTCACTGAGAAACATACTTTAGGAAATTCCAGTTTATAAGATCAGGCCTTAGGGATGGGGGAGGCTTGAATTCTAGACATTTCTAAGTAAAATTTGGTTATGGAAAACAAGGGTTTAACATGATAAAAGTGAAAGGTGATTACTTTGGATCAACTTTATTATTTTTTAATGTCAAAAAATGGATACATTGTCATATGTCATGGTAGTCAGCTTGCTAAATACCATTAGCTTCCAAGTGATCCTGTCAAAGGCAATCCAGAAATGCATAATTACTATTGAGTCAATGCTTATTTACCGAGTCTAATTATTTATTTTGTTGGCAGTTATTGTTCTTTCTGGCATTAGTTCTAAAGCTATTTGGTAAAATATGGACAGTTCTAAAGTATAGGTACAGTATTCATTTGCTAGAGCTGCCATTAAAACATACCACACACTGACCGGGTGCAGTGGCTTTCGCCTGTAATCCCGGCACTTTGGGAGGCCAAGACAGGCAGATCACCTGAGGTCAGGAGTTCGAGACCAGCCTGACCAACTTGGTAAAATCCCTTCTCTACGAAAAATACAAAAATTAGCTGGGCATAGTGGTGGGTGCCTTAATCCCAGCTACTTGGGAGGCTGAGGCAGGAGAATCTCTTGAACCTGGGAGGCAGAAGTTGCAGTCAGCCGAGACTGGGCTGCATTGCAGCCATTGCACTCCAGACTGGGCAACAAGAGCAAAACTCTGTCTCAAACAAACAAACAAACAAACAAAACAACACACACTGAGTGGCTTAAACAACAGAAGTTGATTTTCTCATGGCTCTGGAAACAAGGGATCCAAGACCAAAGTGTCAGCAAGTTTGGTTTCTCCTGAGGCCTCTCTTGGCTTACAGATGCCATCTCACGGCGCCCTCGCATGGTCTTTCCTCTATGCTCGCACATCCCTAGAGTCTCCTCCTGCGTCCAGTTTTTCTTTTATAAGGACACAAATCAGATTGGATTAGGGCCCATCCTCATAGCTCCTTTGAACTTAATCACCTGTTTAAAGACCCTATCTCCTAATACAATTATGGAGTTAGGGCTTCAACATATGAATTCTGGGAGAACACAATTTCACCCATAACGATGCCAAATGTTTTTTTTTTTCCGTTTGTTTGTTAGTTTTTTTGTTTTGTTTTGTTTTGTTTTTGAGAGAAGGGAAGCAGAAATACTTTCATTTGTTTTGAAGGCTTTACATTTAATTTTTACTCATTATTTATGCCAATTATTGCACACCCCAGAGATGAATTTTATGATGGTCTAGGTCATCACTAATTATTTTGTTTCTGATACAGATTCTTTCACCTTATTTAAAAATATCTTCAAACTTTTCAATTGTATTACATAAAATAAACCTGACTTCATCAGGGAGTTCCTTGAACTCTAGAGTCTGGTCCAGGCTGTTGCAGTGAGTCGAGATCCAACTAGTGATACTCCTCATTCCATCTGTTCCTTTAGGTAGTGGATGCAGAGTTGTGCAAGGTTTTCCCTCTGCTGTGATTTATTCACCAAAGTCTATAGCATTCCCCTCCAGGATGTGAAAAATCACAGGAGACCTTGTTTGCTAAAAGGGCTCATAGAGAATGAAGGATGAGTATTACATCGACCACTCCTTTTTATGCTCTGTCTGAGAAATTTCATTTCCTAGCCTGAGCAGCTGCCATTCTCTGAAGCAGCCTGTTGCCACTGCTGCTGAGGGAATAGCTATTTTTAAAATCCCTTTCTCTTTTTGATAATAAAATATTCACTGAAAATTATATGAGTAAATAAAGTAGGAGTGGGAAGTGAGGACAATAATGATATTGAATATATCACGTAATTATGAGCTAGACTTTCCCCAGTCTAAATAATTTTTTGACTACTTTCGGGTCTTTTGCCTGCTGCATCAACTACAGCCAGGTCATCTATTACATACAGCAATTTACCCTGTCGACAAAGACCGTCGGGAAAAATTCATCATCAATTTATTTCTCACTTCCCCTGCTGCATTTTAATGTTAGGATATTTGCAAAAAAGTTGGCGGTTATATGAATAAATGAAGCATTGGTTATAGCTGCACTTGACAATAACATCTAGTGTTTATAAGGTTTTTTTGTTTTGTTTTGTTTTTGAGACAGAGTCTCACTCTGTCTCCCAGGCTGCAGGCTGGAGTGCAGTGGCGTGATCTCAGCTCACTGCAACCTCTGCCTCCTGGGTTCAAGCAATTCTCCTGTCTCAGCCTCCTGAGTAGCTGGGATTACAGGCGCAAACCACCACACCTGGCTAATTTTTGTATTTTTTTAGTAGAGAAGAGGTTTTGCCACGTTGGCCGGGCTGGTCTTGAATTCCTGGCCTCAGGGAATCTGCCTGCCTTGGCCTCCCGAAATGCTGGGATTACAGGCATGAGCCACCACGCCAGGCCTTATCTTATAAGGTATTTTTATACGTTTGTATTGTATGGTTTTATATTATTTGAAAACACTTTCCTCAATATATACTTGGTCCTTGGAACACCTCAGTGAGGAAGCTAAGGCAAGTTTCTTTTCTAAGAAATGTGACATTAGCAGTTGGTAACAGACATGAGTCTAGAGTCCAAATTAACTGAGCATCTACTATGTGCCAATAGTATTCTGAATATGTGAGATGTGTCAATGAACAAAACAGAGATCTCTACTCTTGGGGAGCTTAATTCTAATTATAGAAGGCAGATAATAAACAATAGACAAAATAAATATATAACTTATGTAATAGAAGATGACAAGTGCTATGGAAACAGGAAAAGTAGAGCAGTAAGGGAGGCTGACATATAGGGTCACAGTTTTAAGTAGGGTGGTCAGAAGAGGTTATATTGAGAAAGTAGCATTTAAGCAAAGTCTGGAAAGGATTGATTTTGGTGTTTAGTAATTTGCTCACTGTCTCTCTGCCACCTGTTTATTGGTTATAGCATAATCACCCAAAAGACCTGCAAGTATTTGCTCAGAAATCTTAACAACCATGGGGTGATTAGAAAGAACAATGGACATTGGCCTGGACTTCTAAAAAAAAATGACAATGTGAACTAGGAGTAGTCTACCTTGAGTCTTGGTAAGCAGAAAATTGCAATACCTTTTTAGGACAAATGAGTTCCACAGTTTTAAGAAAATCTTAGAATTAAATAAGTAAATGGTGTTTCTGCTGAGTTCTTGGCTATCATGGGCTAATCAGTATGCCTTCTAAGATGCCCATCTGCATATTTGGGCATAGGACTGCTCACACATTGAGACGAAGTTAGACTTCTGTTTGTCCCTAAGAATGTTCCTTACAGGCTTTGTTATAGATCATTGCAGATCCAGCTCCTTACTGGATAAAGTTGATGAAGGATAAAGAAGGAAGATAGAACTTTATAGGGAGAATCAGGTGTTCAGTTGAGCAGTGAAAAAAAGGCATTACGGGAATTTGTGATCTAAATGCTATGAAAGCATATTTGACATCTCTTAGGGGGATTCTTTATCCTGTGACATAAAATTCCACCCCATGATCTGAAATTATTCCAAGTAAGTGGGGCAGAATAGACTAAGTAATCTTGTAATAGACAACCCTGACCCTCAATGGCTTAAGATAGCATAGACTTAATTTTTCTTCATAACTTTCCATTGAGAGTCCCAGGGTTACTTGGAAGCACCGGTTTCTCTCCACCATCCTCTCTGCAAGACTGATGAAGCGGCCACTATCTGGAATATGCCAGTATTTGTGGCTGAGGCAAACAATGTGGCCAAACATGCACTAGCTTCTAAAGCTTTCATTGGAAAATGGCACATGCTTCCCCTAACATCCATGGACTAAAGAAAGTTTACCTGGATAGAATTACGTTCAAGTACTTGTGGAAGTAAATCCTACATGGTGGGTGGAAGGAGAAAGAGCCAGGATATTTGTGAACTGTGTAGGGATTCACGCAGTGGGTAAAATTTTGAGGTTTCTGTCTACCCTGAGACTTCAAAAAAAATTATTGGTGAAGTTGCTTTTTGCTATTTGATGAGGTGTCCTTTTGCTGTTCAGACTGGATATTTGATTCCTCTTGTGTAGTTCTTCATTTTTCAGGAAGGAGTAGGGCAGGACCAATTTGTGCAACGATTTGAAGTTGAAGAGATGCAGTTTAAGGTCAACATATGACAGTTTTGTTGTTAGTTTTGTTGACAGTATACTCAATATCCTTTTATAATGAAGTCATTTTTCTCAGAAGCTCATGTTGGGTTGCAAAAAAATATATAAAAGCAGCCTTATCTTCCACAGAGGAAATTTTAAAAATTATAATTCTTATACCACAGGCAACACCATTGTTTTTTGATCTCCGTGACTTCTGTTTTGCAACTCCAAGATATTAGGTTCTATAGCTTCTGAGAAGAGCTCATGAGTGTAGAAAGGTCTGAAAATATAATATGTTAGGCAAGCAATGTGTTTAGTAAAGAAATGGAGACAGAATGGGGAGGCCAAGGAGATGTCAAAGGTCACACAAGAAATAAGTTGAGCCCAAAGATTAGGTAAAATAGGAGAGGTCATGATGTTCTCGAAGGCCTGATTCAGAAGAGGCAAGAGGTGGGGAACTCAGTCAGTAGCACTGAGGAGCAAGACATGCCGAGGTGAGCCATTTTCCTAGGTCAAAAGGCAGAAGCCAGAACAAAAGGGAGACACCAGTCTTTCAGGCAGTCCTCCATGGGCAGGTGGCACTATCCTTCTTCTGCATCTTTCTGCACTTGCAGAGGACTGGCTCTAAGAGGACTAGTAGCCTGCAAAATAAGTTTGTATATTCTTGTAACAGGTTCACACATATGACAACTCCTCATTTATTTTTCTATATCAGCAGGTCTTCACATGGGCCATCCTTGTGATTCTCCTCCACTGATTAGCCCATATCTCAAGCTCAGCCTTTCTAAGTGATTCCCCTTTAGGCCACCCTTTTGAGGCAGTATGGTGATGTGGTCAGTGGGCATTCATGAGTCTATTCTCAAAGCTCCCAGTTAATTGATGTGTTCTGCTCCAGGGTTGCCCAGAAGGCAGGAGCAATAGACCAGTGTCTTCTTAGTTGTATTGCCCAGCCATCTGGACCTTCTAGAGAATTCACTGCCAGGAACGCAGGACCATAGTCTAAAAACTGATTACTCCAAACCAGCCATGAGCCACTTAGCAAGTGCTCACATCTCATGCCCTTTCAACACACATGCAGTGACCCCCATCCTCAGTGGAACCTGGCTCCATCTTGCTTTTGTTCCTTAATACACGCACCACTTCTGTTTCCAAGGAGCTACCATGCCTTCCCAATGCCATGGCTTGAGCAAGAGGATGATCCACTGGGTGATAGAATTTTAGGCCATTAATATACCGTCTCTGTCTTTTTTACCCCTCTCTGTTTCCTGTATGTTAAATGGAGATACTAATACCTTCCCCTCTTCTGGAAGACAAGAGAATAATTGAATGAATTTAAATATTTAAACCACTTCCCCTGCCAAACAAAACACCAGAATGAGCAGCCTCAGAGAAAGCCCTAGACTAAGGCTCCCATCATTGTTGCCATCATCCTCGTCTTCTTTTCTCTTATTAATTAATCTCCAGACAGCTCAGAGCAGAAAACAAAGGGACCTTAGCTCTGACTGGAGTCAAGAATTTTCCTTTCTGTTTCTCCCATGCATCTCCTAAATACCCACCAGAGTCTAGCAGTGAGAGGGGCCTGCAATAAGGAACTGAAGCTCATGCTTTTTCCTTCACCTTTTTAAACCTTCCTTTAGGATCTGCAATTGGTGGAAAGATGAATTTGTAGGCCTGAGGTATTAACAACCAAACTGAATAAAGGCAGCCTTCCTGTGGAACCAAAGTTCACTTAATCGTGCCTTGGGCCTGGGTGAACACAAATGCTGTTCTTTAGCATTGACTCAGGGAAGCATCGCTTGCTTTTATAAGATTGTAAGACAATGATGGAAGTAAAACAGCTCTTCTTCACCCCACTTAGGTAGGCCAGCTTTAGAATGGAGAACAAGGTGTGATTTTCAACCCATAATAGTATTAATTCAAACTGACACAGCAAGGAAATCCATTTTTCAGGCTGCTATTTATTTCTTTTCTCTTATCAGTCAATCGCAAATATTTATTGAGCACTGTCTATGAGCTCAGCATTGAAGGGGAAACAGAATAAGCACAAGAGATGACCTCTGCTTTTACCATTTAACATTTCCTTGGGGGAGACAAAGCTAACATTCATGGCCTAATAGAAAGAACACTTAACTGGAATCAGGAGATCTGTGGTCTTGTCACAGTCGGTTGAGTAGTATAGTGTGTGGTTAAGTGTAGAATGCCCTGGAATTGGGCTCTCAGAGCTATAAAATAAGGCACTGTCGTTAATTAGCAGTGAAACCTTGAGAGAATCCTATACCTCTCATCAATTTTTCTCATCTGTATAAAAGAAGTTAATAATAGTGCCCAACTCAAACGCTTGTCAAGAGCTTAAAGTTAAAACTTGGCTAGCATTATATTTACGACACATTAAGTATGAGATATCATTCATTTAATATTTCAGACAAGCCTTTGAAAATCTCTGGGACAGAAAAGAGACCAGACTTGTGTTATATATTTCCTGTGCCCTAGAGACCAAATGGGGCACATCACATATGCATTTTTATACATCCCCACTAATGCCTTGTAAAGTGGGTTAGGGAGACATGAATAGGTTAAAATCATGACATGAATAGGTTAAAATTTTGTAAGGTCTGCTATTTGGTAAGAGACAAAGCTTAGTTCAAACTCTGATCTGAGTCAAAATCCTGTGCACTTTCTACTCTCCCATAGCCTCTCTGAATGTCAGTTTTCCCTGTGAGAAAATATTGGGATAGATCAAATGGGCTCTGAGTTCAGCTCTAAATTTTTGGATTCCACGTCATCCAATCTTCTAGTAAAACTGAATTTTAGATCAAGGGCAATAAGGATGGGAGCACTGCATTCACAAGAGGCTTTTAGAAGTATTAATTAGGCCATGAAGAACCAGTAGAATTTGTTTATATGAAAGGAGACTACTTCTGCTAGGCATAAATATTAGAACAATGGTGGGAATGATAGGTAGGGAAGACAATATAAAAAATTATCCCTACCAAGAGGAGGCTGCTACTGAGGAAAGGTTGGAGAGAGGACTGTTTTCCTTCCTAATACCTTAATCTGCAGTTTCTCAATATCAGCACCATTGACATTTTAGGCCAGATAACCCTTTCTCCTGGGGACTGTCCTATGAATTGTGGGATGTTGATAGGGCTGAATTGTACCCCGCTCCCATCTAATTCATATGTTGAAGTTTTAGCCCCCAGCATGATCATACATGGAGATAGAGCCTTTGGGAGATAATAAGGTTTAGATGAGGTCATGAGGGTGGGGCACCTATGATGTGATTAGCGTCCTTATAGGAAGAGACAGGAGAGAGTTTATTTTCTCTCTACCTTGTGAGGACATAGCAAGAAGACTGCCATGGAAATGATTGAGAGGACCCTCACCAGAACCCAACCATGCTTGCACCCTGGACCTCCAGCCTCTAGAACTGGGAGAAAATAAAGTTCTGTTGTTTAAGCCACCCAGACTGTAGTATGACACTTGTTATGGCAGCCCAAGCAGGCTAAGCTGTTTAGCAGCATCCCTGGCCTCTCCTCACTAGATACCAGTAGCATCCACCCAGTTATGACAACCAAAAATATATCCACACGTTGCCCAGTGCCCCTGGGGATAAATCACCTCAAGTTCTCTTAAGTTCACAATTTGAGAAGATCACTTGGGAACCACTGTCTTAACCTTGTCTTAATTCTAATTTAGGCCATGAACCTCATTATCTGCAAGTTTAGGTTTTATGTTTGTCTCTTTGTGTTTTTTTGTTTGTTTGTTTGTTTTTAATTTTTATTTATTTATTTATTTTTTTGAGACAGAGTGCTGTCCTGTCATCCGGGCTGGAGTGCAGTGGCCCAATCATAGCTCACTGCAGCCTCGACCTCCCAGGCTCAAGCGATTTTCCCACCTCAGCCTCCCGAGTGGCTGGGACTCTAGGTGTGCACCACCATGCCTGGCTAAGTTTTGTATTTTTTGTAGTGATGGGGTTTTTCCGTGTTGTCCAGGCTGGTCTCTAACTCCTGAGCTCAAGTGATCCACCACCTTATTCCCTCAAAATGCTGACATTACAGGTGTGTGCCACTGTGCTCGGCCCCGTTATTTGCAAGCTTAATATTGCTGCTTTAAATTTATGTTTGCCTAATATGGTTCTCAAACTTTCCTGTGTATAAGAGTCACCAAGGGGAACATAGTAAAATGCAGATATTTAGTCTTCTGTCCACCAAAAACTTGGTGTAGTGGTCTGCATTAGAACCAACAAATTTGATTTTTAACAAGCTCCTAACTCTGGTGATTCTGACACAGTCTAGGGACCCCTACTTTGAGAAGCACTGACATTGTTGCTATAGTCAGTGTCAACCTTGACCTTACATGCATAGTAGAAAGACAGTGGCCTTGGGAACAAATAATTGTGGATTTAATCCTTTATTTTTTATTTACTTGGGATTATGAAGTGAGCTGGCTAAGCATGTAGCCGTCAAGATCAGGTGCCCTAGTTTCAAAGCCTGGCTTCGTCTCTTATAGGATGTGTAGCATTGGGTGAATCACTCAGCATTTCTATGCCTGGGCTTCCTTACCTGTAAAATGGGGAGTATTGTCAGTGCCTGCCTCATACATTGGCATTATGTATGACTGGATACATGGCAAGACTCTGGTAATTGTTCCTGCATAATGTGTTCAATAAATGTATGGTGGTAGAGGCAAAGGTTAATTAAAAATAAGTGTGGACTGTTGCCATAGCAGCCTTGTAAGGGCATTCTTGACTCTGTTAAGAATTCTTAATGCACTTAGCACAGGATTTTTCTGACTCCAGAGCTCCTATGAGTGACTTGGGAAGTTTGTAGAATGCATGTTCCCAGCTTCCTCCACTCAAGAGAGACTAATTCATTATGCCCCAGGTAAGGTTTAGGCTTGCATGTTTATAAAGCTATCCAGATGAGTATGATGCAACCAACTCAGATACCACACATAGAAACACACTATCTTGAAGAAAATAGATTGTGTTATGTGCACACTCGACCTGCTTATTACATTGATCTATTCAAGTGATAGACTATATGCTAGAATATAATCTTTTAAGTCTGTTCTCCACTGAATATCCCACATAGAGGTGATTACAAAACATCGCATGAATTCCTTGTTTTCATATTTGATACTTAAGCATTCTCTTTAGCTTCTAGTTTTCTTTGATATCCTTGGAAGCTTTCCAAATTGTGTTCTGGAAAAAAAAATCATGTAAGGCTTTTTTAAAAAGGGAGGAAGAAGACACTTCAGAAAGGATGTCACCCAGACTTAAAACCCTTTTCAACAGGACGTTTCAACAAGTTGGGTTGTGAACTTGAGAAAATTAATTTTTGGAAATTCTTAAAGCAGTACAGACTCCTATTAAGGAAAAAATCTAGTAGTGTAGAAAACTAAAGGCCTGTCAGTATAAATTTTCATTTCATCTTTATTCCTATTTTTTGGTGAAAATAAAATTTTTTCAGCAGAAAATAATTTTCTCCTTAGGGTTTTTTTGAGGAAAAAGATGGATTTTGCTTGTTAAAAAAAGAAGGCAAATGTATTCTGATTGCACCAACATTTCTTAACGTGCACTCCAAACTCTCCAGCTTTTTTCCCCATAAATTTGATGAGAATTATGACCACCATGAATATGTTCACTATCAAAATCAAAGACATTGCCAAAAATAGGTAGAACTTAAGTGTTACTTCAGTTAAATGGTGATCTTATCACTGTGCTTGGTGTCATTTTTATTGTAACATAGTGGAATATTTTAGAAGGGAATGATTAGTAGTCCAGATTTTCTTCTGCAAGAGCTAGAGATTCTCTGATGTAGTTTTTCTGCTGTAGTACATTTTTTTCCAATGCCTTCAATCTATTACTTTTACCATTGCAAATCTTTTGGGTAATATGTGTAATGGGCGTACATTTGGTCCATGAAACTCAGGAGCAAGAATATCACTTGTTTTTATATTTATAAGGTATATAATTATAGCTGGCCACTTTCCAAAAGATCTGGCGTCTTATGGAAGTCTAGAAGCAAGCTTCTTGGTATGGGGTTGTTGTGTTATTTCTCTTACTCTAGGCCTGTGTGTGAGCAGCCACTCCATTCATACAAAATTGTGCATAGGTTATAACAGAATGTCCTGTATGCACAGATGCTCTGATACTTCCTGCTGCAAGAGGAGAATGTTTATTAAGCCTAGTGGGGGAAAAGCTCCTAGTGGAATTATTCCTCCTTTCCTTCCTCTTATCTTGGGAAATCCCACTGTTCTTCCCCAGTCAGGCCCTTCCCTTCATCCTTCTCCCACGCTGGGATAACTTCCGTTTAATAATCCCTTGATGTACCCAACCTTTCAAACAAACACATGGGTGGGAATTTTCTTTAGTTCACCCTTAGAAATCCAAATGTGCTGTTAACTTATGTGGAAGGTGGGAGGGTGGAGGGCATATTTAGGGATGAAGATGAGGTATGGCTGAGAAAGAACGCAGAAGCTTGCTCATTCTTCCAAGGAGAGGGCCAGGGTGAAACTAATCTTTTCATCCTTACCTTTTTGAAAGAAGAACTAGACAGATAGCAATGTAACAATAGAATGTTCTCCCGAATATTTGTGGTAAAGTCTCCGATAACTAAACTCAACAAATCAGAGCCTTTATTACTGCACTTAGTTCTGGAAGGAGTCCAATTACAACAAAGTAACTGGTATCAGATTCTTGCTTTAATAACACCTTTCCAGGAAGGCCCTGGGCTCTTTTCTAATTTGGCCCAATCACTGACGCCTTCTCCATCTTTGTCCTCAGATCCTTTGTGAAATCCCAGATTGTCTTCACTTACTAAAGAAAGACAACCATTTCATTCAGCAGCCTGGATTTACTAAGCAAGGGAGGAGTGGGTATTTTAGGGTGATGCTTAGCAATAAGGGTGAATTTAATATGTTCTCCGTTTCACTCTTAGCGACAATCTCAAAATCTTCAAATAGTTCAAAAAAATTAAACTGTTTTTGTTTCTGAGGAGCATTCAGCAAAATTGAAAAGTCAGTAGGATTTACTTTGATTCCTTTGTTTCGCCTAGCCTGTGTGTTTCTGAATCCTGACTACACATTAGCATTACCTGAGGAACTTCAAAAACTCCAAGCCTGGGTCTCACCCCTAGAGATGCTCATTCAGTCTGGGCTGGGGCCTGGGTGTCACTAATTTGAAGTCCTCCAGGTGATACTAATGTACAGCCAGGGCTCAGAACACCAGCTGCACTATTTGCATAAGTCTCCTTTCTTGTTAGCATTTATTTATTTATTTATACCCTGAATATCTTAGGACTGATTTTTTACAGGGTTATGCTCTTAGTAGGCAAGGAGCTGATAAAATATCATGTATCCCAGGAGCCTGTATGTTAGCAGGGTCTTCAGAAAACCTGGAACCTAAATAATAATGGTGAAATGGTGGCTTGACAGGGCAGCGATATTGCCTTCATTTCCCCAGCTCTCCTTCCTTTCCTCCTTTTTCTCTATCTTTTCCTCCATTAATTTGAAAGGCAATTCTTAAGGCATTCACACTCAAATTTCTGCCATATATTTGGTTAGCTACCTGTAGAGCTGATGCTAGGGGTCATGCTTTCTAAGGCATAGTCCTATGTATCCCGACATTGATGATATGGGTTTGTACACGTAGTCTGAAATGTTTGATTAGCTACCCACAATCAGTAGCAGCCTGCTTAAGATATCAGAAGACCAAGAAGCAAAAATAGGCCAGGTGCAGTGGTTTAGGCCTGTAATCCTAGGACTCTGAGAGGCCGAGGCAGGAGGATCAGTTGAGCCCAAGAGTTTGAGGTTGTAGTGAGCTATGATCAATCATGCCACTGCACTCCAGCCTGGATGACAGAGCAAGACCCTGGTCTCTAAAATTAAATAAATAAATAAATAAATAAATAAATAAATAAATACACTAAATAAAATACACTTCTTGGTCTATTTTGTTATTGTAGCAGTAATATCTGTTCATTGCAAAAACATTAGAAAATGTAGATAAGTTAGAAAGAACAAACCAAAAACCACCTGTAATATAGCTAGGGTTGCCTCTGGCTTTCCTTGTGTCTCCTTCTCTGTTTTCAAATAACTTTCTATACTTAAAATGATTTTTAATGGATCCTCCTCTTGGTACATGTTAAAACAGAGCCTCTGACTACATGTTCTGTAAGGCAGGAACATTTAAGATTTTAAGCCAACTTAGTACCTTTGAATTCAAAACTTGTAGTTTCTTAGAACTCCATACATTAGAATGGCTGTGGAATTATCCAGTGATCAATAAGGATGTGAGTTTCAGAAAGCTTAACACAGAACTAATCAGTGACAGAACTATAAATACAAAATCCAGGGTCACTAGGTTCTGGGGGCCATGTGCCTTTCTGTAGCTCACACTATGTGCTTGGTGTGTAGCCAAGTACAAGGGTGTCAGTTTAATCTGGGTCTGCAAGTGGTAAATTATGCTTTTTAAAGTATTTACTGTTGTTCTACACAGTAGAATGAGAAATGAGAGTTGACTATATTCTTGACATGATCTGTGAAATAACGTGATTGTGGTTGAATTTCCTGGAAAATTTGAAGAATAAATTGATTATTCAAGGTGTGCATTGGTTTATACATATCTCCTCTTCTCTTAATGCAAAGCTATGATGTTAGGAATGTCCAAAGAAATTAGTCACAGAAACAATAATATTTAACCCAACATGTCACAAACCTTGATTTACAGAACACTAGTTCTTAAGATGTTAATAGATATTCCATAGAAAACTCTGGATTAAGTCAAATTAAAGAAACATTTTTCATAATTATAGGAGTATCCTGGGTCTACAATAAGCTTATGGGCATTGTAAATCCCTGTATGAGACAAAGTATGCAAATTTCCTTGTTGTAACCATAATAGCTTTTTTTTTTTCCTTTTTAAAGGACCATTTATTACATCTTGAACAACTAGTATGGTTGTTCAGCCAGTTTAGAACATGCTGGTTTTATCTGGTTAGGCTTTGTGTTTTGGGAACATCCAGAGAACATCTTCTAAAGGACAAAGATGTGCTGAGAGCATAAAGTTAACCTGTTGTAATTTAACCCAGGGAACAAAAGTGGATTTGTCATTTCTTCTCAAGGAATTCTTGTAGTAATTACCCTTGTCTGGAGTTGCTTACCTTACCCCTCCAAGTCTATCTTTTTTCTTGTGTTAGTGTCTCTTCTGAAAGTCCTAACTTTAAAAAAGCAGAATATGATACCTCCTTTTTTACAAAACCAAAGGAGGGACATTCAGATGCTTCCTTGAATCTCCAGTTTCCAAGCTAGACAGTCTTAAAAGATTTTCAGAGGTGTCCAAAGTAATCAAAGTCTTCTTCTAAGAGCACTTGTTGATGGCAGAACTGTATTAGTCTATGGTTTATGGTGATTAAAATTTGATATAGTGCAGGCAAATCAATAGAATCACAGGGTTGGATGGTAATTTTCAGCAGTGGAACTTGAGAGGAACAATTCTATTTCTATTTCATAGTCTTTTTGTCTGTTTGTCTTAACCAAGTCTTCATTAATAACCTCCTGACCATTAAGGTGTCATTGTTTAAAAAAAAAAAGTACTTTTCCCTGTCTCATTTTGGAAGAAATATATACATACACTTACCTTTCTCTGAAAATATCTGGTGCATTATCCTTTGTGTGGCCTTCTCCCCCTCCCATGTGATTTTGTGCCACGGTGTGTAGGTGATTAAGAGTCATGTCTTATAATACTGACTGATACGGTTTGGCTGTGTCCCCACCCAAATCTCATTTTGAATTGTATTTCCCATAATCCCCATGTCTCCTGGGAAGGACCCACTGGGAGGTTATTGAATCATGAGGGCAGTTACCCTCATGCCATTCTCATGATAGTGAGTGAGTTTTCATGAGATCTGATGGTTTTATAAGGAGCTTTTCCCCCTTTGCTTGGCACTTCTCCTTTTTGCCACCATGTGAAGAAGGGCATATTTGTTTCCCCTTCTGCCATGATGGTAAGTTTCCTGAGGCCTCCCCAGCCCTGTGGAACTGTAAGTCAATTAAACCTTTATAAATTACCTAATCTCAAGGAGTTCTTTATAGCAGTGTGAGAGCAGACTAATACACTGACCCCTGGCCTCATGTGCACATCCTATAGCAGATGCTTCCATGTTTTCATTGGACTAGACCTAGCTTCATGTCAAGAGACAGTTGTGAGAATCACTGCATCAGGACTTGATATGTAATATATGGGTCAACCCTTTAATTTAGATTTGTTCTCTTAGATCAGGCAATAATTCAAATATGATTTGAGTAAAATATTTTATTTAATTTTGGGGGGATGAGGAAATGTTTGAGTCTTATTTGGGAATTAAGGAAAATATAGCCAAAATCAGAAGTTATTACAATCCAACATTCAAGAATTACAGATTCCTTCATGCTGATGTCAGTTTCTCAGTCCAACATTTATTTTTTATCGGAAAAAAAAGATTTTTACATATATTTAAATCAGCATATACTAGAATAGGTTTAAGATAAGCATAAAGAGGAGGGCAAAAATAGAATTTGGACATAGAAAAAAATCCCTAAATCCAGAACATGAGGCTAGTTATATATCAAAGCATATTAAATAGATGACTAATTATAACAATATTTAAGCTATATTTGGTTCTTTTGTCCCTGGCACTATACCAAGAACCTAGCAACCATACCACAAGATATTTATAAATACTATTATTTTCATTTTACAGATGAGGCAGCTGAACCTGTTACATTTCTTACCTGTGGTCATGAACCTAGTACATAATGCAATCAGGATTCACAGCTAGGTTTATTTAACTTCAGAGCCTGTTTACAGCTGTTGTGATATACTGTGGATCTCAGTTCATCCATCCATTTATTCAATCAACAAATATTCTTTGTGTCTCCTATTTGACAGGCATTGTGCTAGGTACCATAAACATGGATGAGTAACACAGATGTGATCCCTGCTTCTGATGCATTTACAGACACGTGGCTGTATTCTAGTCGGCTGTGTGCCCAATAGTTTTTAACCCAATGGTCCATAAAATTCCATCTGTTTCCTAAATCAGTCAGGTCTCATGGGGCTGATTGCCAAAATGGGAGAGGTCCTCTGGGCAGCTGTCGGTGTTCTAACGCCGCTGACAAACTGACCAGATTCTGAGCCATATGGCAAGCCCCTGATGCTGGCTGGCATCCTCACAAATGCATGGAGCTTACAAGGGAGAAGAAAGGATGCTGGTGGCATTGGGGGCTTCTTGCAGGTTGGGTTGGGGAAAACCAGCTTAGATAAAAAGAAATCTAGGAAAGGGTGAAATATTCAAACTATCAGCTTTGACTAGAGAAGATTCAATTTGAGATAGAAGGGATGCTGAAATTAATGAACCTTGGTTAGCTGGTATCCCTGCAGTATGATAAGATCTATCATTTAGATCAAGGAGATTTATTCTTGGGATACAGCAAGACCTCCCAGGTTTTTGGAAAGGTATCTGATGGAATGAGGCAAAAATTTCAGAGTTAGTTGGCCAAGTTATGGTGGGAGAGAGTAGGATGAAAGGCTGGGGTGCCTTCTAGGCCAGGTATAGCTGGGGTTGAACCTGACAGCCTGGGACCTCTTTGAAGGCCAAAGAGACAGACTGGCCACACCCAGTGGGAATTTGTTAAGGGGCTGCTACCTGATGTTCCTGAGGGTACTTTGGGAGCTAAATCCAAGCATAGAGCAAGCATGGGAGCATCACGTGGATTTCCATTTCAACACTGGTGAAATCAAATCTCCTAACACACCGTCATCTAGCTTTGCCTTGCTCAGGGTCTGTGCAAGGTTGAGCAGGCTGAGTACTGGTCATTACTGGCCATGGTTGGGCATGGCCAAGGTTGGTAGGGATAGGGGCTGACTAAGCACCCACCCCCACCCTAACCCTGGAAGAACACAATGGAAAAGTAATGTGTTAAGAGTGTCAGTCTAAGAACAGCACATCTGTTTGTGTTACTGGTACTGAACTTCACTATGGAAGCAAGTGGGTGGATAGACTCTAATATGGTGCATTCAAAATGGATATTCTCTGCTGGCTTTAGCAACAGCTTCATGGTTAGTGATTTCTCCATGTGTGTGATTCGCTCACGTAATTCTGTTTAGCTCCACGAAAGCTGTTAAAAAAACAAACAAAATAAAACAGAAAAACAAGACAGAAGAGAGAAACCATAATTGAGCTAGCAACGTGCTTAAATAGGAAACACTACAGAACATATATCTGTTTGCGGGGGATCACAAGGTCTCACAAAACAAAGTTGCATAGGAGAATGTGAGGACAGACAGGGTTATATAACACAATGTAGTTTCAATCAGAATGATTTTGTCCTTTGACCTGACTGTAAATCAAAAGATACGTTTCTATTCTCCACCCCCGTGTTTTTCTTGATGGTAATTTCCACTGAATGTCAAGCTTTTTGTGTGATGAATAAATACCCATTCTATGGGTACCATTACCAGCTGTCCTAGCTGCTGTAGGAACTCTCCTTGACTGAAATAACAATAAATTATTTCAATCATTTAGAAATTAGCTGCACAATTGTCAAAGCTCTGGCTTATATTAACATGATGCTTGAGAAAAAGAAAAAAAAAGAAAAGAATAAAAGAAAGGGCAAAGAGGGAGAAAGAAAAACATTTCGAGCCCCATTCCAACTATCAAGGGAGGCTGTCTGAGAACAAAGGCAAAGCGACATAGTTTACTCTTATCTGCTCTAATTATTCTTTATCTTAAAGTATTACAATTGATTGTATTGAGCATCTTTATCTATGTCTGGAAAGGATCAAATAAGAGAAAAGGAGGGGCTGAGAGGAACACTATAGAAAGATAGATTTTTGTCTCATTGCAGGAAGAGCTTTCCTTTAAAGGGAAAATATGCTGTTATGGAAGGTCCCTGGAAGCAGTACGATGCAGAGTTCACCTCGGGAGTTCTGGGTTCAGACTGTCATGGTGGGACTTAGCACTTCGCAAACTGCTCTGTACCTTCCCCATGTGTAGAACAGGGAAAACTGTAGTCCATCCCCAAAGAGACAATATGTGCCTGGCTGTTGGTGATAATCAGCCATTTAATACTACTATTCATGAATCCCTTGTCCTTGAACGTGTTCAAATGTTAGATTTTTAAAAAGCTCTATTCAGCTCAGAGATTGAATTCTTAGGTTCTGCCAGGGAGATAAGGAGATGGATGAGCAGAACTCAGTGAGGCTGACGGAGGGCAAGTACCCTGGGCACTGGGTCTTGCTTATTAGTTCTGCCGGGCAGCATGCGGCACACTTGGTCTCCCCAGGTCTCCATCTGCAGCCTCTCAGACAGCGTGTTGAGCTGACATATGGCACAGGGCCAGCCCTGGGCATTTGATCATTGTCAGCCTCCCAGCAGAATCTTTGGCCTGAGCACAGATTGGCAGGCGGGCAGTCAGTGCTTCCCTCTCTGATGATGGGCTAGCCCGGGGAAGGCCCAGAGCCAAAGGTCAGAAGGAAAACAAGGAAGCTGTGAAATCATATCAGAGAATCAGAGCTCAGTCCCTTCTTTTCACAATTGAGGAGCCAGAGGCTCTGAAAAGGGAGATGATATGCGGAGGCTGCATCCCTCATGACAGCAGAACTTGGACCAAAAGACAAGTCCCTTTCTTCCAGATTAGTGATCGCCCTGTTTCAGCTTACTGACTGTCAGGGCTGGCAAACAAATGGCAAATGGTTAGGTTGGGGTAATGAGGTGTCAGGGGTTTATGAAGCAGCCTTTTTGTACCTATAAATGAAATTTTTAAAGTGCCATGATATAGTCAGTAGGCCTATGTCAAGAAAGAAAGCTTGTCACATAAGTCTGGCGTAGAGCCACTGGGCAGAGGCAGGAAGAAAGACATAAAGAGAAACTGTTACCCAGCTAGTAATTGCCAGGTTGAATGGGCTTGTATAAAGGTCATCTCTCTATCAGGAGGGTTGAGAAGGCAGGACTTTGTGGAGCCAAAGTGAGGGAAACAGAAGCAGATTTAGCAAGATTCTTTTTGTTTCTTTTTTGTGGGCATGAGTAGAGGAGAGGAATGTGAGACTGACATTAGGGTCTCCACGGCATTAGGTCTCCGTGAAGTTGCGAGTTAGTGGAAATTTGTGTTTCATGCCTTCATCACCTTATCTTTTGTACCTTCATTCCTCTTCCACATCTTTCTGGAGAGGAGTGTACTCTCACAAATCCTCTCCTCATTAAAGTGAAGAAAATAATATGATAAATTAATTCACACCAAGATGGTGGTGACTAATGTGTGCTGTCCGTGCGACCTTTGAGTTTTAAAAGGAGATTCTAAGAGAAGGCCAGTGCCATTGCTTACCATTGAGCAGGGAGTCTCTACCAGCAGAATGTCAGATGAGGGGAGGAGGAATGGTGTGTCTGGATGCATATTATGAGCATAATTTTGTTCTCAGTGCACTGATCCATTTAATCTTCGAAACAAGCCTGTGATTACCTGAGACACAGAGTGGTTATGTCACCTGAGGAAGGTCACATGGCTGGAAAGAGAAGTTTGGAACTAAACTTAGTCACACTATGGCTCTAAAACAAAATGTCCCTTTTACTGTTCAATGCTTGCCAGTGAGAAGTTACTTTCCTTATTTGTACCATAATTTTACTCAAGTCTGTGAGGATTTTGAGTTGAAGATATGGCTCCTAATGCCTGGAGCCGGATGTGGGATGTGCTGAATGCATCTCCTTCAGTTACTGGTCTCTATTACTAAGCCAGAAGCTGGACACCTGAGCTATTGGTGACATGGAGTACCCGGGTTGTAGACCAATGCTCCTATGTGTAATAAAAAGTTACTTGCTTTTCTTGGAAGCCTCTTCTTTCTGTGTGGCCACTTTAATATCCCCTGCACATTGGTATCCCCTGCACTTTGGATGATCTGGTATTGCTGTGGCTTCTGTGTGTTGTGCAGCCCTGCTGCCATTCCAGGAATCACCAGCAATACTGCAACTGATGTAGTCTCAGTACATTTGGGTGGACTGGGGTGCTATTGGACGCGGAGGGAGCAGGCGGGATAGTGAGATCCCAGAGCAAGGCCACTTTGCATGACATTCAACTGGAATGTAGCTTGTATGAGTTCTCAAAGATTATGTCACCACCATACAATTGTCTTTGGGTTTCTCAGTGTTTTACAACTAATTAAATGCAGTTAGTGTTTAAGGGCTCAAGGCTTCGTGCAAGTTAGGCCCACATTGAAAACCCAGGCAATGCATTTTAGCTACATGGCCTTAGACAGGTACTTATACACTTCGAGTTTCAGTTTCCTTAGCTATAAAATGGGAAGCATAATAGATACCTTATTGGGCACCTGAGGGAATTAGATGAGAAAAGGTACATGCACATGGAGGTCGAGTAGAAGGTGGTTATCAGAGGCAGGGAAGATTGGAGGAAGCAGGGAATAAAGAGAGGTTGGTTAACAGGTACAAAAATACAGTTAGGTAGAAGGAATAAGTTCTAGCGCTTGATAGCACAGTGGGGTGACTATAGTTAACAATAATTTGTTGCATATTTCAAAATAGCTTGAAGAAAGTATTTGGAATGTTTTCAACACGAAAGAATGATAACTGTTTGAGGTGATTGATATGCCCATTGCCCTGATTTGATCATTATACATTTTTTTTTAATTTTACATGTTTTTTTTTGGACAGAGTCTCGCTCTGTCACCCAGGCGGTGATCTCGACTCACTGCAACCTCTGCCTCCCGGGTTCAAGTGATTCTTCTGCCTCAGCCTCCCGAGTAGCTGGGATTACAGGTGCCCACCACCGCACCCAGTTAATTTTTGTATCTTTAGTAGAGATGGGATTTCGCCGTGTTGGCAAGGCTGGTTTCAAACTCCTGACCTCAGGTTTTCTGCCCGCCTTGGCCTCCCAAACTGCTGAGATTACAGGCGTGAGTCACTGTGCCCGACTGATCGTTATACATTATATATATTGAAATAACATGTATTGAGATAACATACTGTACCTCATAAATATGTACAATTATTATGTATCAGTAAAAAAAGAAAGAAAAATGTTCATGGAAAGTTTTTTTAGTATAATGCTGACACATAATAAGTATACAATACACTGTCTATATTATTAATATTAATATTACTGATGTAAAAATATACAAACTCCTTACTAGGCTTCGTAAGATCCATTGTATTTGCTCCTAGAATTCTTTCCAAACTCATCTTTGTATCTCTTCTCAGACTCAGCACATAGTAGATTTAGAGTAAACACTATATTGAGGGATGGGTTCACATTTCTCTTCATTCTCTTTTCTCTTGAGAATGAACCTTCATATACTGATGCTCTAAAATTTATTTTATTCTTTCAGGGATTTTAATGCTCCTCCTCCTTGTTTCCCTCAGTTAGTATTTCTGCTTTCTAAGATTTTGTTTTTTTTCTCTTGTTTAAAAGTCAGACACCCTTCCAACTCCCTTGTCTCCTGCAGAGGAGATCGAAAGAGATGATTCACTTTTGAACATGTGAAAAATGACTTCCTTGAAATTTTAGTTCATCGAACAGACTATCCTCTAGTGCCTTCCTTCACCCTTGCTGCTTCCTTCTAGAGCTGAAGTTAGGCTGCAGATGAGGAGGGCAAGAAGGAGTATCTATTTTTCAATCCTTGTGTAGGTGCCAAGAGACTTAACTAACAGCAGCTATAGAAATAAGTTGTACATTTTGTCTAACTTCCTTTGAAGTCTTTGAAGAAATAAATAAACCTTCGATTTTTTTTTAGAAATATTTAGAGTAATTCTATTTAGGTCAGTTGATAAGTTACCTCTGTTAGAACTGAGGGACTATATAAAAAACTTGGATGTTTCAATTATTCATATAGTGATGTATTTTGTAGTTAATATGACCTATTGTGTATTAATCAGATGTGGACTACTAAAACCTAATTTATTCAGTTATTCAAAGAAGAAGTAGACTGTGCTTCTGTGTGTCAAATAATATGGTTAATTTTCTGGATCCCTGACAAGTAAATAAATTTATGTTAAAAAATAACAAATTAAGATTCCCTAAAATATGTAGACTATTGACATACTACAAAATACGTATTTATATTTGTGTTTGGCTGGTTGGAAATACCTAGATAGCAAGTTCAATTTTCCAATTCATTTTGCAAACACCTTTCTCTTTAACCTTGAAAAATCCTTTCCACTGTTATTTGTGAAAAATCATTTTTTTAGCAGACTGCTTTCTGAAAATCACTGACCCTTCTCCTGTTTGGAAAGGACCTTGAAGTTCAGCTTGTTCAACCACACACCAAAAGCTCTAATCTTCCCTCTAGCAGCTTAGATAACAGCTAGTTCAGTGGTTGTCTATCCTGGGTTTATATTATTAACTTATAGAGACTTAAACAATTATAAATGATCAGCCCCCTCTCTTCTACCTCCCAACAACTTTGATGTATAGTCATGGGCTACATAAGGACATTTCAGTCTAGAATAGATGTACACAATTGTGGTCCCATAAAATTATAATGAAGCTGCCCTATACAGATGTACAATTAAAAAAATATTTTATACCATATTTTTACTGGTAACTTTTCTATGTTTAGATACGCTTAGATACACAAATACTCACCATTGTGCTACAACTGCCTACAGTATTCAATAGAGTAACATGCTTTACAGGTTTATAACCTAGGAACAATAGGCTATACCGTATAGCCTAGGCACGTAGTAGGATACATCATCTAGGTTTGTGTAAGTACACGCTATCATGTTTACACAATGATGAAACCACCTAAGGATGCATTTCTTAGAAGGTATTCCTACTCAGTGATCCATGAATTTAATTGGTCTGGGAGGAGTTTGGCATTCACATTAGAAAAGCTCCCTACGTGCTTTTAATGTGCCTCCAGGCTAAAAACCACTATACAAGTTGACCTGCTGAGGTGCTGATGAGAGGACGTAGAAGACCAGAAGGACCACAGTTCACCTTGACATTGAGGTTAAAAGCTATTCATAAGATATTCATATCTGAAATAATAAAGGCACCATGTACATTTTTGAATTCAGCAAGAAAAGGGCAGTTTTCTTATCCTGCTTATCTTAAGGTGATTGCACAGATAACATGGGCCCAGGCAGAAGCCAGGGAAAAAATGCCTTGTCAAAAGATGAAGAGTTAAGGGAGTCTGTTGAAAGTGGCAGCCTCCCCTCATTGCCTTGATCAGTGCTCCAATTCCTAACCTGGAACATACCAATCTGTCCCAGGACACCCCACACAGACATACACTTGATTTTGCTTCCTTTTCCTCCTGCTATTCTGTACTTCTGACAATCATCTCCTTTTCCTACCATCAAAATCTGTCTTGGAGATGATGTGCCGACATCCCTCAGCCACATTGTTTGGATTCCCATAAAAGCCACTCAATTCCCCTGCCAGGGTACTCAGGTCTTTGTAGGCTTGGTGTAAGCATAGGTGGGCCAGTGTGTGAGAGACTGCTGGACTGGCAGAGACTTGGGGCATTCTCATAGTGTTCAATTTCCTGGCAGGTCAGATAAACCTGTGGGGGGCACTGAGACTCAAAATAATTTCCTTTACCCAGCGTTTATTTGGGAAATCCCCTGACTTCTCAGATACTTAAGAAAATGTCAGGGCTCTGAAAATAAGTTACTAATGCTCCTGAAATTTAAACTCTTAAGACTCTATACATAAGTCAGATATGACCCCATTAAGGAGGATAGTTTACTTCTTTATATTTTGTTCGTAGAAGAAAAAAAATTGCCTTTGTGCACAGGTCCTGCTGGAAAACTGCTCTCAATCCATAGCCTTTCTTTGCTTGGAACTGTAGAAACTGACATAGGTTGTTCCTAATCTTGAGTGACAGTCATTTAGCTAGCAGACATTTGCATGGTCTTTGGAGAATTATAGCACATATTAAGCATGCCTATATCTTGTTCATTTCTTATGCACATACTCCAGTGCTTTTTAGATCTTAACACAAAGAATCCTGAAGAAAAAGAAACTGTAACACTCAAAGAAAAGTAAGATATTCAAAAAGAATGTGACATAGGCTTTAAGAAAAAGCTGGAGAAGCAGTTAGTAAACTTATCCCTTTATGTACTATATGCAAGGTATATTTCCCTCTTTCTCCCGCTTCTTCTTTCCCTCCCTATCACACCCTGTCCATCTACCCTCACCCCAGCTGTCATTAGTTGTATTCATTTTATGAATCTTACAAATACCCTACCACATCTTGTATTTTACACAACACACACAGTCACACACATGCACACAATTTAATTCAACTGTAAGTCTTCCCTATTGGTTTGCAACTTGCTTTTCTTATTTAAAATATCTTGTACATTCCCATTCTAGATAAATGGAGGATATCCTTCTAACTCAATGGTTCTCAAACTTTAGCATGCATCAGAATCACCTGGAGGACTTGCCAAAATACAGATTGTTGGATCTCATCCCCCAAGTTTCTGATTCAGTATATCTGGGGTGGAGCCCAATAATTTTTTGTCAATATCACATTTATAACACATTCCCAGGCAATGTTGACTCTACCGTTCCAGGAACACAATTTGGGAGAAGACTTTCTAACCGCTTCTTTTAGATAGCTACATAATCTTTAATGATAGAGATACAGCATGAATTTTTCTGTCATTCCACTACTGATTCTGACAAAGATTCTTTGCTTTACCTAACTTTAGCCAGGCTCCTAAATCTTTTCCTACTCCCATTTGTGCATTTCCTTGTAAAATCCAGTTTTAACAAAGAATCCTGTTAAGTCAGTTTAGTAAGAACCACCCACCCTCAATATCTGATCACCCTCCTTGTCTGATGAAGTTCCTTATCCTCCCCCATGCCTGACATGATGTCTGATCACCCTGGCCCGTTGTTTACAAGAATCCTGTTATGTTGGAGTTCCCATTATCCCTGATGTTACCTCGTAGTAATTTTTCATCCACTGACCTCCCTCACCTCCCTACTCCTTAGCTATAAATTGCCGCTGCCCATGCTGTATTCAGAATGAAGCCGTCTCCCCACCAGCTCACACTGACCCCCAACTGCAAATTCCCATTGCTAGGGTTCCTATAACTATTGCAAAGGTCCTAAATAAAGTCTGCCTTATCATGCCTTAACTAGTGTCATTGAATGTTTCTGTTTGTTTGACAATATACATGCAATTATTTTGTCTCTACATTCAGTGGTGCAATAAATGTCCTTATACTGTTATGTTCATGTACTGGTGCTTTTATCTTGCTAGGATCCGAAACTTAAAAAAAAAAAGTCTTTTGAACTAGATTATGAGTCACAGGAGAAAATCAGTCTCACTGCTTTGTGGCCACACTTCAGCTAGATCTTATTGCTAGACTTGGAACCAAATAATGTCGACTTTTTCCAGAAGTATATCCTCCCTCAGAAGAATGATATTTTCCACTTTTGTGGATAATCAAAGATATATGCCCCAGGCTCCTACAGCATTTCTAGAAGGGGAGCTCCAGCTATGCAAGTTGTCAGCAAGGGCAGGTTGAGTGGGCTTTGTGCTCAGCCCCCTGGGGATCTGCTTTGCAAGACATCATTCACTGGGCAATAAAAGGTTTGGTGATGTTTTCATTGTTATTTAAAAGTCAGTTAACTTACTTTGATTATGTACAGTGCCTTGGGCCTTGCCTTAGAAGTCTAGGGAATGAACACTTTTAATTGAACTCCTGCTGTATTCTAGGCACTTTTAAAAACAAGATCTCATGGCATTATGATAACAACCTCGGGAGGTGGGACTCTGCACAGGTTAATTTTGTCTGGTTGTTGAAGAAAATGAGTCTCAGGCTACTGAAGTTGCTTTTCTAAGTCTGTTGATGATGGTATATGGCCAAGCTAAAATTTGAACTTAGAAACTTCTGGCTTCAAATTTATTTATTTTTTTCCTGGAAACATACTGCTTTATACGGGAAGACTTGAAAGCAGCAAATAGAGTCTCTATCTAGGGTATACTGATTGAGTTTGAGGTTGTATAGATATTGGTCATTTTAATTCTTTTTTAAGCCTCTGTTTCTTGAGTTATATCTGTTGTAGGCAGCATCATTTACTCATTCAATTTTGGGCAATAATCATGACTGGATTAAACATTTGGGTTTTCCATTTATGCTGATTTCATCTAGGTACAATTTTCTATCTCTCTTATGTATCTCATTTTTCTCTCCCTTCCTTTCCTTCTTTCTTTCTTTCTTTTTTTTTTTTTTTTTTTTTGACGAATAAAGAGCTGCTGGGTCATCACTTCTCAGCCTAAAGAGTCACTATTAATCTTGAGAGCAGCATTCCTGGTCGAAAAGACACTAGGACATGGTTTGCAAGCATCCAGGAATTAGTCTACGCACTCTTTGGGTGTTATCCTCAACGGTGTCTTCTCTATTCGGTTTCTTTCTTGTCTTGGAGTCCCAGTTCCACCTTGTTATGAATTCCCTATCCCTACCCTCTCCACTCTAGCTTCTCGTTGATCTTTTATAGCTTATTTTCTAGTGCAGTGTTTAACCTCTGCTCTGAAATCATTAGTCTATTTTTCCTCCCTACTTAGTCGGCACACTGATTATTCCAGATTCTATGGTTCCTGTTTCCAACCCTCTCAGCCTTTCTCGTCTTTTACCTGACTCCCTAGGAGTTGGCGCTGTGATGCGATGCTTACTTGACTGTTTATGCCTCCATCTCTGACCTTTTTCTGAAAATCTTTTCATACTGTGGCTTGCTAAATACTGTCTGACAAATCCCCTGCTCCATTTATCATCTCACATGGTTCTTTAACTGTTGTTTTATCTTCTGTTCCTTTTAAGTCCTTGTTTTCTTCACTTCTTTATCCAGTAACATAGACATGTGAGCAGAGGAAAATAAAAATAGAACACCCCCCTTAATAGTCGCCAGCACTACGTCTAACTTCCTTTGTTCATTAAGGTAGTACTTTGTACATTTTAATGTATTGGTAGTTTTTCAAGTAGTTGAAATGCCTAGATTAATTGAGGTAGGGATTGCAGATCCTTAGAAGGGTTATGGAGCACAGGGAAAGAATCATTCGGCTCTGGTTAAATCTTATTTTTCTTTATTCTCATTCTGTGTGGAGTTATTAGGATGGATTTCCTTAGAATGTTTGGGAGTTTTCATGTTCAGGCTGCTTTCAAAATCAACAGTCTCCACGGGTGGATACTCAGGATTTGGGGTAACAAGAGGAATGAGTTCTGATTCCACCCTATGAAGCTTGTGATGAAGCATTTCCAATACATTATTGAATTTGATTACATTAATAGTCCTGTGAAGTAGATCTTCATATTGCTATTTTACAGTCAATAAACCAAGCTCAGAAAGATGGAAGAAAATAAACATTTATCTAGTATATATTTTCTAGGCAGTTTGGCTAAAGGATAAATGGCTTGCCCCAAGGCACATTGCTGTACGCAGAGGAGCTAGAATTCATTGTTTTACCCACTGTCTCAAAGTGCTAATGGTCGTGGAGTCATACTTTTAGGGACTTGTAGCTCATGGACTGAGGTTTCAGGAATGAAGCCCTATTCTCCTTTTTCATCTTCTGCCTCTTCCTTTATCTCCCCTTCATGATTCTGTGAACCTCTTTCATATTTTTCCTTCTTTCTAAACCAACAGGTTTACTCTTATTGGTCTGTCCTTGACCCAGCATTGATGCCTTCTCTCCCTCTCTCTGCCAGCCTCCAAGCATCACTGCAGCCCTCTTGGAATTCTAGTTGATCTTATCCCAGCAGCTCCAGCCTGAACTGTGAGAAAGAATGTTCTATCTGTCCTGCATGAACCAGAAGAAAGAACTGTCTTCAATATAATGGAGATCCAATAATCTGTTTTGACAGTGATGTTAATTCCAAATAATTTACGGGTTCTTGAGCTTTTCATCATGGTACCAGGTTTTCTATGGGGTATCAGACATTGGGTTAAAACTGATTCATGCAATGAAATGGACAAATTTGAGTTGTGGTCAGATGTTTTAATTAGCTCTCTTTTACTTAGAGTTCCTCCTGCCCTGATGGTTGAATCATTTCTACCAAAGTTCTTTGTGCTTCAGTGAGGTTTTCTCACAGTAAAAAGGGAACAAGCAGATCTGGACTTAAAAATAGGTAGAATGAGTAGTATCAGGAAATTCTGTCCTAATGGTGTCTGTAATAATGGCTGAAAATTCAATATTAGCTAGGAAGTTTCACTTTGTCATTAAGTTTTTTTCTTTTTCTCTAATGCCTCCCCCAACTTGCATACCCACTCTGGCATGCACAATGTTCCTATATCACTTTGGGACGAGACCTTGTTTATGTAAATTTCCTATATTCCAGACACTGTTTTAAGGACTTTATAAGCATTAGTTTATTTAAACACATGAGGAAGGTACTAGTACAAATCTCATACCACAGGTGAAGAATCTGAGGCACAGACAAGTTAATTAACTTAGCCATTGTTCAGCGGGCTAGTAAGTGGCACAGCTGGTGTTAAAATTCAGGCATTCTGGTTCCAGAGTCTTTGCTCTCAGCTACTCTGATGGTTTTGTTTCTTTCTCTGAGATTCATGGCATAAACCCTCATAAATACTAATTTCACAGTATTTTAATTATTTGTCAAAAGATATGCGTCTTCATTCACCCTGCTCCATTGGGATGAGAGCTACTCAAAAGCAAGGGTTTTGAGTTATTCATATTCTCCAGCAGGGAATCTTGCCATGACTTGTTCAGTATTGAACCCTGCTGCTTACAATCAGGTAGGCTCTCTATAAGTACTGGTGAATTAATCTTTTCAACCTCCTGCTCCAATTACAGTGAAACACATGATAGGCTCCATGAATGTCAAGTAAATATATGCATTTTGTGATCAAGGGGTATGGTCTTAATACATATGTGCTTGTGAATAATTCCCCAAATTATGAATTATATTTATTCCATTGTCCAAGCTTAATGACTATGTAGTCAGTGTTTATTGGTGTACTTCCCTCCTACCATTTTTGCAGTTACAGAACCATTACAAATGGAAGACTGGGTGACAACAACGTAAATTACTGCAGACTGAAAGAACTTGGCACATGTTGCCAGGAACAGGTATTTCTTTGAGTATCTTGGAATGCTTGAAGAAGGCCACAGAGGGTTTCTTCCACTCCTTTTGGAGGTGCTCCAAAGCTTTCTGCGATGCTGGTGCATTTAGAAATCAAAGCAGCCCATCAAGAAGGCCAATTCTAGGAAGAAAACAAACAAAAAAAGAAGTCATTTGCCCTCGCCCTAGCCCTCCCTCTATTTTATCCTAACTTCTTCTTTATTTCTTTTAAATAAGGGACTAGAAAAGATGTGAAACCAAAGAATTTCAATTTTATCACTTAATTTTCATTTTATGATGCAGTTAGAATGAGCTCTTCATTTATTTGTTTCGTAAGCCCAAGCTTTCACTAATGTTTTCCTGAATTTTATATTCTGTTTCAGTATGGTGTGATGGTTTTTATTTTTTTCATCTAAAAATGAAGTAGGCATTCTTCTAATATGAAATAATAGTGTGTCTCACATAGTTGGTTATTTAGTGCTGTGTTTTAATCGTCAGCATGAGGGGCCACAAGTTATCTGCAACTCTTCTGCTTCCATATGTGTTTTCTTCCTTTGTTATTCCTGCCTGACCTTTTCTTCCAAGAATAGAATGAGAAAGCAACTTGTTATATGTTCTTCCTCTGTAACTTATATTGTAATTGCCACATTTCTGTTGTGATATTGATTTGGAAAACTCATCGGCATTCTAGCGTATAAAGTAATAGAAATCTGAATCCTGCTGGAGGGAGTTATTTAGTCTTTATTGAAGTGATTTACAGAGAGCTTTCTACCCAAATAAAATGCTCAGAGAAAAAAGGAGATGTACTGATGCAAAAGCGTGCCTGTTTCTCAAGCAGCACCAAGAATACAGAGATTGTGTCATTCTAGCTTTTCATTTCTTCTTTCCTTGATTTTATGAATGAATGACACTAATGAAATAAGTAAATGTGCATTATGTATGTGTTTCTGGACAGTTATGGATGACTTTCCAGGTAAAACTTGGCAAAGCACATTTCTTTAACATACCAAATAATTTAAAACTTACTAGAGGAGCCTCTTAATAAAAAATGTTGTAGACAATATTTTTGCAAAAAAAAGAAACCTTTTTCAAAATGAAGACTTGTTTTGTCCACATATTTCTTCAAAAAAAAATCTTACTTCAATTTGCAATGTTCACAAACAGATGGAAAAACTACATTTGATTGATACATGAAAAGTTCTCACAGTTCCCATAGCATTTGTCTGTGAGTTCAGCTGGGTTATTGTTTCTGTTTCATGCTATCTTGCTTAGGCCCCAACAGGATTTCCATCAAAGAGTTCAATGAAAATAAGATTATAAATTTGGGGTTCCCCAAGGAACAGCATATTTTAGATAACAAGAGGGCTACATTTGGTATAATAGATACCTTGCATTGTTCTAATAAATCATCAGTAAATATCTTTCAAGTAAGTGAATTTCATGGGCTGTACCAGGTACGTGTAAGCTACATGTCATTGTATCTCCAAGCCAATGGATAGGATAGACTAGATATCATGAAGCATCAGTTTAGCCAAGGAGGTTTACCTGTGATTAGGCATGCCATGTTTACTCATAGCCTTATTAATGCCTTCCAAATACCTTAACATAAAGAAATGTCTTTCAGGGAGAGATAAAAAGTCTCAAAGAGGTTGTAAGTCCCACATTAAGAAAGTGGTAGAGCTATGATTCAGACTTAGGCTTACTTCACATGCCACGCGCTTCCTCACTCTAAAAGTACCTCCATCCTTCATGCACAAAGACAGACTACCAAAAAGGAGAGAGAAAATAAGAAAGATAAGGAAAAAAGAATATATGCAGAAACTAGTGAAAATCAAATAAAGTCTCTACACTAATTGACTGCATTGTACCTGCATTAATTTGTGGCTTTCAATAATGTACCAGTCTGTTATAAGACACTACTAGGGGAAGATACGTGGTTAGTACATGAAACTTCTTTGTACTATTTTTGCACTTCTGTGAGACCATAATTAGTTCAAAATAAAAGTTGCAAAAAACCCCAAAACTTCACTTTAATGATCTAGGGCACTCGTGAGATCCATTATTTCTACGAAAACAAGAGTTTCCTAACATCTATGAGTTAACACTACAATGCAATGCTGACTTGACATTTCTTTCTTTTTTTCTTTTTTAACAAACTGCACAGTCTGAATGTTTATGTCTTCCCAAAATGCATGTGTTGAAACCTAATTCCCAATGTAATAGTATTAATAATATGGGGGCTTTTGGAGGTGATTAAGTCATGAGGATGGAGTTCTTATGAATGGGATTAGTATCCTTATAAAGAAACCTGAGGGAGCTTGTTTGCCCCTTCTGCCATGTGAAAATATAGCAAGAGTGAGTCCTCACCAGACACTGAATCTGCTGGCATCTTGACCCTGGACTTCCCAGCCTCTAGAATTGCAAGCAATAAATTTCTGTTGTTTATAAATTACCCTATAGTGTTTGGTTATAGCAGCCCCAACAAACTAAGATACAAACATAATAGAATATATTTATTCAAATAAGTGTTCGATTTTTCATGGAAGGATTTACACTTTTCCTGATCATTATTCTGTTGCTACCAGTGTCCTTAGAGTATCTTGTGAGGAATTGCTGGAAGAACCTGTGGCCTATTCTTTTGGATATTCTCTGTACCCATATATTTGTGTTTTGAAGGCAGGATTGGCTTTTGAAAAAGCCAAGAGTTATCAGGGCGAAGTCTTCTGAATACAGTAAAATAAACTAAATACAATTTAATACCCACACAGTGCTAAAATTTGGACCCTATTTGAAAAACCAAAAGCAGCAAAAGCCATGTTTAATACAGTATTATTTATGTTTATAAACGTGGAGCTAGCTGTGTGCAGTGGAAAGTTTGAACACAGGCTACAGAGATGGATGTTATTGCGTCATGTGCTATTTTTCATTTATTTATTTATTTATTTTTTTTGAGATGGAGCCTGGCTCTGTCACCCAGGCTAGAGAGCAGTGGTGCAATCTCGGCTCACTGCAACCTCCACCTCCCGGTTCAAGTGATTCTCCTGCCTCAGCCTCCTGAGTAGCTGGGACTACAGGCGCCTGCCACCATGCCTGGCTAATTTTTGTATTTTTAGTAGAGACGGGGTTTCGCCATATTGGCCAGGCTGGTCTTGAACTCCTGACCTTGTGATCCACCCACCCTGGCCTCCCAAAGTGCTGGGATTACAGGTGTGAGCCACTGTGCCCGGCCATCATGTGCTATTTTTAATATTAGTACCCATTTCTGTAGACGCAGAATTCAATATCACATTGAGATGATGATTATCAAGTGCCTAACACAGGGCCTGCTCACTAGTAAGTGATCAGTTAAAACTTAGCAGCTTTAATCATGATGGAGGAGGATGATGAATTTTGCCCCAAGAAAAGTACCTTATTTTTTTCTGAGCCTTTTTTATTATCCAAATAACAGAGGGCTTGAACCAAATGAAAGCTAAATTTTTCAGCTCTGCCATTCAGTAACTTGGATCCTGAAGCAGGTGTCAGGAGGCAGGACGGAGGTGTTGAAGGTGCTGAAGGTGCAGGTGAGATCAGGAAGATTTGCTGTTTGTGTGGTGGTGGTGTGACGGCTTATAGGGGTCTTACTGTGGCACAGAGTTTTGGTTTTCCCCCTCAATTTACCTCTGAGAAAGTCCTTTCCTCTTTCTTTTCTTAGGGTCTGAGGTTTTGGTCATTTTGCTAACATCTTGAGACTGCACTGACATCTATTCTGTCTTAGAAATATCATAGAAACAAATACCCAAGAAGTTCATTATATGCCTGAACAGCCAGAACCTCCAAGTAATTGATAATTGTTTGATAAACAGACTTGTGTCTCCCAGTGTGACTGATGGAAAGCCGTGTTTCTGGCAGGTTGGAGGCTGCTGAATATCAGTTGCCTGAAAGATAGACAGACTTTTCCAGCTGGGAAAAAAGTCAGCTCAGATATTACGGAGTTTACTGAATTTGGTTGGTGATATCTGACACTAATCCACAAGTTGGATAGAGCAGCTTCTGGAGAGTAGACACTAGTAGCTAGTAGACATTAGGTACTAGTAGCTTTCTTGCTGAACACTGAAAGACTGACAAGCCACAAATAGGAAGTTGGCTTCTAGGTGCCCCTGAGATTGGCTAATAAGGTCAGGGGTTGGATTTCATTGCAGAGTTTAGTATGTCTGTCTGTTGGACCTTTGGGATGGGCATAGACATGTTGGTACCTTATGGGGGGTATAGTCTAGGCTAGGGGCTGGTGTGCAGTGATGAGGAAGTAGGTGGTAGGCAAGGGGCTTATGACATTGGTTGGTGGGGAACCTTTAAGCAAAAGGGAGGTCATCCTATCACTAACTTCTCTAAGTATCTCACTATCTTATTTTTGGCTTCAAAATATTTTTTCATCATGTTCTTGCAATGGCCATGTCAATATACCTTGAAAAGGTCCCACTTTTTAGAATGGGGCAATAGCAATATAACCCTAAGACATGGGCAAGGGTGGCTCCTCTACTGAGCCTCTCTCATTCAGAGGACTCTGCTCCAGCCCTCCTTCAGCATTCCTTTACCCGTGCGGGGGAGAGAAGCATTGGGGCCAAGGGAGCATGCTCATTCAGAGCCCACATCCAGTGCCATTTAGACATAGACTACTCAGAAATCCCTGACAAATAGTCTAGATCTAATTCTGGGACCTTCTTAGATCTCTTGCCTACCACTTTGTCTACCACTTTCTCTTGAGGCAGATTGAGCTGCTGTTGAACATACTTCTTGGCAAAGCAGTGGTCAAAGGGCAGCTGTTGGGAAGAGGTTGGAGTTGCCCCCTTATAGGGCAACACAGGGCTGGGGATGGAAAGGAGATAAAGGGCCAGATAAGGATTTGGGAGCCACAGGTCAGCTGGCCCCCTGCCTTCACATGCCAGTACAGAATTTCAAGGCATCAGAGTCATCCAAATTTGAATTCCAAATTTGGATTTTTGTTCTATGTCCCAAAAATGTCATGAGTAAGCCTGCGGAAAACAGCAGTGTCCCCTACACCCAGCTCTCCTCCTGGCCAGGGTCTTGCTCTATACTGGACTGAACTTGCCAATGAGGTTAGAAAGAAGGGCAGTTGTCAGTATTACTTCATTCATTCATTTACCAAACATTCATTGAATACCTACTGTGCGCTAGGCTGTGTGTATGGATACTGAGGAGATGCTGTCCAAGACGGATGTGCTTCCTACTTCTTGAAACCTGAGGAATAGAGAAAGCATACAGAAGATAGGAGTAAGAAGACCAATTAATAAAGATTTTCTGATTGTGATAAAATCATGAAATAATAGTGATAAAGTCATGCACCTAAGCAACTGTGTCTGGAGACAGATAAAAAAGGGGAGAAGAGTTTCATTGAGATGAGCTACTCCAGTTGGGTCTCTCTAAGCAAGTGACATTTAAGCAAAGTCCTGAAGGGAGAGGAGGCAGCCATGCAAGACTGGAGTGGAGGGGGGTTTCCAGCCCAGAAGACAACATGTGGAAAGGCTATGAGGTGGGACATAACTTGGAGTGATGTGCAGAGCCAGATCATAAAGGTCCTTGCAAGCAGCCCATGATAGGGGGTTGGTATATTATCCTAATTGCAGTGGGAAGCCATGGAGGCCTTAAGCACAGTATGATTTATATTTCTAAAAGGTCATTCTGACTCCCATGTCAGAAATCTTTGGAAGAACGGAAGCAGGAAGACTGAGTAGGGGGCCCTTTGTAAGAATTCAGGCAAGAGACGATGGTGATTGTTCTTATCCATGAGAAAGCCAGGGTGCTTCCACGATAAGATATCTTCCTTCTCATAAGGTAGCGTTTGCTAAATCTTAAAGACTGGAACTCTTACCTTTGTTTGTGAAGAAAAGCTGTACTCATTTATTATCCTGTTATTTATTATCCAATATATGGTTATTAAGCATGGCGTATGTTTTTAACCCTACTGTAGGAGCCAGTGATCCAAAGGTAAAGGAGGCACAGTCTCTACTAAAAATATCTGGAGAGATTCATTCTGTTTAGAGGCAGGAGCCAGGGAGCAGGGACTGAGGAAGGAACCAAGAAGAGGCAATTATCACTGGAGAGTGGTATTAAAACAAAGGTTTACCTAATTTCCAGTTTAACTCATGGATATGGCCATGGGATATGACCTCATAGGAGCCAGTTGTTGCAGTCCTAGACTATGAGGAATTTTTAAATGTTGATTGCTTATTTACTTCGATATACCATAATGTAAGGATAAAAAAGGAAGGGTGAGTAACAGTAGAGGTTTTTTGTTTGTCTGTTGGCGGGAAAGTGGTCCTTTGTCCTCAAGTTTGTTAAAAAAAAAATGCATAAAGAAGGTGGCCGGGCGTAGTGGCCCATGCCTGTAATCACAGCGTTTAGGAGGCCGAGGTGAGTGGATCATGTGAGGTCAGGAGTTCAAGACCAGCCTGGCCAATGTGGCGAAACCCCATCTCTACTAAAAATACAAAAATTAGCTGGGTGTCATGGCACATGCCTGTAATCCCAGCTACTCGGGAGGCTGAGGCAGGGAAAATTACTTGAATCTGGGAGGCAGAGGTTGCAGTGATTGCTCCACTGCACTCCAGCCTGGGTGACAGAGCGAGACTCCATCTCAAAAAAAAAAAAGGTTAGAAAATATGCAGAACTAGAAGTCTAGAGGACCTGCAGATAAGGGTGGGGCTTGCAGGGAGGCAAATGGAAGGCAAGAGAGTTACTATGAGAGCCTAGGGATAGGATGATTATGGTGATCCTGGCAGCTCAGTGGCACCAAAAGGACTATATTTCACAGACTGCATGTATCTAGCCATGGCTGATGAATAAATGGTAATCTCTTACAGTCAACCTACTCCCAGTGAAGACTGACTTGGAGGGAGGTCGTGGAGAAGGTGCCACATTACTCATTCTGAATCCTGCAGCACATTCTACCTGAAGCAATTATAGTGGGAAGATGGTATCTTGGCACCCATAGGCTGGAGCCATGGAAGCAAACTCTGAACATGCAATACTAAATTACCTGAAAGGAAGGATGCTTTCCCAATTTAGTTTAGCTTTTGACTGAATGAAATAAAGTTTGTGTCCATTAGGTACCAGATTTTCATGTACATTCACGGGGTTGGATTCCCACAACTCTTGGAGGAGGAAGGAACTGTGTTGAGGGTTGAATGCCCAAGAAAAGACTGGGACCCAAGAAGGCCCATTTTTCTTGATCTAGGGTGGGGAGAGATGGAGCCTATGCAGGGCCAGTCAAGCACAAGACAGAATTAAACAAGGCTTGTGGGCTAAGCAGGAAGGAGACTGGTTGACACATTCTCCCGTAGAACAGGGAGGGTATCACTGGTTTATTATTTTAGTGAACAGGCCTCCAGTTATTGTCATTACACGTGTCAAAGGGCTAGGAGAGGATGAGGTCTGCCTCGCCCCATCCCACCTTCTCGTTCAGCTTGTCAGTGAAATGTATTAGGTACCTACTGTGCCCACTTGTCTGCTGGACCCCTTAAAGGCATCACACAGTCACCAAGTCAATATGTACAACTTTTGCTTACAGTTTAAGAAAAGAGAATTTAAGGACAGTACTATTTGAGAACAACTAAAGGTAAGAAGCACCTGCATCCTTATCTGAAGCTAGGGAAGGTCAGTTCTGATGAGAGTAAGGGCATTCGGTGTGGACTGGTGATAATGACCCCAGACTCCCCAGGCCTCAGGCTCCTCAGCGATTGAGCTGGAAGCCAGATCATTCCAAGTGGAAGGAACAGAGGAGCCAAAGGCTACAGGGGTCAGGCTATGGTGCCCTCAGCTGCTGGCACGTTGCAAAGTGAGTTACGAAACAGAATACAAAATAAAAGCTAGTATTTGTAAGAAAACAAAACTATCATGAAGGGCTTTTTCTAAAATGTCGATTTTCTTTGTGTGCCTAGATAATGGGTGATTTAGAGTTTCTACTTGGTCATTACCTATATATTCTAATTTTCCTAAAATGAAAATATACAACCTCTGTAATATGTTTTATAAAATACAGGCACTTAAGCAATTCATGCTAAAATGAAAGTCTGGACATTTTGAAGAGGTTATAAATGCTGTACTCATTGGAACCCACCTCACCAGTGAAAGCTCCAGACTCTGGCATGCCTGAGTTTGCTCAGCAGTCAGTTTACATTTTACTAAACTTTCTCAATCTCCATTATTGCTCCCCAACAACAGAAAAATATTCAGTCTTACGATCATGGGTGCTTGTACATCCTGAGTGATCAAAAATATCTCTAGAGAATAGATTTGATGCTGCAGTAAAGGGCCTTTAATTTTTCTAGCCTGGGGGTCCCTGACTGGCTGCTCACAGATGTGTGTTTGTTTTTTGTCTTTGTGTAGTTTCTGGCCATCATAGGATTTTTTAAAACTTGAGCTAACATTAAAAATCAGAGTTTATGTATAAACATTTGAATCCCTGGCTTCTCTTTCCAAAACCATCTGTCTTACATTCCTGCCCAGCCACACACAGCTTCAATGCAGGCACAGCTGCCCCTTGGATGATCAGTTCTCTGCAGTCTTTACAATTCACTCTTGCTTCCTGACGCTGAGGCCAAGGCAGTTGTCATTTACCAAAACAGTTTTTGTTTCTTAATGGTAGAGACCTATTTTTAAAAATCTATGTTTTAACAACAGTAAAAAATAAGAAGGTACATCAGAAGAACCATATATTTTGAGAGAAGAATGAGAAAGCATATTTTTTGTGGAAACACTATTCAAACAGACTGCAGACACCAAGTGACATGGTTGGCTTTTGTTGGCACTGGAGATTTTGCTGCTTTGCCCTGAGCCTTAAGATCTTCCTCATGGTGCTACACTGCCAGCAAAGAAGAGTTTAAGGAGAGAATGGAGGTGGGTGTCCATATCCACAGCCTACTCCTGTGTGTGAGGATCCACCCCCACCATATCCCATCTCATCCCCAAAACAACAACAGCAACAACAAAACCAGAATTGGGCAGTTCCTGGTTTAGAAGGCAAGAGGTAAATTTCAGTATTGCCTTCCCATTCCAACATAGCTTATACTGTTACATACCTACATTTTCCTACCATAAATTGAACCATTTCCTATCAAACCAATAAAATGCAAAGTCTTTTTATTATCTAGATAATGACTGAATGACAAACCAAAGGGCCTTCCTCGGTGCTTTTTATTGAAATTTCCTGTGGAGCCATGAATTCTCTGTTATTAGGGTAAATATCAACAGAAGACAGGCTGGTTAGATAGCTACTTGGAAGTGTTGACAGGAAATTAAATTTGCAAACAGAAATAAAACCGTGGTAGAATTTTTGAATACAAGGACAAAAGCAAGGAAATTGAATATTGAGATTATTTGTAGCATTCTTCCCTGGGGATGGAGAATTGAAGAGCACATGGTTTGCCATTCATCGGAAGGTCAAACCCAAGATGACTTAGCAAAATAGTCATTCTTAAGACCAAAAAAATTATCTCACAGGCCCAGATCTCAGAGATATAGACACCTAAGCAAATGAGGTGTCTGTGAGTTGGGTGATTTTTACTCAACATGTTAATTTTTCTGTTTGCCATTTTTAGAGATGATGCTGTACAGTCATCAGCACCCTTTTCCAAAAAATATGATAAATGTTTCTTCAAATAACTTAACGATCTCATTCACACATTCTTCGGTGTTAATAATAAGTACGTGTGCCAATGATGAAGTGGCCAACAGTATCCCTCCACTGGAAAGTGTAAATTGTGTCATTGTATGTTGAGTTAACAAGGATTAGAGCATACTGGGTTTTATATTTTGGCATTTTTTCCCCTTTATTTTTGAGGGTAAATCTGTTGGTCCATGTAATACACATGTGCTAATAACTGCTGATTTAACAAAGAAGTTGAGAGGTGGTGCAAAATAAGGAGCTCATAAAGATATTTTTAATTTATTAAGAAAAGAGTAATGGACATTTATTTATTTACTTATTTTGATAAGTAAAGGACTGGAGCTCTCAACTACAAATATGAGGTCAAGTGATGAGATATAAATATCCCTTGTGTGGGCATCAGGAAATCTGCTATTCTGTCACCAAACACCTATGAAATCATGTGAAGTGGAGGTGGGAGATTAGGTGTTTTGGGACTTATTTCAGGGTCTACTATTCTTTGACATGATGACTTTGTTCACATATGCATTTGAAGAGCTGCCTTAATCATAAAATAATGTTCTAATTTACTAACAGTCAAATCTTCCTAGAGAGGTCTCAAACTGCCAGTCTGTGTATCATATAAGGCCTGTTGAGGAAATGATTACAGTACACAGAATATTGCCACATATGGAATGAAGGGGAAAGAAAAAACAGAATTTATTACAAATAGTTAAACATTTAGCATATTCTAAAAGAAAAAAATAATGGCTTGTGCTTTTCTTAAAAAAAAAATCAATTCTGGCAATCTGGGGTCATGTTCCTATCGACTAGAGCAATAATGTTAGGGCACAGATGGATTTGCCCTTGTGTGCCCTTCTCAAGGTTCACCCAGTCACCAGATCTCCTGGCACTGAGGATATGTCAATTGTCACTTATCTCTTTATTTTTTTACATTACTTGCCTTGAGAGAACTGAGCTAAATGTCATTCTTGAGAATAGCACCTATGTCCTTTAATTAGCTGAACCCATGACCACAGATGATGTCTGATTCACCCCCAAGGAGGCAAAACAAATGTGTAGAGATATCTGAGAAGTCGGGCTGGAGCTTTTTGGCTCTCGGGGACACTCTCTCATGTTCATGTCAATTAGGACAGATTTTGTTGAAAACATATTTTGCACACTCCTTAAGACCCAAATGGCAGATGAGCTTCACGTAACTGCCAAATTTTCTCTTTTTCAACTTACTTCTCCAGGGGAAAAGGTGGAAAAATAATTTGATACACTAGTTGTAGGAAACTGGACTTTAACTCAGTGTTTGACAATCAGTCAATTCTCAGAAAACAAAGTGACAGAAGTAACATAGCATCAAGAAGCAAAAAAAGCATTTTTCCCAGGCAATTGTTTTACAACTAAATTATTTATGTGTATTGAGGGGTTTAAGAATTATTAAATGTATTTTCTCCCTTGGCTCAGTTCTTTACATTTTTTCTATTTATAAGAAGTGAAACTCAGACGACAACCAGGCAGGCAAGCTCACAGACGGGTTTACTGACAACACCACAATGCTCCTCCCCTCTCTTGCTTTCTGGCCTCAGACATAAGGAGCAGTCTCTTTGGGAATGAAGGGGGCATCATGGAATGAAAAATAGAATGCCCTCCAAGGATGAAATACAGCTAATTACATGTTGTTCACCTGCTTAGTTTCAGAGGGTGGACTTATGACTTGTGCCTGTTGAAGAAGAAAATTGCTTGATAGCAGTGGCCATGTTATCAGGATTCATAGGAGAGAGATGATTATCTGTTAATTTTAGAGTAAAGAGGCCTTTTACTACCAGGCAAAAAAGCAAAAATCATGCATTTCTCATGCATAACAGAAGTTCTTTGTTTTGGTAGAATAATTACTATTTAGAGTATATTGGGTTGGATTTGTAAAATGACTGGCCTAGAGTTTATAGATAATCAGTCTCAGTATGGAGATTTCAGAACAGGAATGTGCAGATGTGGTGGCACTGATAAGGAATAGAATACATTTGTACCTATGTGGTACACATACACACGCACACATACATACACAGAAGCATACTACGTAGGAGAAAAACAGGCTTTGAAAAATGAACACTTGTTTTTGATTCTGATTATCTTAAGTGGTTGTAATAACAGTCAATACTAACTGATTGCTTTCTAGTCTGTTCCTGGTAAATAGAAATAAATTTTAATTTGGGAAATATTTTCTTTAAAAAAATCAATAGATTTATGGGTACAAGTCATTTTTCATTATAAGGATGAATTATGTAGCGGCAAAATCTGGGCTTTTAGTGTACCTATCTCCAGAATAGTGTACATTGTACCCACTAGGTAATTTTTCATCCCTCACCTCCCACCCATCCTTTCCCATTCTGAGTCTCCATTCGTTATACTACTCTATATGCCTTTGCATCCCCATAGCTCAGCTCCCATTTATAAATGAGAACATGTGGTATTTGATTTTCTGCTTCTGCATCACTTTATCTAGGATAATGCCCTCCAGGTCCACCCAAGTTTCTGCAAAAGACATTATTTTATTCTTTCTTATGGCTGAGTAGTATTCCATGGTGTGAATGTGTGTGTGTGTGTGTGTGTGTGTGTGTGTGTGTATCTCACATTTTCTTTATTCACTCATCAGTTCATGGGCACTTAGGTTAATTCCATATCTTTGCAATTGTGAATTGTGCTGTGATAAACATACACATGCAGGTATTTTTTGATATAAGGACTTTTTACCCCCCTTTGGGTAGATATCCAGTAGTGGGATTGCTGGATTGAATAGTAGATCTACTTTTAGGTCTTTGAGAAATCTCCATACTATTTTCCTTAGAGGTCGTACTAATTTACTTTCTCATCAACAGTGTATAAGCATTCCCTTTGACTGCATCTGCCCCAAGACCTGTGGTTTTTTGACTTTTTAATAATGACCATTCTGGCTGGGGTAAGGTGGTGTCTCACTATAGTTTTAATTAGCATTTTCCAGATGATTAGTGACATTGAGCATTTTTTATATGTTTATTGCCCATTTGTATATCTTCTTTGAAAAATGTCTGTGTATGTCATTTGCCCACATTTTAAATGGGATTATTTGTTATTGGTTTATTTTCTCGCTGATCTGTCCTTGTAGATTCTGGATACTAGTCCTTTGGTGGCGGCATAATTTGCAAATATTTTCTCCCATTCTATAGGTGGTCTTTTTATCTGTTGATTATTTCTTTTGCTGTGCGGAAGCTTTTTAGTTTAAGTCCCATTTATTTCTTTTCGTTTTTGTTACATTTTCTTTTGGGGTCTTAGTCATAAATTCTTTGCCTAGGCCAATGACCAGAAGAGTTTTTCATAGGTTTTCTCCTAGAATTTTTACAGTTTCAGGTCTTAAACTTAAGTCTTTAACACATCTTGAGTTAATTTTTGTAAACGGTGACAGATTCTTTTCCATGTGGCTATCCAGTTATTTTCCCAGCACTATTTGTTGAATAGAGTGTTCTTTCTCCAGGGTATGTTCTTGTATGCTTTGTTAAGGATCAACTGATTGTAGGTATTTGGCTCTATTTCTGGGTTCTTTATTCTGTTTCATTGGTCTATGTGTCTCCTTTATACTAGTATCAAGCTGTTTTGGTTACTATAGCCTTGTAATAATTTGACGTAATTAGGTGATACTGTGATGCTTCCAGATTTGTTCTTTTTGCTTAGCATTTCTTTGGCTATTTGGGTTTTTTCTTAGTACCATATTAATTTTAGGATTTTTGTTCTAATTCTGTGAAAACTGGCATTGGTGAGAGGAATTACATTGAATCTGTAGATTGCTTTGGGCAGTATGGCCATTATAACAGTATTGATTCTTCCAATCCATGAGCATGGGTTTTTTTTTTAATTTTTTTGTGTCATCTATAATTTCTTTCATCAATATTTTGTGGTTCTCATTGTAGAGATCTCTCACCTTCTTGGTTACATATATTCCTAAGTAAAAACACATATAAGTATTTTTAAATTTTTATTTATTAACAGTTTTTTTCCTCTGATCATTATTAGGATCCATTTTATTATAACCAACTCTTAGAGTATCTTGGAACAGTTGTTCTCGATCAGAGATTTTAGCTCCTTGGGGGACAGCTGGCAATGTCTAGGGACATTTGGCAACGTTCTGAGACATTTTTGGCTGCCGGACATGGTGATGAAAAGGAAGAGATGCTACTGGTGTCTAGTGGGTAAAGACTAGGGTGCTGCTAAATATCCTATAGTGCGCAGGACAGCCTCCAGCAACAGAGAATCATCTGACCTAAAATGTCAATAATTCCAAGGTTGACAAACCCTATGGGGAACAGTTAAAGGAATGGGATGTATAGCATGATGAAGTGAAGACAAAGGAAAGACCTAATGGCTGCTTTCAAGTTTTTAGAGGGCTTTTATATATAAGATGGGTTACACTTAGCTCTGCTTATTTTTGTAGGGCTCTTGGATCAACAGGTGGAAACTATAAATAGGCAGATATGGAGGAAAGCTTTCTAAAAGATATCTACAAAGCTGAAATGTACTGCCCTAAAAAAAGGTAAATTCTCATCTGTAGATAACTAAAATGTAACTTAGTCACTAGAAAGGGATGTCCTCTAATTATTATACAAAACTGATTTATTGAAAACATTTTAATCACAGATATTGTGATAGGAAATTGGAGTCCACATTGGAAAGGTCATTTAAATAATTTAAGTGGCCACTTTCAGATGCAAAGCTTGAATAATTTCATTCTTTTGTCAACTTTGGAGAAAGCTTGGTTCCATATACAACATTATGAATGTATGTAAGTAGCACTTAAGGAAGATATCTAGACTTATTTTACTAACCCTTCCTTTTACTTCTATATGGTTTTAGAAATAGATGTAACATTTTCACTACTTTTCCTTACATAATTTTCTAGACCAGCAGTTTTCTAATTTAATTGATCATATGCCCAATAAAAAATAAAATGTAAACCTTACCCATTATTTGCATGTTAATATAATTTATAATTTATTTTTCCCACAAATTAAAGTTTTAAAAGTTGACAAAATGAAAAATTTTATGCATTTTCCTACATGGAATTGGACAAAGAGCTCTAACTCAATGCTTTTCATCTACCAGAGGTGAGAAGGCACAGTGTTTTATTTTTAAAATGTAAAAAAAGATAATTTTAAAATTTATTATAAAATCTAGATGAATGGTATTTTTTTCAGACCTATAAAATAAAAGCCCCAATTTTAAAAATTAGATTTAACAGACATGAAATTAGTGTCTAATATTCCTGTAAGAGTTTCCAAATCTTTACACCCAATTCCTATGTTTATCTCATCATGGAGTAGGACTGGTAAGTTTGCAGACTTGCCCCAGTCTATGAGATGTAAGTATCGTTGCTTGTGAGAAAACTAGGCCTATTGTGCGACCTGAACCTATTGATGTAAAATTTTGTAATCTTAAATTGGCATCTTGAATTTTCAATCCAGGGCTTATGTGAGATGTCTTTAATAATTCAGAACCTTTCCTACCTAAAATTAGGATGCTCTGTTGATTGGAGGTAGAAGTCTGAGCTTCCCTTTGCAAGCTTTTACGCTAATTATCACATGACAGCAAGCCATTCACTTATCACCTCTATATGCTAGTTTTCTCATTTGCCAAATGTGTCTAAAAGGACCCTCTATTTTTCCCTGACATGGCTTTTATACCTAGAGAAATAAATGTGTAGGAAAGCACTTTAATAAGATAGTTGCGATAAATAAATGACTCCTAGGAATCCCACACCAAGGAATTCATTTACGTTCAGGTGGGTGAACAGGTGAGTGAAATGTATTTTCTAGCTCTAAACCTAAGCATCTTTTGAGCCACTTCTGAGTTTTGCAAAATGCAATGTCCATCCAAGCTACTAATTAGTTGAAAACTGAGCCACATTTGGTTACCTGGACATTCCTTTTCATTACTAATATACCTTGGTTGAGGTAAAATGCCAAATTATATGCCAGAAACCTGCAAGAATGACAGTAACTCTGGTGGCTAAATTAGTGCAAGAGAGAAGTTTAGCTGTGAAAGTAATCTCTATTATTTTGTGCTTCCTTATACTCAAATCATGTTTAAGTGTCTAATGGCAGAGGAGTCGTGGTACAAATATGTCTGTTCTCATTTCTTTGGGGTATTGTATACATTGACTTAACACCCCATTCCCAAGTTCCTCGTTTGTAAAATGGTGATAATAATAGTACCTGCTTCATAGGGTTGTTGTTAAGGGAACTAATTAGATAATTCAGTCAGGAACTTAAAAGTGTTTGGTGCACGGTAAAGGCTTAATACATGACAGGTATTATTAGTATGAATAATGTTTGTTTTAACAGAAGTACCTAATCAGAGGAAATTATGCTTCTTAACAAGTGGTACAATCGCTTGGTAAACAGATTGGTCTAACACTAGAAGGATGTTAAACCTGACCTTCTTATTGGACCCTCACCAGTCAAAGGACCTCAGAGTTTTTCGTCTTATTCTGCTTCTTAGTACAGGGAACATCATCTTTCAGATAGAAACAAAGCAGTCGTCTATTATTAAGGACTACAAACTTGTTGAGCTTTTGCTTTGCAGCCTCTATGGATCACGGATTATAATTAAGAACCAAGGTTTAATGCCTCCTTTTAATCATGCAAACATATATGACAGTAAATATTAAATAAGAAAAAAAATGATACTATAAAGGACTTCATGCCTTCCACAAACCTAGAAGGTAAACAAGTGTCTACTTGTTGGAAAAAACAATTGTAATTTCCCAAGAATATATCTGATGGAGAACCAAGTTTAGATGGCCATATCGGGGAGATTACTTCCAGTAAATAGATCTCATTTGCTATGAATCATGGACATTTAACAACATATGCAAAATGTTAAGACTTAGAATTGTATTTCCCAAGGTCTTAATTTAATTTAATTTAATTTAATTTAATTTAATTACTTCAGTCATGTAATAGTCTTTAGAAATAAAGGCAACAGACTTTGATTAATCTGGTGATCCAATCCTCCTCCTCCTCCTCCCAAAAGTCTGTCAGACATGAATCTGGGCCAGAATTTTCATCTGGGAACACCTTGAAACCTAAGTGGCTGAGTGTGAGCTTCATGTAATCCCTCCAATAAGGAAACTCTAACTTTTAAAGGGTCTCTTGACATGCGTGGTAATTACAGGAGTACAGTTCCTGGTACTGGTAGGTGGTGGCTGAAAAAGGAATATTTAGAGCAGGGGTCAGCTAGCTTTCTGGAAAGGGCCTATTGTGATCATTTTAGGCGTTATGAGACGGACAGTCTGTCACAACTGCTCAACTTTGCCATTGTAATGTGAAAGCAACTATAGACAATAGGTAAATGAATGAGAATGGCTGTGTTCCAAGAAAACTGTATTTACAAAAAGAGGCAGCAGGCTAGCTTTAATCCAAGGGCCATAGCTTGCTGACCCTTCATCTAGAGAAATGGTTGCTAATGTAACAGGGAGCTACTGGCCAAATTAAGCTAGAAGGTGTATTATTTTTTGATTCCACAGTGTCAATCTCCATGATGTTCATATTTTCTACTAGTTGCCAACATTTAAAAATCAGGAGATTTTTTACATACAAATATGCAATCTGATATCTGAAAAACATGCAAAGATCTGGTAACACCCATCTGTCTTCCTCCACAGCAACAATAGTTGTGCCCGCTTCAGAACAAGAACTTGCTTTCTTGTTCTCCACAATACTCACCATTCCCTGGTGCCTTCCAGAAATTCAGGCCCACTTCCTTCATTTACACTACCTGTCTTGCCCTGGCTCTGCTCCTGGAAGAACTTGATTTTGTGAACACTTTTTAGTAGATCTTATCTTTCTTCCTCTTTCACTCCTTGTTCCTGAAAGCTATCTCATTTTGGCTCACTGAGGCTGAGGACCAGGCATGCTTTTGCAAACTGATATATGGCTGTACAATAGTATTAGTGTCTCTGAGAGAGTAGCATAGCTGAGCTCTAGAAGTAGTGAACATTTTGTACCTTTTGTTCATTTCCTACAGCCATCCTAAAATGATATATCAGTTTTCAAGTCTGTTTCCCTCTCCCTTCTTTCTTTCATTCCCATCTAGTACACCAGAAAAAGTGTACATGTTTCTATTCTTATCCTTCAGCATTTTATATCTTTTAATCAGATGATTTGCAGTCTCTTTTTGTCCATCTAGAGTCATGTTGTTGTTTTATATATATATATATATATTTACATATGTATATATTTAATAAAAGTAGATTATTTATTGTGCATCAAAGATGATCAGGTCTGCACTGAATGTGAGATTTTAATTACATGATTCAATGTATTTAATTCAACTCATTCAATCCTACTATGTACCAGGCACTGTGTTGGGCATTGAAATGTAAAGTCAGAGTTCCTGTCTTGGAAGAGGGGTGCAAGTAAACAGAGACTTTGAAATGGAGAATCTTATCTACAGAATATTTTGAATTTACAAATAAGTCCATATATGAACTAAGGAGAATGGTGGAAGACACAACTCTTTACCAAAAACTTATTTTAAATGAGTGGTGAGTTGGTTTCAGTTCAGAAAACAAAGTATTGGGATAAATAGGAAATTCTGTGATTTGATAAATTGAGTCATGGATGTTTTATTTAACATCTGAAAAAGTACTCTGTGCTGAAGAATGAATAGTGAGACTTCAGTCTTTTAAAGACCTGTGCAGGGCTGTACAGTGTAGCTTGGTGCCAAGCAGACAAAAACTAATGAAGAGAAAACCTTGCAAGGATTTGTAAGGCAATAAATGAACTTCATCATGGGTAAATGTGAAGTAGCTGCTTGAAGGAAAAAGAATACAAATTATTATGAGATGATGTTCTTTGGGCTGTCAGTTATGCTGTATAAAAAGAGTCATTGAAGAATGTTCACTAATGACATTAGTCCATTATGAGTTAGAAATAAAGTACCACCAAAGTATTGGGAACCACCAAGAAATATATAGAAAACCAAACATTGGTTTTTTAATTTTTTTAATTTAAAGTATGCTCACTTATGTGTGGAATTCTGAATGCGCTTGTGGTCAATACATTTAAAGCAAGATTTGTGATACTGATTTATAACACGTACCTATGATAATCCAGACATGTAGCAGATGTTCCACAAAGAGCAGTTAAAGAGGTATATGTGGGCATGTACCCGATACATAGTGTGTGTGCATTAGAGAGCTGTTGAATAAGTGAATATGGGCAGAATGGGACTGAAAACAGTGTCTAGTGTCTTAAAATTAATAATAGTAATAATACTTGGCTCATTGGCTGTTCGGCGAAAAAGGAATATGATTGAAATATGTAAACAAACCTCTGATGCATATGGAACAGGAAATAGCCTTTGTCCTAGTCTATAGCACATGAATGGGAGGGAGAAGGGGAGCAGTTTCCAAGAAAGGAATGCAAACCTGAGAAATTGCTGTAGGACAGCTATCATTGTTTTGATACCAAATAATAAACATGGAACTCATTCTGTGATAATGTACATACTTATAATTCAAAGGCAGAAAGTTTTTGTTAAACAAAATAATGGGTCTGGCTGGGCGCAGTGACTCACACCTGTAATCCCAGCACTTTGGGAGGCCAAGGCGGGCGGATCACTAGGTCCGGAGATCGAGACCATCCTGGCTACCACGGTGAAACCTTGTCTCTACTGAAAATACAAAAAATTAGCCGGGCAAGGTGGTGGGCACCTGTAGTCCCAGCTACTCGGGAGGCTGAGGCAGGAGAATGGCGTGAACCTGGGAGGTGGAGCTTGCAGTGAGCCGAGACTGTGCCACTGCATTCCAGCCTGTGTGACAGAGCGAGACTCCGTCTTAAATAATAATAATAACAATAATAATAATAATGGGTCTATGAATGAATCTTAAAAATGCTTTACTCATTTGTTTTGCAGAATAGTTTGTAAGTGTACGTGTGTGTTGTTTGTGGGTGTTTTCCCAAGTCCTTTAAATCAGGCAAAGAATGTGTATATAAATTCTACTCTTATTTTCATCCACTGTCAAACTAACTTCTGTGAAATATTCTAGGAAACTTTGATCAGAATATTTGTTTTTGGAAGTTAAGTGACATCATTCATCCTTTTGAGCCAAATATAATCAGCATCCCTGTGCCAGGAAGGAAAAAAAATACCTTTACTCTTACATTGACTATTCCAAGAATTACTTTTCTGATAACTCCATACAGGGTTTCTCCGAACCTCTCTGTTCATTTGCATTCCTAACAATTTGGGATTTTATTTAGTGGTCAAGTTGTATTCACCCTGGAGCCTGGAATGAGGACATCCAGCCTGACAACCTGTTAAACAACTTGTGAATGGAATAATGAATGAAAAGGTCAGACAGTCCATTTAAGGAATAACATTTTTTCAGATTTCAAATGCCATTATATTGTGACAAAATCCATATGTGTTTCAGTAGAACAAGAATGGAAGCAAGGTTTTAACCTTTAGTTTTAATAAATATTTTTTATTAAAAAATTGAAACATTTTGATTCCTTAACCAGTGAACTGAAAACAATAATTGGAAAACAAAACAAACAACAATAACAACAACAGAATCACAAAAAAGTCCAGCCAGGGCACTTTCTAGTTTCACAGATTTGGATGAAGCAATTTAAACATACATCAGCCAAGGTACATTCAATCACTCTCTATTACTTACAGCAGTGGTTTTGAGTATTGTTTTAATGGTGTTTTATCTTGAGCTTCATGATGGTATTTTGCAAAGCAAGTTAAGCTTTAGGAGTCTAGCTTTTGATTTCACCATATTTTTTTTTTGCATTTGTGTGACATTATTCATGTTGAATTTGGTTCCATTCTTTTTCCAGCTCCTAATTACACCCTCAGACTCTGTAAAGATGCATTTGTTCCTAAGTGCAATCAAGAAGCATATTAGAAATCAGCTGTACATAGTTATGCTCTTATAAATGGAAAGTCTATTACATTTGTGTTAGAAACAGAATGTTCATACTGGAATTCAATTGCAGTTGATAGACACATATCAATTGCTTAGGACATGCTAAGTGCTGCACTAGATAGTGTGGGGAATATGGCCATAAATAAAATACCATCCTTGTCCCAGAAAGCTCAGGTTCCAAAGGCAATATCACATAGTGACTAATAGTTCAGGCTCTGCAATTAGGGCTTGTGTTCAAATCTTGTTTTGTTTCACTATTCACAAACCCTGTGACTTCTTTGAGATATAGTATTCTCCAGTAAATAGAAACCATAATAACCATGGAAACACATTTGTAATACTATATAATTCTGATTATATAAGTAGTACATGTTCATTATTAAAAATTCAATAATGAGAAAAAAATAAATAAAATGAGAGAAGGCTCACTGCGATTTCATCTCCAATACTGATGTAACCACCCTGAAGAATTTAGTTCTTACATTTCCAGAAAATTTTCTTATGTATATACTTACATTCTATTAATTTTTGGGTACATTTTGTCTGTACTATTTTGGAATCAGTTTTTTCATGAGCTTTTTTATTTTGAAATGATTTTAGACTGGTAAAATAATGCAGAGAGATCCTATTTACCCTTTGTCCAACTTCCTCTAATGTTAACATTTTATATATGACCTTACACCAATGCTGAGAAGTTAACAGTTGTACATTACTACTATTCAATAAATTTCATACTTTATTTGTATTCCATCAGCTCATCTACTAATGTCCTTTTTCAGATCCCGGATCCCACATTGTGTGTAGTGCTTGTTTAGTTTTATGTAACAAGGCATTTTGGATATCTTTTCATATCTGCACATGTAGCTCTGACATATTGCTTTTAAAAAGTGCAAAACTTGGGCCGAGCGTGGTGGCTCATGCCTGTAATCCCAGCACTTTGGGAGGTCGAGGCGGGTGGATCAGGAGGTCAGGAGTTCCAGACCAGCGTGACCTTTACCAAACCCCGTCTCTACTAAAAATACAAAAATTAGCCGGGCGTGGTGGTGCACACCTGTAATCCCAGCTACTCAGGAGGCTGAGTCAGGAGAATCGCTTGAACCCAGGAGGCAGAGGTTGCAGTGAGCTGAGGTCACACCACTGCACTCCAGCCTGGGCGACAGAGCAATACTCTGTCTCAAAAAAAAAAAAAAAAAAAGTGCACAATTTTAATCAATTAAGTCTGTATAGTTGTAGTAGTCCATTCTCATGCTGCTATAAAGAACTGCTGAAGACTGGGTAGTTATAAAGCAAAGAGGTTTAATTGACTCACAGTTCTGCAGGGCTGGGGAGGCCTCAGAAAACTTATAATCATGGCAGAAAGGGAAGCAGAAATGTCCTTCTTCACATGGTGGCAAGAAGAAGTGCCAAGCAAAAGGGGAAAAGCCCCTTATAAAACCATCAGTCCTCATGAGAACTCATTTACTATCACGAGAATGGCATGGAGATAACTGCCCCCATGATTCAATTACCTCCCACTGGGTCTTTCCCATGACACATGGGGATTATGGGAACTACAGTTCAAGGTGAGATTTCAGTGGGGACACCGCCAAACCATATCAATAGTATAATTTATGTAAACCTCTTTTGACTATTGATGTTTTTCATATGAATCCTAAAAGAAACTTATCTCCATGCATTGTATGATTTAATCTTCACTATGACCTGTGTCTCTTAGACGCCAAACTAAGGCTCTTTCATCTACCCTAGAGTGGTTCCCTGTATAACAGACACAAATGTGTTACTTTTGATATATTTTTTCTGTGACCATTGACCTCCTCCAATTTTAGTTGTGCTAATTTTCATTGTATAGAAGTTCTTACTTTGTGAATGATTAAATTTGTAGATCTTTTTATTTCTGATGACTTGTATTGTTTTAAAGCTAAGGAAATTATTTGAATATCCCAGTTTCAATGGCTAAAGCAAGTATTTGGAATCCTATACCTTATTTGCAATTTTCGAGTTTCCGAATAAAAATAGCAGTGATCCTCTTTTGATGAGTGAATTAGTTTTTGGATAATGGTTAAAAAAATGAGCCAACAGAAGATGGTTTTACCTCCTATGGATACAGCGCAGGATTATAAATTGAGATTCTGTTCTTGAAGCCTACTCATTTCATAAATTCATAAATTTACCAAAACTGATTATATTTTTTTGTTTGGTTATATTTATTTTTGTTTTTTTTCCCACCTGGCCTGGTTAATAGGGTATATGTCTGTTCACTAGCACTTCTATTTGGGTAGGGAAAATTCCCTAAGTCCCTCAACTTTACTACGGTCTTTTGGGGATCATTATAGGACAGATGCCATCAATTTTATAAAATACATTAAAACCCTAAGAGAAAAAAAACCTTCTCTCCATAAGCTGTAACTCTGTGTCTAACATCCATTGTGAAGTTCAGGCTAGGCAAAGAGTTAAAATCAATGCTATTTCCTACTTGGACAAACAAAATGAACAGGAGCCTGAGATAGCCACCTCTGAGTTCAGCTTGTTGTTATTCAGTTTCCATTCTAATACAGTTTCTTCCTTGCTCAATATCAGTTTATAAAAGCATGTTACATGTCCACTGACCCCAGATAACTAAATAAATCCCACTTTATAGTCATAGAACTAAGTCCCAGGTTGTATTTGTACAAATGCCTGCCAAAGATGGATACAAGGAATTCAGAATAAATCAACCATTAAATTCACATTTCTTAGTGGAATAAAAGTAGGAATGAGGAATCCAATTCACCATCACTCTCTCATACACACGTGCATGCACATACACATATACACACGTGTGCCCACACACACACACAGCATGGTACATTATTAGTTTTCTTTGTTGGATGCATGTTTTGGTTTTGGATTTCTTTGAAGGGCATTTATGCAGAGTTGGTTATAAGGTTTGGAGTCCTGGACCCCAGAGAACTGCATTTACTTCTGTCTTTGCATGTACCTTTGTAACATGTACCTGGTGATTTTATGCTGGTCAGATTTCCCATTTGAATGAGGTGACAGCATTCAGCAAGTTATAAGTCTCTGAGATGGACATTTCTGCAGGTCTTTTTCATACATTTCCCGTAGAAATCTTTTAAATCATGTTCACAATGAGGCTTAAAATTACTGCTTTCTTAAGGAAAAGGGATATAATCCAGGGGGTTTATAAGCAGCATTTGATGAAAGTCTTTGAAAAGAAAGTAAAAATCAGTTCATTTTAATGATTGGCAATCAAAAAAAGATAAACCATCATTAAATTCTAAGATCTGGTATACTGAGACTGAGAAAAAAATAAAAACACAAGCTACCTTATAAATGCACTGCTGATAATGTATTCTAGGTTCTTTCTTTTTCAGTAGATCATCCTGAACATATTAGCCTCAGGTTGCTGGAAATCAAAATAATGGCATGGTGATTGTTAAGAGTCCATGTTATATAAGGGTGTTCTGATATTGAAATTAATACTTCACTTCTTGTTTCTGAAAAGTGAATGTTGGTAGGTTGGTTTTTGAATGTGTTTTGAATATTTTAATAGAACTGGGTTCTATCTAGGAGGAAATAAAACTATCTCTGTGGCAGACACCACAGTTCTTCTTCTTGGTTGTAAACTTACTTCCTAGTAGCATCAGTTCAAGATGTATTCTCATGGAAATGAATTTTATTTTAATGTTCAGACATGCTGATTGTGGAAAGACAGTGTGAGAATTCAACCTAGAGCCTTGCTCTGGCAGTGAAATAGGATATAAAATATAAGAGGAGACTCATGGTGAGGTCACACGGGTCCTGAAATCTTCCGAGAAGTGAATCATAACTCATTCCAAGTGACAGGAAACAGGTCCGAGGGGATGGAAAAGGGATATGAATCAGACCTGAGTTAAAGTTAACCTTTACAATACCTGTCAAAAATTACTAAGCAAAACAGTTATATGAATATCAATACATGAAATGCTTTCTCCTTATTTGAGTGAACCAGCTGCTCTCAGACTCTTGAACAGTAACCATATCTAGAGATGTAAATTAGAATGTCAATTACAAATCATTCTTATATTTTCATCACATTAGACCGTGGATAAATTGTGTAAATTATTTGAAAGTAATTAAATTTCTAATCTAAAAATTTAGATTCAGAGTTGGCATTTTTTTTTCCTTCCCCCCCCACCCCCCCCCCGGTAAAGCACCAGATAGTAAATATTTTAGGATTTGTGGCCCATACAGTTTCTGGTCTCTAACACAGGTTCTCAACTCTGTCATTTTAGTTCAAAAGGAGAAACAGACAAAGTGCGAATGAATGATTGTAGCTGTGCTAAAATAACTTTATTTGAGGACATTGAAATTCAGATTTCATATAATTTTCATGTGTCACAAAATACTACTCTTTAGATTTTTTTTAACTATTCAAAAACATAAAACTACTCTTTGTCTGTGGGATTATACAAAAACAGGCCTTGGGCCAGATTTAAACAGCGGGCTGCAGTTTGCTGAGCTCAGTTTTAGATAATTCACAGTAACCACTGATTTGTGCTGCTTTGGACAGTGGTGTAAAGATTTACCTATAGTACATTTTCTAAATAATATCTAAGAAAAAAAGTCATGATTTTTTTAAAGGACAGAATGTTTTCTCCCACAAAATAATTGGTCGCTGACAATTTTTTTCTTGCTGCTAACCTGATTTGTCAGAGAAGTGAGCACTACATCTTTGTGTTATGCCCTCTCCCCAAATTCCAATACTAGAAATATATTTATTTGGTTTTATGTTAAAATGCAGATGCCATCTTTTCGTATGAACTGCCATTAAAGATAGAGGAGAAAGAATGTATATTCTGGGAATCTAGGGGCATGGCCTCAAGTTACTAATTTGATAAATTGTTTCTGAAGTCTAGTGCTTTATCTTAAAATATTATGTCAGTTCTGCATTCTATACCACTAGATAGGTATGTTTATTTCAGGGTACACAAACTGTTTTAAGTCATTGAACAAATATGCAGTTCCTCTGTGACCTGCCATACTGCCAGCATAACCCTGAGGTCTGGGCATACCTTAGGTTAAGAAACACAGCAGCGAGGCAAACTGATTGTTTATCAGTCCCAGTTTGATGGCTTCAGAGCAGACTTTAAATGGTAAAGGAGGAATTACACGTGAGCATCCCAGTTGTCTTGTATAGTGACGTGAATGGCCCCTATTCCCTTGATCCATGGCTGCTACTTGCAGACCTAACTCCAGCCCAAGGTGGGAGAACGGCATGATCACCGTCTTTGAAGACAGATAGACAACGGTTTTAATTTTTACTGTTCCATGTGTAGTTAGACTAGTTATTGAGTTGAATTTTGTCATCTGAAAAATGAAGGTAGGATTTATGGTTCTTTAGTTACAATCCAATGACTTTTGCTAATATAATTCAGAAGGGATATATCAGAAAACTGTTGGAGGATGTAACAAGGGAAAATTAAAATATCTGGTTGGAGGAAGACAAAGGAGAGAAATAAGAGGCAATTAGCTTTCCAGGGCATTTTATTGAGCAACTATGAGATGCTGTGGTTAAGAAGCCATTCAATTTGCCTGGGAGAGTTCTGGTTTATACCTGTTGTACTTGCATAATTACTCAAAGCTCCCCTTTCACCCTCAAAAATGTCTCTGTTCACATGACACATTGTCATCTTAGAGGACTCAGAAGTTTGATCTCACTTCCGACTGTGAGTTGGTCTTGCTCTTTTTTCCTGACACTGCAGGATCTGGTTTTGTTGCCTGTGTTCAGAGCCAACCCGTATACTCCAGTATCAATTCTAGATTATTCCAGAGCCACCTGGTGGGGGTATCCACCGTCCATGGGAAGTGAGGAGAGAGGTGGGCAAACAGACAGCCATGATATTGAACCTCAGGTCCTCACACTATTTTTTGTCTGGGAATGGAATTAGATGGTGATATGGTGTGGATTTGTGTCCCCACCCAAATCTCATGTTGAATTATAATCCTCAGTGTTAGAGGCAGGGCCTGGTAGGAGGTGATTGGATCATGGGGGTGGATTTCACCCTTGCTGTTCTTGTGATATTGAGTGTATTCTCACGAGATCTGGTTGTTTAAAAGTGTGTAGCACCTTCCCACTTTCTCTCTTCCTCCTGCTCCTGACATGTAAGACATGCTTGCTTCCCTTTGCCTTCCGTCATGACTATAAGTTTCCTGAGGACTCCCCAGCCATGCTTCCTGTACAACCTGCAGAGCCATCAGCCAATTCAACCTCTTTTCTGTATAAATTACCCAGTTTCTGGCATTTCTTAATAGCAGCATGAGAATGGACTCATACAGATGGGACAGTCCATAGTATTTTGAAATTTGTCACTATCCCTTATACACATTCATGCTACTTCAGTCTAATATCCATACTGTTACTCGAAATGGCTTTCTGAAACACAATTCTCTCTAAAACCCTTTTTGACTCCTCATTTACATCAAGGAAAAATAAAACTTCTCAACTTGACATACAGAGCCTTTGATGGCCTAGCTTCTGTCTTTTCTTTGTCCTCCCTTAGTTGCCCACAGCTTCCCTATCTTGTAGATTCCTCTAATATTCAGTGGCCTGCAGTCCTTATGGCGCCATACTCTTGCCCTTCTGTGACTGGGCACATGCTGTTTCCTCTGGCTGGAATGCTTTGCCCTACCAGCCTTGTGCTGGTTTTTCCTTTCAGAATCAGAGTGGAAGTTGGTTTTCTTTTCTTACTAGTTCTTTTTTTAATCTTCTGTTTGAGTTATCCTTCATACCACTCCCATAATTCCCTTGGCGGACTTCAGTTCTAAAATGTGGGACCCCGAATTTCATTTGATAGTTTCCTTGTCTTTCTCTCTCAGTAGGTTATTGGCTTCTTGGAGGCAGAGACCATAATTTTCACCTCTGTAAACAGTGGAATGGTACATAGCAGCTGAAAGAAGGTTGGATAAGTGGATAAGTGGTCTTCATGAGAAAGGAGTGTTACTTCTGGGAGGAAAAACATAAATATGCAGGCAGTGGTGATAGGGATTTTAATAAGACACAGAGCACGGTACAGAATGCATGCTAATTTTATGTGGGGCTAAATTAGTGTGAATCTGTGTGGCCCAGTGACCGGGCCCATTTCAGCTTGGTAAGAAGGAGAAAGAATTGTCTGTGGCCTCCAGAGAGGCTTTGTAATTTATTTTCATCAATACACATGTTTCATTTTCTAAGTGCAAATGTTGCCACGGTGATCAGCGTCTCTGGTTTCTCTGGGAACCCTCTCTAAATACAACCCAGGGTACCCAGAGAACATGGAGAATAGAAGTTGGTGATCTTTGAATAATTGTGGAAGGCATGTGTAGTCCTGGAAGACTCAATAACACTTCCTGAATTTATAAAATGGGAAGATGGACTTCCCAGCCAATGGGCTTGGAAGATGGACACTCACTAGCAGAATTCTACAAAGGATTAATAAGTGGACTTTTTTGAGTCCTTAGTGAATCCATTTGGGTTCCTAATTATTATCTTATGGGAATCACTTGGACTAAGGAGGTCTGTTTGTAGCCTAATTTTTCCTTAGAAAGGACATCTAATTTACTGTCTGTTTGCATATCTGTCCTCTCCACTAGCTAAATAATTTTATACACATTTGTGTTCTTGGTTTCCAACACAGAACATGGCATGCTGTAATCACAGAGTAGCTGCTGAAAGAATAGGCTGATGAACTTGTAAAGGACATTTGGGTGGTTTTGAAACACTGAAAAAGTCAAATGAGTCAAAGTATAACATGGCTATTTAAAAAGTTATATGATCTGAGAGAGTGTTCAAAGAAGTGGTTTCTACACTATAATTTTCACCTTTGTAAACAGTGGAATGGTACGTACGTAGCAGCTGAATGAAGGTTGGATAAGTGGATAAGTGGTCTGCGTGAGAAAGGAGTGTTACTTCTGGGAGGAGAAACACAGTAGGGAGTCTTAGACCTATTCTATTTTGCCCTGATAGGACTAGAACAGGAGGGTTGTATTAAATTAATCAAACTCCGTAATAAAGGAGGCATTGGAAAGTGGGAAATTATTGAGAGAAAAATGTCTGGGAGAGTCTTAAACATAAGGAGTGTATTTTGGAAAACTAGGACAGTAATAAACAATAATTTTTACAGAGAGTTGAACTGAAAGTGCCTGCAATGATACTAACTGAAAAGAAAAGGCAAAGTCACTGGACAGGAAGCACACAGTCCACCCCAGGAAAGCTGTGATGGCTGTGGACTAAAGAACAGACAAATATGAATGGGAAACAGATTCCAAATACATTCATGAAAAGAGTAACAGTGGCTGTCCCTGATGACAGGTGATGTTTTTAATGACTTTTTATAATAACCTAGTATTAGATGCATGGTGGGGGGGACTATACATAGATTTTTTTTTCTCTTAATTCAAAAAAAATAGAACAGAGGATTCTTGTGTGGAGAAGACTTAGGGGGCAGAAGAGGAGTTAGGAGTGCTATTTTCAAATATTTATTGGGTCATGATGTGGAAAAGAGATTAGAATTATTCTGCATGATTTAGTTAGAACTGCTTACAGAAAAGCTAGACGAAGGGACAGTTTAGCTCATATTAAGTATGTCTTATGTCTCTGTGGTGTTAAAAGATAATTTCTAATAAAAGGCAAATTTATGACTCATAGAATAAAAGTAAGTATGTGTTAAAAATCTTACTTAACTCATTAATGAGGAAACTGGTGAGGTATTACAACCAGTTCCAAGGCAAATGCAAAGAATAAACAAATTCAGATTTGCAAAATAGTTCCCAAGGAGTCAGAATCAGATATGGCGTAATTTTCCATTGAATTCCCAAATTTCCCCTAGAGTGTCTCTTTTTGACCAAAAATATTATCAAAGAAATATTGTTCTCAATCTGCAGCATGAACTGTGGTGGCTCCTGGTTCTACGTGATGTTTGGCACCAGGAATGACCCAGAAGTAGCCAAATGATGACCTGTTGGGGATACTGTAGAAAAAGTTTACTCATAGGATAGTTGGTTTGCCAGGATGACTTTAAAGATAGTTAATAACCTCAAAATTCTAAGATATTACCTCACCACTCAGGGAGCCAGCTCCTGAACCTGTATCACTACAGCTGGGTCCTTTTACAAATTCAAGTTCCTATTAATACAAACAACTGTCCTTCCCCAGCTTATGAGGGTTTCCTGTGTTTCTCACTGTGCCTTGAGAATCTACCTGCCCTTTGGATTCTAGTTCTCTCCTTATTTGTCTGACATTCACCAACTAAACTCTCTTCTGTCTCTTAAAGCGCTTTCGACTTGGAAAAAGAAACAACTGTAGAAGATAAGATTATGTGGGCTATTTTAGGTTGAATCTTTACCTCCCCCAACCACCAAAAAAAGAAAAGGAAGAAAGAGAGAAATATTGAAGTATTAACCCCCAGTACCTCATACTATGACCTCATTTGGAAATAGGGTCATTGGAGATGTAATTAAGATGAGGTCATACTGGAGTAGGTTGGGCCCTTAAAGCAGTATGGCTGGTGTCCTTATAAAAAGATGGCCATTCTGGCCAGGCACGGTTGGCTCACGCCTATAATCACAGCACTTTGGGAGGCTGAGGTGGGCAGATTACCTGAGGTCAGGAGTTCGAGACCAGCCTGGCCAACATGCTGAAACCCCATCTCTACTAAAAAATACAAAAATTAGCCGGGCATGGTGGCAGATGCCTGTAATCCCGGCTACTTGGGAGGCTGAGGCAGGGGAATAGCTTGAGCCCGGGAGACGGAGGTTTCAGTGAGCCGAGATTATGCCACTGCACTCCAGCCTGGGCGGCAGAGCAAGACTCTGTCTCAAAAAAAAAAAAAAAAAAAAAAAAAAAAGGTGGCCATTTGAAGACAGAGACACATAGGGAGAAGGCTGTGTGATAATGAAAATAGAGATTAGAGTGACACAGCTGCAAGTCAAGGAATACCAAACATTGCTGGGCAAACCACCAGAGGCACAGAAGAGGCAAGAAAGGACTCTCCTATAGGTTTCGGAGAGAACATAGTTCTGATGATAGCTTGATTGTGGACTTCTTCCCTCTAGAACTGTAAGACAATACATTTCTGTTGTTTTAAGCCACCTAGTGCGTGGTACTTTGTTACGACAGCCCCAGGAAACTAATGTAGGGATATAGACAAATTTCTCTTCTATGGGCTGGCTCTGTGCATTGTTCTAAATGTGAAGAGCCGGGTGTAATGTGTTATACACATATAATGCCTGGCAAATACAAGGCACTAATTAAGTATTAGTCTTCTTCACTGTCTTTTTTTTTTTTTTTTTTTATCTTAGAACCTGTAAATTATAAACCAAGTGACTGCATTACCACATAATGAGAGGAACGTGACTTGGAATTAAATCTGAGTTTAAATCCAAGCTCTGCCACTAGCTAGCTAGCTATATGACTTAGTATGACTTAGGACAGTTTTTTTTTTGTTTATTTGTTTTCTGGATAAAACCATTTTTCTGGTCAGGGTAAAGATGAAAAACAATGGCTGTGATCATGTGGTACAGGGTAAGCACCCGATACTTAGTAACTACTGTAATTTTATTCTTCTTGCATGATGATTCTTATTATATTAGTGCTTCATGACTTGCATTGCTGCTAGGGAGTTTGTAATTGTTATATTTGCTCAAACAATTGAATTTATAATCGTTGCATTCATAAGGAGAAAGATGACTGCTTTTAAAATTCTCTTTATATCCTGGACATTTTAAGACTTGAAAAATTAGTGCTTTCCACTTTTATTTTTGAACTGCTACTAAATTTAAAGGACTATTAATCCCCCATGTTTATGACTCACCAATTCATCATCAACACGATGCCTTTTAAAGCAATATGTGACTCAGGAGAAGCATGAACGAAGCGCCTGAAAGAATTTGAGGGTGGGGAGATGGTTGTGTTGAGGATGAAGGAGGAGCATTTGCATTTATTTTTCCTTTGAAGTAGAGCCCGAAAAGTTTTGCTGAAGAAAAGATATCTGAGCATGTGCTTGAGTTTGATTCATTAATTTTCAGTATATCTTAAACTTAGTTTTTCAAACTCTTTTTATTTTACTATCATATGAGCTCACAGCAGGAATGCCAAACCACAGTGCCATTGTGTGAGGCACAAGGGTGTTGAGGACAGTATGAAAATTCCCTTTTGAGTCTGATTTTCTGAAATACCAGAGGCCACAGTTCTGAGTGGCTAGTGCAAGGGAAAGAAATGTACCCATGCCTGGGTTAGAAAGGCAAGAAGCTAGTTCCTTCCTAGCTCCAGAATTCTCAAAGAGAATAGGCTTGAAGAAGTCTATATTCCTCCTTTCTTAAGACCTACACTAAACACTAAACTCTTTGACTATGCTCATGGGAATATCACGTAGAATTCCCTATTGCAGAAGATGAGTAGTCTTCTACATACTGTACTGCTGATGGTAAGCCGACTTCTCAGATAGCCCCCAAGATTTCTGTCCCCTGTTCTACACACCCTGCATAATGCCTTCCATTGGTGTTGGCAGGACTCATGAATATGATGGGATAGTCACTGACTTGTTTATGTTACATTATATTAAACTCCATCTTAACTGACAGAGAGAAACTCTCCTCCTGGCCTTAAAGGAGCCAACTGGTATGTGTGGAGAAGGTCACAGGGGAAGGAACAGTGGGAAGCCTCTAAATACTGAGCATGGGACTTGATGGACTGCCAGCAAGAAAGTGGGAAGCTTCGTCCTATAACTGCAAGGAACTGAATTCTGCCAACAACCAGTGAGCTTGGAAGGGGCCTCAGATGAGATCAGACCATGGCTGACACCTTAATTTCAGCCTCATGAAACCCTGTTCCCAAAGCCCACCTACTCTATGCTGAACTCCTAACCATGGAAACTGTGAGATAATAAACGTGGGTTGCTATAAGTCCCTATATTTCTATTTATTTGTTATGCAACAATAAAAAATGAATACAATTCCAATTTCCAGGAGCAGGGTATCAAGTCTCTTAGTTAATAAACAACAAACAAACAACAACCAAAAAAACCACTCTGTGCACAACCACACCCCAAGTTGTTTTTGTTCAAGTAACTCACAAAAGACTTCTCCGCCTCCCATTATCACAGACTTTCACAAAACCAGTGGGAGCCCCTTTATAGCTGGACATGGCCATGGCCTACATGACTTTCTAGATGAGCCTAGCTGAGCTATTACTGATTTCGTGGAGCAATTACTTTGTGTAATCACCTGTGACTGACTGAAAGCCTATTGTTTCACACTTCTTTTATGTGTCCTTATAATGATTTTCTTAAGGCCAATTGCAATCTCCTATGTATTTCCCTACCAAAGAATACCTTGATCTTGAATGTTCCTTTATTTCCATGCTGCCCCCACCTTTCTCCCAAATGTACATTCTAAAGGGCCCTTTCAGCATATTGCTTATTTAGAGTGAATACATGAAGATGCCTTTTATATGCTTAGGGGAAGAAGAAAAGATCATCCAGTAAAAATTTCATATTGTTTTTCCACCCAAGTGTATCTTGCTCAGATAAACGGGCATCACAAAGGCCACCCTGGCATTCCTGCCAGCATTTCAGCATTCCATGCCCCATCTCTCTCTTAAATTGGAAAACATTTTTACCGATTTCTTAATATGTTTGAATTCATGTTTTTCACAACATCCCTGATATATTTGGGGGTGCTGGATTTGAATATGTAACCCTTTTCTTGCTAAATAGTCGGGTTTTTATTAATTGGCTTCTGACTTATGGAGCTATATTTACAGCTCTGTGAGGTAGATAAATTCACAGCATAAAATAATATCCTCCCAATCATTCAAGGCAGTCAGTTTGCACTCACACATAACCCAGATGCACTTAAAATAAAGGTGTCTATCAAGCAGTAAGTAACGTGATTTCTCAATTGCCCTGTTCGTAGATTGAGACAAGTCTATGTGGGGCAATTTTTCAAGAGCGTTAGGAAGGGCTGTCTCCATAATATTTCCCTACTCTGTCCCTTTATTGATGGCCAATATTCCATATTTATGTAATGATTCCTCTGGCCCCTATAAAAATGGAAGTAAGCCGAGAAAGGAGTTACCTGGTATTTCTCAAACTGTTATATAAACCAAGCCACCATATTTTATAATTCTGAAGGCGTACAGCTCTCATGTTATTCTATGTGAATGGTGCCCCCTGGTGATGTGCTGTATCTATGCTGCAGTGAACTTAGTGGATGTATGCTCAAGATTCTGCTTTGTTTGTACATTATTCAAGTTTTTAAAAATGTTCATATTTTCATGGGAATGAGTTTATCAGTTCCTCTCTTGAAAGCATGTTTGATTAGAAAGAGTGCAGACTTGTTTGTGTGGTTGCTTTATAGTGTCATTGGCCTGAATTTTTTTTTTTTAAAGGAGCTATAGCTAATTAAAACAAAATTAGCATGGCCAGGTATGGTGGTTCATGCCTGTAATCCCAGCACTTTGGGAGGCTGAGGTGGAAGGATCATCTGAGGTCAGGAGTTCGAGACCAGCCTGGCCAACACAGCAAAACCCTGTCTGTTAAAAATACAAAAATCAGGCAGGCGTGGTGGTGAGTACATGTAATCCCAGCTACTGGGGAGACTGAGGCAGGAGAATTGCTTGAACCTGCGAGGCAGAGGCTGCAGTGAGCCGAGATCATGCCACTACACTCCAGCCTGGGTGACAACGTGAGACTCCATCTCAAAAGAATAAAAAATAAGATTAGCAAAATGTTGATATTGAAACTGCAAGATGGCTACATGGGGATTCACTATGCTTTTCTTTTTACTTTTGTGTATGTTTGAAACGTTCTACAAAAAAAAAAAAAAAGGTTAAAACATAAAAGGAATTCAGCTTTAGATTGTTAAAAGCACACAAATCCTTGCCATGTAAGTCTTAAATACTTATTATACAAAAAATCCAAATGCAAAAAATGTTTATGTAGTAGAAGAATGGAATATGATTAAACCTTTTCCAAAATAGAAGCGTGTGCTTACAAATCATAGCATTTAGCCATATTATGCAGCCCAGAAGAATAAATAAGTAGATACTTTTTAATATATAAAAAAGAAAGCGTGCAGAGATCAAAAAGACAGAAGCTATGTGAGAATGGGATCCGCAAAAATGCAGAATAAAAGTTTACTCTTTTTGTTTTGTTCTCAAAACTCTTCCTCCTGCTACTTCTTTTAACAGCTCCCTGCCATGATCCACCATCCATTTATTCATTCATTCATTTACCCATCCATCTATTATCCATCCATTCATTCATTCATCCATCCACCCATCCGCCTACCCATCTATCTGTCCATCCATTTCTTCATCCATATATTCATCGACCCAACAAACATCAGTTGAGTGCCTGTCATTTGCCAAGCATTAATGGATGATCCAGTACCCAATTTGAATTTCTTTACATAATACCTCAATGATCCAGAGAGAAAGAGGACATTGAAAAATTATCTGTCGTTCAGAGATTGGAGAGTAGTGTGCAGCGGAATACATTCAAACTTTTGAAGACAGCTTTTTGCAATTGTGCCTTATACTTCCTTTTCCCCACTTTCTCTCTCCCTCCCCCTCTTGCTGACAGAATGTACAAAGGGTCCTAGATTCAGTGTGTACTGGGTAGAGGTGCACAGAAAATTGCCTCAAGTTGTGCAATGTGGCAGCCCTATAGACTTCAGGAACTTTGTTTTGCAATATACATTTTTATTTGTTTCGTTTATTTTAATAAGCTATTTTTCATTAAAGCTTCAAGCTTATTATCTCTCCTCCAGAAGGCTCATTTTCTAACAAGGTTAGATGCAGTTTTTCTTCTTATTGATTGATTGATTTACAGGTAAGAGGAGTGAATGTCTATATACTTGGTCAGGTTCACTTTGATTCCTTATTTCTAAGATGAATTCAAATGTAATGAATCTCTTGAGCCAGACAGGAATTCTTGTTAAATATCACATCTCTCTATTTCACTTTAGTCTTCTACTTAATGGAAAACTGAATAGGTCCAAAGATTGCAATTTCTGCTTTATTTGGCATAATGCCGATACAAGGATCAATTACATCTTAATGATTATATCCCTTATACACTTGATTGCTTAGGCCAGTATATGACCCATTATGTGAAGCAGTCAGAATGCTTTCACCATCTCAGAAAGAGAATAACTTGAGCCTGCACAATCAAAAATATATCACCGTAACTCTTTTCTTCTGAAAGATAGAGCCATATTCTTTTGAACAGATAACTGAAATGAGAAAAGCTGACATTGTATTACTAACAAATCCCTTAGACATTTGCTTTAGAATTAAGTGTGACACATTGAAAGACATGGTTAGAGAACTGCTTTAGTTCTCTACCAGCTCAAGAACATAAACAATATGAACTGGGGTTAGAAACTCCTTAAAGAATCCATGGAAGAGAAATTCATTAAATAAGGTAAAATAACAAGGAAGCTGCCATATCATACCTTTAAAATTCTCTTATGAAGTTGTATCTTGGGTTCATCATGAAACAGTGCTCAGTGAAAGATTTGGGTGCAAAGGATTTATTATGAATGTGCGTTCAGGAGGAACCCCTAAGGGAGTGGGGGAAGCAAAATTGGATATGCGGGGAAAGCCAAGCAAAGGTTTGCTTTTACCTGAACTCAGATCTATCCCAAAAGGTGCTCTGGAGCATAACTTACAAGAGACCATCCATCCTTAAAGGGGTGCAGGTACTAAGTATATGGAAGGTGGGTGATGAACACACCATGCTTGGAAAGGAATCTACAGGGAGTTGCATGGGGTACCAGTACTGTTCAGTGCACTGAAATGCTGAACTCAAGATTGGAAAATTTTGTCAGAGGTTGGTTTCTGTAAAACTCTCCAAGTTTGTTATAACACACTCTATTCTGGGGTCCTTTGGAATAGTAGTAGAAAGGAAAACATGGCTGTGGAGTCAGAGAGGCCTAGGATTGAATCCTAACCCTGCTATATGCCAGCAAATAGAAAAACCTGGCCTAGAGTAAATAGCACCATCCCTAAATATATACACATTAAATCAGCAGTGCTCCTCCTCACACACATCTGCTTTCTATAAAATTTAATATTTGGAACTTTTTCACCATAAGTCATTTAAATCTTTGTTTTTGACTTTTCTCCTCCAGGAAGATTTTAATTTTCAAGCTTACTTCTCTGCAAAATAATGGGATTTAACCTAATTTCAAATGATTCCTGGCAACAGAGAAATACTTATGGTATGCTTATTTGTGGAAACAGAAAGTCCTTTTTCTTCCCAGAGTCCTCTCTGCAGATGCACCTGCCCACTCAGCCTGCCCACAATGCAGGCCCTCTTTTCACACACCCTTGAAAGAAAATTCTTCAAGGAAGTCTAAAGACAAAGACAAATTACAAGAAAGCACTGCTTTTATTTTCATTTTTTCCAAATTAAGCTCCTGACCTACAATTATTATTTTGTGTTCTTTCCTCTTCCTCAAAGCTGGTTTTACTTTCTCTACTGCATTCCCTGATCCTAAGGTATCTGGCAGTTAGTGGTCAGCAGGCTGTCAGGCAGCTCATCATTTGGTCAGGATCCAGGCTACCCTCTGCATCTCTCAGCCAAAACCCTCCATGTGTACCCTCGTGGTTTTTAAAAGAAGACAAATGGCCCTTCTGGGACCCAGGTAGCCAGATGGAAAAACATGGCCCTCCTTGGTCTTGGCTGGGGTGAGAACCTTCTTCCCGAGTCATTCATTAGCTCAAGCTTCTTTCAAATCAAGAGATTCCACCAATTGTGGCAGGGCATGGAGGCTTATGCCTGTAATCCCAGCACTTTGGGAGGCTGAGGCTGGAAGATAAGTTGAGCCCAGGAATTTGAGACCAGTGTAAGCAACATAACAAGACCTCCTTGTTTCTACAAAAATTTTTTTACAAATTTGCAAGGCATGGAGGCATGCAACTGTAGTCCCAGCTACTAAGGAGGCTGTGATAGGAGGATTGCTTGAGTCTGGGAGGTGGAGGCTGCACTCAGCCATGATGGTGCCACTGCACTCCAACCTATATGACAAAGCAAGACCTGTCTCAAAAAAAAAACCATAAATAAAAATAAAAGAAAGAAATTCTACCAATTGCAAAACGTTAGGCTTTAGAAATCTTTCAATCATAGGATATTATTGCTGGAGGGAGCTTTAGAGATCATTTTGTCCCACCTATTAATTTCAGAGAAGAATGGACTGAAGCTTACATAGCTTAGATGTTTTCCGCACAATCACACAGTAGACAATGCTAGCAACTACACTTCTATGACAACAATGGTTGCCAGACTTTTATTCATTTATTAGCATTATAGCCTCTGTTTTGAAAAAAATCTTGCTGTGAAATATACCAACTGGACCTAATTCGTATGAAGTGGGAGATGGGGAGCCCAAAATCAAATCTATACCCCTTTCTTCTTTTTGCAGCTCTGTGCCAAATTCCCTCTTGAAAAACAAACAAACTTTTAATGGCTCTTAGAGACCTAATTCAGTGCTTTAAGTTTCTGATGGGCCTTTATTATGGAGCTTGATTAATATTGTTTAGAAAGTCCTGCACCCGATCATGTGTTTCAAGCTTGGAATGTCCCGTAAAAAAGGGAAGCTCTGGCCAAACAGGTCAGTGTCAGTTTGGGTCCAGAGCCTGGAAAGAGGATCAGGGAAGCTGGAGAAAGAACCAGATAGTGGCTGAACAGAGCCCTGAGCTTCCAAGCCAAGTTTGGAGTCTAGGAAATAGTCTGCAAGGCCAAGTGGAAGGGGCTGAACTGAAAAGAGAATGCTGAGCCAAGGTTCAGGAGCTGGGTTAGAACTGGATGGAAGGAAAGTTAAGGGAATGGTATTCATTTTCCATTGCTATTTTTTGCAGAAATTACTACAGCTCAAATTACTATAAATTTGGTGGCCTAAAACAACATAAAATGTATTATCTCAAAGTTTGTATGGGTCAGAATTCTGAGCATGGTTTAGTTAGGTTGTCTGCCCAGGGCCTCACCAGGGTTAAATCAAGGTGTTAGCCAGTTTTTATTCCTTTGAGAAGTTCAGTGTTTTCTTCCAAGCTCCTGTGGTTGTTGGCAGAATTCAGTATCTTGAGATTATAGAATGGATATTTTCACTTTCTTGCCAGCCGTTAGCCAGGGGCTACTCTTTGTTCCCACCCGATGTTCCTTGCCACATGGTTCTCTCCACTGTAGAGCGAGTTTTTTAATTTATTAGGAGAGCATGACTTTAATGCTTGACCATCTTTTGAAAGGGCTCCATAGATAAGGCTGGGCTCTCCCAGGATCATCTCTTTTGCTTGACCAAAGTAAATTGATTAGTAACCTCAACATGGGAATGACAATCCCGTAGTATTCATGAATCCTTTCCATACTCTAGGGGAGGGGATTATACAGGGAATGTACACCAGAGTGCGGGAACCTTGGGGTGGTCTTAGAATTTTGTCTACAACATGAATGAAGCCAGAGAGAGCAAGGACAGTCTTTCTGGCTTCAAATACAGACTCTACCACATGGAACCTGAAGGGCCTTGGGTGGGGAACTCTCTCTAGGTCTCCTTTACGCCTTACCAGTAAAATGGAATTGTAATCATACTTAGCTCCGGGGATTGTGATGGAGATTCAATGGAGGTATACACAAAAGTTCTTCATCACTGCCTGACCTAGGGTCAATTCATAATGAATACCAGCTTTTTAAACACGTGGCCTGTGGCTCACCTTTCAAGAACCACCTGCACTCTGTTAGTTGTATTGGCTTAAGGGTTCCAGTCAGGAAAGATATTTTCCCTTTTAAGAAATACGAGGTCATGAAGCAGCTCAGAACTTCTTTATTGGGACGATGAACTGCAGGTGCTGGCGCTCCTAGATGTCCCACACATACACCCAGCAGAGCACTGGGTCCTTTCTCATGGCTTGCCTTGGTGGCATGCCTTACGGAGGCTAATGGCTAAGCAGAAGATTAAGCCTTAGCCCCAAGCTAAAAAGGGAGCATCATATGTTCACATTGGAGAATAAGAATGAATGAATGAATAAATGAATAAATAAATAAAGGGAACATCAGGGTTGGCTCAAATTTCCTGATGACATGAAGTTTGAATTGGCATCTGAAAGCAGGTAGAATTTGGATTGTCAAAGTCAGGAAGAAAGTGTTCTTGATAATTTACGTAAAGCTCCCACCCCAGGGCTCGGCTTATCTCTTGGTTTGCCTAAAGGCATTTCTCTTCTCACATCAGGGGAGCAAGTAACTTGGAGCGAGTAACTAACGTACATTGTGTCAAGATCTTATCTAATTTTAAAATAATTAAAACCTAATTAATTTACATATTCTTTAAGTCTGCCATTGGCCTCTTAACGTATGTGTGCCATTAGCGTAAATTGAGATCATGCATATCAACAATTGTCCACTTTTCTCAAAACTGAAAGCCTATGTCTTTCTTACATTGAAGGCTATGGTTTATATCAGCAGTGTGGTGGATGAAGGGGAACATGAATTAGGGGTGATATCTAAAGTTCCACAACAGTGGGCATATGTATACTTCCAATATGGAGAAAGACATTTCAAGTTGTTCCCAACGTCCAGTAAGCCTCATGTACATTTCCATTTTCTATATAACATGCAATAGCTCAACTTTGCAGATACCTTGTTAACTCACTTCCTTCCCCACAAATATACTTGGATATGAAAATTTCCAGGTGCTTGCTTTCTTTAGCTATTCTTGCTATTAAAGTTAGTTAAAAAGTTAACTGTAAGTGCTATACCTTTTTTGAGAAAGCTGCAGCTGTTTGATCCAGTTATAAAAGATCTGTAAGGCAGCCTCAAGGGATATGTGGAGAATTTTCATCAGCTAGGCAATTTATAGTTCTGTTTAGTTTTTACTAGATGTCACGTATTCCCAAAAAAGTTACAACAACATCAGCTTCAGTTTATTATTAGCATACACCTGAAAACTCTTTGGAAACAAAGAGTCTTCAAAAGACTCAGCATGATTTACAGATACAGTGCATGAGCTATTTTCTGAGGAAGTTAGCGTGGAAGCATCAGTGGTTACTAGTGGGCTGCATGACTACTTGAATGACCAATGGAATCAGACAACTGTTAGTAACAGTTACTGGTTAGAGGAGTCGAGGAGGCTTCCTGGAGGAGGCAGCACTTGGGCTGACTCGTTAAACGATTGGTAGAAGTGAGATAAAATGGAAGGTGGTCGTGGGGAAATAGGTTCCACACAGGAAGACCGGTGAGAAAACAAGGCTGGGCAGGCAAAAAATAATGTTAGTGGGGGACTTCAAACAATTCAGAGCTGTTGGAGGCTGACCTGTGGGGAAGTGAGAAAGGGAGTGTAAGGGAGGTCAGGTCAAAGAGGGAATAAGGTCTACATAGGTCACAATGGCTTGTTGGGCAATTTAAAGGAATTTAAATTGGGCAGTTTAAAGGAGTTTGCTGTGGGCAGTGGCAAACAACTGAAGGGTTTTAGTCAGGGCAGAGTTAAAGATAGAACTGCTTTTCAGGTGGGTTCTTATTAGAGTCTATCTTAAATGCTGTGTGGAGGAAATAGATTAAGTGGGACAACTCTGAAGGCAGGAGGCCAGTGAGGAGGCTGTTGAAGTAATTCAGGCTAGCAATGAGGAAGTCATAAGCAGGTCTAGCGTGGGAGGGATGGACAAGAGTTAAAGCACAGCTTCTGTACTTGTTTTCCCTTCATGGGAAGGAATAGAGCATGCCACTTATAAAATGACTATAGAAGCCAGACTGCCCCAGTGTGACTCTTTAAGAACTGCCTATGTGACCTTTGCAAACTTCCTTCTCTGTAAGATAGGGGTGAGAATACTAGTATTGCAAAGATCACACCTATTAATACACGGAAAAGCACTAAAGAGTATTTGGCACATCTTAGGTGTTCAGTATACGTTAGTGATTATTGTGATGAAAGAGTTTAGCCCTGAAACTTGCATTTCTCAGACAAACTCCAAGAGTTGGAATCCTGAATCAGATACTTGTTAGGGTACCATGGCAATTTAACCATTTCGTTCCCTAGTCTCCTCATCTGTAAATGTAGATAACAATAGTATGTACCTCATAGGGTTGCAGTACGAATTAAATGTGGAAATACATGTAAAGTACTTAGCAAGCGACGGATGTATCTTAACAGCCAATGACTCTTTACCACTACCACCACCATCATCACCTAGGCAACTCTTTTATTTATCCCTTTTACTTTTTTTGAGAGTAGTATATGGTGGCTACTAGTTATATGAAAAGTGAAATGCTCCCCACATAGTTTGGTTTTCTTACCTATATTTGAGTTCTCATAATGTAAAACTACTCTGCCTGCTAAATTAACCTCGATGTTTCAAGAGAAAAATCTATGACACATTTACTAATCTTTTAATTTTATATTTGTGTAATACCTTTAACCTATGACTATGAAGTGAAGGTAAAAGTGCTAATTTTTTCTTTATTGTGGCTGAAATTTTATTATGAAATATCTCTTGGCTTTGGTATTCACATAATCTATTTTGTAGGAAATGTCATTATTGTCCCCCAGTTGGCTTGCTCACTGTCAGGAACTAAGGAATAAGACTCGAATTTAGCACTTAGACTGGGTCTCTAAATTGCAATAGAAAATGCTCAATGTATAATATTACCATGCTCAATCTATTATGCAGGCATTACTAAGCATCCACTGAGTGCTTCCATCTTTGGGCTAAGGGTTATGAAGATGGAAACAAATTTGAGTCAAATAGATGGCTGTCAAGGTAGGCAGACTCAACTGGCATTGATGGGTGATTAATGAGCATTGAGTCCTGTGTAGGGACGTTAAGCACTGTGATTGCTCAGATTTGGCAAGACAGGCACTTCACTGCATCCTGGAGAGGCCCAGACCTGGGATCAGTCCTAGCAATGAAGCCTTTGCCACTTTAGAAAAGACATTTCCTATTGGATGGCCTCAGTTTTGCTTTCATTAAATTGGGTTGGCACTAGATGATATCTAAGTTAACTCCCAACTTTTACACTTGCTGGTTAAATGTGAGACGGGTACTTTCCAGAAGCTTTCTAAAGAATAAACAAGTGGGGCTGGACACAGTGGCTCATGCCCGTAATTCTAGCACTTTGGGAGGCTGAGGAAAGGAATGGAACAATCACTTGAGGCCAGGAGTTCAACACCAGCCTGGGTAATATGGTGAAACCCTCTCTCTACTAAAAATAATAATAATTTTAAAAAATTAGCCAGGCGTGGTGACACACACCTGTAATCCCAGCTACTCAAGAGGCTGAGGCACAAGAATAGCTTGAACCCAGGAGGTAGAGGTTTCAGTTAGCCCAGATCTCACATTGTACTCCAGCCTGGACAACAGAGCCAGACTGTCTCAAAAAATATGACAAACAAGTGTATCTTAAAGTTATTGTTGTTCTTGTTGTTTTTTAAGGAATCCGTAGCTTTACCCTACAACATATGGACTCTCTCTAGTCTATATTTTATCTCTGGATCAACTCTTATCAGACCATGTGTGCTAGGTCCTTTATGGAATAAATTTCCTTGAACTGTGCTATGGGATTTATGCAAAAAAAAAAAAAAACAAATTTGAGATTGTGTTGATTGTGTTTATGTAGTGAAGGAAACCACTGACCTCCTCATACAGAGTTCCCTCCATGAAGCCATGTTCCCTGAGGAATTCCCTGAGGAATATGCTTCTTTCCTACTATTTCTGGCAGGTGTGCATCTGACATGGTCTCCCCTCGACTTTGCAGGCTAGGAATCTTGGCCCAGACTAGTGATTCAATATGTACATGGGTGACACATCCTCATTTTATTCTTCTTCTTTTTCGTTTATTTGATATTCATTTTTATCTTTGTTATTTTTTCCATATCATTGCATGGATGCATCTGATCTACCTCTAATTATCTGTGGATCAAACCAAGCAGCAATGTGTGGTAAACAGAAGGTTTAGGTGCCAAAAGCAGAGTCTGTGCTCAGGAGGCTGTTCACTCTTCTGTGATAAAAATAACCCCTCACGTGGGTATAACACATTTCAATTTACAAAGTACTCTTTGAATTTTTATTACTACCTTGTGAAGTGTGTGGTGAAGTTCTTTATTTTCTTCATTCTACAGATGCAGAAACTTGAGGCTCAGGGAAGGCAAGTGATTTGCTGCATGTTGCTTGGTTTTGAAAGGTGCAGCGGTCTGGGTTTAACAGGAACATTTACCAGCCAAGGTTCAGCAAGAGGAGCTTTTCAGTCCCCTAATCCCTCATTATCCCTAAGAGAGGTACACTGAGGCCAGGACAATGCTGATACACCATGAAGTAATACTCTACGGACAAGAAATTGTCCTGCTGATGCTCTTATGGTATAAGTGTGAAAATGGCCTTCTGTAGGGTTATCTAACATATTGAGCTCAGAAAAAAGGCAGACTGAACTTGGATGTCTTCTGTCTAAGAGTGTGCTAGGAAATGCCAGCTGTTTGGCACCTGAAAACCTTGGGGTCCGTGGGTACTTGGGAAGCCAAGTTCAGCACAGTACTACCAATGAGAGAAGGAGGAACCCAGGGCCCTTCTATCACCCAGGGAAGATGTGGTCCCCCTCTGCTGAGATAATGGTTGTCATCAGTCCTAGCTAGCTTATTGGCAGGTAACCTACAGTACATGCTGAACCAAATTGGACAGTCCTTGTCTCCACACATTAGTTATAAGGTAATAGAGCTTGGACTGGAACGCAGGGCTCCTGTCCTCAGATCCATTCTTCACTCCACTGTCGCATTACATTGGTTAAAGGGCCATAGATATTCAGGCTTGAGAAGCAGTATTCCCCCTGGAGAAATTCTCAGGACAGAAATAACAGCTTCCTCTGTTCTACTCTCATTGTACCTAATCCTTTATTATGTTTGTTGACCTGCATATACTTCTGCCCCTCTATAGGGCAATGCCTATGTTCTATTAATTTTAGTAGCCTGCAGCAGTTAGTATAGTTTATGGCATACAACAGATATTTAATAAAACAACATTTAGCTTATGAATTCAGTATCTCCCTGTTAACTTTCAAAAATGAGTTCCTTGGTATACTTAAACTTTTTTAGTCTGCCTAGTCGCTCATTGATTTTTATCACCAAACCAACCCCACAAAACACCATACAGAGTTCATTATGTTGATGATTACTACCTGTAGAGATGTCCTTCTGATTATCTCATGAAGCTACTTCCTTCTCTATGTGCCCTCTTGCTTCAGACCTCATCATCTTTCATTTGAAATATACTGTTACGTGAAGTCTCCTTATTGATTATCTGACACCCGTCTTAACTGAGACCATCTTGCACCTTGTATTCCACCCTTGCTGACCTGCCTGTCAGATTCTAAATACATCTGATGAAGTCTTCCCATTCATTCTTCAAGACCCAGCTCAACAATCACCATAGCTTCACCTTGATATATCATACATGCCAATGGTTTCCTGGGTCATCTCTCAAGAGAATGTATTGGCTTTAGTTTTTGCTTTTGAATATATGCTGAAAAAATTGGTCATATTCTCTGCAATTTATTGATGATCATTTGTTATAGTGGCATTTGCCATTGAAAGTAAATCAATTTTCAGGCAAGAAACCTGAAAAGGTATAACTTTTAGGTTTCAGGGAAAGAATATAGGATCCTTGTGACGTGAGAGTTATAAAATAAAACAGTAGAATCTATAATCCTGGAATAGACTGACTTCTGCTAAATGGTCACGTGTGTCCTCTACCCCTTGTTCCACATTCATTCTCTGTATCCATAGCAGAAGATTCTTGTTTATATGTTTTTATCACGTTCACTCACAGTAATGACTCTGCTCTTTGTTATTTATCTTTGTTAGCAAAGAGACACTGTATTGCCCTTCCCAGGGTACTTGCACTTTAATATCATCTCTCAGGGAAGGGAAGGCTTTGGTGGCAACTTACAAAACAATTGCAAAGAATTGTGAGCAACTTTAGAGAGCCAAAGTTTTTGCTTTGGGTATCCAGTCATTCTCTGGGAAGTAGACTAATAAATTCCTGCTATATTCATCCCTACCTTTTTATGCCTGCTGAACTATATGTGAATCCTCAGTATGCATCTACTTGGGTCAACCTAAGGCAAAATTGTAAAAAATTCAAAAGCATAATGAGAGTTTTAGAGATGGAAAGATATTAGAGATATTTTTCCAGGATAATTTTTACCTTGTCTATCAACATCAGTGTTACGGTTTGAAGCCTTTATCCAAAACAACTGTGAGGCTACCTCTAGGTACTGTGAGCAAGACGTTGGGATTGTTAGCATTGTCTGTCATGGTTATAGGTGAGTTCAAACATGCTTGTTGTATCTTATACAACTTCTATCCCAGTGTAGGGAGTGCCTCTTAAAACAGATGGTACTCTTACTGCTTTCTTAACACATTGGTGGGCCAAGACTATTTTATTACATGAGGTGGTGGCATTGTATATTGACAAAATATATATCATTGTCAAAATCCTTGAATCTCAAAATAGGGACATACTAAAAATATCTGAGTGAAAATTAAAAGGAGATTCGAAGTCACTTATTTTCTATAGTTTACATAATCTGGTAGAGAATAGAGTACTGTAATACTACTAAAAATTACAGAATTGTGTCCAAGGTCAAATTTAATAGTGATAGGATATTTCTGCTTTTCCATATACCAACTACATATCTGTATCTTTTAGAAGTAGAGCATCTCCTATAGTCTAGAATGATTTTACAAAATCACTTCGTTAAAAGTATGTAGGAGGGCCAGGCGTGGTGGCTTATGCCTGTAATCCCAGCACTTTGGGCAGCCAAGGTGGGCAGATAAACTGAGGTCAGGAGTTCAAGACCAGCCTGACCAACATGGTGAACCCCGTCTCTACTAAAAATACAAAAATTAGCTGGGCATAGTGGTGGGCACCTGTAATCCCAGCTACTTGGGAGGCTGTGGCAGGAGAATCGCTTGAACCCAGGAGGTAAAGGTTGCAGTGAGCCGAGATCACACCACTGCACTCCAGCCTGGGCAACAGAGCAACACTCTGTCTCAAAAAAAAAAAAAAAAAAAAAAAAAAGTATATGGGAAACCATAATGGTGACTTTTGCTCTGGATTTAATTCTCATCTGTTAGATAATGTAGATGTTTTAAAAATATACAAATAAATAGTCTTGGAAAAATATGCCCATAACTTCTTGAAGTTCATAATAGCAAAGAAAAGGAATATAGGGCATGGAACCTTATGTGCTGGGTAGTTCACAAAAGCAGATATAAAAATAAAACTTCAAAGGAAAATGGTAATAATTCCATGGCTGAGACTCTGGCTGTGTAGGTTTAAAAGATAAACGTTCAGACTATGTTGCTGCAAATAGTTTGAATGAGAGAAAATGGGATGGGCCTTCTCTGATGAGCTTCTGGGCCGTGTATAGAAGATGAAAGAAGAGGCTCATGGTTACCAAGACTCAGGTTAACGTTTAAAATTGTCTTTAATTCTGGATAGCATTTTAGAGTGACCTGGTTTATTATATATACATTTTCTATTTTGGAAAATATATATGGCTATAAATATTTTTAAATTCTTTTTTTTTGTTTGTTTGTTTTCCCTCCAAGAATCACTACATTTGTTCACCTATGTCAGTGTTTTTTAGTATTTTTTTCATCACTGTCCCCTTAAGGAGTCTTTTTAAAACATTCTTTCCCCGTAATCACCTCTTATATATAATGTTAATACCACAGATATACTGCATATCTATTTATGCACTATGGCCTTTTGGAGGGCCGTTGTAATCTTTAAGCTTTTTTGGCATCCACCAAGAATCAATTTTTGTCCCTTTGAAAATGAAATATCTATGCTACAACTGATTTCCTCTATGCAGAATATATAGATTTGAGCTATTTTGGGGCATCTTCTCTTTCCCTTAACATTTTGTGTTGTAGCTCCCTTGCTTACACAAGAGAGTATACCCACAAGTGCTCCTCTCTTGGTGTGCTAAAGACACATCCTTTGCTTTGCAAGATCCTGTGGTCCTGATACCAGAAACTAGGTTCTACATGGTCCACACCAGAGGGGGGTCCTACACATTAATTCATATGCATAACTATTAAGATCCCATTAGCTCCTCTTTCAGGAACATAAATGTAAAGAACAGAGAAAAAACAATACCACCTGGCTTCTTCCCTTCCTTCAGTTTTTTCCTCCAGGCCAAAGTCTAAAGATACAGCCCCAGTTTCTTTCTTTATTTTTCAAGAAATAACAGTTGTTTAGCTGGGCTTTAGCAAATGTGTGTGAGCACTTTCTTGACAGATTCTCTGTACCACCTCAGGTGTATACTACAAGAAGACAAACACTCTTATTGGATACCATATCAGTTTTAGGTACGGTTTTCTTCACTTTCCTCAAGAGAGAATCTGTGGCCACTATATAGCTTTGTATTTCTTTTATTGAATGTGTGGTTGCATATCAGTCAGGATAAATTAGGTTATGCTGCAGTAACAAAACACCTTCCAAAATCTTGATGCCATCATCTCCATCTTTCTTGTCACATGATAGATGGAACGCATAGTCTGGAGGGTCTCAATTTTAGCAAAGGAGTAACACGCATAATTTATCTTCCCAAATTGTTAGGCAGAACTAGTCTCATAATCCCATCCAACTGCAAGAGAGGAGAAAATGCAACTCTACTTGCTGTGAAAGAAGAGGAGAGTTAGATCTTAGCAGAACTAGTGATACCATAGGATAGTACCAGGGTTTTCTCTATTTTCTGGATTCTTCCCTCTGCATAATAGATGGATATTTCTTCTTCAGTATCTATAATTTCTTTATAACTTTTCTACCATACAAAGTCTTTTCCTTTCTTCTCCTGAATCACATTCTTTTTCTCAGCAATCATTTACCATTTGATTTGAACGTCTCTCTTTCTCATAATCTTTATTTTTATTTATTTTGTTGATTTAGATTGATTTCCTAACTAGATTTTATATATCTGTCCTGTTTAGGCACTCACTGTGTTAGGTAACCTGGTTTATTGAGGGTGATGCAGGAGTTTTTCTCAACCCCTTTGTTGGACTTGCGATGGGGGTGCTCTGATTACTTGGCCAGCCGTGCTCAACCTCTTGAAGGAGGGAGTGCATGAGTGAGCAAGTACAGGATCCAGCTGTCCACTTTGGGTGCCAGAAGGAGCAGGCTCTGTGCAGGCCCCCTGGCAGCACCCAGGTTGGGTGCCTGCGACCTCTGAAGTCCCAGAGGGCATGTTACAATGCTCTCTTAGCTCCTCTGTTCGTGGACAGTGGGGTGTTATCATCTCAGTGGGCCCCTTGCCTTGTCCTGTGTGGTGGCCGCCTTCTACCAATGAGTGCAAACGGCCAGTGTGACAGCCTTTTCTGGGTACCCACACTCGGTAAGTCCCAAGCTCTTGTCTGGTGTCCAAGAAGAATGAGGTCACATGGACCCTTGAAGGATGTTAGATGTGGGGAATTTTATTTAGTGATGGAAAAGGCTCTCAGAAGAGAGGGGAGTGGGAGAGGTGACCAGGCAGGCAGGTAAACTTCCTTGAAGTCAGGCCGTCTCTGGCCAGCTCTTCTCCAAAGTTAAGCCATCTCTCCTCCAAAGTCCAGCCGTCCCTCTGAAGTCAAGTCACCTCTCTCCAGTCAAGCCGCTTCTGTCTCCCTGCTGACTGAGTCTGGGATCTTTATAGGCACAGGATGGGGGGTGGGACAAGCTGTAGGTAGTTTTGGAAAAGGCAACATTTGATTGATAAAAAGACATTATTCAAAAAGAACCAATCAGGAGAGAGAGGGCACACAGGGATAGAAGTTCTCACTTTGGGCCGCAGGTTTTAGGCTTTTTGGCTTGAAGGTGCGGTTTCATCAGGGACCTACCCCTGTCTGTCTAGAATTTCTCTGCCTTCTTCCTCTATGAAGAGGAGTGTGTCAAGTCCTTTGATTTCTCCTTTTGCAGGGAGATTTGCAGCACACATTCTTAGGGTGACTAAAAGCCTTCAAACATAAGAAATGGATCTTATGGTACCAACAATTTCTAGGTGAATTGCCCATCTTTTTTTTTTTTTTCCCCCTTGGAAACTGCTCATTTTCAGGACCATTCTCATGAGTTTCAAATAGGATTTTTTTCTTGGAATTGAATTCTGTCAACTGACCCACCATCACCAAGAGAATGCCCAGCTCTGTTCTTCTTTGATGGAAATTTCTCTTTCTGTGTCTCAGGGCTTCCCATATGAAAAAAAGATAAGATGATAAATTAATTGCTAATGGGAGAGAACAGAAGAAGGATTTTCACAATCTTCTCTTTTATTCCCTTGGATAGCTCAGAATGACATAATAGTATTTCTGACTCAGAAGCTAAAGCTGAGACTCAAGAAGGAGTACCTGGGTCTTAGATAACTTTTTGAGACCTCAAAGATATTATTGCCTCTTTATTTTGCTAGAAATTGATTATTTCAGTTGCCAGAGGCTGACATTGGGATCTTATTCTCTTGAGCTGCATTAGAATGAGAAGGCATTCATCCCTCTCTAATGCTTAAAAGAAACTTTTGTTACATATTCTTTAAATTTGAAATGTGTTTTTTATTATTCACCACATGAGCTCAGATTTGTAAAGAAACATAGAAACTGAAGACCTAATTTACTTCTTGCTCTGCTTTGTGGAAAATAAAGCAGAAGGGGATGATGGCCAAGGTCTGGTGGCTTCAGCCGAAATCAATTGAGGCTTCAGATTCCATATGAATGGCAAAAGCCTCAGTATCACTGAATTGCATGTCTGTTTCATCCTTACAGATGGGACAAAAACTTGCCCAAATCCAGATCAAAGGAACCAGTTTTGATGGTTTTTGCTAAGGTCTGGGTGTGTTTTTCCTTATCCACCTCTCTTTCACACTATTCTGTCTCTTCTCTCTCTCTTTCTCTACTCCTTTCAGGTCAAGTGTATAGATGACCTCCTTCTCATTACGGACAACAGTGGGATTCATTATGCAGAACATATCTCCCTGAGGCAGAGTGTGTGAAGCCACCCAAGCTTAACATCTCTGGGGCAGGAAGGGGATGTGCTCAGGAAAGCCTTTGTGTCCAGACTGAGCTGATTGGCTAATATGCATCTTGCCTTTGGCCACCTCATGCCATGAATATCTAAGCAACATTGGGTTTTTTTCTCAGGGCAGAAGCAGAGAGATGGAAGATAACAGAATGGTGTTTGTTACCCATATGTAGGATGCTATTTACATAAAAGCCGCAGAAGCTATGTGATTTCCATGCGGTCCTTACCGTTTTGCCTCAGCTGGGTACCTGTGCAGGCCAGGGTGACTGGCTGCAAATGAGCTTCCTACTTGTCTCACCCTACACAGCTCTGCCTCTCCCCATTAATGCTCCCCATCTGGTCCTCAAAGCACCTCAAATAGGTCCAAGATTAACTCTGGCTGAGGGGAGGAGGTCATTTTTCAAACATGGTTAAGCACGTGGCAGGGGCTGAGAATATCAACTTTTCTTTCTCAGGAACATGTGAACTTTTTTAGTGTTAAGCAACACCTGAAAACTATTCATCTTAATGCAGAGTTAGTTTATACCCTGAGAAAACAGGATTAACCATTCACAGTCCTGATCATCTATGTTTAGTTCTCTCTGTAGTCTTTGGAAGTTACCTGCCAAGGACAGAATTTGGTCTCAAGTGAGCAAGAAATACAGACAAATTAAGTGCCAGATTCCACTTTTCTAACAACGGTAAATTAATAGTCCTTACCTAATGGTGTTCTTTTTACTTGAGTTAAGGCATAACTGAAGTTTTCTCTTCCATGTGAAATCAGAAGAGATTTTTATTTCTTTGCTTCATTCCTCTCATGAGGGGTAAGTTAAGTTTTGTTTTTGGTAGAAACTTCTAAGTTCCAATTGCTTTCTCTCACCCCACCCCTCCCCAGAAAACAATCCTCCTGTTTGTCTGAAATGAAGAAGGAAGGCAACTTGGTGCTGCACAGAAAGGTAAAAAGAGATGGATGGGAACATTTGTTTCTGACCTTCAGCGAAAGAATTCAGTTAGGCACTATAAATTTGTTTTCTGCAAATGGGAGAGCATAAGTGTGCTCCATCAGGGTGGAGGAAAGCATTTGCACCCAAAACATGGAACACAAAATAAATCGATCAAATTAATTTTTGGCTGTCAGCCCTGGAGGCTCATTTCCCATCAGCAGTATCAGGAGGAAAAGGAGCAGTTAACTTGTAATGATTGGGGAAGGTGGGGACCACGGATGGATTTGCTCAGGGGCACTGCAAAGGGTGCCTTGCTTTCACTCTTCCCACCAAGAATTTGCCTTGTCTGTAATCACAGTGGTCTGCTGCTGCCATGGAGGAAGTATGTAAGTTGCCCTGGGGCCCAGCTGTGCACTGTTCTGCTGGCCCCAGTCCTTGACCTTATCTGTAGGAGTTACTCCTTTGAGTTAAAGGATGACAGGACCACTTACAGGCGTCTATTAATCTTGTGTAACTGTATACCTTTTGCCAGGCAAGGAACATTCCTAGGGGATGGGTGATGTCAAGGAAGTGTTCATTGAGGAACTTGTAGAGAGAATGTCTAGAGCCGAGAGTAATATTGGGGAATCCTGCCACAAAATGGTGCTCAGGACAAGTTTTGGGCCACATAACCCCAAATCGTTTTAATAACATTGGAGGCTTTTTGCATTGCATCAACACTGAGTCATTTTCTGGACAATATTTATTTTACTGTTTGTTGCCTAAACTTGGTCTGCATGATTACTTTACTGATCCAGGAAACTCATTTTATGATCAGAGTGTATTGAAAACATTGGCTTGTCAGTATGGATCACACTAACCAGATATTTGCCAGAATTCACATCCCTAAAGTATGCTATTTCTAGGGATTACAAGTAAAACACCTTCAGGTGACGGGCAGTAAATGCAAGCATTTGCTCCAAGGCAAGACACCAGACTTGCCATTAGACTGCAGATAGCTGGAAATGCTGTCCTTCACTCAAAGACATTTATATTAAAAGCTTTGAATTTGATCTGTGATTTGACAATTTGAAATCTCAATGGATTATTGAGGTGATTCTTCAAGCATATTTTTCATATTCAGTTAAGTAAATGATGAAATATTATTTAGTTAAAAGCAGAGTGAGCTGATGATCTCTAGTGGATGTGGAATGTTATAATGGAATAATTGGATCAGTCTGGTCTTCTGGTATTGGAACATCATTTCCCCAATCTGTCAAGTTCTCCCCTTCTTCCTACACCCACAGAAGCACAGATTTTGGTTATTACACTGGGACGTCTCCAACTGTCCAAGAACATTCCATGTCCTTCTTGTCTTTATGGATAGAGGATGATGGATGATACCCCTGCCCCAACATATACATCATGGATATTAGACATGTTGAAATGCACAGAAGTTATATTCTGTTGAGTTTCTGCCTAAACCTGGAATTTGGTTGGCTCTGCTTCCTGGTTGCCTGTGATACTCAGTCTTCAGCTGGTCTGCAGTGTCGGGTTCTTAGTGATCACTATTCATCTCATCAATAATTATTATATGAATGGCATGTTGTATATACCATAAAAACACACTTAATGTGTTTTTTGCTACTAGATTCTCAAATATTCTTGACTATTTATATGAGTAAATGTGAATTAGTTTTAGGAAAAATTTGATTCCTGAAGGAATCTGTAAGCTTCTTTTTGTTAAAAATATTTTTTAAAAAACTCTATAGCCCATTATTTGCCTTTTTGCCTTAGCTCTCAAGGAACCAAATCTAAACCTAGTATCTGATTGTAATAGACTTATCTGTGCATTTTCTTTTCCTGGTTTCTGTTCACTTCCACCCCTGGATAATTAAGAGGGTAAGATAATTTACTTACTAACACATAAATGGGATTTTTTTTTGAAATCTGGCATTGCTTAGAAGAAGGGAATCCACAATTAGTAAGTTTTCATGGGGCAGTGAAAAATATGAAACACCTGGAGCTTGATTTGATAAGGGAATACAAGAATAAACACCTCTCTTTCTCTTTTGTGTGTGTGTGTACGTGTGTGTGTATGTATGTGTGATTTATATTATAAAATCAAGGAGCATCTGAGATAGAAAAATGTAGCTGAGAAAGCCAAAAGGAAAATGCTGTAGGAAAACAGATTAGCATTGTGAAGTCCTAGAAGCATTTTTTGAACACTATCATGGATTGTGCTTTGTGCTGATGAAACAATAAAACACAGAAACGCATTGCCAAATCCAGACCGAAAAAGTGACAAGATCATTGGACTGGTACTTAGGGTGCCTGGTTTTGAAATCTGGTTTGGTCACTAATGAACAGAGAGAGCATCTTTGAAAAAAAATCACACTCTAGGTTTCCATTTGGATGCTCTCTACACCCCCTTCTAGTTTTCACATCATGAGTCACTTAAAAATGCTTCCATATTGCATAAATATTGGCAACAGCATTGTTACTCCCCAGCATGTGCCTGGGCACAGCTCTGAGCAATAGAGAATAATAGGTCAGAACTAATTCCTTGACCTGATCTATTCTGACCTCCTCTGAATTCCACGTCCTAGAAATTTTTATATTTATTCAAAGGCTGACTTTTCTGTTTGGTAATATTTCCCTTAGATTGTAGAGGACAACTACATGCTAGTATCTTTACTTTCCTGCTGAAATAGCCCATAGCACAGTAGTTTGGGAATAGCTCTACTGAACTTATTGAAATAACTAAGTCCTAAGAGGCTCAGCTGCTCATCAGATGCAGACCCATAATGGCCAGGTGTCCTCACTTTGGGGAAGTGACACCAGAGACCATCCTCTGGAACAACATGCAGTGGACCACATCAGGAGACTGGTCACGCCTGTCACACCTTCACCACATGGTGCATTGTCCTTCATCTTTCTAAGATGGGGTCACATCATTGATCCACTGTTGCTTAGAAGCCTCTTTCCTTTCACCCCACAGAGTGGAACACCCCCTGTGTTTCCCTGATTTCCTCATCCCTCCTCCTCCAGGAATGCTGTTAAAATAGAAATTTCAGCTGAGTCACTTTCCAAAGTGAGGTGTGAGACCAAGAGGGTGTGTGTTTCTAAGCAGCTGGCTAAAAGATGGTGAATGAACTCTGAATATACTCACCCACACTAGAGACATAAAGGGATCAATAAGCATATACTAGATGGGACACATTTTTGGAGAAAGCTGTTGGTGGCCTGTGCCATCCCCTTTTCATTATCAAAAGGAAATAGGCCTTGATAGAAGTGCAAGGAGAGAACTGGAAAAATTCCCGACCTGCCAGCGGGGAACACAGAGAAATAGGGTTTACTTCAGGCTGAGGGCCCTTGTCGGTTCAGGTATTATAACAAAATAGCATACACTGGAAGTCCTAAACAACAGAAATGTGTTTCTCACAGTTCTGGAGGCTGGAAGTCCAAGATCATGGTGCTAGCATGGTCGGGTTCTGATGAGGGCCTTTTTCCGGAGTTGCAGGTGGCTAACTCCTTACTGTATCCTCACCTTGCAGAAAGAAAGCTAGTTTGCTCTGTAGTTTCTGCTTATAAAGGCACTATTCCCATTCATGAAGACTCCACTCTCATGACTTAATTAGCCCCCAAGGGCTCCACCTCTAAATATCATCACATTGGAATTAGGGTTTCCACATACTAATTTTGGGGGTATTGTACTGAGAGACTCTAAAGAGCAAGAAGCCGGCTGCACCTGCTTCCACATTGATTCGGTGAAAAGCTGGCTGCATTAGGATTGGCCTACACTGCCAGAGTTTGTCAGTAAAAAAGAGTGGTATTTTCTGTGAGTTGAGAGGTTTGGTGTGGAATGATCCAAGGTCCTGTTCAAGAGGGCTGTTTGGAGAGTGGATAAACCTCAGTAGAAATATTGAGGTATTACTACATGGCCAGGGGCTGAGGCAGGGGTACCAGGTGAATGAGGATGAGATGCACTGGCCCTCAGTGAGAGAAACAAATCACTGATGAGAAAGCCAGCTGTGAGCACCCACGAAGCCCTGACAGCCCTTGTGCTGGGGCCGCGTCCCTGTGTAGTGAGCAAAGATGTTCCAATTTCCCCATTCTTTTCTCCCTTCCTCTACCTAACCCTGGAGACCAGTTAGTAAGTTGAGGGAACAGGATTTGAGGCTACCAAGTGGAAGAACAAAAGAGAAACTGAGTGCCTCCTCGTACCTGCTATACTCACCAAAGCCCCATACAGGGAAGGAGATGGGAGTCTTTATTTCCAAACAAAATGCAAGTTTTAACTCTTACATGGAACTCTATGTAGAATCATTGCTCCCTGATCCCCCCACAGTTGCTCACATCCTAATCCCTGGAACCCATGAATATGTTACTTCATGTGGCAAAGGGGAATTAAGGTTGCAAATGGAATTAAGATTTACTAATCAGCTGAATTTAAGGTCAGGACATGAGCCTGGATTTATCCAGGTGGGCCCAATGTAATCACAAGGGTCTTTATATGTGAAAGAGGGAGGCAGGAGAGTTAGAGTGATGCAAGGAGAGAAAGACTTCACTAGCCGTTGTTAGTCTTGGAGATAAAAAGGAGCTAGGAGCCAATGGGGGCAGCCTCTAGGAGTGGGAGAAGACAAGGGAACGAATTCTCTCCTGGAGCCTCCGGAAAAGAATATAGCACTGCTGACACCTTGATTTTAGCCCGGCGAGCCCCATTTCAATCTTCTGACCTTCAGAAATGTAAGATAAATTTTGTGATGTCTGAAGCCATTAAAGTTGTAATTTTTAACAGTAGCAGTAGGAAATTAACACACTAAATAACTAAATCAAAACTGCATTACTTCAGAAGAAGCAGAAAAGTCATAGGTAGAGAAAGAATTAGCCTCAAGGAGTAACTTAAATGAAGAGAGGGAGATCAAAAAATGAAGTCACTTTAAGAATATACAGCCCCAAGTGGTTTCTCAACCTAACAGTTACATATCTAAATCAGGTTATCTGTCCATATTTCTTTCTAGAAGCTCCCCACAAGGCCAACCTGGATCCTGTGTTTCTCTTAAGTGTGTTGTGCATTCTCTGGTTCTGAACAAAGGTCATGTCCAAAGTCCATATTCGGAAACAGTTTTCATGGAGCTCTACTCATTTGCAGAGAGAGTCAGCTCTGTCAGGGTGATTGGTAGTTAGTGTGAGCCTCAGCTGTTCTCAAGGATCCTCAAAAGAGAGTCTTAATGAGTGCTGCAGTCTTCTGTAGCAAGAGGATGGGAGCTGTGATGTGTTTGAGCAATAAAGTTGGAGATCCAAGTTGGGGTCAGACAGTGGAGGACTTCAGATACTGTAGAAAATAGATTGCATTTAATTTCAATAATTAGAATGTGTGTTGATAAACATTTGAACTGTGACCGTTGCATTGAAGGGGTTAGGAATAAAGCGGTTGGAGATATCTTGCTGTTAAAGGTGACGGGACTTTAATTGCCGAGTAGGAATCTTAGTTTTCTATCCTGGAGATTTTTGTCCCCGCCCAAATCTCATGTTGAATTGTAATCCCCAGTGTTGAAGAAGGGGCCTGGTGGGAGGTGATTGGATCATGGGGATGGTTTAGTACCATCCCCTTAGTGCTGCTTGTTTAAGTATGTAGCACCCAGCCCCCACTTCTTGCCAGCCACGTGAAGACGGCTTGCTTTCCCCCTCACCTTCCTCCGTGATGGTGAGTTCCCTGAGGTCTCCCCAGAAGCAGAGGCCCGTACAGCCTGCAAAACCATGAGCTGATTAAACCTCTTTTCTTTATAAATTACCCAGTCTCAGGTATGTCTTTGTAGCAGCGTGAGAATAGACTAATACAATATGTCATTAGCTGATAGTGACACTGAGCAGGAGAAGACGGGGTCCTGTGGTGCATATGTTTTGTGGAATTCATGCATTTGGGGTGATTGTGCACTGCTCAATTGGAGCTATCAACCAACTCAGAAAATTACATAAAGGTAAGAGTGAGAAGCCAGAGTCTGGGATAATGAGTTGTGTATTTTCAACCCAGTAATGAAAATAGGGTCAGGGTGAATGAGATCATCTAACAAGGAAGTATTGAATAGGTGCCATACCTGTGTATTAGAGGAAAACATTTATTTAATGAAAAAAACCACTTGTAGCAATCTTGAACATGTCAAGCAGCCTCAGTGGGAGAGCAGAATTCAAATACATGGGTGAGCAGAAAGGAAAGTGAAGTTGTAAATGCAACAAAGGCTGAGTAAATATGAAGTCGGTCCCGGTGCATGGAGAGAGGCAACTTTTCATAGAATAAAAAAAGATGTCTATGAGCTGTAAATTGAGAGAAGAAACTCCGTATGAATGACTGGGGCACTGGAAAGAGAAGCAAAAGGAGGAAAATGTTAGTGATTTGGTGATAATGTTAGGCCTGCGTGAAGAGAAAGTTATAAGGTAGATGGAAAGAGGAAGATAGGCTACGACAATTCCTACTGCTGATATTAAACCTAAATAACAGTATTTATGCCACCATGGGGTCTTTTCTATTGCAGTCCTGAGTGAATGATGGGGCTGGGCTCTACAGCGAGCTCGGCTCCCCTGTTGTAAGGGTGTAAGTGGTACATGGACATGCAGCCAGCAGCTTGCACACAGGAGGGGCTGGCGTCTGTTGTGTTCTCAGTATATTTCATGCTAAGGTTAATACAGAAGAGGCAGGAGATGGTCCCTGACTTTGAAAAGTTGATAATGGGGAAGGCAAGTCTTCACAGAGGACAACGTTTTAATATAACCAATCTTGATACAAATTCTTTACACTAATGTGGTAAGATTTCAGAGTAAGGGAAGATTACGTTGCCATACTTAGGGGAAATTGGTTGAGGAAGGCTTCCTAGATGATGTGAGGCATGACTTTGACCTTAGGATAGGCAGAGGTAGAAGGGTGAATCATATAAGCAAAAGCATAGCATAAGACTTTTTGCTCTTGGCGCTGAGGAGTTGTCATACCTGCCTGTGTAGTCCTGACAAAAGCATAGCTGCTGATGGGGATGACAGGCCTTCAGGAGATGTCCTGCAGGGAAATAGCTGGGGAGAGGGACTGTGGCACAGTGGGAGGAGCACTGGTTTGGGAGACAGACCATTGAATATTCCTGGCTCTGAACCTGACCATTTAGGTGATCAGGGGAGATGTACTTCACCTCCAAGTGTTCTCATCTGTAAATTAGGGGTTAGAAGAGGTACCTCATAAGATAGTATCTTGTATATCCTCCTCCACATTCCTTGTTCTCTTACCTTGAATATATAATAGTGGGTGTACGCTTTCCTTTTCAGAAGAATCTGACTCCGCCTACCTGCTCTTTCTCATTTTCTTCTGATTCATCTTCCAAACAGGTGTGCAAGTGCTCTTTAGGTGACATTTGCCCAGTGGTCACTCACCTGCTTAAAGTTCTGCCCATTGCCTACAGGTGAAAGTTGTTATAACATCTTTGGTGCTGACTTCCATCCCAGCCATATTTTCTGCTGACTCCCCTCTTGCAGACTAGTCACGTTGAACTACTTGCCAATCTCCAAATACCCCAGTCTCTTTGGCCATGGCTCACATTCTTTCTTCTTCCCTAGAATAGTCTCCCTATGCCACTAGCCCCTAATTTTTGCCATTACCTCCTTCCCCATCTTAGGGTCTGCCTTGTTGTAAGCCTAGGGACCTGTGTATCTTTGAAGCTTTTCCTAAACAACTGCCCTCATACATGCTCTCTCACACACAAAAAAATGCTCTCCACCCACTTGGTGGTCCCACTCTGACAAGCATAGATCTCTACTGTAGCACGTTTGTATTTGACTTCATTCGCTCTTTTATGGTCTGTATTATCTCATTAGATGTCTCCCCCTTGCCACCCCCACCTCATACTTTTAAGTTTTTATTTACATAGGTTTTTGGGGAACAGGTGGTATTTGGTTACATGAGTAAGTTCTTTAGTAGTGATTTGTGAGATTTTGGTGCACCCATCACTGAGCAGTATACACTTTTTTTTTTGTATGACTTCCAGAAGCTTATGTGGTGATTAATTAAATGTGGTGAGTGAGTGAATGAAGCAGAAGACAAGCAATGTCTTCTCACTCTTTCCTCCTCTGGTAGTTCCTGTTTGTGCTGGGGCAGGATTGCACAGCTAGAGTTTTTTTTTTTTAATAGCAATTTTTGCTACCCTGCCTCCCCAACACACACAGTCTCAGGACCCCTCTCCTGCCTGGTTGGATGGGCTCAGTGTGCTCAAGAGAGAATCCTTGCCTGGCAGCTGGAGTCTCATAGGGCAGGTCCCGGAAGTCTTTGGGGCCTCTTTCAATCTGAATGATCTGGATTTCCCCTTCTGTGTTGGTGATGCCCTCCCCAGTGACTGTGAAGTAAGGGAGAAATAACTACTCTGGTCAAGTTCAGCGACTCTGAATCTGATTTGGCTTGTATCTGGGTAACTCTCAGGAGCAGGACTGGCCTCAGGCAAAAAAACAAACAACAACAAAAACCCTGAATTCAGCTAAGCCTGACTTTCCAATTTCCCCCTCACCCATCTGCTCTCTACCCTCAATATCAAATGTTTGCTTTTGTTTTCTCTCCTATCGTAGCCTGTCCCTTGGAAAATGTATTTTATGCTAGGGTTTTTCTGGAGGGGCCTTGATCACACTCATCATGTCAGCTTTTCCTAAGCCCCTCTTAAGAGAGTGACTGTAACTTGAAGTTGAAAAGCTGCCTCATTGGTGCTCCATGATCTGTAAGGATAATGACTACCTTACGCGCTGGCAGGATTGCATAAGGTGCAATACGTGTGCCTGGGACCTGCAAACAGACTCCAGGTTCAAACATTGGCTCTGCCACTTATTAGCTGTATGATCTGGGCAAGCTATTAGGTTGGTTCAAAAGTAATTTCATTTTTTGCCATTGAAAGTAATGTCAAAAACCACAGTTACTTTTGCACCAACCTAATACTCTCTTAGCTTCTGGTTATTCATCTGAAAAATAAAAAAATCTGTTTAATGTTTGTGGTGAGCAATAAATGAGCATCATATAGGGATCTCTAGAATGTGCTTTGAAGTTAGGCCACTATAGTTCAAACCTGCATTTTCTCCTTACTCTGGTATGACCTCAGTAAATCTACTGAACTTCTCTGTGCCTCGATTTTCTTTTTCTTTTCTTTTTTTGAGACAGAGTCTGGCTCTGTCACCTAGGCTGGAGTGCAGTGGTGCGATCTCAGCTCACTGAAACCTCCGCCTCCCGGGTTCAAGGGATTCTCATGCCTCAGCCTCCTGAGTAGCTAGGATTACAGGCGTGCATCACCACATCTGGCTAATTTTTGTATTTTTAGTAGAGATGGAGTTTCGCCATGTTGGCCAGGCTGGTCTCGAACTCCTGACCTTGTGATCCGCCCACCTCAGCCTCCCAAAGTCCTGAGATTACAGATGTGCGTCACCACGCCTGGCTAATTTTTGTATTTTTAGTAGAGATGGGGTTTCACCATGTTGGCCAGGCTGGTCTCAAACTCCTGACCTCAGGTGATCCGCCCACATCAGCCTCCCAAAGTGCTGGGATTACAGACGTGAGCCACTGTGCCGGGCCTCTCTGTGCCTCAATTTTCTCATCTATAAAATGGGAATGATAATGACAGTACCTTCTTCGTGTGGTGTTCTGAGGATAAAACAAAAAAAGATAGAGCTTATAAAAAAGTGTTTGCACAGTTAAAACTCACACATTCCAACTCTTGCGTCATTTCAGGTGCTGTGAGAATTGAATAAAATAATATTAGAACTTTTGAAAGTACCTTAAGCACTGCATAGGTATCCAGGATTTCCTTGAATGCAAACTTCTCTAAGAATCCTGCAAGAACTATGGAGTTTTAAAAAAAATCCTTTTGTCACCCTTCTAACATTTTTTGAAATTTGGGAGGTAGTAGAATATGGTCATTGTACAAATTGTCTATGGACATGTCTGCATTTCAGGGGAAAAAATTTGAGCACTATGACACAGTTGATGGCACCACCCTGAGTGCTCAGGAGAATGTGCTTTTTGTGTCAAAACACAAGGTCTCACTCTTACCCAGAATATTCATGAAAGATGATAGTAATTAGGACTTTCTAATTAAAAGTGTCAGAAAAAATTCTCAGATAACTCACTTTCATAGAGTTGTAAGAAGTGATGACATGAGGATAATTTTTTAAAAAGAAAGCAAAGCAAGTGTAGTATGGGGGAATTCCTGTTGGCTGGACTTTAGAAAACAGGGCACTATTTGTCAAAAAGTGAAGCGTTTGTGGTAGGCCTGTGAGTCTCAGACTTGAGCATGCTTTGGAGCCACCAGAAGGGCTAAAAACACAGATGACTGGGCCCCACCCCCATAGTTTCTGATTTCTGTGTATCCGGGGTGAGGCCTGAGAATTCGCATGCCTGATAAGTTCCCAGGTGATGCTGATGCTGCTGGACTTGTGTTAGATCAGTTTTACCTGAAATCTGCTTTATCTTAAGTGGCAGCTGGGGAGTCTTTTAGAAACAGGAATTGTCAGGCCCATTGCAGAGCTCTGGAATCAGAATCTTCTGGTGAAATGTAGGTTTAGCAAGCACACCAGGTGATTCTTATGATGGGGCAAAGTTGGGAGTCATTGGGAGAGAGAGGACATCTCTGAGGCCTCTCCCTGGTTGGCCTCTATAAAGGAGAAAGCAAAGCTGATGGACCCAGACCAATGCCTTAGAAGAGAAAGAGGCACTCATTTACCTGGAAATACTCTAACTGAATTTAAAGTAAATTTAAATGAAATTTCAAATAGGGAGACAGTTCTCCACCAGGGCTGCATATTAGGATTAGCTGGAGAGGCTTAAAATGCCCACGTCTTGTCCATACACAAGGGCGAGTACATCAGAATTTATGAGTGTGGGTCCCAGGCATCAATATCTTTAATATTTCTCAGACATTTTCAGTGTGCATCCAAATTTATGAATAACAGAAATATGGAAGCTTGTAACTTGGTCTCCATTTTGCAGCAAATTAGCTGCATGACCAAGGGAAAATTTTCTTATAGAATCAATTCTTCTTGGTAAATGGATGGAGATGTGGGGCACATGAGAAAGGAAATGAGAGTTTGTTTGGAATAGATCAGTGGTTCTCAACCTTAGCTGTATTTTTGTTGTTGTTGTTTGTTCGTTTGTTTTGAGATGGAGTCTCGCTCAGTCGCCTAGGCTGGAGTACAGTGGCGTGATCTTGGCTCACTGCAACCTCTGCCTCCTGGGGTTCAAGCAATTCTCCTGCCTCAGCCTCCTGAGTAGCTGGGACTACAGGCACTCACCACCATGCCTGGCTAATTTTTTGTATTTTTAGTAGGGATGGGGTTTCACCGTGTTAGTCAGGATGGTCTTGATCTCCTGATCTCGTGATCTGCCTGCCTCAGCCTCCCAAAGTGCTGGGATTACAGGCGTGAGCCACCGTGCCCAGCCCTTAGCCATACATTTCTAACAAGCCCCCAGGTATTGCCCTTGCTACTGGCCTGTGGACAATGCTCTGGGTACCAAAGCTGCCGTCCAAACTGTCTCACACTGAAATGTGAGCCCAACTCCACACTTCAGGCATGATCATGAATCTCATGGGTTCTACCACATAGAAGGTGCAACCCCCACCAAAAAAATAAATAAATAAATAAATAAAAATAAAAATAAATTACTCATTCCAGAGAGGGCTTTTTTCTTCAAAGTAGACCCTTTGGGAGTTTTTGCCCAGATTGGAGGGCTGCTGCCTCTGACATGTTTTTACACTGATTCTTCGTGAGTCTCTAACATATTCTTTGGAACATTCTCAAACTTTGTAGCTCTTCAGTCCCTGAGGACAGATTAGACTTTTGGAAAAGCTGTATCTGGTGGAATAATGAATGGTGACATAGGGGTTATGTAAACATAAATAAACAAGTATTAAGAGATGAGAAATAAAAAGATCCTTCTCTTTGAAGAACACAACCAGAAAGGAACTTGGGAAATACGAGCAGAGATGGCTTCCTTGATCAGTGGCAAAGATTGCTGGGATTGGAGCATCTGGGGCAACTCATGTCCTGGTGGGCAGGCAGACAAACACCAGAGTAGTTTTTATAGGTATACCATCATACTTTGGGGTCAGCCAACTTTTATTGGTAAGAATAGTAACTATTTTCAGATTTGTAGGCCACATGGAGTCTCACAGATTTTTCTGTATGTAGGTGTTTTAACCGCCCTTTATAAGTGTAAAACCATTCTTAGCTTTAAAACCATACAAAAACGAGCCACTGGCTATATTTGGCCCATAGACATAGATTGTTACTCATAGTTTATAACTAAATACCAATGGAAAAGTATATCTATGTGTACATAATCTGTTGTGAAATAATAGGTATTAAGACATTTGAAAGTTAAATTTTCTGTCTTCAGGGAATGCTAAAACAATAATTGCAATTATTGCTTATTTAACTAAGCACTTACATTGATGAAGACCTCCAAATAGTTTTATAGCCCTCTTTTGTTCTCTCCCTTTCTCTAGGTGCACCTGAAAAATATTATTGGTGTTCACACAATGAGTATGCTTGCTAAACTTGGATCCCACAAAAGATTGCAGAGCCTATTTGAGGCAACAGCCTGGGGTTAAATAACGAAACAGCCAGCCTCTAGAGCACAAAACTAAACAGAAGCAAGTTACATAGAATTTCATTGCTTGCTTCTCTCTGGTACTATTAGTCAGAACACCAACTTAAGCTTTATTTCACGTAGCAGATTGAAAGGTCAGACTGGCCATTCACCCAGACTGATTCAGCGAGGGGGGTAAAAATGACCTACTGAGGATGAGAGTAAAACATTTCACTTGTAGAGAGTTGCTAAGGTGAGGCACATTTGAAGGGCACCATGGGGCTTGGCCTGCTCCTACGGGTGTTGGTTACAAGCATAACTTTGGCTCGGGGTTTGTGTACACTTCTGAAAGTGCAGCTGCGCCTTTCATCTAGAGCTAGCCATGGTCTCCTGAGAGCCTGAAGGTGAAAGCAAATGCATCTGTGGTCCACTACTGACCATGGCTCTGGACTGTGAGGGATGCATCTGCTGCCCAACAAGGCAGCAGTGGTTACTCGAAGGTCACCTTGGAAAAAAAGGGACTCCATGTGGCAGAGCCCTTTCTGAGAGGGCGTGAAATAACCCCAGGTGACGTGAAATAACCCTCCTGCCCACCCCCGGCACTGCTCTGCCCTGCTTTCTGAGCATCATGGAAATATTAGATTTCAGAGCTGAGCAAGGAGCTGTTGCAATTGCAGCCCTCAGTAGCAGTTTGTGGCCCATAAAAGGAAGAGTTGTAGGGCACTCAACAAGGGAGCTTCCAGCTCGGGAGAGACTTGTGAGAGCACTGGTTATCAATGAAAACCAGGAGGCCTTGTCAGACTGTGTATGTGTTTTGCAGGACACAGACAGGAAGAAACTAATAGTTGCAGGTATGATGAAAGTGGGGAGACCTTCCTGATGGGTTAGTGACATTAGATAGCCAGGAAACGTTGTTCATAAGTGGTATTAAGCAGAGGAGAACTTGAAGCAGGTGTCAGGAACCAGAGTATGAAGTCATATAAAGAAAGCAGAACTGGGATGAGCCTGACCACGTGGGAGGAGGATTTGAGAGTATCAGAGATGGTGCTGCAATACTTGGATGGTTTCGATAGCACTGTTTAATGAGCCTAAGACAGCAGATATGGAGAACTCTTTGATTTTTTCCCTCTCTGATGACTGAGGGATCTGGCCTACCACCTGGTCTGGGAATGGATGGGATTGCTCCCAGGGGAAAAGCATGGAAAAAGGGAGCTGTGCTTTGCACCCAAAGAAGCTTGAACTTATACACTAAGGAGAGAATTAAAACTTCATGAGAGAACATGGGGGAAAATGCAATAAAGATCTGAAAGAAAAGAAGAGGTGGCACTAGAGCTCAGGTAAGATGGAGTGAACAGGTTTGAGGGGTTGAGCTTGGAAAGAGTCCATGAGGCAATGCAGGTAATAGGAGGCAGGGGTTACAGGTTCTGAGGGCAGGGAGGGAGCTGTTAAGGGGAATGAGTTGGTTCAAAGGTCATTTCTTTAGTCAGTTCCCTGGTGCGGTCAAGGACAGCAGTCAGGTTGTCTCCCCTACCCCATATTCCCATTGCTGTGATTTACTTAGGAACCCTCTGGAGTTGTGACACAGGTTCCCAGGACTTCTCCTTCGGGCAGTAACCATTGCAGTGGCCAGACCAGGTGTTTACCAAGGGGCCAATGAGGACTAGTACCTTCTATTAGATATACTCTAGGGCTTTGTCTTGGGCTACCCATACAGACTGCTAAAGCCAGGAATGGAGCAGTAAGTGATAAGGAAGTGGATATCCAAGAAGGATACGGCCACAGATGAAAGGCTGCACAATTGGCCTCTTGGTTAGAGAGGCCTCTAGAGTGATCCTCCAGTTTCAGGAAGAGGTTGTTGATGGTGCTACATTGAGAGGTAAGCCAGATGGCAGTACTGACTCAGAATTGCTTCTCTGTTCACCTGCAAACTTCTTTTGTCAATGTTTGGGATGGTGGAGAATATCCTAGAGGTCCTTCTGGGTCTTCTGCTCCATGCCTATCTCCTCCTGGTTTTTTATTTGTTTGTTTGTTTTCTGGCCCCAGAACTTTGTGCTTTAAGGAGACCTGGGAGGGGCACATATTTTTATTCTTTAAGAACCTGTGCTTCTCCTCGATCCACTTAACTTTGATTTTACTTGTGTCATAAATACTATAAGTTGATACTTCTCTCATTTCCTGCTATGACGATGCTTTGGCATATTTGACAGGTCTGAAAAAATTAAATGGTTAAATCTCACCAAGTTTTCATCTAAACTGGGGGTTGGCAATCTTCTTCTGTAAAGGGATAGTAAGAGATCTTGGCTTGTGGGTCATATGGTCTCTGTCACAACTACCCAAATCTGCCATTGTCATGCAAAAGCAGTCATAGGCAATATGTATAAAAGGGTAAAGATGTGTTCCAATATGACTTTATTTATAGAAACAGGTGGTCAGAGGAAGAAAAGACCAAAGAACTTTTAGATAGGGTTGACAGAGTTTAAGGAAAAAACTCCTTGTCCTTATGTATTTCCCCAAAAGCCTGCCTGGGGAGCCTGAAATTTCAACAGTATATGGTAGTCCCCCCTTATCCATAGTTTTGCTTTCTGGAGTTTCAGTTACCAGTGGTCTGAAAATATTAAATGGAAAATTTCAGAAATAACTCATACATTTTAAATTGAGTGCCATTCTGAATAGCATAATGAAATCTTGCACCCTCTAGCTCCATCCACCCTGAATGTCAATCCTCCTTTGTCCAGCATATGCACTGTAGAGGCTATGTGCCCCTTCGTCACTTAGTATCCTTCTTGGTTATTAGATCTGCTGTAGAGGTATCCCAGTGCTTATGTTCAATTAACCCTTATTTTACTTAATAATGGCTCCAAAGTGCAAGAGTAATAATGCTGGGATATTTTTACAATTGTTCTATTTTATTACTAGTTATTGTCAATCTCTTACTGTTCCCAGGTTACAAATTAAACTTTATCGTAGGTATGCATGTTCAGGAAAATACATTATGTATATAGGGCTTGGTACTATTTGTGGTTTCAGGTATCTGCTGAGGTTCTTGGAAGGTATTTCCCATGGATTAGAAGGAACTACTGTTTGGTTTGTGTGTGTGTTTTTTTTAAAGCTCGAAAGGGCTCAGGAACATCTTAATTAGATTAAGGTGTTATATTACCTAGGAGAAGAAAATATGACCTTAGTGAATAGTTACTTTGATTAATCAATTAGCATCTTTTTCTAGGTAAACCAACAGCGATAAGAAAGAGCTGTACCCCAGAGGTAAGGGCAGATGGGAGCAGGAGGTAAGAAAGCACCCATGACAGGGAGGCTGCCTTGGAACTACGTTTATAGCTACTGTTTACAAGGTCTTGAACGGGGAGCCATGGGAGCCACAAGGATGAAAATAAAAATACAACCATTATCCTCAAAGATGTGGAAATTTAGTTGAAGATACATGATAGCTATGTGTGTATCTTTGATTTATACATCTAATTCCGTGTGTAGGTATCCTCCATCCATATAATAAATAATGGATAAGGCAATAGTATGTGGTAAGTTGCAATGGGTAGCACAGCCAGTAAGCCTGAAGGTGTTTGGAAGAGATCTATTTCTACTGGTTGTGTGAATGGGATGCCTTCAGCAACACGTGGATTTTGAATTGAACCTTGGAAGATTGCTAGTTTAATTGGCGGAGGCATCCCCTCCGCAAAAAAAAGAAGGCAATGTGGGACATAAACTGGGGACTCCTGACTGTTTTCCTTATTCTGTGTGAAGCGGGCTGTAGTCACAGATCCAATATTGGTTAGGATGGTTAGATTCATCCTGCATTGTGGATATGGCCTTGACTCCACACTTCCACTTGTCATCTGGAAATGTAGGAGACCAGGTTTTAGAGAATAGCTGCACTTACTTATTCATCTGGATCTTCATTCTGGAAACGTTCCTTGGCTTCCGTTAAATGTCAAGCACCGGATGGTTCAGTGCAGCCCTCCTGCATTGCCAGAGATGGATCCTGGAGTTTTCATCCTGCTAATATGCAGCCCACATATATGAAGGTCAACATGTTGTATTCACTGGAAATAAGTTGAGATTTCATTTACTTACATGAGATGCTGAAAACTAAGTAATAGTGGAGAGTTGCAAGGTTTTAGTTCCTCCATGTAAAGATGGAGAAAACAAAATCCCCTGATGCCTTTAGTAATTAAAAGGGCATTACATTCCCGGCATGGTTTAAGGTAAGACATGATAAGCCTCTCCTATCCTTTTCACATAACCACACATTATTGATGAGCCAGCATCAAGAAGGCATTAGGTGATGCTTTATTGTATTATTTTAAGCCACTGAGGTTTTTATATATGAAGGGCATAGATTTATGCTGAGTGATTCAGCTATGAAGCGGGCACATCAATTTGTTCATGAATGTGAGCTGGTGATTACCTACATTAAAGTCACCAGGGCAGACTGATCACTTTAATTTGGGCAGAGGCATGCAAACAGCATTTGCTAGTGGTGTGTGTATCCCTAAGAACACAGGCAAAAGAGCTGCTCTTCATCCCAGAAGAGCTCTAGAAAATGCAGATTTGTGTTTTTATAGATGTATAACTGTAGTCAAGGGTACAATGCCTGGTGGGACCATGAACAAATTTCTTCGTTGTACCATGTGGCAGGATGTTGTATAAGGTTCACTTGATATTAGCTGGTGTATGCTAATTTGATGATAAACTTATTTGATTAACTGATACAGAAAAGTTATACTTCCTCCTAATTCTAGATCATAGAACTGAGTGCCCTCCTATGTATGACTAAGTTATGACAAATTGAGTGGTCTTCTATACAACATGAAGAGAGTTTGTGGGAGTTAGTAAATTCAAAAAATTGGAATTCAGCAACTGTGATCCCAGATATGTGTGGAGGGGTAAAGTAGGGATTCTGTCCTGCAAGAATTCAGTCTAGCTGGGAAAATGTGAAGTGGCTACTTGAGCAATCCTGATTTGCACTTGTGGTTTATAGAACGAATAGTTAGAAGGACATTCGGATGATATGTTGGTGGAGAAGTCAAGAAGAAACAGTGTTGAGGAATATGGGATGCAATGCTGGTAGCACTGGAAAATTGGCAATTCACTTATTCCAGGGACCTTTCAGCAAGGACTATGGTCACAGGTAAACAAGTGCCATAACAATTTTCCTGATGCAGAAATTTCACTTCCGACAGGAGCAAAAACTAGATGCCTAAAGATGTGTATTACTTTGTTTTTGGTAATAGCAAACATTGGAGACTCCCCTAAATGCATGACAGCAAGGAATTAATTTACCAAACAATGAGGCAACAACATTAGGGAATCTTATTCAATAATTAAAAAATATTGGTTAGAAGTGTATATAAAATCTATAAAATATTTGGGATCTAACGGGTTGAAATAAGCAGTGACAAAAAGAATTATAACTTGAGAATTGTAACTTTATACAAAACTAAGGGGTAAACTACGCAAGTGATCACATAGAGCTCCCTTCGGTTTTTATCATTGTCTTCCCCTTGTTTCTTTTGTAAAACTCATCACAATATAAACTTTTAATGCATTACTTTGCTAAATTCTGTCTTCCCACCAAAATATAAGCTCATCTAGGGCATAAGTAATATTTTACTTGTATCTTCCATGTCTGTCATATATAGGCACTCAATATTTATTGAATGAGTGATCAATGATTGGATAATGTCATTCAAATATATTTTCACTTTTATAGTGACCTTTCAATAAATTGCATCTTATGGCGGTAACATTTGTCAAGTCATTACTGGGTGCTGGGTTAACTAATCTCTTATTGCAACATTGTAATATTTTATATTTATATTTTATAACTGAGACACAATTGAGGCTCAGAGATGCAACACGTCTCACCCAGCTGGTGAGAATAAGAGTCAGAACATAAACCCTGGGCTGCTTGACTGCAAAGGCCAGGTCTTACCAATTATGATTTTTAAAATTAAACTATATAGAATGACCAAGAGTGCCAGATGCCTTATAGAGGTCATTTAAAACAGAGGCAAGAAAAAGTGATTCCACTTCCTCCTGTCCCCCAGTGTACTTAAGCCCCCAGCTGCTGACATCCACTGAGCATCCTTCCCTGATCAAATTATCCCTGCTGTTTAAGTTTCCTCTATCCTGTAGAACTGCAGTGACTGTTAATCAGGCTGATAAACTTATGCCAGTGTGTAGCTGCTCATTTTAAAATGATTCCATAATACCTCAGCAGGAAAGCGAGACAACTCCTACAATATTCTTCTGGGCAGCCAGACTTGACTCTCCTCAAGTCCAATTTTGATGGTGGCCATTTAGCCTATTCCTATGCCCATCTTCCTGGAAGCTGATCATCGAAGGCTGAGCCTGTTTTTCTACCAGCTGCTTCTGTCTTGCCTCTCAAAGGTTTCAGGGAGGTTTATCATTTCCACTGTTATTGAATTGTGAAACTCCATCTGTATTATAGGAGTCATGTTCTGTAGGAACCTTGTGGTTCTCTAGAAGATAGGCATATATGTTAACATCTTCGTGTGTACTAATTACATCAGCACAGATAAATGAATAAACCTTCAGATGGAGACCGCAGCACTTTTCATTGTGATGATAGTTTTAGAGAAAAATGTTTTGCGTGAAATCTGTGCCACCATCCTCTCTGTGGTTTTATATGGCCACATGACTGACTATAAATTCAAGTAATTCCCCTTGAATTTATTTAAATAAATTCATTTTATTCTCAAATTTACAGTGATGATGAAATATTAACATGAGGAGCAAGTGCTTTATGGACCTTCGAATTGCTATTCTGCTTTATTTCAATAGTGTGTTCTTAAAACACCAATATGATACCTGAAGCTGTAAAAATTAATGAAATGATTCAGTGTTTGGGAGTTGAATGCAGTGAATATTTGCTGGTGTTTCAAACAGAACAGAATCACAAATATTAAAAAATGTAATTTGATTTCCGAGGCCAGAAAAAGGGAAAATGTTCTCATTTTTCTGATGTACTTCATATCACGTTGGAGTTAAATGCCTAAATACTTTATTAGCAGAGGTTTTTAATGTCTAATTGAAGCTCAGCCTTCCAGGCATTTTGGCTTTTCTTGTGAGTGTTCAAACAAGACTGTGGCTCTTTTGAGACAGAGCTGCTTTTCTGTGGCGGTGTCCACACAAAACTGAATTGTACAGCCACGATGTAGTTTATCAAGATCTGTGAGCTGTGTGGGGTTTTCTTTGTGTGATTAAAAAACATCTTGCCTTTTTAAATGGTCACTATACATTTTACTTTAACTTCTGGGATACGTGTGCAGAATGTGCAGGCTTGTTACATAGGTATACATGTGCCATGGTGGTTTGCTGCACCCATCAACCCATCATCTAGGTTTTAAGCCCCACATGCATTAGGTATTTGTCCTAATGCTTTCCCTCCCCTTGCATCCCACCCCCTGACAGGCCCCAGTGTGTGTTGTTCCCCCTCCCTGTGTCCATGTGTTGTCATTGTTCAACTCCCACTTATGAGTGAGAACATGCAGTGTTTGGTTTTCTGTTCCTGTGTTAGTTTGCTGAGAATGATGGCTTTCAGCTTCATCCATGTCCCTGAAAAGAACATGAACCCATTCTTTTTTATGGCTGCATAGTATTCTGTGGTGTATATGTGCCATATTTTCCTTATCAAGTCTATAATTGATGGACATTTGGTTGGTACTATGCCTTTGCTATTGTAAATAGTGCTGCATTAAACATATGTGTGCATGTGTCTTTATAGTAGAATGATTTATAATCCTTTGGGTATATACCCAGTAATGGAATTGCTGAGTCAAATGATATTTCTGGTTCTAGATCCTTGAGGAATAGCCACACTGTCTTCCACAATGGTTGAACTAATTACACTCCCACCAACAGTGTAAAAGCGTTCCTTTTCTCCACAGCCTCGCAAGCATCTGTTGTTTCCTGACTTTTTTTTTTTTTTGAAACGGGGTTTTACTTTTGTTGCCCAGGCTGGAGTGCAATGGCATGATCTCAGCTCACTGCAACCTCTGCCTGCTGGTTTCAAGCAACTCTCCTGCCTCAGCCTCCTGAGTAGCTGGGATTACAGGCATGTGCCACCACACCTGGCTAATTTAGTATTTTTAGTAGAGGTGGGGTTTCTCCATGTTGGTCAGGCTGTTCTCGAACTCCCGACCTCAGATAATCCACTCAACTCGGCCTCCCAAAGTGCTGGGATTACAAGCATGAGCCACCACACCCGCCCTGTTTCCTGACTTTTTAATGATCGCCATTCTAACTGGCATAAGATGATATCTCACTGTGGTTTTAATTTGCATTTCTCTAATGACCAGTGATGATGAGCTTTTTTTCATATGTTTGTTGGCCGCATAAATGTCATCTTTTGAGAAGTCTCTGTTCATATCCCTTGCCCACTTTTTGATAGGGTTGTTTTTTTCTTGTAAATTTAAGTTCCTTGTAGATTCTGGAAATTAGATCTTTGTCAGATGGGTAGATTGCAAAAATTTTCTCTCATTCTTTAGGTTGCCTGTTCACTCTGATGCTAGTTTATTTTGTTGTGCAGAAGCTCTTTAGTTTGATTAGATCCAATTTGTCAATTTTGGCTTTTGTTACTATTGCTTTTGCTGTTTTTTAGTCGTGAAGCCTTTGCCCATGCCTATGTCCTGAATGGTATTGCCTAGGTTTTCTTCTAGGGTTTTTATGGTTTTGGGTTTTACATTTAAGTCTTTAATCCATCTTGAGTTAATTTTTGTATAAGGTGTAAGGAAGGGGTCCAGTTTCTGTTTTCTGCATATGACTAGCCAATTTTCCCAGCACCATTTATTAAATGGGGAATCCTTTCCCCATTGCATGTTTTTGTCAGGTTTGTCAAAGATCAGATGGTTATAGGCATGTGGTGTTATTTCTGAGGTCTCTGTTCTGTTCCATTGGTCTATATGTGTGTTTTGGTACCAGCACCATGCTGTTTTGGTTACTGTAACCTTGTAGTACAGTTTGAAGTCAGGTAGCCTGATGCCTCCAGCTTTGTTCTTTTTGCTTAGGATTGTCTTGGCTATACAGGCTCTTTTTTGTTTCCACATGAAATTTAAAGTAGTTTTTTCTAATTCTGCAAAGAAAGTGAATGGTAGCTTAATGGGAATAGCATTGAATCTATAAGTTACTTTGGGCAGTATGGCAATTTTCACGATACTGATTCTTCCTGTCCACGAGCATGGACTGTTTTTCCATTTGTTTGTGTTCTCTCTTATTTCCTTGAGCAGTGGTTTGTAGTTCTCCTTGAAGAAGTCCTTCACATCCCTTGAAAATTGTATTCCTAGGTATTATTTTATTATCTTTGTAGCGATTGGGTCACAATGTATTTTTATGAGGGATGCATATGTTTGTTTTTTGAGATGCAGTTTCACTCTGTTGCCCAGACCAGAGTGGAGTGGAGCGATCTCGGCTCACTGTAACCTCCACCTCCTCAGTTCAAGCAATTCTTGTACCTCAGCCTCCTGAGTTATTTTTGTCAATTTTTAACTGTCTTATCAGGAATATTGTCACTCTGCTTTTGGCTTCCTGAGGTGATTATTAAAGAGTTACAGGATAGATGCCAATTGTAATACAAATTCAATTAATGGAGTTAAGTTACTTTCTTCAAAAAATAGGCATAGGCTCTCCTTGCTTTTTTTTTTTTGTTGTTGTTGTTGTTGTTCTTTCTAGTTCTGCTAATGATATTGTTAATGTTAAGTATTCATGTACTTACAAAGTGTGCCCAGAAGAGCCAAAAAAAAAAAAAAAGTTATATTCATTGAGCATCTAGAAAGTAGTGCTAAACAGGCAATCGTAAAATAAATCTTGCAGGATGGATAGTTTACCTCTCCATGATATGTTTACTGATTCCACTTAGCAGCACTGGTCTCTTCTTTTTCTGTAATCCTAAAGTTTTTGGGGTCAGCAGCACACAATTTAATGATGGCTGCTAAGCTTCCTCCTTTCCCTCAAGATAACTGGTTTTAAGGTACTAAGTCAGAGAAAGACTGGCCTAGTCTTCTCAGCTTTTACTTCCCCAGATCCATTATGCTCTCAGAAGTTAAGAAGGAGAGCTTTCCTTTCTAACAGATTGGTAGGTATTTAGTACAATTAGATCACCAACGAGCTCTACCACCTATAGTCATGACCTATTCCACTTTCAGAAATCCCAGATCAATCTAAATTGCTCAAAATTTAATACTTAATGAAATGCTTTATTGTTTTCTAAGCTTCCAGGAAGGCGATTAAATCTTGTGGCTTCAGTTAAGTTGTAAATAATTCAAGAGTGGAGAAGGCAGAGGCGGGGCCCAGTTGAGCAAGTATATCCCATAAACATTTCCTGCTTGGTTGCATCAAGCAAGTTTCAAAATTCTATCAGATTTAATTGTATTGTTCAACATCTTTGGGGTTGCAATGTATTGATGATATATTGTCTGCTTTTTCACTCACATTAATCTTTTCAAGTGTCTAGTAATTCCAGTCCACCATTCCTTTCCTCCTCCATACTTCCCCTTATCACCCTTTATCATGAGAAACTGACCATGTAGGAGAAAATATTAGCTTTGAAAAAATAGGACATTTACTTTACCACAGTTTCTGATGTTGTAACAGATATCTAGTTAAAGAACAGGTTGTTGAAATCAATTATCAGATACTGGCAGGTGTGGTGGCTCATGCCTGTAATCCTAGCACTTTGGGAGGCCGAGGCAAGTGGATCACTTGAGGCTAGGAGTTCGAGACCAGCCTGGCTAGCATGGTGAAACCCCATCTCTACTAAAAATACAAAAATTAGCCAGGCGTAGTGTTGGGTGCCTGTAACCCCAGCTACTGGTGAGGCTGAGACAGGAGAATCACTTGAACCTGGGAGGTGGAGGTTACAGTGAGCTGAGATCTTGCTGCTGCACTCCAGCCTGGGCAGCAGAATGAGACTCCATCTCAAAAAAAAAAAAAAATCAATTTTGAGATACCTACTGTGTATAGTTATCTTGGACTGATGTTTTTGAGGTTGAGGTGTTAGCTGGCATTTCAAGCTATATTATTTTTTTCTTTTTTGGAGATGGAGTCTCTCTCTGTCACCCAGGCCACAGTGCAGTGGTGTGATCTCAGCTCACTGCAAACTGCGCTTCCCGGTCTCAAGCGATTCTCCTGCTTCAGCCTCCTGAGTATTTTGGATTACAGGTGTGTGCCACCACACCCTGGCTATTTTTTGTATTTTTAGTAGAAATGAAGTTTTGCCACATTTCCCAGGCTGGTCTTCAACTCCTGGCTTATTAGGAGCCTCAGCCTCCCAAATTGCTGGGATTATAGGCGTGAGCCACTGCATCTGGCCCAAGCTACATTATTGATTGGGGACTGCCTCAAGCTATGAAGCTAAGGATCATTTGCTGATGAAATTCTAGAAATCAAAATATATAAAACCAAGTTGATAGTCACCACTGGGCCATTGGGTCCAGTGAGAAGCAGAGAAAGACAAGCCAAAAGAAAAAAGGGAAGGTAGGGATTTGGATAGAGCCCATGACCAACTTAAAATATGTAAGCCTGCCTCTGAAGATACTGAAATCCTTAGCATCATATTGGAAATATTTTCAGAATGTTTCCAAAGAAAATACAAGGTGAATGAAATTCTGGGTTTTAAGTGGAATTAAATAGCAGGAGTACGTTGCAGAGTATAGGCTGCCAGACTTTAGGATTTATGGATCAGTACAATTAAAGAGAATAAATAACTGGAGGACTATCAAGAGGTGCCAGCTCTTTATTTTTGCCAAGCATTGCTAGCTTGGTTTCCCCCTACTAAGATTCTGTTGGGTGAGGAGTTAGGCCTAAGGAATAATAGAGTTTAATTTAAACAAAAGATGAGAAAACAGTTCAAAAGATACACAAAGAAAAGTTTATTTTCACTATGTGGAAGTTACTAGTTAGCGTTTCCTTCTGTTAGAGTCCAGCTCTTCTGAGCTCTAAGTCCCACAGGGTCGACTTCTGCCAGGTGACTCGCAGTCAGCATAAGTGGGAAGCTCTGCGATCTGGGGAGCTATGCTGTGACTGACAGAGTCCAGTTACAGCACTCTTCATTTGTGCTCAGGTAGGTACCCTCTACTGTCTGCAAGTCTCAACTCCAAACCACACTCAGGTTTCCCTAGCTTACACTGTGCTCCCTGGAGACACGCACAGATGCAAGAAAGTGTTTTCCAGAGCTGTTGATATAATACTTTGTGGCTGCTACTTTTTTTCTAAATGTTTTTTAATATGGAAAATGCTAAGCATATCCCAAAGTAAAGAATGTGTAATGAACCATCATACACTGTCACTCAGCTTCAACAATTATAAACTAATGGCGAATCTTGTTTTTTCTACATTTCTACCCATTTCCCCAACCCCAGATAATTGTGAAGCAAATTCCAAACATCAGTTCATCAATAAACATCTTGATTATATAGCTCTAAAAGCTATAGATTCTTTTTAAAAAAAAAGTACCATTAGCATGCTTTAAAATAATAATAACTCCTCAGTATCATCAAATGTCTAGTTAATATTTAAATTTCCTTGATGGTTTCATAAATGTAGTCTTATTTACTTATTTATTTACATATTTATGTGTATATATATATTATAGTTTGTTTTTTCTATTCAGGACACAAATGAGATCTATGTCTTTTTTCCAGCAGTTTTTAACCATCAGGATTTTTATGATTGCATGTATGTACTTTTATTTTACATGTTTCTTTTCCTCTTGAATTTTCTGTAAATTGAAAATTGATCCTAAATGGCTGACCTTTTCTTTTTTTGGCAAGAATATTTCATGGACAGTGGTATGTCACTCAGTCAAGAAACACATGATCTCTGGTTGTCACTCTTTCTTTTTTTAATGTTAACCACTGATGACTTGGTCTGGATCCATTATTTCATTAAGCGTGTTGGTATTTTCTTATGCTTTTTACAGAAATGCAAATAATTACCTGATTCTTGGGGCATTTTTAAGTTTTCATATTGTTGTGCTAAACTCTAGCAATTATTCACTGTTTGCAAAAGTGTGATCTCAAGTCTTTTGCACAGCAAGCAGGGATGGTACGGGGCAAAAACAGCCATCATCTAAAATTATCACTATTTCATAGAATGAGAGGTTGTTCAAAAGCAGATATAGGAAAAATTTAATTGAATATTAAAAGGTAGAACTTTAAATACATATATCTTTCTAGAAGATTCTCCACTATCCTGATTTTTTCCCCCCCCCACATGCCACTTTGGACAGGGGAAGCTGCATTCTGGACTCGTACCACAGATCAGAATGTAGGAACCATTGGTTAACACCATAACATTGGTTAACATCTGCTAGAAGGTGAACATTTGTCTTGCCAAATTAAGGGTGAAGCTCAACTGTATTTTTGAGGGCACCATTTATCCATTGTGTATTCCAAATTACTGTCTACAATAAGTTACACTAAGTTTACAAGCTATTGTTTAATTTATTAAATAAACATGTACAAAACACCAATTCTGTGTCATGCACTGAGTCAGGCACTTGGATTGTAAAATGAACCAGAATATAGAATACAGATGTAACAAAGATGAATAAAAATGTGGAGAGAAGACATTATGATATAACAAAGAAATTGAAGTTAAGAGACCTGCATCGTTGGTTCCTGCCCCACATCTAAGAACCTTCCTGCCCATGGCATGCAGTATCTGTGAATGGTCCTAATGAGGCATATGTCTTTTCACACTTATTTTGAAAACTAAGTAAAATAATGAAAATCAAAGGTAAACTATAAACTATAAGAAATTAAATGGTAATGTTTGAATTCACTTGTCATAATTTCTCCTAGTACATTTTCTCACTGAAATAGCTATAATGCATCCTCTTTCTCCCTTAAAAACTCCAAAACCCTATTCTTTACACTAATGGTTTATTGAAGTAATCTTTAAAAGTATTCTATCACCCTCAACCCATCTCATGTTGCTGATAAGGAAGCAGCAATCTAAAATGTGAAGTGACTTATAAAGATGCCCAGTGGTTGAACTTCCTGATCTCCAGGCCTGTACTCTTCTCACTATGTCATACTGCCTAAGGTTTCTTTCACATTAGGAACTATAAGCATGGGTGGTACATTCTAAAATCCTAGGGCATTCAGGAATGGGAGGAGAGCAGCCCAGTTTTGGAGACTAAACATAAGCAGGATACCAAAAAGGCAGGCGGCCACAAGACTCCAGGGATTCTGTCTGCTAATCACTTGTTCTGTTTGCTCCATAGCTCCTACCCCTTGCTGTCCTTCTCCTCTTCTTTGACTTTTCATATCCCCATTCTTGTGTTGTCTTGATACCAGCCTGATGGGACTGATTGGTCTTTTGATGGTGGCTTTGTGGCTGTTGACCTTGGCTAATCAATCTCACCTTGAATTACCAACTCTCCTTCAAGAGAAGGAATAACAACAAGTTGACCCCCTTGACCTGGGAACTTGAATTCAGTCCAGCTGTTTGGGGTAGCATAGTGTTCCTAAAAATCAAATTTGAATGTCTTGCTTCCCCTTCCCTCCTTGGTTCCTGGCCCCATCCATCTTCAGAGCCAACTGTTTGAAGACGGAAGGGGCCAGGAACCAAGGAAGAGGGGAAAAGAAGACATTCAAATTTGGGCCAGGAACCAAGGAGGGGGAAAAAAAAAACTGTTGGCTTTGAAAATGGAAGGTGCCAGAAAACAAGGAGGCCATCAAATTTGAATGTCTTTATACTAGATCTGCACATTGTAATTTACTATATATTCCGCCATTGTGTATTGAATGCTACGAGCCTTTTTGTTACATTGCTCATAACAGCTGGCCTCTAATAATATTTGAGTTGGCTATTAGTGGACTAAAATTTTCAGGCAGATCGGGTATTTTGGGGGCAGGGCACCATAATTGTCAGCTTACTATGAGTCTCTCAAGCCCAAATAATTGCCTGTAGCATTCTTCTCACTCAACTCTACAGGGTCAGAACTGAGTACTGATATGGCCGAGATCACAGGGTTTTGCATTTTGATGTTGAGTCTTAGGAGGCTCCAGAGAGTGTAGGCGGATCAAGGCAGTTCATAAGAAAAAACAGTTCATAAAACCCTGTTAAAACACAACCTTGTATATGCTTGAGAGTCGTGAAATGCCTTTTCTGACAGAAATGCCTAAATTAGCATAAGAAGTAGTACTAGTTGGTTCTACATGAAGGCCAGGGTACCCTTATCTTATTTCTGAAAGAATTCTCCTGGAAGAGACATCTGCCAGAGAAGGTCCAAGGCGGAGCAACAGTATACTTTCCCTTTGCCCCAACCTAATATTCACTAAAATCCTCTTCAATACAGGTTGCCAATTTGGCCTGTTCCATCTCCAACAATGAAGAAGGGGTGAAATTAGTTCGGATGGCAGCCACCCAGATTGACAGCCTGTGTCCCCAGGTAAGCCTCATTCACTTTGTTTCAAAAGCCTGTCAGTGACCTTCTCCACTCCAGCCCTTGTGCCCCTCCTTTTCCTTCTCTATTTCCTCTTGCTGAAAAAGGCTACTCATCATTTATGAGCTGTTTCAAGTTCTACCTTTCTCAGAAAGAATAAACCATACCAGTCTCTTCAGAATTACCATGGCAGCTTGGCCAGGCATGGTGGCTCACACCTATAATCCCAGTGCTCTGGGAGGCTGAAGTGGGAGGATTGATTGAGGCCAGGGGTTCAAGGCCAGCCTGGGCAACATAGTGAGACTCCATCTCTACAAAAAAATAAACTAGCTGGGTGTGGTGGGGGCATTCCTGTAGTCCCAGTTTACTGGGGAGTCTGAGGTGAGAGGATTGCTGGGGCTCAGGAGTTCGAGGCTGCAGGGAGCTGGGATTGTGCCACTATACTCTCCACTCCTGTTGACTTTGTTCTATTTGTTTTGGGTTGTGATTTAAATGTTCCATATCTATTTACCTTGTCTCGGCAGCTAAATCATAAACTTGCACATGTGGAAAGCAAGAGTTGCATTTCTGCTGTATCTGTGCTAAGTCATGAGACTTGTCCAGTAAATACTTTTTGAAACCCGAGGCAAACTATTATGTCTTAAAAAGAAGCAAACAAAAATTAATGGTAGTTGAAAATCTCCTTTATCTTTTATGTGTTTGATTGTCCTTCTGAACACCAAGAACCCACTTATCTGTAGAACGTACAGGGTGCATGGTTTTAACATGGTCTTTGACCGGCTTATTCCTCTTTTGAAGTGTGTGGTCATCATGTCCCTGGATTGTTTCCAACAAATAGGTCATCAATGCCGCTCTGACACTGGCTGCCCGGCCACAGAGCAAAGTTGCTCAGGATAACATGGACGTCTTCAAAGACCAGTGGGAGAAGCAGGTCCGAGTGTTGACAGAGGCCGTGGATGACATCACCTCAGTGGATGACTTCCTCTCTGTCTCAGGTAATCATCACAAACAGGTCCCTTACAAGGCAGCTGGAGGAGGGTAACTGAACGAGATAAGGAATGTCTCGCAAATGTCATGGATCTGTGTTTCAGGCGCACTCCTTAGATCTTTGAGCTTTTTTGATCATCTCTGCAAATGTGATTATAACACCCTCTTAGATGCTTCGGTGTTTATGTTATTTCAAGACACGGAGTCAAGGCATTAAAAAGGAATACATTATTTAAGGTGGCTTATATTCCTTTTTAGTGTTTGGAGTTTATAAAGCAGGATGGCCTTTGATGTATCTGAATCACTCATGTAAAAAAGGGCCAGGGAATATGGGATTCATTAATCTACACAGTTTATGTCTTAAAAATAGGTGATCAGTTACTCCAATTTGGCTATGTTAAGTTTTGTTTTGTTTTGTTTTTTTTCCAACAAGTGAAGGTTTGTGATAACACAGGTAGAGATATCAGCCACAGAACTTACCCCTTAGCAGGGACTTGGTAGCTATCAAGGCTTTGAGCACTTGTCTATGAGGTTGTAGAAGGAAGCGAGTGAAAGAAAATAGAACTGCTCATCACTTGAAATTATAACTTTCTTCTTTGTAAATGAAGCCAGACTGGAGGATGCTAGTAGACATGAATAACTGCAGAGACAGTCTGACCTTTAACAGGACTCGTGGAGTCCATTTCAAGATTTGTCTACCAGCCAGCAAATGGACATTTTTCCAAATGCTTTTGACCTAACTTATTTGGCCCAGTTCACCTGGAAGAATCTCTGTGAGGAGGAGGTCACTGGAAACATCAGCCTTCTTTGTGAGGTGTTAAAAGAGCCAGCTGACCCTTGGAAATTCAAATTGGCCAGGTGTTGATTCTACACAGGTGTGTGGAACTCACACCTACTGACTCAGGCAGTACTAGCCCTGATGACCTGCTGGTTCTTGGCTGACTGAGGGCTGAGGGAGACATTGCATCACTGTTGGTGGGAACCAGGCAGACAGGACCTCTGACTGCAACAGTGTGGAAGTGATTTCTGAGGGGGGCTGTCATGTTTAGAAAATGTTTCTAGTTGCAGTCTTTTCTTTTCCGGAAGAAACATAATAAATTCCCACTGGGGCTTGTCTGAGAACTGTGTAGTCAAATCTGTAGATTTGATGGATAATCAAAAATCCAGCTTTTCAATGATGGGGCAAGCCAAGGCAGATGGGAACATTGATGTAACATGCGGCCTGTGACTAGAATTTACCTTACTCTCTGCTGCTTGATTTAATTCTCATCAAAATTCTATAAAATAGGTACTACTAATTCTAGGTTTTGTTTTAAGAAAACTAAGTCATTGAGAGGGTAGGTAACTTGGCAGAGATGGTATTAAAATCCAGATCATCCTCTTTTCAGAAACTCTATAATTCTCAATATGTCAAGATAGAAAGGAAATTTCCTTTGGTGCTTGCTGCTTTCATTTCAGCTTCCCTTTCCCACCTCTGGCATTCTCATTCCAATCTCTAATCCCTTTCAGAAACCTGTCTTGTTTTTTATTCCCAAGGTCTTTGTTTTTGATGACTTGTGAAAGCAACTATTCATTTAAATATCACCATATCTAGAGCTTAGCTGATAAAAGAACTCAATATATTGTCACTTCTGCTTTTTTTTTTTTTTTTGAGATGGAGTTTCACTCTTGTTGCCCAGGCTGGAGTGCAATGGCGCGATCTTGACTCATAGCAACTTCCGCCTCCCGGATTCAAGCTGTTTTCCCGCCTCAGCCTCCAGAGTAGCTGGGATTACAGGCGTGAGCCACTATGCCCGGCTAATTTTGTATTTGTGGTAGTAGAGACGGGGTTTCTCCGTGTTGGTCAGGCTGGTCTCAAACTCCGGACCTCAGGTGATCCGCCCGCCTTGGTCTCCCAAAGTGCTGGTATTACAGGCGTGAGCCATCGCGCCCAGCCCATTTCTGCTTTTTTATTTTTATTTTTTGCTTTGCTGATAGCTGAGTCCTAATCTTGTAAAAGATACCTCCACAAAATGAATCTCTCATAAGGTATTTGGAAATTGCTTAGATAGGTATGTTCGTAATTTGGTTGATGGGGAATAGAAAGGTGGCCACTGATACTAATCTTTATAGTATATGGTCAGTTTTTTTCCAGGATAACTATGGTGCTCCAAATAGGAGCCCTTTCCAACCAGCCTCAGATCACACAGCCATCCTGACAGCCCCTGGAAATCTTCTGCATCCCCTTCTACCTTCAAATCAATAGGAAATACCTATACATTGCCTTTTTCAGAGAGGAATCATTTTAGAACTTACAACTTTTCCAACCTATTCTTTAAATGCATGCATAAACATTTCTGAGGGTGGGGACAAGCAAGGTGAGGAGGTCTTATCTCAGACTTTTTCAATAGGACAAAGCTTTTGCTAATTTTCCTCCCCCGAGCCCTGCCTCTTTGCTCCCTTTTCTCCTTGTCATTCCTTTGTGCATCTCATTATTACCAGCAACAAGAAAAGGCTTTTGCTTCTGCTGATAACACTGTGCAGTCCAACCCCAGTGGTACAAGTGCCACGGCATGCCATGGCAGGAAAATGAACAGGCGCTGTCAGAGAGCCAGCTTGGCAGGGCCTGCTGGAGCATGCCTTTGGAGTTGACAATCAGAGGCAGCAGGCACCTTTCCGCAGACGGGGTTTGACAAATAATGATACAGCCCACTCTGTCCTGCTGGTAGGCTGTGGACACAGCCCAATAGCTAGGGAAACTACTTCTCATCTTCTCTCTGAGCTACAGCCAAACATTTACATAAGTAAACTGCAAGTTTGGCCCAAGAGATATTTTGAAGTGGCATTAATGATATTTTATGTATCAGTTTCTTCTTAGGGGAATATCTCTTTGGTCAGGAAACTCTATTTAAAAAACAATAAAAACAGATCTTTGTTTTTAAAAGATTGTAGTTTTTTTAATGCTACCCTAACTTCTGTATCTGATATTAAATTTGTCCATATGAAATGCAACAAGTTTGGGGAGCAATGATGCTAGCTATTAACATTACAGGAGCAAAACCAATTTTAAGATGTGGCCTATGCACATAAAAAAGTGAAATGACTGTGTGATAACAGTCAAACTTTTTCCCACTTTGGAAAACCTACAATTTTTAATAGTATTTTAAAATAAGCATCTTGGCATTAATCATGTGACAGTTTAATTCTTGGATTTGGCTCACAAAGTAGTAGGAAGCTAAGATCTGAAAAAGCTATTAACTTGATCTCATAATGCCCAAGAGTTTTGCTTTTTAACTTTTCCTATTTTTTTTTAACTCTACAGTCTTAAGTTTATTTTCTTTTAAAAATTCACCGTGAACTTTATTGCTTTGAATCTGTAGCCTTATGGTTTACAACAGTCAAATAGTTTGGTCATCACTGATTTTTTTTCATAACAAAATTATATCATTTCTAAAATAGTAATGTTGCCAAATATAAGGAAGTTTACAATAAAATATGTTGCAATCAAATGTTTCATGACATGTTTAAATACCACACTTGATATTAGAGTGTGCCACCCAAACATTGCAGTTTTTCACAGCAATGGAATAATCTCTAGGATACTTTTGCCTTTTATTACTATTTTCATCTCTTTTCCTTTCTAGTTGCAACATTCCTCTCTCTCTTTACTTCATGAATTCTTTCTCTTCAAAACACCTCAGAATAAAAGTGTGTAATTGATCGCCCCTTCTCAATGGGCATGTTCATTCAGTGTCTGTCTTTTGATTGCCTGCTGCCTATAGGCCACTGTCAGGAATGCAAATGTGAATGAAGTGTGTATTCTGCCTTTAAATAATTGACTGCCCTCCTTGATATATACTAGATTAGCGTGCTTACTAACTGTTAAGTCCTAGACCTGAAGGCACAGGGTATGGGGGTGAGGAAGTTATTACAGGGGGTTCAAAAATCCATATATACACCAAGTATGGTCTTCTGACCAAAAAGTTCATGTTCATGTCTATGTAAACAGGTATGGCTTTTTTCCAAACACAGGCAAACCTCGAACGTATTGCTGGTTCTGTTCCAACTACTGCAGTAAAATGCCAATTGCAATAAGGTGAATCATACAAATCTTTTTTGATTCCCAGTGCATATAAGTTATGTTTACAGTGCAGTGTAGTCCATTAACTGTGCAGTAGGATTATGTTTAAAAACTGTACATACCTTTATTTAGAAATACTTCATTTCTAAAAAATGCTAAAGATCATTCTGAGCCTTCAGCCAGCCATAATCTCTTTGATGGTAGGGGGGGTTTCCTTGATGTTGATCAGAGTGGTGGTTCCTGTGTGGTTCCTGAAGGATGGCGTGGCTGTGGCAATTTCTTGAAGTAAGATAACAATGAAGTTTGATGCGTTGATTGACTATTCCTTTACAAAAGATTCTCTGTAGCATGTGAGATGCTGTTTGACAGCACTTTATCCACAGTAGAACTTCTTTCAAATTGGAGTCAGTCCTCTCAAACTCTGCTGCTGCTTTATGCACTACATTTATATAATATTTTAAATCCTTTGTTGTCATTTCAACAATGTTCACACTATCATAGCTAGGGATAGATTACATCTCAAGAAGCCGCTTTGCTCATACATAAGCAATTCCTCATCCATGAAGTTTGATCATGACATTGCAGATTCAGTCACATCTTTAGGCTCCACTTCTAATTCTAGTTCTCTTGCTATTTCCACTAGATAAGCACTTTCTTCCTCCACTGAAGTCTTGAACCCTTCAAAGTCGACTATGAGGGTTGGGATCAACTTTTTCCAAACTCCTGTTAATGTTGATATTTTGACTTTCTCCGGTGAATCAATCATGGATGTTCTTAGTGGCAACTAGGATGGCGAATTCTTTCCAGAAGGCCTTTAATTTACTTTGCCCAGATCCATCAGGAGAATCACTATCTATTGCAGCTATAGCCTTAAAAAGTGAATTTTCTAAATAATAAGACTTGAAAGTCAAAATGACTCCTTGATACATCTGCTGCAGAATAGATGTGTTAGCAAGCAGGAAAGCACTATTAATCTCTGTGTATATCTCCATCAGAGCTCTTGGGTGACCAGGTGCATTTTCAATGAGCAATAACATTTTGAAAAGAATTATTTTTATTCTGAACAGTAGGTTTCAAGAGTGGACTTGAAATATTCAGTAAACCATGCTATAAACAGATGTGCTGTCTTCAGTCTTCGTTGTTCCATTTATAGAGCACAGGCAGAGTAGATTTAGCATAACTCTTAGGGCCCTGGGATTTTCAAAGTGGTAAATGAGCATTTGGTTCAACCTAAAAATCAACTGTATTAGCCACTAATAAGAGACTCAGCCTGTCCTTTGAAGCCAGCTATGAAAGTTGTAAATGGCACCGTCTTCCAGTAGAAGGCTGTCTTGTCAACATTGAAAACTTGTTTGCCCCCTTAATCAATGATCTTAGCTAGATCTTTAGGATAACTTGGCACAGGTTCTATCTACATCAGCACTTGCTGGTTTACCTTGCACTTTTATGTTATGGAGATGACTTCTTTCTTAAACATCATGAACCAACCTCTGCTAGCTTCCAGCTTTTCTTCTGCAGCTTCCTTACCTCTCTCAGCCTTCATAGAATTAAAGAGCATTAGGATCTTGGTCAAGATTGGGCTTTGGCTTAAAGGAATGCTGTGGCCGATATGATCTTCTATTTAGACCACTCAAACTTTCTCCATATTAGCAATAAGGCTGCTTCATTTTCTTATCTGGGTGTTCATTGGAGTAGCACTTTTAATTTCTTTCAAGAACTTTTTCTTGTACTTACAAGTTGGCTGTTTGGCCTCTCTTGACTTGTGACATGTCTTCCTCACTAAGCTTAATCATTTCTAGCTTTTGATTTCAAGTGAGAAATGTGTGACCCTTCCTTTCACTTGAATACTTAAAGGTCATTGTAGGGTTGTTAATAGGCCTAATTTTAATATTGTTGCGTCTCAGGGAATAAGAAGCTTGAGAAGAGGGAGAGAGATGGCAAACGGCCGTCTTGGTGGAGCAGGCGGAACACGCCCGACATTTATTGTTTGCCTTCTTAAGTGAACATGGTTCCTGATGCCCCAAAACAATTGCAATAGTGACAAAGATCACTGATCACAGATCATCAAAACGATAATGAAAAAATTTTGAAATATTGCAACAATTGCAAAACTGTCATACAGAGACAGGAAATGAGCACATGCTGTTGGAACAATGGCACCAACAGACTTGCTTGACGCAGAGTTGCAACAAACCTTCAATTTGTATTTGGGGGGGAAGAAAAAAAAACCCACCAATCTGTGATACACAATAAAACAAGACATGCCTGTAGATTGTTTTTAATAAAGTACAAATCTATTTGAAAACATTCTGAACCGTAGTAGCTTTTACATGTCTGCCATCCATCAATATAACTACTATCATGAAGAAACTGTGACTCATTTTTTCATAAAAAGGGACCTGAATTGGAGAAGGTTGAAAAACACTGAGTAAACTGTAATTATATGTTGCTTGACGACAGGCATATGTTCTGGGAAATGCATCGTTGGGCAATTTCATCACTGTGTGAACATCACATACTGTATTTACACACCTAGATGGTATTGCTTACTGCATACCTACACTACATGGTATAACCTATTACTCTTAGGCTACAAACTTGTACAGCACGTTACTGTACTGAATACTGTAAGCAATTGGAATACAATAGTAAGTTTTGTGTATCTAAACATGTATAAATATTTTAAAAGTACGGTAAAAATATGACATAATCTTATGGGACTACCTTTAAGTATGTGGTCTGTTATTGACTGAAATGATTTATGTTGCATGACTATATCTTAAAATTTTAAAAATTTATTTATAAAAATTAGTCAATTAGGCCGGGCCTAGTGGGTCATGCCTGTAATCCCAGCACTTTGGGAGGCCAAGGCAGGCAGATCATTTGAGGTCAGGAGTTCAAGAGCAGCTTGACCAACATGGTGAAACCCTGTCTTTACTAAAAAGACAAAAAAAAAAAAAAATCCAGGTGTGATGGTGCATGCCTGTAATCCCATCTACTTGGGAGGCTGAGGCAGGAGAATCTCCTGAACTTGGCAGACTGAGGTTGTGGTGAGCTGGGATTGCGTCACTGCACTCCAGCCTGGGCGACAGAGGGAGACTCCGTCTCAAAAAAAAAAATAAAATAAAATAAAATAAAATTAGTCAATTAGTAAATTATAAAACTAATACTTTGTACAACATTATTAACCTGACTATGTAACAGATTTGCTGATGATTTGAGTAATTAATAGCAATGTTTTTGTTATGGATTTCTAGCCTGTGCTGGTTTATTTTAAATAGGTATAATAATACCTATAAAAACATATTTCTTGCCTCTTAAATTAGTTGCATATTTCTACTTTTGGATAGTCCTATTAAAAATACGTTTTCATTTTAACATATTGGGTCATGAATGGGTTTCTTAGAATTTAAAAACAAACTTATTAACTCCAGAAGGATTAGTATCTAATATAATTAACAGACGTCTCACTATTTTTTTCTCAACTCCAAAGTACCGTTTCTAAACTCTGCACTGAAACTTTGTCCATTCTTGTATTACTGTTATACAAAGAAAATAGCAGCCGGATGTGTGATTTTGACACAAATCCTTTTCTAGTTACTTACTCTCAAGGGCCAGGACACATTTTAATTGTCTTAAGAAATTCTACAGGACAGAAAGAGAAGCTTCTTTTAATCAAAGTTTTACATTTAGAATTCTCTGTCAATATTCATTTGAGTAAACATTTCTCTCAGATGTCCTTTTAGGTATATACTGTGTTCACATGTTTAATCATGTTTTCATTAAAATGTCATGTCTCAAGAAAATGTCATGATTTGGGAAGTACTACTTTTTGTGAGTTTTAGAAATCGAAATACTAAAATTTAAACGTTTCATTATTTTTCTATTCTAATTTATAGTTGAAATTAAAGAAATGGAGAATGTAGAAATCAGCAATTTATAATGGTTTGAGTGAAGAAATCACACTGTATGAGGTCAAAATGGATGTTCTTTATGAAAAGTCAGTTATAACTTGCAATTTTCTATCCTGTGTCCTAAAAATATAAATTTTCTTTCTAAGTGCTTAATTTAGTAAAAGTAGGGGAGATCGGTAGTGGAGACTAGGATTTGCTGGATACTCTCTTTCTTTCTTTAGGAAATTTAAAATCAGAACTAGCCCTAAAAGCTTCTTAAAGAGGTAATATTTTATTTTAACTATTTATGAACTATTGGTTGGATTTGGCAGTTATAATTTTAAAATATTAACAGGTTACTTAAGACTTTAAAAATATATTTATCAAAAGCACATATTTTTATGTGTTCATGTCTTGGTGTGTTTTGGAGAATACTGTAAACTGTGTTGCTTATAATCAATAGAAATTTATGTCTCATGGTTCTGGAGGCTGGGAAGTCCAAGACAAAGGACTCTGCTTTCTCATAGTCTTCTCACTGGAACCTTGATAGGAAGAGGATAGAAAGAGGGTAGAAAGAGGGAGGGATCTCTGAGGTCTCTTTTATAAGGACACTAATTCCATTCCTTAAGATTCTGCCCTCATAACACAATCACCTCCTAAAGTCTGCACCTCTTAATACTACCCCTTTGGGAGTTAGAATTTTAACATATGAATTTTAAGGGAATAAAAACATGCAGTTTATTAGTTGGTGTGTGTGCATGTATGTGTGTGTTCAGCTTATTTACAAAGAGCACTAAACTTTTTGAACATTTCCTTAGAATTCTGCTTCTAAAGAATGCACAAGGAATAGAATTACAGATCTCACACTGGACATGAAAAATACAAAATTACACACTTGTTAAAACTGCAAGGGAATAAATAATGTGTTTTCTCTATGCCATTAGAGAGTGAAGCCTCCCCTCTATGCCTGCTTGATTTCTACTTTGGGCAATCATATGAAAGTTATGCAGATCTTGACTATAATCTGAGGGAACCAGCCACAAGACTGGATTGTATTTTAATTGTGGGAAACTGATCGTCTTCACCTAATCAGTTTTCCCATTGCATATACCGTGTGCATGACATAATTTTAAAAGACCAACTGCGTGATATTTATTTTTCCTCAAATGTTTTCGTAATGAAAACATGATTAAAGAAACATGTGTCCAAAGCTTTGACTCTGGTTTTATTTATGGACATTTATACTTGGTCAGATTGACTTCATGTTGGCTGCTACAACTTCTAAAAGGCCCTGTCGTGTGTAAGTATCAAACTTCAAAACAAAGGAAGGGATATTCTTTAAGTCAGTGGTCCTCAGAATGTTGTCTTCAAACCAGTGGCATTAGCATCACCTGGGAACTTGACAGAAACTCAATTTCTTGGGCTCTACCCCAGACTTACTGAATTGGAAACTCTAGGAGTGGCACCTAGCGATCTATGTGATGCTACCAGCCCTCTGGCTGATGCTCAGGTTTGAGAACCACTGTTGTAATTATAAACTATGTCCTTTACATACAATTTTAGTATTATTAGGCATGCATTGAGATGTGTCCAAGGCAAGGGCTCATGAGAGTTGAATCAATTTTAATTGGTTAAGTTCTGAGTTATGTAAAGTCATCTAAATGTGTATGTGTCCTCTCCATAGAAAATCACATCTTGGAGGATGTGAACAAGTGTGTGATAGCCCTCCAAGAGGGCGATGTGGACACTCTGGACCGGACTGCAGGGGCCATCAGGGGCCGGGCAGCTCGAGTCATACACATCATCAATGCTGAGATGGAGAACTATGAAGCTGGGGTTTATACTGAGAAGGTGTTGGAAGCTACAAAATTGCTTTCTGAAACAGGTAAGCATGGGTATTGGGTCTGGCCAAAATGTTAATGCCTTGATTAGTTTCTATAACTGAATAAATCTGTTTCATTGATTTCTGTAGGCCTTTATGCTTCTAAATTGCACATAATTGTGGAATGGGTGGAATACTTGAGTGTTCTCTTTGTTTTTTGAGTTTGAATTTGAATAATATTAGGAGAATGACAGTTGTACTGCTTTGCATGCATATATTTCTTTATACTTTTCATATAGATCATTTGATTCTCACAAACAATAAAATTTTTCTGCTTACTTAATTATCTCCAATTATGGATGAGATAATTTTATGACTTGAGAAAATTATGGTTTGAATTGGCTAAGAGACTGGAATGAGGTCACAAGGTTAGAAAATAGTGCAGATGTGATAAGAACTTGGAATCTGTAATTTAACCTTTTCTTCATTTATTGCTTGAGAGGATAGGACCTTAAGGAAGAACTCTGAACCAGCCAGTGGAAAGCATAAAGGTTTTAGATAGTGAGTGGATATGACGTGCTCAAAGAAAGGTGGTGGCTGCTGACAAAGAGTTAGGCTTTCAGCATATTCCCTTTCTTTCTAGGAAAGCTTTACATGCCCTTCTTCAGGGGCATGTGGCTGCTCACAGGACTCACTGCTATGGTCAGGTATGGTTACTTATGGGAGCTTGTCAGAGCTTGCAGATGCATTGGGGTAAAAAAAAATGCTTCCACTGAATTAGAACAATCTACAACTCTGGAGAATATATAAGACTGGCCTGTTTTTAGTAGTTCTCCCCTCTTGACCAATGTCTTTTGGCTTCCTCAGGCCTTGATTTATATATATGAGATAAGATATATAGTCCAAGGAATGAGAGGAAACTAGGGAATAGAAAAAGAGAATGTAAGTCCACATTGGATAAGGTTGTTAATGAATAATGAATTGGTGCATATATATGCACAGAAGGGCCTCTCCCCTCAAACCCTAAGGGGGACCTTCATAGGTTTGCCTATGAGCTTTGGATGCCACCAGGCATTTTTAAAATAGCCATCTCTGAAAGGTCAGATATAGCCATGTTCCAAGTTCTGCATGATGAGATGTGTTGGTAGAAATATGTTGCTTTTTATGGGGAAAAGATTATTTACAAAGAGTTCTGTAGGTATTTGTTAGCCTGGAATAGCAAGTAAAACACAATACATAAACACAGGTATTGGTCATTCTCTTTAAAATATAAGCAGAAACAGAATAGTGTGGTATCATGTTATAAAGAGCACATCTAGAGACTGTTGCCCTTGGAACATCCTTACAGACTTAGACTTAGACATAATAACAAAAATAATGACAAGATATGACTGCATTTGAATTAGCTGAGAGTCAGCACTGCTTTCTTTCACATAAGCTTGCCCTTTGCATTCAATTGAGCAACACAAAGCAAGCCATACAGTATTTCTTTCCTCACTTGGAAGAGTTATAAAAAGGTATTTTTTTCCCTAATTCTCCAAATTAAGGACTTTTTCATTAGTAACCTTTAGGGAGACCATCTCACATTTCTGTGGCTTACAGTTCCCAGCCCATCAGCTCTATTCTTGTACAAAGTCTCAGCTTCATGTGAGATATCTGACAGAGTAACACTCACCTGGGTCTGTCACTAGATAAATAATACCAGAGAAGTGTTGAAGACCTAGAGACAGGACTCAGTTCCTGCCCACTCATGACTGGTGGGAAGGACACTTGTGGCAGATGAAAGATACAGAGCATATTGCCAATTTTCATGTGACTTTCTACCCACAGATAACTCAGGCACTGTTCAAATGACATTTTAGAACTTTTTCTTATTGTATCTTGGACTGCTTTGACAACAGGAGTGCCACTTACTAGGTCAAAATCTAAAGGCAAGGACAATTGCTTAGTTGATTGTAATATTTTAACATAATTTTCACCCAAAGTCTTGATATGTAAATAATGTTCTGGTTGATTTTTCTACTTTTAAAAAAACAAATAGTCGTTCATCCTGGATTGTTGTTGCTAATCAAGATTTTTGCTCTTACTTGTTCTGAGTTTTTACAATTTTTATCCTGGCTTGCAATGATTGAGCACTCTGGGGGCTTAACTAAAGGCACCTTTCTTATTTTGATGCCCATATCCAATTCCTAATTGAATACGGTAGATGAGCAGGACATTTAAATTCTACTTTTCAGGATTTATTGAAGTTAACTAGGAAAGTAACCAGGCAGAGACTGAAATAGACAGCTTATATATAACTTTAATTGAAAATATAGGAATAAGTGTCAAGGAAAAGTGGGTGTCAGTGGACTAAGAGCTAGAATACAAAGGTATACAATTTCTTTGGTATTTGTCCCCAATTGTTCTTCTCTTTCTGAAACAGGAATAATGTTACTATTTTGTGAATAACTAGAGAGGTTGCCAAAGAAATGAAAGAAAAAAACTTCAGCTATTAACTCACTGACTGCTAATGAGAATTGCTGGGGAATGTGCTTGCATAAAGTAGACACGTGGAGTTTGAGGATGACCACAGGATCAGTTCTGTAATTATGGTTGTACAAAGTTTTGTTGGTGTGTGTGTGTGTGTATATATGTGTGTGTGTGTGTGTGTGTGTATATATATATGTTGTCTAAAGTGATTTACTTCTAATGTCATTGTATGTCTGTGCTAAGGAGACATAAGATATATGTCCTCAAAATAGAAACCCTGTGCATGTCCCTGATGCCAAATTATCTACCTTTTGCTTAGTTTTGTTTCTGACTTAAACAATTTTAGAGCCATGTTGAATTGGCCACTTTTCTATGTGAATCTATCAAATTTTGTCATGAGAGTACATTGTAGGGTGAGAGAGGGTGGTAGTGGGAAAAAAGGGAAAAATGCCAAGAGGAAAGATGAGGAGAAAGAAGACAAAATGTCATGGTTTTTGTTGTTGTTGTTGTTGCCACACCTACTAGGTTCTGCCCATTGATTTTTTTGTTTGATATTTTATTTTTAAAAAATTCTGTGCCATTAGATTCAAGACCTTGAGTCAGACATGCTCAACCTCTGTACTGTTGACACTTTGGTCTGAACAGTTGTTTCTTGGGGAGAGTTCTGGGGACTGTTTTGTCCATTATGGGATGCTTAGAAGCATCCCTGGACTCCACCTGCTAAATGTTTGTAGCATCTCTTTCTTCTACATGCCAAGTTGTAACCACCAAGATGTCTCTAGACATTGCCAGATATCCTTGAAGGAAGTGGGTCCTGGTGGGCAAAATAATGTGCACTGAGCATTACTGCCCTAAAGTAAAGAAATAACCCAAAATAGGGACAAGTTCAAACAGGACAGATTGGAGCCCATGTACTGTGGACATAGTGAAAAGGGAGTGGGGTTGGGAGTATATTACAAAGAAGAATCTGTAAAAGGGCAGAATAATCAAACAGCCTTGACTGAACTGGATGTTGCTGCTGAAGGTGTTTACACACAGGCAAACCCCTGTGTAGACAGATGAATGGCTGCATGGGTAGGTCACTGTAGGGAGACTCCCACTTTACCACTTGGCTGCCCTCGCTGAGTGGCTGGAAAATTGAGAGGTGCCCAAAGAGTGATAACACATCTGTGGTTTATTTTCCATGAATTATTTTCTTTCCTTAGTAAAGACAGTGCTTTGCTTAAGAGTGCTTCTTGTCTTGATATGAATGCTGAATTAAATTTAAGAAAATTTTGTAGATTATTAGTATGCTAAGAATTATAGGGTAGCATTATGTACAAATTTACCTGTTCATTTTCTATAAAACAATCTAGGCTGATGAAAACACAATAAATTGGATCTACAGCAGACCCATTAAATACTTACATGGCATATTTGATGGGCTCTTCAATAAAACCTGAATTATAACAAATTGCCAAACAGCTTAGTAGTAAGTACACGCTTGACCAGACCCATCTTCATAGATCTCGTTTACAAAGTTGGGTTGCTGCAGGAGGCTGAGGAGGGGTGAAAGCACATTCAGCGATATCATATTTATATATATATATACACACACATACAGTAGCTCATTCTTCACTGAATGGATTATATTGAAATGTCATTTTTGTAAATTTGATAGCTGACTCAAGTTTGTGGCCATGTGAGCGTGACTAGGTTAAAAGATCTGTGAGATTCTGCCAGATATTTTTTCTTCAGAGGAAACAATAGACCAAAAAAAAAAAAAAAAAAGAAAAAAGCATATTTTAAAAAGGGTTCTATGTTATGGAGCACTCTGTATGCAGAGATTAAAATTCCATTATTTTGGAAAATACGTGGGCCAAGCAGATGGTATAATTTTTACTTCCATGCTCTATAACCTAAAGTTTTATACGAATGGGAAGGTTTTTCGTTTTACAACATTTCTATATATTTTTGCTTAGAAAGTATAAAAGGACCAACAAATACAAAGCATCCAAACTGGAAATCTTATTGAGAGGGTACATTTGGGCCAGGACAATGCAGTAGAATGAATCCAAGGTTAGGATTCAGAAGAACTGTTATTTGACTGCTACCAACTAACTGTGACCTTAAACAAATCAGTTAGTGCCTCTGGGACTTGGGTTTTTTCCTGTATTGCCCAATGTTTTGTCATTCAAGAATGGGTCGGTATTAATTGCGTAATATATGCATCACTGTTTCTGGCTTCCTGGTGACTGCACTTGGCATAAGCAATTATTGCCCATGAGTCCCCTGTATAAACCCTCTGCACCATCTGGACGAGGGCCTTCATTATTCTCCAGGCAAAACATATCCATGCTGCTCCCTCTGTCCTCCCTGCAACGTTCTTCATCTCCTCCTCCTCCTGCTTTACATCTGTTTATTGAGATTCACCTTTAAAATATAGCTCTAGTCTCAGTTGGAGACCACAGAAAACTATTAGTCTTTTGACATTTAGTATGGTATGTCCTCTTCAGTGTAAATGACTGCTTACAACAGGATTGTCTGTTTTTAGAGGCAAGTGTTTCTATAGGTACCCACAGCCTAGAATGGTGTTTTCAGTAACACATTTAATACGTAAGTATTGATTAAATGAATACCAAAAATGAGAACTTTACACTTTGTCTTTTTTTTCTGTAGAAAATATGTCTACCAGCAGCCTCAGGTTTGCAGCTCAAGACCAATTTCTGTGTATCAATGGGAAATCATCTGATTGGCTTTCTGGCCTATGCTTCCTTCAGTTGGACTGATTTCTGTTGCTAGTGGAATAGAGTTTTATGATTGGACAGGTCTGAGTGACCTGCCTATCTCTCTGGCTGGAATATGGGGGACTGGAGTATGAGATTGATGTCAGAAGGAGGTGGTAGGGGCAGCTTATTGGGAAGACAAACTATTAAGTATTAGAGATAGGAAGGACTATCCACAGTCTAAGTTACTTCGGCATGACTAATTTTAAGTCGGAAGTGTAGGAAGAATGAGAAAGAAGCCTCATCCAGTAAAGAGCCCTTAAATAGATAACGTATAATTTGTCTCAATGTCTTTTTTATATGACTAAAACCTATATACTCTAAGTATTGTAGAAATCTGATAAGTTTTTGAAGATCTGTATAATTTTTCCTAAAAGCAAATGCAAGGTTTTGGGGCTCAGAAAACAAACGTTACTTTGCACAGTAAGCATGTCAGTTTCCCATGTTCCATTCCCGCTCTTGGAGCAATGTGATGAGGGCAGATGGATTCTGCACATACAGTGGAGGTCTGTGCTACAGGTGGGGAACCACACCATTATGAATCTAGGAGCTTATTTAGAAATTGGTGCTCCTCCTGAGGGCAGGAAAGAAACACTTCCTCTCTCTTTTTTTGAGATGAAGTTTTGTTCTTGTTGCCCAGGCTGGAGTGCAATGGCAGTCTCTGCTCACTGCAACCTCTGCCTCCTGGGTTCAAGTGATTCTATTGCCTCAGCTTCCCAAGTAGCTGTGATTACAGGCGGTCGCCACCACGCCTGGCTAATTTTTTTTTTTTTTTTTTTTGTATTTTCAGTAGAGATGGGGTTTCACCATGTTGGCCAGGCTGATCTCAAACCCCTGACCTCAGGTAATCTGCCTACCTCGGCCTCTCAAAGTGCTGGGATTACAGGCATGAGCCACCGCGCCTGGCCACGTTTTTTATGTAAACAAATTCTGTCCAGGAGGTAGCCAAGTGGTTAAAAACTTTTGGAATATAAATGCATGGTTCCTAGTTTTATCCCTCTTTTGAAATGTAAACATATCTGGAGAAGCTGTCTATAAATCTCTCTCCAGGTTATTTCACTATCTTAGGACTGTTAACCTTTGAACCAGGTTACCAGTATTTTCATTCAGACAGGGTTGACCATGCAGAAACATGAAAATATTTCCTATACACTGGTGTGTTTGTGAATGATGTGTTCTCCCACAATTCAGACATGGTCAGCTCTCTCAGCATAAGAGGCTGAAGAACCACCTCAGAAAATACGACCATAACCAGATAGCTTACAATATAGAAATGTAAATGATTCCTCCTCAAAAGAAAAGTTGCTTGAACTCTCTCATAAGATAAATGCAAATTAAAAACTACGCTGAGAAACCATTACCCATCAGAATGGCAAAAATCCAAAAGTTCTATAATATATATACTCTGTTAAGGATTAGGAAAAGTCATCTTATATTTTGCTTGTAGATGTGCAAAATGGAGGAAATTTGACATCTTCTGTCAACAGAACATATTTAACATTTGGAAAGCAATCTCACTTTTAAAAATCTGTTCTTCAGATGTACTGGCAAAAAATATAAAAACGTATGCACAAGATTATTTATTACAAGACTGTAGGCTAGAAACAACACAAATATCTAGCTTTAGGGCACTGGTTGAATAAATTATGGTCTAATCACACAGTGGAGTAGTATGCAGCTATAAAACAGAATGGGGAATAACTATACAATCTCTGACTATATTTTTAGGTTAAAAAATGAGGTGGAAAAAGTATGTATAACATGTTCCATTTATTTTCAAAAAAGGTAAATTATATAACACAGGAAGAGAAAGTAAGATACAAAATTTTATTCTAACAATAAAACCCTTAACGTGAAGGTGGAGATAGGGTACGGTAAACATAGGAAGATTCACAACTGCATGTGTGTATAGGCCATAAATTTGGGGTGACACAGCAGAACAAACAGCACTTCTCTAGTGCCTGTTTGTCAAAGTACAACCAAAAAAAAAAAAAAGAAAGACATGAATCTCCAGTTCTTCATGGATTCAGAATCCTGGGAACTGGAGAGTACATGTGCTTCTTTGTCACTTCAAGGACATCAGAGACCAGCATCTGTGGTAATGGCAGTGTAGTAAATTAGGGGCCTACATATTGTGTCTAGCAGAGTCAGTGCTGGTGTCCACTGGAATTGGTGGTCTGGATGCTTTAATTGTGCACAACTGAGGCTGTAGTAATGTCCTGTCACCCAGATTCTCTGACGGAGGGGAAACTGCCACATCAGTGATAGGTGTTTGAATCAGAGGAAGAATATGCTAACAGCCACTCATTTGGAAGCACATGTGGTACATCCTTGGAGTATTCCAGAAATAGTTTTGGTAATGAAAAAATGGGAACCTTTGCATGTAGCCGGAGGGCCTGAAATAACAGGTGAACAAAAGAACAACAGAAGTACTGTATATGGCCAGAGTAGTCTCCAGATGACCTCCTTGCCAAATTTTAAATTTGTTTTGTAGAGACAGGTCTTGCTATACTGGCTAGAGTGGTCTCCAACTCCTAGCCTCATGTGATTCTCCCCACCTCAGTCTCCCAAAATGCTGGGATTACAGGCATGAGCCCATCCCACTTGGCTCCTGGTTTGCCTTTCTGTATTTTACCTTTCCTCTAATTCTACCTGATTTCTTCCTTGTCAGTGAAGTCCCCTTTCTAACCAGACCAGAGAAGCCCACTCTTCGGTGTACCTGTTACTCTTATTATCTGTGTTACTCATTTGGAACCTACCATATACTGCCAAGTATTTCATACTCCTTGTTACCCACTTTTCTACTTACGTTTATATCTGTCCTAGTGTTTATATCTGTCTTCTGTCCATCTTAGTACCTGAGGCATGTGTGTATGTATTGACTTTTTGCATGTTTTTGTTAAATTTTAACCTCTTAAGATCTGAGTCTACCTCTCCATTACCTGCAGCTTTAACTAAGAGTTGAAACTCAAAGATGTCATTAATATAAATGAGTAACATAATGACACAGTTACCTTATTCTGGGGGATTAAACCCTCCTTAAATCGCATACTTAATGATCAAGATAAGAATCTTTTAAGTTATGTGCAATAAATTTTTAGCAAGCACTTTATTACATCTTAATGCAATCTAAGTATTTAAACATCACAGATGCCAAATTAGACTGTATTTATTAAGCTAGGTTTTGACAAACACTAAGCTAAATAAGGCATCATGCTCATGCTCAATACTTTATTCGTTCCTTAAGTTTCAGAATTAAATGTGCCATCCTTTTAAGTTATAAACCATTTGTGATTATTTTTGAAATGCTTATTTTAAAATAGAAGAAAACTTTCCAAGCAAGCATTTTCTTTCCTCAGGAAAAGGAATTTGTGTCTAGACAAGAGCAGATGGATGCTCCCTGATTCTTTTAGGGTAGTTGTCGTGAATGGAATTTAGAGAGTTTTTTTTTTTTTTTTTACCCCCTCCTTCTAGGCAGTCCTTCTTCATCTTTTATCAAACAATTCATCTCATGGGTTATGTATTGCCTTCTGGAACTTAAATTTGATTTATGTTTGAAATATACATTTATAATTTTCCCAACATGAATTTATGGAAATGGCAGCCTTTAGAAACTCCCACAGAGGTAACAGATGATTGACTCGGATGAAAGAAAGTCCAAGAATGTATGCAGGAAGAATTGGGACTGGCCAAGATGATGATAGTTGTCTGGAGAGGTAGAAACAGCTGACAAATAGCAGCAAATAGGGAGCAGATTAAGCCAGGGTACTGTTGTTCTTGCTCCTGGATTCCAATTTTCAACTTCGAACCTGATGTCTCAAGACAGAAGAGAAGCTAGTATATCATTGGTCTAGGCAGAGGAAGATTGAAATTTAGAGAAAGTATGTAAGGTTTATTTCTACATTGCCTCTGCTACATTTTAAAAAAGCATTTGAAGACACTTAAGATTTAAATTCAATCAAGTGATGTAAATTAAATAATTAAAGTGGTGTAAATATGAGATAGAAAGGAAATAGTTTCAAGAGAATATTGGATGAAACTGGGTGGCTGAGTAGAAACTGTGTTTCTACTGGGCTAGGCAAGCTGAGTTTGAATTGTTTTGTTTTTATTTTCTGGAAGTTACTACTTTGTTGGTAAAGGCTTTCAAAGACTTTCTTTCCTCATGGATCTGGGGAGGTCATAATGGAACACCATGTTTAACATTGGCCTTCTTGGCAAGCAAGATAAAAAGCAAAGTTCTAGGAGCAAGTTTATCAAATCTTGTCCTGAGGGCAGATTATTTCACAGGAAATTCCTTATTAAAAATGCAACACTGTCACCAGGATGATACGGGGCTGCTGAGGGGAGAGAAGGGCATAGAACTGGGGAAGCTCAGTTTGCAAAACAAATTGTACCAACTTCCCGGTTTTCAGATTCAGCACTAATTGGTGTGCTGTGTCCCATTATGCTCACCTTTTTTTTTTTTCCATGGTGAATCGTGTGGTTGTACCTCCAAGTTCTTTCCAAAAGAGACTAGGTGATTTTGCCTGGTAGAAACAGTGTGTGCATGGGTAAATGCAGAAAGTCATGGTGTGAAGACAGCCCCAAGAAGCATTTACTATGGCTCTTTCATGTGCTAGGCAGTGTGGTAATCATCTGACATGCATCCTACTTGTTTGTAAGTGCCTCCAAAGCATAATGTATTTGTGTTATTTACCACTCGATTCCCGATTCCCGGTGCCTAGAGTACTGCTTAGATTTGCATATAAAATTTAGTAATAAACTTGTTGAATGTATTTCTGATCTTTATGTAAACCCTGAAGGGCAATGATCATTATTTCTGTTTTATACTGAGTAAACTGAGGCTTAAATTGGTTTAATAACGTGTAAAATTAAATATCAAGATTCATTTACACATTTTCCTGGAACCAATAAATATGCTTGAAACGTAGATCAAGCATCGTTGCTACAATTAAACAGAAATTTTCATGTGTCCTGCTAGCTAGTTTTTTACCAATATTTTTACTTAGGGCATAGCTATTTTTACTGATAGTTTTACTTATGGCATAGCATACTACATTAGTTATATATTTCTGTGTAACAAATTACCCGCAAATTTAACTTGCCACGTGGGCTTTTCTTTAGAGCAGCTTACAACATGGCAACTGTCTTCCATCAGAGTTAAGTAACCAAGATAGTAAGAAAACAGAAGCCAGCATCATTTTTCATTTCAGAAGTGGCATCCCATCTTTTTTTGCCATATTCTGTTGGTTAGAAGTGAATTACTAGTTCCAGCTCACATTCAAGGTTGAGGGGATTACACAAAGGCATGAATACCAGGAGAAGAGGAATCACTGGGGGCCCTCTCAGAGGCATCTGTCACACATACATATTTGCAAATACATGAGGATAGGAGAGACCATAAGGGTAATGAATGGCATAACTGGATAAAACAGTCCTAGGGTGTGTGGACAAATCCCACAACATGGACTTAATAAGGACATATTCAAATGCTGGTATAATAGCCCTATTACCTTGTGCAGTGGCATTTAGAGCACAAAAGATCCACTGAGGCAATATGAAGCCATACAGTATGTGGACAGGAGGGGACAGAGGAATAACAGAGCTAGATCGTGGAGAAGGAAGGGCCTAGATTCATTCAAGGTGATTGGAGAAGTGGGTTGGAGTCAAAGAGAACAGATAAGAGTCAGGGAATGGTACATAGACAAAGCTGGTACATAATTCAAAGATCAGTGTGCATGCCAAAGGGAATAAAAAACTAATGGCATCATCAGGAAAAATTCTATTTGACTTAGGTTTAGAGATTCGAACATTAATTGAAGAAGCTCTTTAGCCTGTGGTGTCAGAAGTCATAACCAAGATTCGAGTGCATGTGTGTAAAATTAGGGGTGGAAGTGAAAGCTCTGAACAGTGTACGAACCCTTAGCCAAGGGCTTTAATGAGATTCCAGCCATCCTCGTACCTCCTAGGGAAGGCACACACCTATAAATACATATGGAAATGAAATAGTCACTATTTGCGAAGTAGACGTATAGATCCATTTGCCTAGTAGGTAATGCTCCCACCCAAACATCTCTAAAAAGATTCTGAGCTGAGGATTTTTAAAGTCCCCCGTGTAGGGGTGAATTGGGGGAATACTTAAAGACCTTCTATTAATTTATGATCATGACATTCGTTACTAAAATCACTAATATAAAATGGTGGCCAGCTTCTATGATTTGTCATCTGTTCTTAAGTGGAACTAAAGGGAGAGATGTGTTATGGCTTCAGTTTGGGGTAGTTTCTACTTCTACATTGACTGTGAATTGGAACTTCAGACTCGGTCTTCTTACAACTGATTATGCTTCATGGATGTGTGGAATTGTCAAGGCACACCCCGTGCCTTATAGATGCCAGTCAGAGTCCCCTTTGGGCAACTTTAGGGCCCCAGTAGTTGATATCACACTCTCTTTTACCCTTTTTTCCTCTCTTCTGTCATCTAATTAGGGGGCCTCCTGAATAATCCCTTAGCAGTGTCTGACAGGAACCATTTTTGGGAAAGAATACTTTACCTGTAGAAATAACATCAAACATCACTTACCTGGTATAGGGGACACTGGAATGGCCCCACAGTGATCCTCCAAATTAATATTTTCTGGCTCCAATTACTCTGATTTTTCCCTAATCTTTACCGAATTCCAACTGTTACAGTAGAGGCTCAGTGACTGTCTGTGATGGGGGGAGGATATTGTACTAATTCCTGCACAGGAATTAGCTGCAATTCCATCCCTGTCGTGATATTTTATGTTATTTTTAGATTCCTTTCAATGCTCTTTTTTTTATTTTATGTTAACAGTTACTAAACTGTTTATCTCTCTCGAACAGGGGCTTTGTCTATTTTCTTTTCTCTATGCTCCATAATAAAATTTGTGCAAGAAACACACTCAGAGTGTGTTGGATGACTGCATCACCACAGTTGGGTGACCCCTGTGCATGCAGATGTGCTTGACTGGCCTTGGCGAACTAGTTGAGAATAGAATTATGAATCTTTCTTGCTCAATGGTGATGCTCCTTCTGAAGAAGCAGAGTCCTGAAAGAATCCTGAGCTCAGGTTTCTGAAAGGTCCCTACAGACCAAACCCAGAATGCCCACTAATCACTTGTTAAATGACTCGTGATACTTTTTAATAAAATTACTGAACCAATGCTAAATGATGGGCAGAAAAAGAGAGACTTGTTATGTGAAATGTGATGCTACTCACTTTGTCCGTGAAATACTGGATGACAAAGGAGTTCTTCATCTTAATTTTCCCCATTTATTCCTGTCCTATTCTTTTACTTCTTATCCTTCTCTACCCAACTGGATAGATTGTCTGTGCTAGAAGCAGGACAAGGGTTTAAATGCAAAGAATGAAGCAGAGATGGTCTCTGCCTGAAGGCGATTCATATGTGAAACAGTTGACATACAGAAATACCGATGAACTAGCCTAATACAGTATACTGAGTGCTATAATGGTGTGCGTGTGTGTGTGTGTGTGTGTGTGTGTGTGTGAGATTAGGATGCTATAAAATTACAGAGAATTGTAGAGAACTGTCTACTTTGGGTTCTGAGGATTAAAGAAGGCTTCACAATGGCAATTAGTTCTACACTGGAGATTGAAGATTGAGTAGGAGTTCACCTGGGCCAAAGACGAGTATGTACATTTCAGTATGAGAAAATAAATCATTCATGGATATGTTGCTGTGGGTCCATTTCATATTTGGAGATATTGAAGTTAAAGTCTGTCTAACTGGAACATTTGAGAATATGTGGTAATAAGGGGTGAGACAGAAAGACACAAGAACCATATAGGCAGATAATAGATGCTTTTTGTGTTTGTTTCTTGATAAAGAGGTTTTATAGTTCTCTGTAGTATAGGGAATCATTGGAATACTTAAAGCAGGGGTAAGGACCTTTTATATACCTGAGGGTAGCGAGGTTACCTGACTCTTCATCTCTGCTACCTTTGGTTGACCTTGCATTTTGCCCTTTGGGTTGTCAGCAGTCCTATTTGAATATTTAACACAACTTCTCATTCATTTAACTGACTCACCCTGTGTTCTGAAACTTCATCCCTGACGTCTCTCAGGAGAATTTATTCCAGAACTTTCTCACCTCTGGTTTAGGATCTCGATCAACACTAGAATGATGCGACCTTGATTTTTATATGCATACTTAACTCTGATTTCATTACTCCTAGGGATATCATCGTTTTGTGGCCTAGTGTGTGCGCTGCATACAGAAATATAGCTAGAATTCAAAAGTTTATCTCTGAATTTGATCACCCTTTCAGACATAAGCTATTAAGAACAAATCAGCATTTCTGATAAATAACTGTAAAGTGGTGCCTACAGTTTTTGGATGTAATTCAGAAAGCAGAAAGAAGCTTCTATTTATATTCCTATATCAAAAACTCTGTTAATACACAATGTGTGCATCACAAAGGCAATGCTGCGTTTTGTCCTAATTAGTGAGAGGCAGAAGCAGCATCATATTTGAGGAAGTTTGAAACTTTTTCTGTCTCAGTATTACTTTTGGGGTATTTAGGTTTTTTTTTTTTTTTTTTTTTTTTTTTGAGATGGAGTCTTGCTCTGTTGCCCAGGCTGGAGTGCAGTGGCACCACCTCGGCTCACTGCAAGCTCTGCCTCCCAGATTCATGCCATTCTCCTGCCTCAGCCTCCCAAGTAGCTGGGACTACAGGCACCCGCCACCACACCCAGCTAATTTTTTGTATTTTTAGTAGAGACGGGGTTTCACTGTGTTACCCAGGATGGTCTCGATCTCCTGACCTCGTGATCCACCCTCCTCGGCCTCCCAAAGTGCTGGGATTACAGGCATGAGCCAAGGCGCCTGGCCTAGATTTTTTAGACATTACCAAAGTATTAGAAAAATTAATAGTCAACCTAACATCTTAGGTTCTGTCAAGATGGGTCATTGTTCTATAAACTTTTGTTTTTATGTCTCATCACTCTTTCTGTTTTGAGACGGAGTCTCGCTCTGTTGCCCAGGCTGAAGTTCAGTGGTGCGATCTTGGTTCACTGCAACCTCTGCCTCCTGGGTTCAAGCGATTCTCATGCCTCAGCCTCTCGAGTAGCTGGGATTACAGGCACCTGCCACCATGCCTGGCTATGTTTTGTATTTTTAGTAGAGGTGGGGTTTCACCATGTTGCCCAGGCTATTCTTGAACTCCAGACCTCAGGTGATCCACCCACCTTGGCTTCCCAAAGTGCTGGAATTACACGTGTGAGCCACCGTGCCCAGCCTCATCACTCTTAAAGGCAGAATAGGATAAGACCGAATGAGCGAAGAGCAGCAATGTGGAGAGCAGAGGTATTGGTGATTAAAGAACAGTAGCAGTTGACCAATCCCTAAATAAATATTGAACTGTGCTTAGGATTGGTCTCAGAGAAAGAGTTTCTTAGGGGTCAGACCCAGAAAAACACTGACTTATGGTAAGGAAAAAAATAGATGTCTTGTCAGTTACAGTAAATATAATGAATTGAATGAGTTCGAGTTTTATGTTTTACTGGCCAAAGAATATAATAAGATGGTTTAAATATTAAGGCTCAATTGCACTCTGAGCCTCTATTTTAAAAATAAAGAACTTGTACCCTCTCCCCTATCGTTTTTTTCTTCCTTGAAAGGTCGATGGTAGTTCTGTTCCAATCTCTTCATAAAAATTCATTGTTTCTGCCACTTCTGACAACCCCAGGTCAATAACACTGTTGTTTATACCAAAATCCTACCATCCAAATCTCACTAGAGAGATAATGTATGCCATGCTGGTGCAAATAGAATCCTCTTCTCCAAACTGTATGTCACAGCATTACTAGATGTATTCTGAGTTGCAGAGCATCCCCTATGAAGTCCATTTAGGTTTTAGCTTTCTCCTCTCACCCTTGCGGGAAGTATCAGGCCAGGAGGTGGTTTTAGCGAGATGGCAAAAACCGCATTTATTTTTGCACCAACCTAATAGCATGTCACCTTCTACGTTGTCCTCCTCCCCATCTCTTCCTCAGGGTGACCTTGCCACAAACAAAGCAACACCATAACCTTTTTCACCCCTTTATATTCGAGAAAGGTCTTCATGCAAATAGAGGTGTGTTCATGCAGGTTGGGGTCTGAGCGGTGGGCATTTTCCCACTCAACTTCTTAGTTGGCAGTTACTAAGGCAGAATATTAAGTGTTTGATCACAGTCATAATGTCTGAGGGACTTCCTCACTTAATGATATTGTTCAGATCGGTTTCTATCATGTTGTGGGCCATGTGATAGAACTTTATTTTTTCAGAGCCCAGTTCTATAAGAAGTACAACCTTGAGAATAATTTGATTTCTTTTTAAACATGTGAATTATGAAAAGATTCAAAGATACAAAAAGAACAAAGACTAATAAAACAAATGTCTCTCCTTCCATCTCAAAGGTAACTACTATATTTAAAGTGGTATATATCCTTTTAGAACATGTAAGAACATGTACAAATGTATATGTTTAAATAATGCACAGTTTTCATTTGTGTATTTAAAAATTTTTCACAAACGATGTTTCTTTTCCTACTCACACGATATTGTTTTTCCCACTCGAACTTTGACCTCAGGGCTTATTCACTTTAATATATTGACTGTCCCCTGACTCACATCCCTAAGTCTGTTTTATCCCACCCAGATGTACTGTCTGTGGATCTGCAGTTAGCATATCAAAGTGGTTCCTGAGTTGGAGGATTCAGAATAGGGCTGGGGTAGAGCCTGTAGACAGAGCTCCCTTAAAGCAATTATTTTCATTCTCAGGTTTTGTATAATTTTCTTCTTAACTCTTTGAATATATAACCTAGCAGGAAACAACTGTCTCTATGGTTATAGAGACACAAAAACATTTTTGTGACTCCAATGTACAATTACTTACCCCTCCTAATCAGCATTTCTTTAGAAGTTAATATTTGGCCAAGCCCCTAGAGAATGCCCCAAATCACAGGGAGTGGATTTTACTAGATTTTGTCAAAGCACTTGCCGAAATGATGTGTAACCATTGTTCTCCCATCTGTAGTAGAAGGGTACCATTGTGTCTGCATGCTCAATATGATTAATATTATTATGCTTTAATTTGTTTACCTATGCCTATAAGTATGAAATTACATCTCATTGTTTGCATTATTTCTCTGATTATGGGTGAAGTCTTACTGTGTATTTATCAGCAATATGGATTGCTTTTCTGTGAACTGAGTGTACTAATTCTTTGTCAATTTTTAATATTTTTCCGTATTGATTTGTGGGATTAGTCTATTTATTTTATATACATGTAGGAGTACTAATTCTTTATCAGTTATATCCATAGGGATAAACAGTTTTATGCCTCTGAAAGCTCCCTTGTAGTATTACATAGAACTATAACATCACTGATGGTCATACTTATGGCAACGTAGACACCGTGGAGTGGCATTAATATAACTCAGTTTAAGAAAGAGGGAACTTGTAATTATATTTAAGAAGATACTTATTCTCAAATTCTAATATGTACAAAAATAATTTCATGCTCACTATTGAGTCATTTAAAAAAGTTTATTCCCAACACGAATAACTCAAATAGTCTGAGTTTAATGCAGTGGTTTTTAGAAATATAGTTTTATTTGATTCATATTTGTGGCAGTACAGCTTAATATTTCCCAAATTCTTTTATCTAAATATAGCTTAAAAGCCCAAATGAAAAATTCAAGTAATATAGAGAACCAATTATAGTAATTCATCCATAGAAGGAGATTTCCCCATGCATGCTGTGGTTTCGGTAATTTCTACTAAAGTGTGGGCACACAGTTTTCCTCTAACCCTGCTGTCTCCCCCTCCTTTTTTAAGTCTGTCTTTTCCTGGTAGAAATACATTTTTCCAGGAATGTTTTATCTTGAATACTCTGACCCTACAGAGTAAAGTAATTTAGCAGAATTTCTCACAGAGGGATTAAAATGGATATTAAAGTATCCACAGAGGATGAAAGTGAGTATAAAGAGGAATCAGGCATGAAAGTTCAGGAATGGAAATAGATGAATGATGTTTCTATTTTATCATCCTTGTAAATAAAACGAATATGCTTTTGGCTTTCATTTACTATACAAATTGATTGTTACAGGATAAAAGCTGAGAAAATTGAATTATAATTTTTGAGAATCAGTGAATCAGCAGCATCTTTTAAGAAGTTAGTGGAGGTGTTCCAGACGCTCCGCTGAGTTTACTTTCCACTAATCTCTAGGGTGTGTGCAGGATCCCTGTGAAAATAACGAAGTGTCAGCATTTTAGAAATTTATATACGTATGCTCTTTCACATCCGGGTGGTCCTGGTAAGATGGAACACTTTATCTTTGAGCCCATTGGTCTTCTCTTTCCATAGGACATTCTGCTGAAATGTCCCGTGTCTGTCTCCCTCTTTTCTATTACACACTCCTTCCCCATCTTCCCTTGCTCCACCCTCCCCTCCCCCATGTCTCAAGTCCAGCATTTCTGACAAAAGTGGGAAGGGTTGTATCATTTCATCCACATTTGATTGTGAAGCCATTTGGGTTAAGGTCTGCTACTCACCAGCTATGACTGTAACATCCGATATTAGTTAAATATTTATTGATACTTCCAAAGGGCCAGATTCCACCCAAAACTTTTTTGCATTTTCCCACTGAATCACGAAGTAGAATTTTATTACATTTTATAGACAAAGAAACAGGTTAAAACGTGGCCAAGGATTTACAGTAACCAGTAACCAGCAGCAACCAGCAGAAATGCAACTCAGTTTGGGGTTAGGGTAACATGAAAACTATATTCACACACTACACCACACTACTGTGGGCAGGTTTTAAAAACTTTGTCTTTTGCAAACCATCACCATGCATAGAATAACAATTGGGAAAGTTTCCTTTCCCTGCTCCTGAGGTAACTGTCATAAAGACTACTAAATTGGGCTCACTTCAAACTGGACAGATGAGTGTCTTGCTCCACTTAACTTTTAGAATGCCCGAGGACCTGCCACTTCGCCCAAGAGCTGGAATAAGAGGTAGTGAGAGAGAAATTGCCTAATCCTCTGCTTTTTATTTTTAACCCAGTGATGCCACGCTTCGCTGAACAAGTAGAGGTTGCCATTGAAGCCCTGAGTGCCAACGTTCCTCAACCGTTTGAGGAGAATGAGTTCATCGATGCCTCTCGCCTGGTGTATGATGGCGTTCGGGACATCAGAAAGGCTGTGCTGATGATCAGGGTATGTGAGGCCTCTGTAGCTCAGAGCTGGTCAGATCTCCTAGTAGGAAACTAAAGAGCTAACTGTCTTATTTATTATTTATTTTGTAATTACTGAGTTTAACTTGGTAAGCTGTTTGGCTCCTTATTAGTCAGACAAGGTGAGCTTTATACTTATGAAGGGATGAGTAATATCAACAAGCTCAAGTGAGCACTGAATATTCTGAAGGGCAACACCCTGCCTACTTGTTGCATGCATTACTTCCTCAGTTTCATACAACCTTTAGGCATACCCCTGCTATTTTCCATTTGTATCTCTTGCTAACACTCTTCCCATCAGGATCTGAAGACCATGGGCTGGAAAGAAATGAAGATTACACAGCATAGTAGTGTTTATAATAACACATAATAGTAACAGTTATTATCATGCAACTATGAAGTGATACATAATTACATTCTCTTTGTATAAAAATAATTCAGACATTATAAATAAGGCTGGATAGCCTAACATCAAACCTCTTATTACCCACTCCACTATCTTCCCATCTTCAGACTTCTGTTGTTAGGTAGGTGTGTCTTCCAAAATGTTGTCTAAATAATTAATATATATATTCACAGGCCTAGAAAATATATATTGTAGTTGATTTAAAAACTCATACAGCATCATTTGCAACTTTTTGTTCACCCACAAGGCACATTCACATATGTCTGTTAAGACATCTAGCTAACCTCATTTTATTTAACTGCTGTATAATCCATTATAAGATGACTTTTTTCTCCTTATCTTACCAACAGTTTAGCATAGTAATGTCCAAACATATTTATTAGCCACATAATAATCTTTATTTCTTCAAATATACTGCATATGCAAAAGCACATTTATTGCTATTATATTTGAAGCAGAGGTGGGGCTTCTGCAGTTCTAATCCCAAAAGCATGCTGTCCAGTAGAATGGTATCCACACTTGTAACTTAAAATATTCTAGTAAACACACTACAAAAGCAAAAAGATGAAATTAATTATAATTTTAAAAATTTATTTAACCAAATGTATCCAAAATATCATTTTGTGGCACACTATGGTGTTTTGTTTGGCACGGAGCCTAAATCTTTCTCTCTCTTTCTTTCTGGGTGTGTGTGCGTGTATGTGTGTGTAAGAGAGGGAGAGAGATGCCTAGAAATATGGGAGGGGGACAGAGAAAAGAGATATAAGAATTGGAAGAGAGGGCAAGGAAAGATAGTCAGCCTTTTAGGCCCATAAGAAATTAGATCATTTTTGTACTAACTTGTGAAATAAAGTAATAGACCATGAGAATTGTATTTTCAAAGCATTTGGTACTAAATCCCACTGTAATCCTCAAGATATATTCCCTCTTTTGCCATTTTTCTGCTTTGCTGGCCTTCACATGTTTGTCACAACCATTCACCTAGGAGGATGAGAAAGTTTATAGCCATCATTCACTTACTAATTCATGAGCTGTAACACACACACACACATACACACACACAATTTTAGATAAAATGTCGTATCTTTGTCACATAAAGTGTCATTTCTCTATCTCGACATTTCAAGTAGTTTGATTAGACGGATTTCACACCACTTAAAATTTAGGAGGAGAGAAATGTACAGTATGTACAAATTGTTATTTTTAAAATCCTTCTCCATTCAGCACCCAAATGGCTTCATTTTGCACTTAAATAATTTCTTGGTTTTCTTTCTGAATGTAATGATTGAGTCTACTTTAAAAAATCCCTTGTGCTAAGGAAGATAAACAATAAGACAAGTAGAATTGTTTCTTTCCCAAAACATTTGACCATACCTCCTTCCCTCCCAAAGGCTGCAAAGAAAGATTTTTCTTTTCCCAAAAACAATACAGAAAGGATCCTGAAGGGTCAAATTCTTTATCATCTTGTCTCTTGGCAGTCAATACATATTTAATGGTGATGTTGGTATCCAAGTGCTTGAGGCCAGCTCCAGGCAACCCTCTGAAGTAGACAAAGCTTGTTCTTACTGTATTCCAGCCTCAGCTGTCAGGACCTCCCTTTTCTGTTGGAGCAATCTACCCCTCTTCCATGAAACCATTTTTTTTTTTTTTGCTTCTTCCTGAGGCTTGTCCATTGGGATCTGTTAGGCACATAGGAATTTTCTGATTATCCCCACAAAGTGGCTTAAAAATATATATGCAAATCTGGCAGACCAACATATAGTCATTTTTCATTTCTTACAGTAGTTAGTGTTCTACAAATTCACTGTGAACACGAAATTTGTGAATCTTGAATCATTGCTTCTAGGAGAAATACAGGGTTAGGTTACTGTGAGCTTCTGGCCACACTTTTATCAACTGATCAATACTTAACCTTGTTTTATGTGAGTTTGTGTTCAAAGACACCTTCTTTAATATGTATTGTTTTTTGGGGGAGCCGAGGCAGGTGGATCACCTGAGGTCGGGAGTTTAAGACCAGCCTGGCCAACATGGTGAAACCCTGTCTCTACTGAAAAAAAAAAAAAAAAAAAAATACAAAAATCAGCCAGGCATGTTGGCGTGCATCTGTAATCCTAGCTACTTGGGAGGCTGTGGGAGGAGAATTGCTTGAACCTGGGAGGCGGAGGTTACAGTTTAACTTCACGTCTCCCAAACTGTGTATCAAGGTGCCCTGGAGCATTGCCAGATATTTTAAAATTTCAAGGGTAGCACATAGACATCTCTTGAATTCTGTATGAAATATGTTAATCAACGTGGCCTCTTAAGGTGTCTAGTTTTATTAATTAGAAATAGTTCAGTATGATTAAAAATTGGTAATTCTGTCTTGGTTATTCATTTATTTGCTGAAAGCTTATTAGATGTCCAAACTTTTGGAGTTGCCCTGAATACAGGATGAACAAAGCAGACAAAAGTCTCTACCCTCACAGGATTTCTATTCCTCTGGTAGGAGACAGAGAATAAACAAGGAAATATAATGTCAAACATTATGCCACAGAGAAAACCAAAGTATCCTAAAGGGGATAGAGCTTCTGGTGGGCATGGATCTCATGAAAGGAGGTACCTGGGTGGCATTTGAGAAGATACTGGGAGAAGGAAGAAGAAATAAGCCCTAACGGTACTCAGGTGGAGCATGTTTCCGGCGGAGGAAATGTCAAGTGCAAAGGTTGGAGCCAGGAACTTGACCTAGAGACCTAAGGACCTTATTGAATGAGTTGGGAGCCACTGGAGGGTTCTGAGCAGGGGAATAGTGTGATCTGACTTAGACCTTAAAAGGACCACCATGGCCATGCTGGTGAGAACAGAATGTATGGGGCAAGAGCAGAAGCAAGATCAGTTAGGAACCTCCAGAATAATCCAGGCCAGGCCAGACTTGCTGGTCGCCAATCACTCCTGACTAGGGAGTTTTTTCATTTTGTTGTTGTTGTTGTTTTGTTTTTACCTTTGGATCTCTAATTTGATTTTCTAGTCTGCAGCCCATTCCAGTGGTGTTGAGCTCTGTTGGGAAATCCTACCTCATGCATCTCTCAAGCTCTCCTGCCAACCTATATTCTCAGCCTTCTCCCAGTGAAATTCTCATACACATTTGGGCCGTTTCTTTCAATGGTTCTTATTACATTTTATGAAAAATGAGAAAATACTGAAGGATTCAGAGTCATTTCACCGGGACTCATTTGTAAAATTTACTCAACAACTCACATGTCCAGGTGAAATGACTGAATCCTTCAATACTTTCTCACTTTGTTTCTCTATAGAGGCTGTTGCAGAGGAATAGAGCACCAGCAGCAGGTGAACGGGTCCTGTTTTGCAACTGACATGTGGTATGACCCTGGTCAAGCCACATGATCTCCCTGGGCCCCTGTAATGGGCACAAGTTAATCTCATAGACTTTTAGGAGAGAATCTGGAGTCTGAATACTTGGTGCCATTTTACAGATATGACCCACTTCCATAACAAAACATAAAATAGTGGAACCACGAAACTAGGAGTAGACTTTAAATAGTTTCTGTTTATTGAAAAAAGCCTTCCCAAAGAGCACATAGAACTTTCACCCTCAGTCTCTATCCTCCAGTACAGCGAACTGTTTATTTTATTTATTCCTTTACCCTGTAACACTATCTAATGATAGAAGCGTAATCTTCCTGGGCCCATTTGCAGACCCTCTGTAATTTTCCATGTTTCCTTTAATTCATGGAGGTCTTTGACCAACTAAAAAATAGCACTCATAGTTTTAAAAATGTGTAATTCAAAAAAGAATGCCACGAGTAGGAGACACACTCACATGCAATTAGCAAACTGCACATGCACAGAACTTTTTATATGGATGGGCTGGATGGGTTTGTTGCGTGTTTAAGGTACATGTAAATAGCTTAAGCTCATCTATTTGCCTGGTGGTATTTGTGATGGTTAAAATCATGGGCTCTGAAACCGTCAACTTGTTGCCCGCCTCCATCACTTGCTAGGTGTGATGCTTTGGAAAATATACTCAACAGTTCTGAGCCTGTTCACACACCTATAAAATGGTGATTACATTTATTTCATTAGGTTTTTGTAAGGATCAAATTCTTTAGCTGAATGCCTGTCCCATAGTGGGTGGTAAACAATGATTGCCATTATTATTGCTGTTGTTGTTATTAGGTGTTATATTTTATTATTAAGCACAGTAATTATCACCATCATTTATGAATTTAGTTAATTTTTATGGTTCCTAAAGCATTTTCCTATACATCTAAGCTTAGGAGTCCTGTGGGGCAGAAAGTGCATATAGCAATTATAATCTCCGTTTTATGAGCAGGGAGACACAGAAGTAGTGAAACTAAGTGACTTGCCAAAGACATATAGCTTGTGAATGGCAGAGTTAGGTCAAAACATGCAGGTCCCCTGAGTCCTCGTCCAGGTTAATACCTCTTTTGATTTTAATGTTTTTCTTTATTTTGGTTCTTGGGCCATTGTCTCTTGAATAAAAACTCATCATTATTAGCCTTATGCTGCCAGGTTGGGTTTGTCATTGACTCATCTACTGAATGCACAGATCACTGAAATGTTTGGGCACAGTACTATAAGAACTGTCATATTCTGCTTATTTTTGTTGAATGAGATTTTTCGATTTACTTTTTCTCTTTCAAGAACTTATGACAAAAAGCGCTTGTAATCTTGTCATCTCATCTGTCAGCTGAATTTACCAACTTGCTATAATTGTCCCACAGTACACTGCAAAAGAGGGAGAAATGATCAGAGAATATTGTCTCTGTCCACAATAAAAATACAACCAGTTACTTGAACTGGGCTCTGCCTACTGTAGCCCTGCTTTAGTTAATAAAATATGAGAACAAAACCTCTTTCTTCTCTCCTTATTTTAATATTCCTATGAAAGTAAACATCTGTAGATGACTGAGTGAATGTTAATAAGGTTGATGGTGAGAGAGAAGGAAAAACAAGAGTGATATGCCAAAGCTTGGAAAATTACTAGGCATAACGTGCTATTGGCACGAAGGACCCCATTTTATGCCTGTCTGACCAATCTCAAGCCTTCATCAATAACCACACCTGATTAATTACACTGTGGTAGCCAAAGAAACCAGCAGAATAAAAATGTGCCCTTTTGGATGGGGAATGGGCAACTACATCATCGGTATTCCTTGTGGTCTGCTCTTTTCTTTTGAAAGACAAAGCCCTGGAATGTGGTCCTACTGTATGCCAAGAGGCAGTCTGTGGAAGACCATCACCTGTCAGGCTAATCTCACACTGATTCACTCACTCACTTTTGTGCACCATCCTTACTACCGTTCGAATTTAACCTCATAGAGTTAGCAAAGCCTTAGAGCAAGCTATAACGTCTCATGCCTCAGTTTTCCTACCTGGAAAATGGAGAAAATAATGTCTACATCATACGAGTGTTAAGAAACCTGCGTGAGTTAGTGCCTGTAAAGCACTTAGAAAAAACGTTGACAGACACATACATGGTAAGCACTTAATGCACAGTTATCTATTATTATTGCCATTGAAGATGGAAAGGTGTTTTGTTCCTGGGCTTATGGATTCTTTCTTATCTTTTCCTTATCACTGACTTTATAGATTGGAAAGGATCTTGATCTAACTCTACTCTTTTTAAGCAATTTTATAACTTCAGTTCTTGCTAAATTTGTAACGTGAATAAACTACAACAAAAACTAATAATGAGAAGTATGTTTGGAGTCAGACACACCTGGGTGTTTAGATCTAACTTCTGGTTCTTTATTAACTAATTTAGGGATATGGGGCAAATGGCTTAACTTCTTTGCACCTTGTATTACTTACCTCTAAATAGAGAATGATCCCTAATGTCACTGTGCTCATCTGAGCTAAATTGATAATACATATGTAAAAGTTATTTAATCCTTTATGGGTATGTGGTAATCAGTAGCTTCATTTCATAAACTTTGTTGAATGAATTGATTTAAAAATCCTAATAATAATGATGGGCCAGGCACAGTGACTCATGCTTGTAATCCTAGCAATTTGGGAGGCCAATGCGGGCAGATCACTTCAGGCCAGGAGTTCCAGACCAGCCTGGCCAACGTGGTGAAACCTTGTCTCTACTAAAAAATACAAAAATTAGCCAAGCATGATGGTGTACACCTGTAATCCCAGCTACTTGGGTGGCTGAGGTACAAGAATAACTTGAACCTGGGAGGTGGAAGTTATAGTGAGCCAAGATCCCACTGCTGCACTCCAGCCTGGGCTACACAGTGAGACCCTGTCTCAAAACAACAAACCCTAAGTAATAATGATGACAAACATTTAAAAAATACCTACTCTGTGTCTGATACTATACAGATAATACATTGCCTAATCTTCACAGCAATCATAGAGGTAGCTACTATTATCAACCTCAATTTACAGAGGAAGTCAAACTAAGAGAGGTAAGATAGTTTATTTATGAGCACATAGGGGCTCATATTCAGGCAGTCTTGACTCTAGAGCCTGTGCTTATAACCGTTATACCTTATGGCTTTGTGACCAAATCAGATATTCCATCAGGTCTAGCCTTTGGCCTGGAGATAATCAACTTTTTTGTTTATAGAGCAAAAGTGGCATTATAGAAGTATAGGTGTAAATTTTGTTGTTGATGGATCTTTTCTTTCAATAGATTTGGATGGGTGGAAATAATACACAGATATCATTTTTCTTAAAATTAGCATATCACTGCAAGTTAGACTTACTATACCTGTATGAGGAAATAATAAATAAAATATATTTTTTAAAGTAAATTAGGGCAGCTTGATTTTTCTGACTGCATTCCGGCTAATACTCACCCACATAGCTGTGTGGGTGCTATGTAGGATGCTATAAGCTCTGTTTGCTGGGGGATATTTAGCCTTTGCAATGAAGTGTGTGGATGGGGGTGAAGATTATCAATTTAAGTATGCTGACTTATATCTTTTTGTCTTTAGACCCCAGAAGAACTAGAGGATGATTCTGACTTTGAGCAGGAAGATTATGATGTGCGTAGCAGGACAAGTGTTCAGACTGAGGATGACCAGCTCATTGCAGGGCAGAGCGCACGGGTGAGTGGACACCTAAGACTTTGGCTTGGCACACAGGGACCGTGTTTACTAAAATGGTTTGAGGGTATTTCTAAACTCCAGACACGTGGTACCCCAGAGATTCATGGGTCAGAAATCTGTGCTCTCATCTGAGGTTGTTTATAGCAAATCACATTTTACACAGTGAAAATAACCACCACTGCTCCTGATTCCTCTAACTCCTCTCTTTTGCTATCACTGGAAACATAGCAACCACATCACAGCAAGCTTTTATGTGTATAATTGATTTTGTTGGGTTTGGGTACTAGAATTAGATGATAGACTGATAGGGGACACTGGAATACTCAAATTTTGCATTGGCACAGTCACCATTGTTCTTCCTGAAGTCTCCAAGCTTGTCAACACAAGAGGCAATGACAAATGAGGAATCAGGGCACTACTTTGTTTATAGCTGGGCTGTTGCTCCATACAATGGCCTATGTTCTATGATATCTAAGACCGTATCTTTTGAAATTGGTTCAAGGCCATTAGATAGAGAACTTTTTCTTTCCTCATGATGCCTGTCTACTCCCATGGTGGTATTCCTAGATCTGTCTGCCATATGATAGAAAAATAGAGACAAATTAGAAATATTCAAGTTTAAGGCAAGGATCAGGAAGCAACAGAGAGAGTACCAGCTCTGCCTGACATTTGAGTACTCCATGATACTGTTCACCAATGCATTTGGTCTAAAGAGCATCCTAAATTTGGATCAATCTGATTTGCTGTATCACCCAGAGAGTAGGTGTACGTAATCAAGGCCGGTGGTAAGAGATGAAATCTTTAGAGACTGCATAGGACGATGAAATTTTCCTCCCCTTAAGGGCTCAGTTTCCAAAGAGTAAAAACAATCAGATTATAGTATAACTGAGAATTAGATATTCTAATTTTCTTTGTTAAGTTTTATTTAAATAAAAGATAATGAATAGAAAGCAAGAGGTTGAGAAAGAGAAGGTAATTTAAAATAGAAATTGGGAAACGCCAGAAAGCCCACACTGCCTTAAGAATTATGAAAGAAAAATAATCAGAGGTTAAAATAAAGAGGACTTGAGGGAGATGTTTAGTCAAGAAAGACTTTGTGTCTAAAACCCAGTTTCTCTTATGTGCTTTATGCCCTGATATTCTCACTCAACAATCAAGTGACCCAAAAGATATAAACAAACATTAATAGGAGGGATGTGAAGGTTAAAGAATATTAAAGACAAAGCCTTTGATTTCAGACAGATTTGGTTTTGAATTATAAAGGGCAGCATTAGAACCATGCTCAAAGCTACATGTTGCTTGATTTTTCAGTTTCAGACCTCTCTCTAAAATGCGAATAACAGGGTTACCTGATAGGATTCTTATGAAGATTTAATTACTTAATATTTGTAAAATAATAGGCACAATATTAGACATTCAGTAAGTGCTCGATAAAGATGACCGTGATAATTATCATCCTTTCTAAGAGAAATCCTTTCCGATCACATGATGGTGGGACAACAGAAAAGTTGGCATAGAGCCCCCTATTTCAAAAATTCCTTGCAGACTCTATTTAATCCCCCCTAAAATGTTGAAAATTGGAAAGGTCAGTAACTTGAAAATCTTTTGACTCTGTGTTGGCAAAACGTCAGATGAATTAAACAGTCAATTCATCTTCAGAATTAAGTAAAACCAGCATTGTTATGTCACTGACAAAGGGCAATTTTGAGTAATTCATCCAAACATGAAGCAATTCAAAGTCAATTTAATTGACTAACTGCAACTCAGTATACATACAGCCTAGTATCCACTGACTAGTTTTCTTAAAGACAAAGACAGGTTGTACAACTCATCTTGCTTTATAAGCACCATCTTGTCAAAATGGCATGAACAGTCCCACTTTTACAAGGAAGAATAGAGTCGCAATATACTTCTGTTTCATTGGGAACCTAATTCTAGTCTCATTTACATTAGACTTCAAGTCAATGATGATGGGTGGAAATACAATTTGGAGACTCCTGTCTTTATCATCTATTATTTCTTCACACTAGTGTCTTTTCTGAGAGTTTTTTTCAGCATGAATTATAAACAGGGTCCAAGATAGTAAGAACAGAGCACTCCTACAAATTCAGCACTTGCTCATTTGACTTTGAGGTCTATCATGTGGTCTGTACGATTAAGTTGCAGCAGACAGCATTACTTACTGAGTCAGCCTATTTTAGCCTGTAATTATATGATGACAAATCAGAGACATGGAATTATGGCTGTTAAGTTGGAAATAAGAGGGTGCATTGAATTGCTGAAATGATAGATGGTCAGACTTTTGACCAGCAAAGTGTGCTAAGTTGGTCCAAATTTTGAAGGAGGCGAACTTTGTCTTTGACAGAGGCATTTGCTCTTCCCTGCAGCAAGTCCTCCCATGTTAATGATATTACTTTGTGTTCACATTTAGAGAAAGTCTCCCTTTCTAAAAATGGTAAATTAATCTATAAGAAGGTTTGAGTGGGAGATAAGCTTTTAGTAACCCCATCCAACATTGCTCTCAAATTCTGGAATTAAAGTATTTCAAAAATGTCCTTTATATGCCCATATCTGCTGCTTGCCTACAACATTCTGAGGGAGAGGAGATAGGGGGCGGGGGGCGGTTTAGGAGGGGGGAATGAATGGGAATCAATATGGATGGTGGTGATCTGATAAAATATGGAGGTGATCTTACCCTTTGATCCTAGACATGACATAATATAAACTGTTTCTCCACAGTCTGGCATAGTTAAAATAGGTTAGTGACAATTGCTAGGCACTTAACCTTGGTGATACAATATATTATTTGGAGTCACACAGACCTGATTTTAAATATGGACTTAGTGAAGCTGTGTGACTTTGGGGCAACTTTCTTAACCTCTCCACACTTCATCTCCTCGTATGCTACCACATAAGGTCGTAGGGAGAATTCCATGATAAAATGTATCACAGGATTTATCATATAAATATGTAATAATTAAGTTGGTGGTAATGGTGATGATGCTTGTGGCTTGAGCTAATCATTCATTAGAAGGCTGACTAAATAATTTCACCTAAAAGAGTTGGATCATTCAGGCAATCATGAGAGTTTTTACTTGAGTTAATGGGACAACTACCTCAATTTTCCAATTCACTTCACAGCTAGAGACTGGTAAGAATCAAAGGACCCACTCCTTAACTACTTATTATACTGCTTTAAAGTCAAGTAAGTAGAAACAGGCACATTGAGTTTTAGTCCCTTTAATTGTTATTTATAAACATTCTTGTACTTGAAACTTAATGTTAGCCTCTTGCTCTAGGCTAAGAAATGAACACTTGTCAGTTTGGGGACCCATAGACGTTAAAAATCATTTTTTTCTCTGGAAATTGGAAGATAATTATATCAAAATCTCCTTGAGATTTAAATTGAAGAATGGATTCAGTGCTATCTGAATGGTTGTTTCCTTTTATCAGTGATTTTCACTTTTAGTGTAATAGGTATAGTTTATAACAATCACCGAAAAATGGTTGGTGGTTCAGAGGAAAGGCTGGGAGGGACTCTGGGGTAGGGGGAAGGAATCCTTTTGGATTAATATCTCTGATACCACTAATTTGGAACCCCACATCAGGCAGATCAACAATTTGGAGAGCTGTGCTTTGCTACTGTGAAAAGCAGAAACTTCAACCTGTCCTGGGTAATCATATCATACAAACAAAATCTGATATGTTCCCTTTCCTCTTGGCCATGAAGATAATTTTTCTCATGTTCCCTTAGTTTGAGGGAATGAACAATTGCATGTTATGTATTTTATATTGAGTTTGATTTCAATGTAGCTGGCTTCTATTTTTTTCTAGCTAGAATGGCCTTAATGTGTTAACATTTCAAACTGCTGAGTTACATTGATAAGACCTAATTAAAACTCATGTGTTGAATTCTAATTTGATTAACTTGCAAATTTCACAGTTTGTGATCTACTGTTTATAGATAACCTTTTTTTAAATTCCAGTTTCAGAAAAGGTCAATTATGAATTTTTAAAAGCAAGAGCATTTTAAGAATATTTAGGAAGAGACTTCAGCTCATTGATAGCTACATAAGCAGAAGCAAATGGAAAGATGCTTTCACCCAAGTCACACACCATTAAGTGTATTATGCAGGTCGAGCACCCCTAGAGTCAAAATAATATCTTCCTTTGCAAACTTGCATTGGAGGGGATAGTTTTTCTTCAGAATTGTGTCCTTAGAATGTGTGTGTCCGTTCTGGCAACTTCTCTTGAGTTATGTTAATGCAGTGAGTGGAAAAATGTTTAAGCAGTCAAAAGATGTTTATTAAGCTTCTACTCTGGGCAGGATATGGCAGCCTAAACCCTAGGGAAGCATATAAAGAAGTTAGCAGTAGGGCATTAATAGGAATTAATTAGAGAGCAAAGCAAAGCAGTTAATATTCAAGTGCTAAATTGTATTATGGAGATGCAAGTGCTATAGTTGACAGAGAAGTATACACTTTTCAGTGCACAAATTAACCTTGTGTTGGGACAATGAAATGTGCATTGCTTTTCATCTGGGGATTGAACATTGAGTCTGGGAGTCTGCTGGTAGTTTTACGGATTCTTTTTCAGAGAAGCACCTAGCGAATGTTTTAAATGATGCTGGTTTAGGACCTGTGAGGTCTAAGTAAAGCATGATTCGCTCTTCTGTATGAGGAGGACAATAAACCAAAAACAGCAATAGGTCATCAGAAAGGAATAGTTAAGGAAAAAAGTGCATATATAATTTCTGTAAATCAAACATATCTCAAATATAGTGGAATAGCTGTCTTGCTATGAACACAACATTGCAAATGTGAGCTTACAATAAACTCTTGTATATCAAGCACCTTTTCAAATACAGTTTTTAAAGCTACTTTATCTTTCAAGATATAGTATTTTAGATATCTTAATAGTATTCATACAAGTCTGGATTTTTAAATATGGATTAAAATTTACACGTACACACGCATATCCAAACATACATACACATGCTATTTAAAGCCACATACATGTATCCATGGAAGTCAGTAGATGTGGCTACTAGTAAGAAGCATCTGGGCAGCCACGGGTTCAAGGATACCTTTAGTCAAATCAGACACCATAGGCAACTCATGTCTATGGCATCCACCAGGATGCACAGTGTGGCGAGCAGTGCTAGTGATATCAGTGACCCTTGCCCCACTTGGTTGAGGACCCCAGGACAGTGGGTAAGTTGCATGGCCAGGCACAACTGATGATCCAGTTGTGTAGAGTGGTTAAGAATGATCTTAGTTCAGGTGGGTTTGAATCCTATTCCTAGAGCCTATTGTGTGATATTAGGAATTCTATGAATTTCTCTAGGCCTAGATATTATTATTAAAATGGGGATAGTAATAGTATCAGAATGATTAAGTAGATTGTTATTTGACATACATAAGCCTCAGCACAGTACCCAGTACTTGTGGATATACATAAGGAATCATAACAATCTTCTATTTGTAGATAGTTGCATAGACCCCGAGCCCATCCCTTTCCCTATAGCAACTAAGAAATGAGCCAGAGGGGTAGTTGGAAAGGCAAATTAATGGCAGCAGTTATAATATAATGTTAATGATAATTCTATACATGCTTACTTTCATTTTATTTGAAAAAACACATATTATTTAATTTGCTGCCCACCATCACCTTTTGAGGTAATTATTTACTATGCCCATATTCTATCTGAAGAGATCAACGATAGATCCATGTAACAGTGAAGTCTTAACCCATGTCAGCTACAGAGCCCCTGTTGAACCCAGTTCTTCTGAGCTCACATTGCCTGATACCTCTATTAGACCTTAGTTATAGTCCTTCCAAATTTATTCACTCACACAGGGAGAAGATTTATAATTTAGGAAGCATTTTTCTTGTGTTATTTTACTTGTTCATTGCAGAAACTGCAGTCCCCCAAACTGTACCCTCTTGGTCTGTCTTATGGAAAATATGTGCATCCTAGAAGCAGGGGAATTGGAAGTACCTATTCACATTCCCCTGTCTGTGAAGCAGGTTGCATACAGTTTTGGGAGGATGTGATACGGTGATGACAGACATTTCATTCGGGGCTTGCTACCTAAATGGTGTTTAACAAATATAGTTGATTCTCATTACTCCTGATAGTTATGTTCTATAAAGTCATCATGAACATTTAATTAGCAAATATTTAATCATTGGTCCTAGGGGAAATACAGCAGTAGATTCCTCAGAGCTGCCAGTCAAGACATTTTCTTCAACTGATCAATAAGTAACTATGTTTAATGGGTGTTTCTGTTTAGACACTTTATATTTTTGATTCATTAACATTGAACTCACAGCCAATAACTCTGTAACTCATGCCTGATTGAAGCTTAACTAACACATGTGTTTTCTCCATAAGGCACATGCCCGCCTTCTCGTGCTCGGGGACACTAGACGCACTTCAGCACCATGCTTGGAGCCATTTTAAACAGCAAAGTTACTAACAAAAAGCACAAAGATATGAAAAATGTAGCATTAAATAGACTGCAAAAAGTACACTTGTTTACAGTACGAGAGCTGAAAAAGGAAGGCAGAGCATTGCCTTGTTCAACCTCATCTGGGAATGTGCATGTCACGCAACTCAATTTTTTTGCTGCTCTGCCCACATTTGCAAATGACCACGAAAATGCTACAAGCCTTGATTTTGGGGTTACAAGTATATTTTAGAGAGTAGGCAAATTGGCAAATGAAGAATCCATGAATAAGAAGACTGCAGTTCTCCTTTTTCTACATTTTCTTACCTAGCAGTTATTGAAAATGAACCCATGCTTCCTAATTTTATCCTTTATCCCATTATAACTTTTCTGCCTACGTACTCAAAGGCTTTAACAAGGAGCCGCAGGCATGCCACCACCCTAAAGGAGATGGGGGAGGGCTGAGAGTAGGCACACCGTCCCTGGAGTGCCCTGGGCAGGGGATTTTTGTTGGGCATCTCTCTGTAGACACCTTCACTTACACTCATAGAAAGTAGCCCCATCCTCCCCCACTTGGATGCTCAGATAGTGTTTAAAATTCCTATCCTTTCCAGCGACAGAAGGCCGTTTTTCTTTTTTTCCCTTCTCTGAACAGATTTCAGTGTTGAAAGAGGTGCATTCTTTCATCTGGTAAAAGTTTCCTGAGACCAAATATAAAAATTGTCAAGAATAGCTTCTTTTGAACAAACATATGCCATCAAAGCGGCAGAGAAGTTCTGTTATTGCCAGTGCGCACGTAGCTTTGGATATCTCTGTATTTTTCATATATGGGAGTGGGACGGGGACTTTGGGGAGCTTATCAGCCTGTGCTCGTGGCCTCCCTGGAATGGAGAAAGACGTGCTTTCCGGAATGGCAGGGTAGCTCATAAGCCTTTGCAGGGTCTGGCTCTGCCATCCGCAGAAGGCAGAGTCAACATACGGTCTGTACTTCCTTTGTCACCGTCACTCACGCTTTTTCTGTAACCCACGCAGGCCATCATGGCGCAACTACCGCAGGAGGAGAAGGCAAAAATAGCTGAGCAGGTGGAGATATTCCATCAAGAGAAAAGCAAGCTGGATGCAGAAGTGGCCAAATGGGACGACAGCGGCAATGATATCATTGTACTGGCCAAGCAGATGTGTATGATCATGATGGAAATGACAGACTTCACAAGGTGAGGCCCAGAGCCAGGGAGCTGAAGATTTTTTCATTAAACCCAGAAGTGTAGCAGTGTGTATTAGCATGTGAAAGCCTGCTGAAAAATTAAAATATACCAACGCAAGGTGGTGGTATTATAAATTTACATGTATAAGTCAAAATGATCTGCACTTAATTCCTAGCAGATAGGTATATCTTTTTGGTCAAGGAGAATAGATTCAATGTTGTAATTATTGTTGTTATAATTATCTACCCTAAGGCAGTCATAAAATCAAACCCCGAGGGACGGGTGACTCATCTTTGGTCTGTGCTATTTTGCAATATGCTTAAGTATTATTCTGAAGATAAAGTGAATGATTTGTTAATATACCTTTGGAAAAATATGTACCTCTGTGTGTGTGTGTGTGTGTGTGTGTGTGTGTGTGTGTGTGTGTGTGCGCGCGCGCGCATGTATACATATAGTATGTTGTAATATTAGCTTGTGATCTAGCATTAATTTAAGCTCACATTTTATTCTTACATATTAAGAATCAGATACAACAATCTAAGATTCCATTGTTTTCACAGAGAAATTAAAGTTGTATAAGATTTATTTCCTTTAGCTCTGAGCTAGTACCTTTGACAAATCAAGTGACCAGTCAGAATTTTGTCAGGAGACTTTTCTTCAACAAGGGTTAGTGCTCTTTTCTATCATTGCATTTTGGTCTCTTCTTTAAAAGAAGATGATATCTCTGCCCTTTCAACACAAAGGACAAACCAAGGGAGAGCAAAACTCAGTAGGAACCTCCCTGAATTTTGAGTCAGAATATCAGGTGATTTGGGGGCAAGTCTCTTACTCTCTATTTGCGAAATGGTGAAATAACACTTGTCTTATCAACTTCAGAAGAGAGTTTTAAAATCCAAAGAGATAATGCAAGTATAAATTATGCTGTTATACAGATATAAACTATGGTTTTACTGTAGTGTTTTTTTTTCTGGAAAACACACATATGCAAAGATGTTTTAATGATTTAACGTGGCATTTGTTATTGAAATAATGTAAGATATATGGGAATGTCAAGACATCATCTGATGGGTGACAACTTTTTTTAATGGTTGTTGAATGCTTCTAATGAGAAAAGGCTAGAATTGATTATAAGTTATAATTTAATATGGAACATCTCTGCGTCACCCCCTTTGCCTCTGGCCAATATGTACTAATGACATAGCTTGGCCCTTTTTCCCAATATTTTAAAATTGTTTTTTTTACTTCAGTGGAATGATTTTACTGTTATGAAGGAGCCCTTTGAGACTTTTAAATGTCATTGTATTCATTAGAAGTTCATATTTGTACATTTGGTTAGTCTTTGTGGACTTCACACATTTATTTCACAAAGCGTAACAGCAGGAAAAAAGTCTGAGCCATTATTTCAGCCTGAAACTTCTACAAATCAGACGATTATGGCAGCCTCAGTCACTGTTTCTCAAGGCCTGTGATGACTTAATTTGCTTGCTTTCAACATTTTATTAGTACTTTACCTGATGGTTATTATCCAGTCCATTAATAGCATCACTTGAACAAATAATCTCAGTAAAGTGAATAATGACTCTGGTCATGTTACTAGTTTTGATCAGGAGCACATTTTATAATTCTCTAGATTATATAACTGTGGTCAAGGCACAGTTATGAAAGATATATTTGAGGGGTCTTGTTACATGGTGTTAAATAAGACACATGTCTGTTAGTCAAAGTATAGTTTTAAAAGTGAGAAGAAGGTGTCTTCAGTTTCATAGGGATTTCATATCATTATGCTGATTTAAATAATGAAATGTCTAGGGAGCTACTAGTTACAATTTTTCCCACTGCATGATGAGTCGTTTTGTGTTCTTTTTGTTAGGGCAAAGGGAGGAGTATAGTAATGAATGACTGGAGAACCAGAGTAGACTGTGCGTTTGAAATGCAACACAGGAAGTTGAGGCTTCATTGCTGCCTCCATCTGCACAGCCTGTTTTTTTTTTTTTTTTTTTTTGCAAACAGACAGCTGACTAGTGCCTTTCTTTGTGGCCTCTCACCTAAGTTCACTATATTTGACCTTATACATTGTTATTATTGCCCTTCCACTTGCATATTCCACTTCAAGGAGGAATAATTTTAGCTCCATAACTCTAAACATTCTTAAGTACCATTTTCTCTTATTTAAAGAATGGATGTAGCTGATTAGGAATTGAAACTTGGCCACTCTCCATAATGTGTATGTGTAAAGGGCATGTGGGTACACAATACCCTGGCATTTATTATCTTGTTGTTTTATTCTTATCACTAGCTAATTCATTAATTTGATTCAGTAATCTCAATGATATTCACTCCATTGTTATTAAAATTGGGAGGGTTCTGCCTCATTATATGTGTAATAACTTCTTCATGGAAGATAAAACTGATTAGGCCTCATGTCTTTTTCCCACTCAGTTCTTGACTTCCATCTCATGGACAATGGCAGAAGCACCATCCTGCATGGAGTGAATGCATGCTTTTCTTTTCATGTCATTTTTCAGAAAGAAATCGCATGTTGCTAGTCTTGTGTCCCAATAACAAAAGGCGTGCAGATAGCAACAGCTCAAGTTTAATTGTACAGCAAAGAGCAAAGCTGTTTTTAGAATCAAACTTAAGTTCTAATCTTCAACAGTTTTGAGACTAAGAAAAAAAAACTTTCAGAGTACAACTGACTGTAAAATACTGAGCACTAGACTCAAAAATCATATAATCATTCTATATTTCCCAAACTTGATTTTCTGGCTTACTTCACATGCTCAGTACCTCAGCTTAGGGAGCGCTTTACTGGTCTTTCAGTTCCAATTCTCTACTCATCCAGGCCACATCTGCTCAGTGAAGGGCAACCATCCAGCTTCCTTTGCACCAAAAGTTTCGTTAGTTCCTGTTTTCACAAAATAAAAATCCTTGTGTTTGCTCTCCAAGGCCTACCTTTCTTGACCTTTAGGCTTCTGTCCTAATTTTGTACATGTTTAACATCTGACCTTACAACCTATTCCAAAAAGTACCTGGAATAGTTCAACTTGTGATTCTGCAGTTCCACCTGAGTTCTCGAAATTCCCCAGATTCACTCAGCTGTTCTACTGTGCTGTCTTCATACTGCTTCAGCTGATTAGTGAAATGCAGCTCATTAGTAAAATTTCCCAAACATATTCAGAAGCCTCTGAAAAGTGACTTTTATGGTTCGATACATTTGCAAATACCCTTTTTATGTGCTATATCTCATTGGAGAGTCACATTTGGTATTAACATGTTAGAGGTATTGAGAAGGCATAAAAAATACGTTGGATTAACTCAGAATTTGAATTTTGAATATTAACTATATTAACTCAGAATATACTGAGGCATAGATTTTTCACCTTAGTACTTATTACCTTCTCACAAAATAAATGTGAATTAGTTCATAAATGGTGATGTGACAGCAGTAATGCGGTAATACTTTTCCTTGACTTTCTTTTTTGGAGTGACCACTTCACGGGAAAGACTCCAGATACTGACCTTTGCATCAGAATTACCTATGTCCTAAAGAGAGAAGGTTTCAAGAATCTATATAAGTAGAGATAATTATATGACTTGATGCTCTTTCCAAGGAAACTAAAAACATACTCCAGATGGGACAATATGATTGCTCCTGCATTAAGAACATGAGATTACCCATAGCATCTTTTACAAACCCACAAAATAGAAAATCTGGTCTAAGGTAGGAAAACACAAGGGCTGTGGGTCGCAATTTTAAAATGGGGAGATACAACCAACGTGGCCAGTCTTCTTGTCGATATTGTCTTCCACGGATAGGAAGACTCAAACTTCTGACGCTTTCATGGATGTGATTTTTTTTTTCTTTTGTTTTTTTGTTTGTTTGTTTGTTTTGCTGTTGGCTATTTGTTTCTTGTTTCAGTCCCCACCTCACATTATCTAAATGACTGTAGCTCATTTTGACTTGTGCTGTCCAATACAGTAGCCACTAGCCATATATGACTACTTAAATTGTTTTTCTATTATGGTATACATCATGAAGTTTACCATCTCAATCCTTTGTAAGTGTACATTTCTATGGCATTCAGTACATTTACACTGTTGTGCAACCATTACCACCCTCCATCTCCAGAACATGTTCATCTTCCTCAACAGATACTCTGTACTTACTGAATGTAAACTCCCCATCTGCCTTCCATTTCTATGAATTTGACTAATACAGGTATCTCACATCAGTTGAGTCACACAATATTTGTCCTTTTGTGACTGGCTTATTTCATTTAGCATAATGTCTTCAAAGTTCATGCATATATTGTAGCATATACTCAAATGCGTTTCCTTTTAAAGGTTTAATAATGTTCCATTGAATGCATGTACCACCCACATTTTCTTTATCCACTCATCTCTTAATAAGCACTTGGGTTGCTTCCACCTTTTGGCTATTATGAATAATGCTGCACTGTACATGAGTGTATAAGTATGTAAGTTCCTGCTTTCATTTCTTTTAAGTGTATACCCAGAAGTGGAATTGCAGGATCATATAGTAATTCTTTTAAATGTTTGAGGAATCACAATATTATTTTTCACAGTGGCTGCACCATTTTACATTCCCACCAGCAATACACAAGTGTTCAAATTTTTCCACAATGGTCAAATTTCTCCACATCCTTGCCAAAACTTGTTTTCTGTTTTTTTCTTGATAGTAGCCATCCTAATGGATGTGAAGTGGTGTCTCATGGTGGTTTTAATTTGTATTTCCCTAATGATTAATTATGTTGAACAACTTTCCTATGCTTATTGGCATTGTATATCTCCTTTGGAACAATGTCTATCCAAGTCTTTTGCCCATTTTTTAGTTGGGTTGTTTGTTTGCTTTTTTGTTGTTGAGTTGTAGGAGTCCTTGGTATATTCCGGATATTAATTTCTTATCAGGAATTACAAATTCCTGATAAAGAATTACTATTTTCTCTCATTTTATTGGTTTCTTTTTCACTATTTGTTGATAGTGTTCTTTGACACACACAAGTTTTTAATCTTGAAGTTCAACATCTTTTTTTTTCTTTTGTTGCTTATACTTTTGGTGTCATATGCAAGAAATTATTACCAAATCCAATGTCATGAAGTTTTCTCCTGTGTTTTCTTCTTTGAGTTTTATACTTTAGTTCTTATGGTTAGGTCTTTCATCCATTTTTAGTTAATTTTTAAATGAGGTATAACATGAGGACTGCTGCTGCTTTTGCATGTAGATAATCCAGTTTTACCAGCACCATTTATTGAAAACACTGCCCTTTTCCAAGACCCAAATCTTAGCAAAAATCTTAGTACCTTTGTGGAAAATCATTTGACCTTATATATATATATAAGGATCTATTTCTGAACTCCATTCTATTCCATTGGTCTCTATGTCTGTCTGTATGCCAGTATGACACTATTTTGATTATAGTAAGTTTTAAAATCAAAAATTGTGAGGTCTCCAATTTTTGTTCTTTTCAAGATTGCTTTGGCTATTTGTGTTGCCTTGAGAGTCCATGTGAATTTTAGGATGGATTTTTAAATTTTGGCCAAAATGCCTTTGGGTTTTGATAGGGATTACAGTGAATCTGTAGATCTCTTTCAGTAGTATTGACATCTTAATATTAAGTCTTCCAATCCACATTTATTGAATGACTTTCCATTTATTTTTGTAATTTCAACAATATTTTGTAGTTTTCAGCATGCAAGTCTTCTGACTCCATGGTTAAGCTTATTCCTAAACATTTTATTTTTTTGATACTGTTCTAAATGGAGTTATTTTCTTCATTTTCTTTTAGGATTTTTTTATTTACTAGTGTCTAGAAACATTTTGTATCCTGCAACTTGCCTGAATTCAATTATTAGTTTTACCAGGACTTTTTTTAAAGAATCTTAAGCATTTTCTACATGTAAGATCATGTCACCTGTTAACAGAGATAATTTTGCTTCTTCCTTTCCAATTTGAATGCCTTTTAGTTCTTTAACTTGCCTGATTGCACTGGCTGGGATTTCCGGTACTATGTTGAATAGGAGTGGCAAGAGCAGGCATCCTTGCTTTGATCCTGGTCTTAGAGGTAAAGCTTTTATTATTCACCATTGAGTATGAATAAAGTAAGCTGTGGGTTTTAAAATTTTCATTAAGATGAAATAAAACTGAAACACTGTTTGACAGTTTTTTTTAAAGCTAAAAACCTGTGGTGGTATTTCTGAGGTCTCTGTTATGTTCTGTTGGTGTATATGTGTGTTTTGGTACCAGTACCATGCTGTTTTGGTTACTGTAGCTTTGTAGTTTAGTTTGAAGTCAGGTAGCATGATGCCTCCAGCTTTGTCCTTTTTGCTTAGGATCGTCTTGGCTATACAGGCTTTTTTTGTTTCACATGAAATTTAAAGTAGTTTTTTTCTAATTCTGTGAAGAAAGTCAATGGAAGCTTGATGGGAATAGCATTGAATCTATAAATTACTTTGGGCAGTGTGGCCATTGTCACAGTATTGATTCTTCCTATCCATGAGCATGGAATGTTTTTCCATTTGTTTGTGTCCTCTCTTATTTCCTTGAGCAGTGGTTTGTAGTTCTCATAGAAGAGGTTCTTCACATTACTTATAAGTTGTATTCCTAGTTATTTTATTATCTTTGTAGTAATTGTGAATGGAAGTTCACTCATGATTTGGCTCTCTGCTTGTCTATTGTTGATGTGTAGGAATGCCTGTGATTTTTGCACATTGATTTTGCATCCTGAGACTTTACTGAAGTTGCTTATCGACTTAAGGAGTTTTTTTGGGCTGAGACAAGGTTGTTTTTTTTTTTTTTTTTTTTTTTTTTTTTTTTTTTTTTTTTTTTTTTTGAGACGGAGTCTCGCTCTGTTGCCAAGGCTGGAGTGCAGTGGCGTGATCTCGGCTCACTGCAAGCTCCACCTCCCGGGTTCATGCCATTCTCCTGCCTCAGCCTCCCGAGTAGCTGGGACTACAGGTGCCCGCCACCATGCCCGGCTAATTTTTTTGTGTGTTTTTAGTAGAGACGGGGCTTCACCGTGTTCGCCAGGATGGTCTTGATCTCCTGACCTCGTGATCTGCCCACCTTGGCCTCTCAAAGTGCTGGGATTACAGGCCTGAGCCACCGCACCAGGCCAACAAGGGGTTTTTCTAAGTACACAATCATGTCATCTGCAAACAGAGACAATTTGACTTCTTTTCTTTCTATTTGAATACACTTTATTTCTTTTTGTTGCCTGATTGCCCTGGCCAGAACTTCCAATACTATGTTGAATAGGAGTGATGAGAAAGGGCATCCTTGTCTTGTGTCCGGTTTTCAAAGGGAATACTTCCAGCTTTTGCCCATTCAGTTTGATATTGGGTATGGGTTTGTCATAAATAGCTCTCACTATTCTGAGGTATGTTCCATCAATGCCTAGTTTGTTAAGAGTTTTCAACATGAAGTGATGTTGAATTTTATCGAAGGCCTTTTCTGCTTCTATTAAGATAATCATGGTTTTTGTCACTGGTTCTGTTTATGTGATTAATTACATTTATTGATTTGCCTGTGTTGAACCAACCTTGCATCCCAGGGATGAACTCAACTTGATCATGGTGGATAAGCTTTTTGATGTGCTGCTGGATTCAGTTTGCCAGTATTTAACTGAGGATTTTTGCATCGATGTTCATCAGGGATATTGGCCTCGACAACCATCTGATCTTTGACAAACCAGACAAAAACAAGCAATGTGGAAAGGATTCCCTATTTAATAAATGGGTACTGGGAAAACTGGCTAGCCATATGCAGAAAACTGAAACTGGACCCCTTCCTTACACCTTATACAAAAATTAACTCAACGTGGACTAAAGACTTAAATGTAAAACCCAAAACCAAACAAACAAACAAACAAAAACCCTAGAAGAAAACCTAGGCACAACCATTCAGGACATAGGCGTGGGCAAAGACTTCATGACTAAAACACCAAAAGCAATTGTAACAAAAACCAAAATTGACAAATGGGATCGAATTAATCTAAAGAGCTTCTCCACAGCAAAAGAAACTAGCATCAGAGTGAACAGGCAACCTACAGAATGGGATAAATTTTTTATAAATTACCCATCTGGCAAGGGTCTAATATCCAGAATCTACAAGAAACTTAAACACATTTACAAGAAAAAAAACACCACCTTCAAAAAGTGGGCAAAGGATATGAACAGACACTTGTCAAAAGAAGACATTTATGTGGCCAACAAACATAAAAAAAGCTCATCATCACTGATCATTAGAGAAATGCAATTCAAAACCACAATGAGATACCATCTCATGCCAGTCAGAATGGCGATCATTAAAAAGTCAGGAAACAATAGATGCTGGCAAGGCTGTGGTGAAATAGGAATGTTTTTACACTGTTGGTGGGAGTGTAAATTAGTTGAACCATTGTGGAAGACAGTGTGGTGATTACTCAAAGATCTAGAACCAGAAATAATACCATTACTGGACATACACCCAAAGGATTATAAATCATTCTACTACAAAGACACTTGCATATATGTATGTTTATTGCAGCACTATTTACAATAGCATAGACTTGGAACCAACTCAGATGCCCATCAATGATAGACTGGATAAAGAAAATCTAGCACATATACACCATGGAATAGTATCCAGCCATAAAGAAGAATGAGATCATATTAATTGCAGGGACATGGATGAAGCTGGAAGCCATCATTCTCAGCAAACTAACAAAGGAACAAAAAAACACCACATGTTCTCACTCATAAGTAGGAGTTGAACAATGAAAACACATGGACACAGGGAGGGGAACAACACACACTGGGGCCTGTCAAGGGTTGGGGAGCAAGGGAAGGAAGAGCATTAGGACAAATACCTAACACATGCGGGGCTTAAAACCTAGATGACAGGTTGATAGGTGCTGCAAACTACCATGCCACATATAAAGCTATGTAACCTGTACATTCTGCACACATAGCGTAGAACTTAAAGTATAAAAAAAAAAAGAATCTCAAAAAACTAAAAAGGGATTTACTACAGGACCCAGATATTTTGCTCTCAGACATTTATCCAGAGACGTAAAAACTTGTATTCACCCCAAACCCTATACCATAAACAATTACGTCAGGTTTATTTGTAATAGTCCCACACTGGAAACTACTCAAATGTCCTTCATTGGGCAAATGGTTAAATGGTTAAGCAAACTATGTTACATCTATGCCACAGACTACTACTCAGCAATAAAAATGCATGCAATGATTTGGATAAACCTTTAGATAATTATGCTGAGTGAAAAACAGTTATCTCAAATATTTCATACTGTATGATTCCATTTGGATGGCATTCCTGACATAACAAACTTGTAGAGGTGGAGAAGAGATTCATGATTAGGAATATGTTAGGAGTGGGTTAAATGGTATAAACAGTATGAGAGAAACTTGTGGTAATAGTACGGTTCTGTGTCTCAATTGTAGTAGTTACATGAAGCTATACTTACACAAGTGCATAAAAAATAGTGAAAGATGAATATTCCCTATGGATTTTACCGGTATCAATTTCCTGGTTTTGCTATTGTACTGCAGTCATACAAGATATTAACATGAGAAAGGCTGGGAGAAGAGTGAATAGGACATTTCTATACATATCTCTGAATTTCCACAGAATCTGTAATATTTCAAAATAAAAAGTTAAAAATAGAAGACAAACTTAAATAAAATTAAACTTAGTTCCTCAGCCACACTAGCCATATTTTAAGTGTTCTATAATTACATGTGGCTAGTGACTCCATATTGGATAGTGCAGAATTATAGAATGAACATCATTACAGAAATTCTGTTAAAATTGCTATAGGCACTCGGATGTCTGAAGGAGCTTTAGAATCCACTTGAAACCTATGCGATGATAGCATTAAAAGAACATGCTACCCTTGCTACATAAGCCAAATTCAAGGTCTTCTCTTTTAAAGATATGGTTATTATTCCACAGTTATTCTTCAGCTACCAGTAAGGGCAGCCACACAATCTGTTATGTAAGCAAAAGGAAATGAGTAACTTTGGTCCCCTACCTCCAGAAATGGCACAACTATTTTTTTTCTATTTCCCTTCTCTTCTGTTCATGATGTGGGGAAACTGGGTCATGTCACTAACTTTGTGCTCATTTAAAGAAACCTGGGCCTTGAAACTTTCTTAGAAGGGTGTTGCATCATGCTCAGAACACATATGAGATATTCAGGATTTCCCAGATGATTCAAATAATTTTCTTTATTTTACACATGACTTTAACTGCATTTTAGTAGTTCAAAATTTTTTTTAATGTTTATTTATTTTTATACTTTTTAGGGTACACGTGCACAATGTGCCGATTAGTTACATATGTATACATGTGCCATGCTGGTGTGCTGCACCCATTAACTCGTCATTTAGCATTAGGTATATCTCCTAATGCTATCCCTCCCCACTCCCCCCACCCCAAGTAGTTCAAATTTTTATGAATATTTAGACAATAGAATTTGGTAGTTGACAATTTTTCTCATGTTATTTTTCTGGGTATTTTTGCATTCTGTGTTTATATTTTATAGTAATACATTTACTTATACAGAATTTAAAGATAAAAGGGAATAAAATTTAAAAATAAAATTGTTCGGGAAAGGATTAACTTTTCAATGTATTGTCCAGGGACAATTGGTTACTGGTTGGAAAAATAAAGAGTGTGATTCCTATCTCACCCTATACAAAAGGCATAAACTGTAGGTGGATTTAATATCTAAATATAAAAAGGAAACTTTAAAATTTTAGAATAAAATGGAAGGATATTTTCAATTACCTTGGGATAAGGAAGAGCTTCTTAAAGGAATGTATGAAAAGCACAAACAGTAGTGTAAATGATGAATACATTTGACTACAATAAAATTAAAATTTATATTTTAAAAACTGTAAAAAAAAGAAACCTAACATATAGACCAAGACTAGGAGTAATTTGCAGTATAACAAAAGATCAGAATCCAAAATATCTGAAGAGCTTAGATAAGCAATTTAGAAAGAGTCAATAGAAACATATGCAAAAGATTTGAAAAGACAACTCAGAGAAAATATATAAATCATTAATAATGATCAATAAATGATGAAGAGACTCAGTCTCCTCTGTCATAACAGAAATGAAAATTATTTTTTTAATAACCATCAGCTTGACAAGAAAAAGTAAATACATTTTAACGTCTAAACGACTGAACATATCTACAGAAAAATAAATATGCCACTTTCCGCCTCCTTCTGGGCTCAAGCAAACCTCTCACATCAGCCTCCGAGTAGCTGGGACTATAGGATGGTCTTGAGCCCCTGGCAAGTGATCTACCAGCCTCTGCCTCCCAAAGTGCTGGGATTACAGGTGTGAGGCACCTGTCAGTATACGACTTTAATTAAAGTAACTTGTACAACTATCACCCAGCTCAAGAAACCTTCATAAACCTTTTCTAAGTCCCAATACCTTTATTCTCGACTAGTTGTAACTATTACCTTGAGCTTTTTCAAGATCTGATGACGGTCTACAGGGGAAAAAGCCCTGAACTTTGTAGCATTTGCTGATGTCCAGGAAGTAAATATTCCCATTATGGCAGATTTCAAGCTCCCAACATTTCAACTGGCTTGCCCAGTTCCTAAAAACCTAACAAATAATTCTCGTATGTATAAGCCTACTCCAGCACTCATGTCAATTCTGTCATTTCTTTGGGTTTTTTCTTCTTTTTGTCTGTGTGTGTGTACCACCTAAGTGAGCATCTTTAAATAGTTTTGTTTTAGTTGCTTCTGGGAATATCAATATTATGTAACTGAATGAAATTACTTTCCTTCTGATATTCTGGAAGAGTTTAAATAGCATTGAGATTATCTTCTCTTTAAAGGTTTAGTTAACTCCTGTAAGAAACCACCTGGATTTAATGACTTTTTTCTTTCTTTCTTTCTTTTTTTTTTTTTTTGATGAGTTCTATCTGACAACTTTGTTTCTTCCATGGAAATCAGACTGTTTTGATTTTTCAGAATCTCCTTTCTGGTCTGTTTTGATAATTTATATTCTCCTAGAAACTTATTTCATCTGTTTTCACATTTACTTACATATATTTGAGAAAGCAGCTTTGTGATACATTTTTTTGTTTTCTAAGGTTATTGCTGTCTTATCTTTTTTACTTTTGGATATTTTTCTCCTATTATTTCTTGATAGTGTTCTAAATATATTTTCTATATCTTTTTGGTTTAGAGCTAGTTTTAGGATTTATCCATAATTTCTAGTGTTTTGTTTTCTGACACATTAATATCTGTTTGTAATTTTATTAGTTTTTTTCCAACCTCTTCTTTCTGAATTCTTGAGCCATCTATTTAGTTAGTGTTTTTTGTAACTTCGTGTGTATTAATGTATGTAGTTAAGGCTACTTGTTTTTCTCTGAGCACGTTACTTTAGCTGTTAAGAATGAATCATATTTAGAAAAAAAGTGTACTAAATTATGATTCAGGACACACAGACTTCCATCCTGTTTCTCTCTGTGCGTAGCAGTGTCATTTGGGCATGTTACTTTGTCTTCCTCCCTAGATTTCAGCTTCCCCAACTGGAAAATGAGAAAATATTTGATCTCAGAACTTCTATTTTGGTCTCTAATTTTATGAAATATACCCTCATACCCATGTTGCGACTCCAGTAATTTGAATTGAGTCTACAACATGAATTCTAAAGTCTCAAACTTTTTTTTTCCTAACATACTAGTAAGTCTATGAACTGTAGTCTCCGGTGTAATCAAAAAGACATGCTTCTTTTCATTCTTTGTCTACAATATGGGGGCCTGAGCATCAAGCAGATTCAGGATCTATATAGACATTCTTCATTAACTTGGAACATTTTGTCAGAATCAATCAGCTGGTGGAAGTTATTATGGAACGTTCATGAGGAAGCATTTTCCAAGATCCTTTGAAATTCTTGAAATACACAATTGTTAGCAATGCAGAATCAAACAGAATGCAGTCTTATTGAATGGGTTAAGATGAAGTTACAACAAATATTGTGTCAGAGTAAACATCAGAAAATAGATTTTCTAAGGTCTAGAAGTTACAAAGAAATATGCAATAATGAGAATATTATTAAACATTGACAGATTCTGTATCCAAGTGTTCCTTAAAAAATAAAAACCATTTATTTTGCGCTAATAAAAATATGTTAGGGAATAGCAAACAGATTGTCACAGAATGTTTAACTCATCCATATTACATAAAATTCACAAGTGAAATTACTGTCTGCATTTTAAAATCTAAGTAGCAACTGCAAAATCAAACTACTTTGTGGAAGAGTTAACGTCACTACAACAAAATGAAATACCTTAAGTTGTGTGTCTGTCTTTGTATTTAAACATTAATAGAAACCCAGTATATTTTACTTATACTGACTAATGTAGAAAAATCCAAGAAGGTGAGTTAGTAGAGAAATGGAACAAAATATCATTCATTTACATTAGTTTACTGAAAGACATTTTGTCTTCTATTTTATAAAATGTTATTATGTAACAATAGCAATCATTGCCCTCTCTGTATAACCCTACACGGTCTGAATAAATCCCTTCTGAATAGTTTTTCTGTACAGCTCACCACATTTCTAACTACAGGAATGTAATCTTACAGCCTTAAAAAACACATTGATTTTTATGCACATAAAGAGACCAGGTTAATTAACGATGCTAAAAATGATAAACATAATTTATTCTTTACCTCTCACAATAAGGGAAAGAAAAGTTATTACATGCTATATTTTGTTTAAAGATTTATGATGCAGCATAATTTCCATTTCCCTTATAATAAATATTTAAAAGACATATAATATTAAACACTTCACCTAATTGCAAACCTTATATGAAAATATTAGGGTGATGGTTTGGAAGCACAAAAACATTTACTGTCACTCAGTGCTTTGTACGTTCTTTCATAAATCAGTATCGGAAGCCCACAGGCCAACAAAACTCTGAAATTCTGGCCAAACAGTTCCCAGTTATGTGCAAGAGATAATTGCTTCTCAAAGTGCCAAACTGGACTTAAAATTTAAATAATAGAATATAAATATGCTGGACATGAGTAGGAAGATAAAGCATATGCATTTATTTTGGCTAGAGTCTGCTTAAAATTTTGAATTTTTTACTTATGACCTGTATAAGCTTGGATAAGTTACTAGATCATTTTGGGCTCATTTTATTTTCTAAATGGGAGTGATGATACCTACTTTGTAGAGTTGTTATAAAGTCAGAATGAGGTAGTCTGTACAACAGCTTTTGGTACACGGTAAGCAACTATAAAATTTTCATTTCTCTTGTGATGATCTTTTATAACTGGCCATTGTTTAGAAATATAGAACTTAATGTAAAAGATAAAATGTGAACATGCACATAAAAATATGGGAAAATATTTCCAAAAACGACTACTAATATAGAAACTGGAGTTAAGCAGGAAAATATTCAAAATTCGACTAATGTGGCCAGTGCCAAATAAAATACAACACTAGACTCCTGGACAAAGGATATGGTAGGTTGGTCTCTTTCCCGTCATTAAGTGGATTTCTAATTATGTTGTATATGTTGTTTCAGAGGCAAAGGCCCATTGAAAAATACATCTGATGTCATTAATGCTGCCAAGAAAATTGCCGAAGCAGGTTCTCGAATGGACAAATTAGCTCGTGCTGTGGCTGATCAGGTAATAGAAGAGGGAAGGGTGGGCACATGCTGAGTGGAGTCACTAATTAGCACTTGGGTTTTGTAACTAGTTTTATGCACCCTATAAAATGCCTCTGAAGAATGAATCAGAGGGGAGAATCACTGATATTTTACACACTGGTATCTGCCTCTCCTGACACTGTGCTAGTGGCAAACGTAGATTTAGCTCAGGAGAGAATGCTAAGGCTTCTGACCAAAATTCCTTGAGAAAGAAGAACATACTACTTAGGAGACATCAGCCCCTGAAGAGTCACGGATTGTCCCAGGCTTCCCCATTCAGAAAGGCAACTATACTGCATAATGAAGGGGGGAAAAGCAGGTTTTTAAATTTTCATTGTTAGGCTCTTGGTTTAAATATATTTTCAGAGATTCCTACCTAATGCCCTCTTTTGTTTACTTCATGGTGCTTATCACATTTAAAAAATATATATTTATTATTGCTTTACTTTTATTTTCTGTTGCCCCCAGGAAATTTAGGTTGCACATTTTAACTGCCTGACAGAATGAATAAAGGAGAGAAAAGAGCAACCTGCCTTGTGGTCAGGGAACTGAATTAGCAGAGCTTTAGGGATGTGATGGGTCATGATTTGATGGTTTCTTTAAAAAGTTGTCGCGGACTCTACCAGGAGTAGAATGGAAACTGGGGGTAGGACAGTCAGGGGCATTTGGAGATCAAAGGGCAGAAACAGGTTGCAGAATCTGGGAGAACATCATGTTTTTAAATGTAGAAATAAGAAACTAGAACTTCACCTTTTCTTATTTAATATGGCTCTCACTCTAATGATATTCTTCATAATAACTTATGCTCCACCATAAACGGGATTATTCCACATGATCAAGAACCTTCAGATTTCAGCTTTATTCTAACCCAGACTCAGAAGCATCAGAGATAAATGAAATTCTCAGAGTATCTCTTAATGCTTTCAAACCAAACTAGGATATACATTAAAAGAGTTCTCACCTTGAATGTTTATTTCCATACTTTTCGTTTTATTTGGCTTGAATTGGAACTTTAAAATCCTGTTCTAAATGTTTTGTTGCAATTATGGTCCATTTCTTTTAAGAGTGCTTTAGGTAGTAGACTTTTCCAGGTAACTAACAGTTATCCCTATAAGCAATAGTGATTTACAGTTTGAACCACTTTGGATGGATTGTATCATAAAATATAAGTTTTGGAAATAAAATATTATATATGCTACTATCTACATGGAAATATTAACATGAATTTGCTTAGTATACTGCAGTACATTGATGCAAGCTGGAGATACTGAAAGAGAATTGCATCCTTCTCCATATATGGCTCTAGTCTCTGATGATCTGATGATTTTTGAGTCTTTGTGTTGCTTATTGTAGTTTTCCTCCCTCATTCCTATATATAAGGGTTGCTCCTCTAAATACTTACTGCCTCAGCATCCCAGGCTCTAACATCCTTCATTCAAGTCAATACCAAATTCACACACCTTTAAAGGCTGAAAAAACAAAACAAACAAAACCCCTCATGATTTTACTATCAGGATTGCACTTAAGAGTCAAGAGTCAACGAATTCTCATTTTAATTTTATTTTACATTTAAGATGGCTAATCCAAGAAATTTTTTTAACTTTTGACTTTTGGAGAAATGCTTATTGGTTGAGATAACTCAAGTACTATGAGAATTTGAGAACTGCTTACAATTTGTAGGTGTTGAGTGTTAACCCATTGCTATTGCCTAATTTCAGGGCAATATCAACCATGAGGCTTCACAGCATAAACTGAGGGTTTTTTTTGACAGACTTCCATAAGTATTCCAGAAAGTTCATGTAGAGGAGGGAAGAGACAATGAATTTACTTGAAAGTATGCATACAAAAAAATTACCAACTAGAAAAGGCCACATTCTTTTTCTGCAGATGTTGAGAAGAGTTGGGACGTGTAGAGTGACCAGAAATTGGCCATCCACCAATTTGTTAGGAAGGACTTCTTGGGAGTGAAAATGAGCGGAGTTTGAATGGCTGTTTCATTACACTTTAAATCTCAATGGTCAAAAGTATTTCTCGGCATCTTTAGGCCCTTCAAGTTCAATAGTTTTGGTTGTGACTTTTGTTTTTGATTTTACCTTTTTGGGCTTTTATTTTCAACTATGCAACCTAAAGCATAACTCAAAACAGTTGATATGTGAAAAACACATCAAACACACACACACACACACACACACACACACACACACACACACACACCCCCCAGGATACATTTATTTTGAGATTCAGTGACAGAGTATTTAAATGCTACTATTTCACAGTGACTCAAAATAAACGGATTAAGTTTAAACCTAATCCTCTTTGTGGCATTATTATTGTCATTAGCTGTGAAATAACTTGCAATTTTTGATAAAGAAATCTTCAGAAAAAAATGTTATCAAATTCTGCACCTATTTCCATGATTTAGGAGTTATTTTCCTTGATTCAACATGCCTTTTTAAATGTGTATTTTAACTGCTTTGGTTTAAATAATAGAATAGAATGAGTATTATCAAGGACTGGATTGGTTACATTTATTTTGCCGGAAAATATTTTATAAAGATTTGAGATATGCATGCCATATAAACTTTTTACGGACTGTTGCATTTTTAATTACTGTTCCATTGAGATAGAACTTTCAGTTTAATTTGCTGCAAGGTATTTGTATCAAAAGCCTTGTCAGCCCTCTGGGGAGATATCATTTTAAAGTTAATCCCTTTCCGTGTATGGGTCCCTGGAGTAGGATAAATATTACAGTATGAAGTACTTGTAAGAAGCTAAAAACAGTCTCTGTGGAATTCTTTCTTGATAAATGCAGTTAGTGAAAAAATACCACAATGGTAAGTGTTAAATATAAAAAATATCCCTTTATCATTTATTCAGTAGATGGTTATATGTAATCACTGGCTTTACAGTATTGATAAAAGAATTTCCTTTCTTGAGCTTGAGGGAAACTTAGCTCAGAGTCTTTCTCCCATCCTCTCATTCTAAATAAGATACTTCAGTTGTGGCTGTAGGTACTTATTTCTTATAGTATTAAGGATCTGGTGATTTTATGTCCTTTACAAGTACCAAATTGATACAGAACAATTAAATGGCCTGGAAGTAGCTCAAGCTGAACCTTTGATAGCAAAAGAAATATGTAGGCATCTCAATTCCTCGGTAGCCATTGGCAATGAAGCCTCAGAAATGTTTTCAGGAGTCATGTCAATGTCTCTAGAAGTGTTCAGCCAAGCTCTGTGTGTGCTTGATGGACACCCGCCTACTTCGGTCATAATGAAAATCCAAACTCCTTAGCCAGAGTTGACTCCGGTGCGTCCATCAAAGGACTCTGTTGCTACTCTTATGAACTTCTTTCAGCTGGCTTCAGATACATTCTGTCAAATCTGTTTTTCTTACAGTAGTCATGAACCATTTCAGTCTCTCATTTAAAGGCAGGTTATTATGTTGCTTACATTTTGATAAATATTAAATTCCAAAAAGTGTAATAGATTTTTTATAAGTGAATGATACATTTATTAGAGAACAAAGGAAACAAATTGATTTTCTTCCCCCAACTAACTGGATTGAAACTGTCCATTATGCTTGGCAGAGAGTGCCACACAAAGTGATTTACTTTTAGCATCCTTTGGTCCTCTGCATTAAAATAACATTTCACATAGTGAAAGTTGAAGGAAACTGTAAAATATTTAGGTTTCTTTAGAGTTTAGAAGACAGCAGGTAAAAATACTCATAAACATGTATAGAAGTCCCAATAAAACTTTCTGGAATATCTTCAATTTTCTTCTGATAAAATTTTATTAAAGTAGAGCCAACCATTCTAAACTACAGTCTGTGGCCTTTCTAAAATGCACTGTGAAAAAGTTAAGTTAAATGAATGTAATTAAGGTATATGACACTGAAAACTTTTCTTCCTGCAGCTTTTCTATAACAAATGTTAGAAACTGAAGAGTACTTACTAATCAAGATCACTCTTTTAATGTTTTATAGTGTCCTGATTCAGCATGTAAGCAGGATTTATTAGCCTACCTTCAACGAATTGCCTTGTATTGCCATCAGCTTAATATCTGCAGCAAGGTGAAGGCAGAAGTGCAGAATCTGGGAGGAGAGCTCATTGTGTCAGGGGTAAGCTGGACTTGGGCTTCACAATGTAAAGTTCCCACCGTTGCACTTCCAAGGCAAACATTCTTGGCAACAGTACTGCTAAAAACACCAAACTACAGTGATTTATAGGGAGGGCTTTTTTTAAATAAATGTTATCACCATTATTCCAGACCTTACAATAACTCACAAAGAGCAATTTGATTTTCCAATTACCCTGTGTTTATTCTAGCCTTGTAAAATCTCCATTCTTCACAAGAAAACTAATTTTGTAGTCTGGAAACTCATTGCCAAGCTGTGACTATTGTAATTATTTGGGGCTTTTGTATATTTACTCATTGTGAGTCTACTTCCTTTTGTTAGTCCTAGTAATTTTCATTCTCTGTTCAGGAGCCAGCCTCTCTATGTGTGGATTGTGTTCACATGTTAGAGATGATGAAAACAATAGGAATTCATTCATCAGGTTCCAATGCATACTAGGTTATCAGTAACCCTTGAAAGCCAGAAGATGTTTGAATTTAATACAGGTTGATGTGCTGTTGCCAAAAACTAACATAATTGTCGAACACTAACAATTATATATTCTTTGCTCAATCACTGCAGTGTTTCCTTTCTCATGAAAATATAATTATCTGGTCCATTTTTATCAAATGCATAGAAATAAGTTCAATGAATATTTAGAAGAATCACAATTTCTTGGCAAGATTTCCAAATATGTGTTGAGGTTCTTCACCTTGGCTTCTTCTCCTCCCTCAACCCCTTTCTCTCAACACAGGGTGCCATTTGTTGCAAATTATTTGCAAGTCCAGAAATGTGGCTCTGACACCTTAGTTCTTTTCCCAGTCAGACATGATGATGCTACCATTTCAAGTGAGTAATTACCAGGCACGTAATATTATCAGCGTGGTGAATACCTTATGAAAATCAGACTAGTCACAAAGCTCAGGTCTTCCTGAAGCCATTTTTGGAAATTTAGAAGTTTGGCCATTTGGTAAAAACACGTGAACAAATCATTCTTGAACCCAACTGTTTTTGTTCCCATATTGTTTGAGTTGCAGAAAACATAGCTGGGAAAAGAACTGATCTGGCTTGCATAGAGACACCATCTGGAAAGCCTGTTTCATGCAGTCCCACCTAGAGCCCAGTAAATTGGCTATTTTGTGCCTCTTCCCAAAGCACAGTCACCTCTTTGCATTTCCAAAATGATCCTGCTTCAACATTCTTCAGCAACCAAGAGCAATCTGTCTTGCAATGTGTCCTTTCTGCCAAGCTGGTAATTACCAAGATTCTCTCGCCAAGAAGTGATCAAATCATTGCATCTTCCTTGCTGCCTTTCTTATCTTCAGCCTTGATGGTATAGTTTCCCATACCACTCAGCTTTCATGTCCATCTGTATATAGCCCCTGTGGAACTGAGTGCTTTTTGTTCAGCTTGCCTTGTGTGCTTTCATTTGTTACTTTCCAATCTTATTATTTACATGGATGCGCAAAGCATCTTTGTGGATCTCAGACTCCACAACCTCATCTGGGCAATTTTTACTAGCAGAGCCGCTCTCCATCATCCTCTCAGTACCCATTGTTTGTCACTGCCTCCAAAGCTTCATTTCCATTGTCTTTTTCTCATTTAGATGTAGTCCAAACCATCACTGGCTTTTATCACTTGCACTGTTGGCTTTTATAGAGGTGTTTGAGATTGGGAACACCATCAAGAAGCCTGTTCCCTTCTTTGAGTCTTGTTGGTAAAGTTCATAAATCCTTGCATGGGAGAAGGCTTCTTTTAGAAGAATGTTGTTCAACTTGATAATTATTCTGAGGCAAATGCATTATAAATATTTGCTATATATGCTCTGTCATGGGCCTGCTCTTGGCTTCCTCATGATTTATTCCAAGCTTGATTGCTGTTTGGTGCCACACCTACATCTATAGTCTGCTGTCTTTGCCAATTCTGCCTCCATCTTTTTCTTCATGCTCCTTCACTGATGGCCAATGGAGAAAAAAAATGAATATGCTTACTGTGCAAAATAGCCACAAATGACTGCTTTCAAAGTTCTGAAAGAGTCAAGAATGTGAGACCCCATACACACACATTTTCAATGATTTTGCCAAGAAAATTACACCCATTTATTCTGTCATGTGGCATGGCAAAGTTGCTGTTTTTTTTCAGAAGAAGCCATCATAGTTTAATGTACAATCAAAAAAGAAATACTTAAATCTTCTTTCTTTTTTCCCTGTGTTTATACACATGGGATTCAAAGCCACGGCTTCTCTGAAATATATGAAAGCCCCCAGGAAAGTTACATTTGTTAGAAGTCAACCTCTCTACCCAAACAGAAGAGATTTGGACATATTATTTCCATTTTGCCAAGAAAAATGATTTTGATGTCAAAACAGAGAGCCACGTTTTTAGTCTTATGCTGGCATGATGAACATATGTTAAGCAAAATGCGCAATTATGTCTTATGTCAGCGTGTTTTTGTTTTATGTGATTCTATGTATACAAACTGAGAAAGGCCTCTTGTCTTGTGTCTGCTTTTGGCTTGAGAGGTGGGGACAGATAATTCAACAGGTCACGGAGGAGAATGGATACAAAAGCTCTCCAGGCATCATGACGGCGATCTGGAGAAATAAAGCAGTCCAGGATGTGTTTCTGTGTATGCTCATCCACACAACTGCTATCTAAGAAATACCATTGGTTTCCTACCTGGCAATTAGGTTTTTTTTTTTGTCATTGGCTTAAACCTGTCTCAACCAAAAAGTGACATTCTTATTAAATCTCAAAGTAGAAAATGCATTTGTGAGCCAATTCAGCTTAACCCGGTTACTAAGGGAGTAATGGAAAAGAAAAAATATGATAGAATTGTTAAAGTGAAAGTAGAGGAAACTGAGTTTCAGAAGATTAAACCGTCTATAAATTGGCTTTATTTATTTGCTTAGTTTAATGTTTGCTTGAATTCTTAAGCCAGTTTACAGGCTTTTTTGAGAAAAAGAATATTGAAAGCAGAAAGAAAGATAAGGAGGGGAGGGGAGGGTAGAAGAGAAGAGGCATAAAAGAAGAAGGTAGAAGAAAAGAAAAAAGAAAGAGAAAGTTAAAGATAACATGTCTTGAATTAGTTTAGTGCAAGTAATGTCCATTAAATGTGACAGCATTATCTTATGGGAGAAAAGTTAAGCCATATATTTTTTAGTATGTAAATACTATTTTGAATACAAATATGTTCCAGTATCATAATATGGGTATTACCTGTATATTTAATTATCATGTTTTTGACTAATTTTTGTTTGCTAGGTTTCACAGGGTTTAATCAGCACCTTTAAAGTTAAAAATGGAGATGTATACATGGATCTGGAAAAATAAAAATCATTCCATGACCTTTAATATTTTTTAGCTACCCAAAGATTTATACAGAGCGTATGATTCTGAACAATATTAGAAATACTAATGTAGGACTTTTAAATTAGCATACTGAATATCAAACATTCTGATAAACCTAATAAAGCCTACCTAAACTGTTTTTTTAAAGTTAAAAGATAACAGGAGCTTCATTATAACAATGAAGTCAGAACATAACAGCAATAACCCTACTTTGATGAGGAATTCAATGTTCAGGATGTAATTTATGGCCAAATGTACACAAAAATGGTACAAATTTTAATAGATTTTATTACATATAAATGTCTCTGTATTAACAAAATATTTGAGTCAAGTTTGGAGGTGAGGAATGCTAGTTGCTTAAGTCCTTGGGCTGAATGAATGGATTACTGACCTATTCCTGAGAGATTGAGAAGCTTGCCCTAATATGTACTTTTGTTCTTTGCCATTTAAATATCTCTTTTCCAAATCTGAATTCCTCTCAATTGGGTTTAGGGGAGAGGTTTGACAAGGTGAGCAAGTTTAACTTGGGACACTGGTAGGATTTGAATTGGTAAAGAGAAGATTGGAGACTGAGGGGTCAATTATAGTAATTCTTATTGCCCACGTTTCACATTATTTTAAAAAATTGGACTCTAATTACAATCAACATGAATATTCATGATATAGGTAATATACATTCCTAAAAATGTTGGAAACTGATAATATTCAAATCAACTCTACCTGACACTGTCATATATTCAAAGATGCATATGTGCATACAAACATACAAACACAGAGCACAATTGATTTGATATTTACTCTTATACCCTCAATAAACCTTAGTGAAGTGGTCAGGAACTGAACAAGATTGATAAGTATAAACTATCTGATCCAATACAAATTAGGGAAAAGAAAATGTGGGATATATTTTGTACAATAATATATATATGGTTTGTTGAGATGAGAATTACATTGTATTTGAAGAGCGTTGTGTTCCTTTTATTTTTAAAAAGTGCCAGTATTTTGTAATGAGCTAAAACAGCCATTGAAACAAGAATTGCATCTAATTGTGTAGACCTGTACATTAAGCAACCTTTTTTTCTTAATTTTTATATCTTCTATTTTGTCTATAGTCAATTCTTCATGATCTCCATGGATCAAAGTGTAACAGTAATGAAAAAAATCTAAAGTGCTAGCTATTTCAATTTGGGTTTGGAATGCATGTTAGTGTTTCATTTGAACAAAAGGGTAGATGTTCTAGGAATTCATAGCAGTTCAAAATAATTTTATCCAGACCTTCCGTGCTTAAAGGACCTTCCCTTATGTAGGAAAAGTTGCAGTGTCCAAACCTAGAGAGAGTAAGATAAAAACAAACTTCAGATTGTAAATCTGGATGTTAGGCATAGTGGAGAAATTGTGACAAATGAAATGAGTAGTTACCTTTTACAGAGTAAATGGCAGTAGTTCTTTGCATATACTTTGCTAGTAAAATGAGTTGTTGCATGATTCCATATTTTCCCCAAAATCCATTCCCCAATCTGTTGATAGTGAAACTATAACCATTTAAATTCTGATTCCTGCATTAAGTCTTCCTTAGTTACATTCATACCAGTATGAATGGTCATTGATTTCTGCACAACCCAAATTATAGACACCCTCAGAGGGAAATAACCTTTCTATGGTTTTTTTCACTGAACATTCATTCCCCCAGAGTGTTAAAAGTGACAGTTTACCAATTCAAGACTTGTTTTTGGAAGAAATGGGAAGTTAATAGGAATTTTAATGAGAAAGTAAAAATTTCTTTGGGTGCTGGGCATCATAGAAAGCTTTGTGTCTTTTGCACTGCACCTGTGTCTGTTCTCTGAATTCAGACAGTCTTGTACGAAGGAGTCTGGTATACTGCTCCACTATAGAAAGTGACTCTTCAGTTACATTTTCTGTGATGGTCACCCTAAACTTACCAATATAATCAGTTATGGCCATTAAAAAAAATCAGTTATTCATTGATGGAATTAAAGCAGTTGGTTATCTAACTGAATTGTTTAATGCATAGGGAAATACTATGTTCCAATATACTCATTTTAAAATAAGAAAACATACTGTGTTGTGGCAAAGCTAGGATGCAAATCAAGCAAATAACTCTTCTTACCTTAACTGGAGACATGGATTGACCTTAATTCGATCTACTACTCTGTGGATGGATTTGATTGTGTCACCTAAACTTGTGGGCTGACGAGTAATTTCTATTTTAGTTTGAGGGCATTACTGCTTGTAACAGCAGGAGTTAGTAGCTTTAAGAAGAGTGTCCCCTGAGATATCAGTGCCATTACTTGTCATTCAATCAGTAAAATTTCATTCCTTTGGGTCTTAGAATTTTTTCAAGTTTTGAGATGCTCTAATTAAAAGAAGAAAGGTAAATAATTGACAACTTAATTTATTATCAATTAATGCCTTAGATTTCAGTTGATATTCTGAGAATGATTTAGTAGCCAATTAGCAGTAATACTTTTTGAAAACTTGGAAATTGGACACATGGGAGGTACCTGGATGAGGGGAGGTGATTGCATATACAGTTGGCCTTCTGTATCTGTGAGTTCTATATCTGAGAATGCAACCAACCTGGGATTGAAAATATTTGGAAAAAAATAAAAGTAACAATACAGCAATAAAAATAGTACAGATAAAACACAATGTAGTACTTATATAATATTTATGTAACATTTGCATCATAATAGGTATAAGTGATCTGGAGAGGATTTAAAGTATACAGGAGGATGTGTGTAGGTTTCATGTAAATACTATGCCATTTTATATCAGAGACTTGAGCATCCTTGAATTCTGGTATCTGCTAGGGTCCTAGAACCAATCCCCCATGGATACCAAGGGATGACTGTATCTTGGGATATGTGTAAAACCCAGACAAACCTATTTAAGAAGTATTATTTTATAAAGCTTCCCCATAAGACATATCCTAATTTTGACTACTTGTTCATATATGAGAATAGTCTGATTTCATTCCAAGATTTTTTTTAAATAATTTAAAAATACTTCAAATAATGTTTCAAATTATTATTGCTTTGAGAAGTGTCTTAAAAGCTACCCTCTCCCCAGTTTTGAACCAGTTTTGGATCTGTAAGAGCAAATCCAAATACGTTCAATGTAATGTTTCCTTACATTGAACCAAATAATTATGGGAAGCCAAAGTGTTGAGTGAAGACCTTTATTTAGAAATGGTGTCTGTAAATTCAGCCCCTGTAAACACTTGAATTTTTCAGTTCTCAGCTCTAGTCAAGAAACAGATTATTTAGAATTGGTTACTTAAATGCATTGTGATTTTTTTTTTCTTGTTTCTACTGGGGCTTACCCCAGGAATTCCTGGACTGAAGTCTGTTGAAGAAAAAAGTTGATATGTGAACAAGGTGATATAATGTGAATAGGCAAAAGAGAAGGGATATTGAAATCATATGCTAAAGATTATCTGGGGATTTTGTCATTGATTTTACACATCTTTCCATTACCTTAGCTGGTTAAAAATAAGATAGAATCCATAGCAAAACTGAGTCAGGATTTTTTTATTCAGTACTGGATTTGATAACATTTTGACAATAATATTTTTCTTAAAATACATCAGTTTCCATAAGTCGTTTCTAATTTCCAATGGCAAACAATCAGAGATTCAAAGAGCTGCATTTATTTGTTGTTCACATAAGAATATTTTCTGATTCATTCACTGAATTCAACATTTCCATTGCATCCCTACTATGTAAAAGGCACGGTGATATATTTTGACTGAGTTGGGAATTTAAAGTCTCTTTATCTCTAATACCAAATAATTTTCATGAAAAGGATAAATTTTTCTGTCCCTTGTGTTTTTATTAGACTGTGTAGTCTATGTTTATTTTTTTTCCATTTAGTTTCTCAGCTTACTGAAATAGGGTTTTCAGCTAGAATAGCAGAGTATCTGTTGATGGCTATTTCTGTGCATTCGTTGTTTTCTTGGTTTACTATATGCTAGAAATAAAAGTGTGTTTAACTTACTGTTGTCTACATTCTGTCCCTGCAGATTATTTTGTCAAGTGCTTTTTCCAGCCTAAGTTAAATCATTTATAAAATATGACTTTGAGTGCAGCCCTTAGAAAAGAAATATGTGCCACTTTATGGCCCATGTATCTTACAAATAAGAAAGTTTCCGGATGGGCAATGTGGAGTTTCTTTGTTCAGATTTCTTTTACTGCATCGGAACACATTGTCTTACTCTATCTTAAATAGTAATTTTCCTTCTGGGCTATAAATATATCTCAAATACTTCATCCTAATTCTATTTTCTTGAAGGCAAGCTTTCTTAATTCAGACTTTTAATCTTTTCTTTTATCATCAATACTGTATCTTGTTTTATTAGTTTTCTCTGAACACCTTCATCTGTGCAGATGCCTTGCTGATAATGAAATTGACTGGAACTCTGGCTAGATGTCCTGTCAAATCGGAACAACCTGTCTCTTGACCTCTTTCATCCATTTTCTTTGGCAAATCTCTTTTGCAACTGAGAATATCCTGGAGAAGTTATGGTCAACATCGTCTTTTAAGAACCATGTACGTTTGTCAGCCCAAATTTCTGTATGTGAGACGCTACCATAAAACAAAATCAAAACATCTCTTTATCCGAGAACTTCCAATTTGAATCTGCTGCTATCCACATTTATTGGAGCCCCTCTTATTGAGATATTTCTCTTCAATTATAACATTTTGATCAACTTACATGAAAAAAATGCCTGACCTTGTCTTCCATGATGAATGCATCTGCAGATTGTTCTTTTGGAATGCACATGTTATTCCACCTGACTTTTCTCAATCTTTTGTGCTAAGAAGCTAAACAACTTTTTATTAACCTCAAAGATTTGAGACCAGCCCTACATCTGTCTGGTCAGAATGAAATTACTACCGTGACTATAATAATGGAGTCTTGACTACTGAAATCTTGCAAACACTTCATATCTTGTCTTAAAGGGCTACTTACCCATTTCTGAAATATCATGGGAAGTATACAGCTAATCTACAGTTGGAGTAGAGCTTAGTTTTCATGAAAAATGTCAAGAGGCTAGATCCTGAGATTTGGAAATTATCTGATCCTGGCATTGCATCCTGTATCAAAGGCAGTTTTATTATTTTAACTAATATCATATATAAAGGCATTATTATAATATCACAATCAATCATACTAAATTCACCTAAGAGGTCAGCACAGTTCACCACTCTGCATCCTTTTGATGCAGCCTAGTTTTGCATTGGGTTCCTGAAGTCATTTTCCATTTCCAAAGAGACAATAGGCAATTATAAGAAATGCCAATAGACAATCTAAGTTCAGTTTGTTTTATTTCAATATTTTAAAAGTGTTTAACTCCATTTTTATTTTAATATCTTAATGCTGGGAGAATTGTACCATCTGTATTGGGTAGTAAAAACTTAAGGTGTTTATTGGAAGAATGGACAATTGCATCATTAATCTTAATGAACTTTAAATTTTTTATGAGATGATCCAAGTAAGTTTCTAATACGTAATAATTTTTAAAACTGAGAAATTGTGCTAAGTGACTAATTTATTTCCTACAATGGGAAAAATCAGAAAATCCCTAACTTATAAAACCAAATGAGATTGTTATAAAAAATCAAAGATAAGCCAACTAGTCAATGATCCAATATGTAAAAGTGGAGAGAAAATAAAACTTCATAGGGCCATTAATTGCAAAATCTCACACACAAAAAAAGCTGTTGAATATATAATTTGAATTTAGACTTAGAATTGTTGAAAATAAAAATAATAAATGATACAGCAAGGAAAATATATGCAGAGTATCATTGCCTCTTCTGTTAAGTACAGAAAAAGTCAAATATAGGCAAAACACCCATCTTTTTATATGCAAGACTTTTTTTTCTTTTCTATTTACTTTAATTCTTTAAAGACATTCTTTAAATGTCTCTAACATTTATTTTGAAGTGAAAAATGGACATGATGTTGCCAAATCCATAATCAGTTTGAATTTAGTAGCTTCTGTGTTTCAAACTGCTCTCTCATCTGCCAATTTTGCTTAATTTTAAATTGCAATTATTGTAATACACTTATGTATTTAGTACGCTAAGAATGATGGGCTTAGAAATAGAATTATATTGGCTTAAAACAGAAAAATCCCAAATTAAGATTTTTGTTTATCTGTATATAGAAACAGGCTTTGGTTTTTAGCCATTTATGATGCCATAATTTGCAAGCTATTGTTTTGAATGTCTAGGTTTCCTAAATTTTTTTCTGTGGAAAGAGATGGTTTCACTTTTCATGTATTCCACTAGTCAGATGAAGGCCTTTTATGTGGATGGTTTCAGGATGTGCCTGCTCTTCAATAGTGTCTGTTACTTTTGTTTTGCCATAATCAATAACTTTGAGTATTCTATTTTAAACTCCTAAATTTTCATTGAAAAAAAATACTTTAGTGGTCTACATACTATTCTCATGCCTTTTCTTGTTTTTCTATGAAAACTAGACTTGGTAAATAAAGCTATGACTAGAGCAGAAATCGTCCATGACAAAAACATTTTGGTCAGTTGGCATCACTGGGTCATGTAACTTGACCTCTGAGAGTGACAGTGCATTTTTTTATGATTGCAGAAAACTTGCCATTTGATTTTTTCTACAGTTCTGAAGATGAACTCTAACTACTCCTTTTAGTTGTATATTTGATACACGCAGAAAAAGTCAAGATTGTAACATTTTATATTGAAAGAATCTTATGAAAAGACTCTAAAGGTAGAAAAGGGCATTGGTTATTGGCTTATCCTTTAAATTATGCCCCTCACACAATCCACCCTTGGGTTAAAAGGAACAGTCAAAAGAGTTGCAATTGTAGCAACAATGAATGCATTAGTCCTTCAGTGATCCCAATGAAAGAGGTAAGTATCCCCTTAGTAGAGGACCATGTACAGAGGTTGGATGTGCAGAGGCCAAAGGCTTAAGGAAGGTCACACAGCAGGGCGATGGAACTTCCAAGAAAGACATCAGGGATCCCCACATACCGTTCCAGGCTTTAAGAGCTGCAGCCCTTGCCTTCTCTCTTGGTGATCTTCAACACTTTAAATAGGGGATTCACCCCCTTTGAGCCCCACTATAGTTGTCCCATTCAGTGCCTGACAAGGCAGGGTGCATCTTCATTCTCCTCCCACATGGTTCCTTTATCTGTTCAAGAGCCAATGAGAAATCGAAATGGCCAGGCCGCTTAATGTCAAGAAAGCCCATATGTATATCTCTTTCAGCACGTAATTCCTTCATATACCTCTTTTTTCCCAATTACCCATTCCCTCTTCCACTCCCTAATCCCTTCCCAAGTAGGGTACTTTTTTTTTTTTTCTTTTGCTCTCTCTCTCATTCTCTCTTTTCTGTATCTCTCGGAAATCAGACAGGAGTTCAGAGCACTTTCACTACCTTTTATGAGGTAGATTGTGATGTCATAGATGGGGGCAGGGCTAGTCAACTTTCTACCCACCTCCCAACCTGTGCTGAGGGAGCTCCGATCGGGAGTGGAAGCAGTGATTCCTCCATGGTGAGTAAATTGACTTTCTAATCTAATGTCTTTCATTGTAATCATGAATTCTGAAGGCAGGGGGGATTGGATTTTAGGGAAATAAAAATGTGCCCACTGAAGGCCTCTTAATATTAACCAACTTTGGGCAAAGGACTTATTTATTCTTTATGTGGGTCAGAAATTCCACAGCACAGATATATCTTCAATTGTGGTCTAAACTTGAGAAGTGAAAAAGGTATTTTTATTTCTTTATTTCTCAGTCTTTCTTCCCATTGGGACTGAAAGTCATGGCATATGTGGAATGAATCCATTCTATAGTCTCTTTGTGAGCTTCACTAAGGAAGGGTAGTCAGAAGGATGTATTCTTCTTTGTTTGGAAGATTTCAGGGTCATGAAATATCCTTTACTCATGTTTGCCATGAGAATCAGTGGGCCCTTCTAAAACTGTGGAGGTTAAAATGTGCATGAGGATGATACATGAGGATTATCAACAAATACTTTGGGTGTTAACAAATAAAAGCTTTCTAATGCAGTGACTAAAATGTTCATTTTTTGAAAAAAGTTACAACTCCTGCAAGTTTAAGGTCACAGCCATTTCAAGGTGTCACAGCCAGATTTACTACCCATTTTTGTTGTTGCACGTCCTAACCCTGATGCTGTTTCATAGGGTCTCTTGCTAGTTAAGAGGCATGAAAAGCTGCTATTGTTTCATTTGGGTTTCTATATATTGCTGATTAGTTCTTTTATATGCCTTAGTATTTAGAAAGAAAAGATCAACTGGAGCGGGCACTTTTCTCCACTTCTTTCCTCGTTCTCTCCTGGGTACCTATTAAAACTATCAAGATGCAAGCTTTTGTATAAAAGGGTAAAGGGAGTTCATGGAGGTGGTTGACTTTTTAAGGGATATCAAAGCACTAGGGTGGGTGTTCTTAGAAGGGTTTGACCACCAGAATGTGAAACCCTGTTTTTTTCTTAGGGTGGGATGAAAGCATCCTGGTGTGGATTATGAGTATTATAAAATATATAAAGAGGGTATCATCCCTTTTTTTTTTCCTAAATATACATCCCTGGTTGGCTAGCCATGATGAACATTTGTGTTGGAGAATTGGTTTCGGTTTAAAAATGAAGAGTCCTTTCTGTCTCATCAACGGCTTCTTTGTTATGCATAAATCCCTGACCCCCAAAGTTATACACTTTTATATTTAAAAGCACTACAGCTGATACTGCCCTCTTTAGTACCCTGGGGCTGGGGAATGGGTTTTGAAGTTATTTGATACCTAAGTTTTCTAACCTAAATAAGTGACTATAACAGTAAAGATTTCAGGCCTGATAAAGAAAGGTAGGGCCATAACTGGCCAATAGGAAGATTTTGATGACAGTCCCCTGCAGGCAACTTAATATTGCAATGTGGGCAATAATGCCAGAGTCTTATATGTTGGTTTATCCCTCTTAAGTCTCTGACCTACCTTCCATTAAAAGTACTAGACCCCTGAAACCCAGGTAGAAGCAAACCTTCAGTGACAGAAAAATCTGATGTCTAATCATAGCTCAAGTTTTTAATGTCTTTTATCAACCCCTCATACAGCTGCCAGGTAAGAAATGCTCATATTTTCAAACCCTTGGGACACAATCATCTTTAAACTTCGTGAGTTAAGAACGGTTGTGTTGTGCGCTTGTGCAAATTCAGAGAGTCTATCATGGAATGCATTGTGCATGCACTTATTTATCTTCATGTGCATGTTTCATTTATAGTGATGTTCAGTGTTTTTTAAATTCATTTCGTATGTATTAAAAGTTTAATTTTAAAATACATACATATATTGTGCTCTAAAGGAGACAGTGAAATGGAGTGGAGGTTGCATTAATTTGGGGTCTGAACACTTGCTATGCTAGTTCTATCTCTGCGCTTGACTTGTTAGGTAACTCAAAGCAAATTACTTAGATCTCTCGGGCCTCAGTTTTTCTCATCTGTAAAATGATGGTAGATGATCAAAAAGAGATATTCTAATGCATCCCTGCTCTAAAAATCTATGGTTTTATGGTATATTATTGAAGAAATGGTTTATGAGAAAATGACTGAATAGTTGATGAAATACAGTTTTTATTTTGTACATACAATTATTAAATCCAGAAAAAACATTCAGTTTAAACAAGGTTTTAAAATGTGCTGCCTACCTGATATACTGCTATTTGGTTAATAATAGATGTGGCTGAGCCATTTCTTTTAAATAGACAACGTCATTTGATTAATCTGCTAAATCTAAACCACTTAGAAAGTTATATATAAATTGATACCTGAAGAGAGGCAGAATCCATGATAGGTAGCTACATAATGATTTTGGAAGACCGATTCATGTTTTAACTCCATACCTTTGTGTTATTCTAATTATTGGGGATGTAAAAAACATTTACTAGGTAATAGATGTAGCTGATCTTACTGGGGCTTCAAAGTTTAAAATTACCTATGTAATATTGCAGGAAATCCCAGGTGGTTTTGGAAGGGTTGATAAGTAGGGAATTGGTGAGTATGGAACTATGTACTATGGGGGATAAAAAAGTGTAAAGCCTTGCTCCTGAATTTGAGGAATGTGCAACCTCTTTGAGGAGTCTGTACATGTGCCAAGTGCCGACTTGGAAGTGAATACAGTAAGTGCCAAAATAAATATCCCTGTGGCCTGGGTGGGCTGGATTGCACTGGGGAGTCTTATAAAAAGCTGATACTTTTAGCTAGCTGAGAACAGAACGGTTTAGATGTTTGTGTTATTGTATATAAAAAGGACAGGGAAGCGTTCCAGGTCTTCAAGACCACAGAATTGTAAATGGAGCTGAAGATATATCTTGTGTTCAGACATGACATGTGTCAAAATCAAAATGTATTGCTTACAGTTCAACCTCATACTTTTTCTGAACCCCTTTCCCCTAAATCATATGCTGACTGTACTAGAGGAGATACATGTCTTTGGAAGAATTTAGGAGGCAGCAAGTGAGTGAATTGAGTAATTATAAAGATATAATCAGGCAGGCATTTGGTCAGTTACACAAAACTCCACATGATCACTCACAGCCACAACTATGCAAGAGAAATACATAACAGGCAGAGGAAGGAAAGAGGAAGACTCTAGCTTGGAGATATTCTGGTATTGTGATAAAAGTGGAAAGAGATCATCATTTGGGGGTATCATTAACAGATTTAGAAACGTCAGATGGTGATGGAAATGTCCATCAGCTAATGAGAATCCGTGTAACCAAGATGACTTTATAAAGCAAACAATTTCCTTGGGCACTAAGCAAGAATAACATCAGTTTCTCCATCCTTTAACAGCCAATATTGACAAGGTTTTAACACTAAGTAAAACTGAACATGATTATGCAAGTCTCCTTCCCATATACTCTTGGGAATAGGTTATTGATTTGGGTATGATTTATTCACACTGACGAAGAACACTTAATTTGAAAGCCTCTCTGTTGCTGTAGACTTGCAGAAGATTTGCGGTGGATATTTTGCCTCACGTAGGGAAAACTGTTTTTGTATTTCTTGCCATTCGAGTCTCTTCCAAGTTATTACCTTGGCCATTCTAAAAGACTGGAATTCCACGATTAGAACTGCTTTGTTACCTAGCCCCTTTACCAGATTATAAGAACTTAGTAAGTAAACAAGGACTCAGTTTAGATCACCCAGTGACATGGCTTCTAATTTCCTATTGTGACATCAGAATTAGCTTCTAGAATTTGTTTTCTCAGGAAATCACTTTCAAAGGCTAAATTTTTCTGTTTGGGGATGGTGAAGTAGTATGATCAAAGGTAGTTTAACAAAGCAAGACTACTAGCGCTAGTTTCTAAAAAAAAAAAAAAAAAAAGTTCAAGCAGAAGTTAGATTATGTTTGTTTCAAGAGAAAAATGATGAGGATGACAACTGTTCTCCTTTCTTCCTCCTAAGTGTCTCTGGAGGTCATTTTAGAAATAAAGCATCAGTCAGAGCTATAATTCAACAAATTCATTGAGTATGTAATATGGGATATTCCCTGTTCTACGTATGATGCATTCATAGAATTAGCATGGAAAACAAGCACGTGAACTAGTAACTATGATGATAGTAATCATTTTAAAAGACATATTGTGACCATTTTTGTAGAAAAGGATAAAGGGGTGTAATTTTTTTTGAGCCTTCACACATAACTGAATAGGAGTTTTCCAGGTGGAAGGAGAGGGAGGAATATCTCAGAAAAGAAACGAAACATCCATAACATTGAGGTATATAAGTATTCCAGGATAACTGAAGCTGAAAATGTCAGAGAGGGCTGGAAAGATGGAGAAAAGTAAAAGATGTGAGGTTGGTGTTGGACATCAAAGAAATTCTTCTGACCATGCTGAGTTTAATGAGTAGCATTGAAAATGATCAGGATTATCTGCATGCCAGCTAAGCAAGGGGTTTGGGGGAGACTACTAAAATGCACGATCCTGGGCCATGTTGCAAAAACTTCTTGAATCAGGAATGGTAGGGAGTAGGTTCTTGGAGTCTGTAATTAACTACCCCATCCCACTCCCCAGCACACAACAGGTGATTCATTTTCACACCAAAGTTTTAGAATCCCTGCAAGGCAACAGAACTGACTCATTCTGTTTCTATGTTGTTAGAAGCAGTTTCAGAGTAAAAAATTAAAGTATCATGTTATTAAAAGATTTTGGGAAAAATAGTTTAGGGTAGTATAAGCATATTCTCAAGAAAATTGGTTTAAATTGTGGTTAAGCATGAGAACTAAGAAAGATGGTTATTAAATATAAATAATCAGTGATGCTATTGAATCTCCTTGAAAGTGAGACAAGAAACTGTAAACATTCAAGAGACCATCCTTCATTTTTCTTTGTCATGCTCCAATACAAGGAGTTAATGAAGATTGAAGCTAAGTTGTTCTACATCTTCCAAGTTGTGCCAAGATAAGAGATAGGGGCAATAATCCAGAGTAACATTTGTTTGGGGATGGTATTCTTTTGTAGGGCCATTTGACTTCTTTAATTAAGTGAACTTCCTTGGAAAAAAAACGTGTATGTCAGCATTCTCATCATGACTGGAAGAACCGAACTTTCATGCCCATGCAGTATATGACCTATATGGTCTATGTTGAAAATGTTAATTATGTATGTTTAAATCAATAGTCACTTACAAGTGCTAAATTCTTTGTTGTTTGTTTTTCTTTTTTTCGTGAACAACAGCTGTTACCTTACACCCATCAATCTGTGTAGAAAGTTAGAGAAGTGGTAAAAGACCTAAGGAGAGGGAGATACTAGAAAGGAATTTTACATTTTACTGAGACATGAAAATGAGCCCTGGTTGAGAAGAAAGTGAGTCTTAGTTCACAGCAACAAGGATTGATTCTAATTTAGCCCCCTAATTGCTTTGCATACAACGTATCATTTCCAGATTGCCAGAATCTTCTGTATTTATTTTTTTTATTTGAGAATAGCTTTGTTTGGAAGTCGAGGATTGATGGGGAACCCTATTTTTAATTGTTTTCTGCCGTTAATTTCAGTGTCTTCTCTTGGGTATAGATACTGTCACTTTCTAGAATCAGTTGACTGGTAGGAGGCAGTGCCTGCCATTAAGTGAACAAACTAAGGTTGACGACCTAAGGATATATGTATCTATATCTAGGTATCTAGATATAGATATATGTAGTTAATTTTAGTTCTTACAGATATCTCTTGCCAATGATCTGTGGCTCTGTCATTGCCCTTGTTACACCAACTAAAGCAAATACAACCTTGGGTGGTTCTAAAAAGATGTTCCAGGCAAAATTATTTACCTCAAGGCCTATTCTTTTACCTAAATAAATGCCAAGCAGAGAACAGCAACAGCTATGTGGTTTTGATTGTTACAGATCTGAAGAATATAAGTTAAATAATGTTAAAATTATAAGAGTGATATTGCTATTAGGTGTGAATTTAGAAACCAACTCTCTTGTACAATTGATGAAACTGGGCAACATTCTTAACCTCCCTGGGCTTTTGCTTTTTATTAGAATAGCAATAGCTACTCAGAGGGATAATTGCCCATGGTAAATATCAAAATATCAACAGTTACATTAACATAAACTGAAGGATTAGTATGTGCCAGGCATTGTATGAAGCATTTAAAATGCACTATGAAATATGTTTTTTCAATTGTGCTCTGGAGGAAATACTATCATCCCCATTGAAAATATTAGAATAATGAGGTTCAGAGGAGTTCAGAAACTTCCTGGAGGTCACAAAGTCAGTGTTTGGTACACACTAGTGCTTCAGGAAGACTTCTTTGATATTCTCCAACAGCATGGTGTACTCTTTCTGTCATTTTTTGTATGACACTTAAATGTCATTATATTTCTCTCAACTAGTCTGTAAGCTAGTTATAACAGGGAATATGTTTGAATGCTCATTTTTTTCCCTGGTTCCCTGCATAATGAACACATAATCTATGCTTAACACATTAGCTTCTTTATCATCCTTTCTTCCATTGTAGTGAGTTATCACACCCAAAAAGTCCCAATAATTGATTTTGAAGTCTATCAGTCATTCATACTTTCATTCATTTATTTCTATGTGAAAGCATCTGACTTCAAATGCTAGATTTCGAAATGCACTGTTTAACTAGGATTTGGGGCCAAAAATCAAGTAATTAAATGCAATTATTTTTCTAGTTAACTTAATTTCTTTATAATTTACTCTGTTAAATTTTCAGATATATTAAACCCTTTTTAAGAAAAGATTATGCCATAGAAACCTACAGAATTTTTTCCCAAAAAGCTGAATGAATCAAATTAGTAATTTATTGTAAAAAGAAATTTGAAAGTAACATGGTTGATTTCATTTGCCCCCTTATGCAAAGGTTATGACACACAAATTGTTATATAATTATATATAAATATGAAATATTTTAACTTAAGTCTACTAAATATTTAATGCCCACTATTGTATTAAAAATTTGTATATAGTTTCAACTACAAATGATGAAACATACAACTAGAGTTATTTCTCTCTCACATGGAATACATCTGTCTGTAGTTCAGGGAGAGTAGAGTGAACACAGAGTCATCAAGGACTTTGACACCTCCTAACTTTATGGCCCATCTATTCTCAAGTTCATCTTTTGGTCTAAGATGACTGCTAGTGTTCCACCTTTCCAATTTTCATGTAGGAAGAAGAGGTGAGAGGGTTAAACCAGGTGCTTCCTAGCTATGTTAGTACCCTCTAAGGAGGCTTCCTGGAAACTTCCACCCCTCTGCCCTTCTTCAGTTTCCACTTTCATCACCATACATATGGTTTGCTGCAAGAGAGACTGGTAAACACAATGTTTTAGCTCAGCACATTGCTGCTCTGATTAAGATTGAGATGCCACTAAATAAAGAGAAGGGCAAATGAATATTAGATGAGCAACCAAGACAGGATGCTAAGAATAAGAATTAAATTACCCTTATAAGATTCAATTCGAAGTAAGCAAGAATTTGGGGAATGGAAATCAAAATCTATTCTTTTTTTTAATTATTAGACTTTAAGTTCTGGGGTACATGTGCAGAACGTACAGGTTTGTTACATAGGTATACATATGCCATGGTGGTTTGCTGCACCCATCAACCTGTCATCTACTTTAGATATTTCTCCTAATGCTATCCCTCCCCGAGCCCCCTACCCCCTGACAGGCCCCAGTGTGTGATGTTCCCTTCCCTGTGTCCATGTGTTCTCATTGTTCAACTCCCACTTATGGTGAGAATGTGCGGTGTTTGGTTTTCTGTTCTTGTGTTAGTTTGCTGAGAATGATGGTTTCCAACTTCAACCATGTCCCTGTAAAGGACATGAACTCATTCTTTGTTTATGGCTGCATAGTATTCCATGGTGTATATGTGCCACATTTTCTTAACCCATTCTATCATTGATGGGCATTTGGGTTGGTTCCAAGTCTTTGCTATTGTGAACAGTGCTGCAATAAACATACGTGTGTGTGTGTGTCTTTATAGTAAAATGATTTATAATCCTTTGGGCATTTACCCAGTAATGGGATGGCTAGGTCAAATGGTATTTCTAGTTCTAGATCCTTGAAGAATCGCCACACTGTCTTCCACAATGGTTGAATTAGTTTATAGTTCCACCAACATTGTAAAAGCGTTCCTATTTCTCCACATCCTCTCCAGCATCTGTTGTTTCCTGACTTTTTAATGATCGCCATTCTAACTGGTGTGAGATGGTATCTCATTGTGGCTTTGATTTGCATTTCTCTAATGATCAGTGATGATGAGCATTATTTCATATGTTTGTTGGCTGCATAAATGTCTTCTTTTGAGAAGTGTCTGTTCATATCCTTTGCCCACTTTTTGATGGTTTTTTTCTTCTTGTAAATTTAAGTTCTTTGTAGGTTCTGAATATTAGCCCTTTGTCAGATGGATAGATTGCAAAAATTTTCTCCCATTTTGTAGGTTGCATGTTCACTCTGATGATAGTTTCCTTTGCTGTGCAGAAGTTCATTAGTTTAATTAGATCCCATTTATCTATTTTGGCTTTTGTTGCCTTTGCTTTTTGTGTTTTAGTCATAAAGTCTTTGTCCATGCCTGTGTCCTGAATGGTATTGCCTAGGTTTTCCTCTAGGGTTTTTATGATTTTTAAGTCCTACATTTAAGTCTTTAGTCCATCGTCTCAGCCCCAAATCTCCTTAAGCTGATAAGCAACTTCAGCAAAGTCTCAGGGTACAAAATCAATGTGCAAAAATTGCAAGCATTCCTATTTACCAATAAGAGACAAACAGAGAGCCAAGTCATGAGTGAACTCCCATTCACAATTGCTACAAAGAGAATAAAATACCTAGCAATACAACTTGCAAGGGATATAAAGGACCTCTTCAAGGAGAACTACAAACCACTGCTCAAGGAAACAAGAGAGGACACAAACAAATGGAAAAGCATTCCATGCTCATGGATAGGAAGGATCAATATTGTGAAAATGGCCATCATGCCCAAGGTAGTTTGTAGATTCAATGCTATCCCCATCAAGCTACCATTGACTTTCTTCACAGAATTGGAAAAAAAAACACTTTAAATTTCATGTGGAACCAAAAAAGAGCCCACATAGCCAAGACAATCCTAAGCAAAAAGAACAAAGCTGGAGGCATCACGTTACCTGACTTCAAACTACTACAAGGCTACAGTAACAAAAACAGCATGGTACTGGTACCAAACCAGAGATATCAACCAATGGAACAGAACAGAGGCCTCAGAAATAACACCACACATCTACAACCAGTTTTCCCAACACTATTTATTAATAAATAGTGTTGGGAAAACTGGCTAACCATATGCAGAAAGCTGAAGTTGGATCCCTTCCTTACACCTTACACAAAACCTATTCTTACACCTTATACAAAACCTATTCTTTGTAGTTTTTTGAAACTCAATACTCATATTTAGTTGTTCCGCAAACAGTTTAAAAGGCTTTTTTTTCTACAGTTTTTAGGGAATTAAGATAGGTAACTCCTGCCTACAGCATACCAGCTTTTCTGGGAGGTAGAGGGCTTTGTTTCCCAGTAGCCTTCCCTTGCTGAGTTATACTGGCAGATAGAAGCTGCCAATGAAGGCTTTGAGTGGCACGATGATCCCCATCATATGAGGAATCTGAAAAGCACTGGGAAGAGTTAGGCTTGGGGTGCAGTTCTTGCAAGTGTATGCCCTCCATTGAGTGGAACAAGAACTGAATGCTGACTTTCAGTAGCTGGCTATATGACCTGAGCAAGTTGCCTCACCTCTCTGAGCCCCATTTTCTCAGCTGTAAAGTGAAAATGATATTAGTATCTACTTCATTGAGTTATTGTTAGGATTAATGGTATTGATGTGCACCATACATTGAGCACAGGGTCCAGAATGTAGGTGTACTAAATAAATGAGTAGGTATTTTTTGTTATCTTCTCTCCCCACAAAAGACTATATAGTCTTTTGGATAATATTGGTGCCCTCCGGTTCTTATATCATGTCTACCCCAAGGAAGGTGCTGGACATAACAGCAGTGAGCAACCAACGAATCAAGGTCTCTGCTGTCATCAAGATTGCATTCTTTTGTCACTGGGAGTCCTTGAGGAATCACCGACAGAGAGGGGATAGTTGAAAATACAGAAAGGAATAACCTCAATAGAAGTGAAACAGTGATTGTCACATTTCACTCTGTAAAACGAATCTCATGGGTAGCCAACCAAAATGGAGATTCCTGAAATCCACAGTTCTGAAACTCAGCTCTGAGAAGGGATCAGGAATCTGCATTTTATTCCTAAATCTTTCGGATACAGATGATTCATGGATCACACTTTTAAAAAAACACTGGTCTAGGAAGTGGAGGAAAGAGAAACCTATAGGCTATAGTGAGAATTTCTCCAGACAGTTTAATCCCTTTCCTAGTCCCTTTTCTAGGAAAACTGGGTTTGCTTCTTCAGGCTGGTTCAGTCTAGCCTCGTTTGGATAATTCTTTACTATAGGGAGCTTGTTGTAGTTATCCACTGTAGGATGTTTAAGAACATCTTTGGCTTCTCCCAACTAGATGCCTGTAGCAACTTTTCTTCTCCAGTAGTGATAATCACAAACATCTCCAAACTTTGCTGAACGTATCCTGGAGTGGGTGGCAAAATTACCCCTAGATGAGAACCATAGGACTGGTTGAAATCTTGACCTTTCACCTAGGATAAACATACTGCTTTAAATGGAGCCTTTCAAGTCTTCCCTCTGGAAGGGTGGAAGATGGCAGATAAGATAGTTCCAGATTTAGCTGCCAACCTCGTTTCCAGCCAGGTGTCAGTGGGTGGAGGTACACTTCTCTAAAAGTCAGGCCCCTGAGAGCCCACCACAGTAATCCTCTAGACATAACCTTTCTACAAAGTACAGAGGTCTAGATCTACCTCTTTGCCTGGTTATCCCCAAATCTTCCTGTCTTAGAGCTTATGTATTTCTATTCCCAACGGTAATTAAGGGTTTCAGTGAAAATATTGTCTGAAATAAAAGTTTAAACAAGGTAAAATGGCTTTCACTTCTTACTTTTTACAAACAAGAGTATTGAAGTTAAAACAATTGTTTTCCTACCGCTTTTTTAGAAAACCTTTTCATATGTCATTACATATTTACCTAGTCTCTCTGTCTCTCTGTACATTTTAAAATTTTTGCTCATGCCTGTAATCCCAGCACTTTGGGAGGCCGAGGCGGGTGGATCACAAACTCAAGAGATCAAGACCATACTGGCCAACATGGTAAAACCCCGTCTCTACTAAAAATAAAAAAATTAGCTGGGCATGGTGGGGCATGCCTGTAATCCCAGCTACTTGGGAGACTGAGGCAGGAGAATCGCTTGAACCCAAGAGGTGGAGGTTGCAGTGAGCCGAGATTGCGCCGCTACACTCCAGCCTGGCAACGGAGCAAGACTCCGTCTCAAAAATAAATAAATAAAAATAAATAGTTAAAATAAAATTTTTACATGGTGAGAGAATGAGTAACTACATTTTAAAAAATAAGAAAAAACTAAAGTGATAGTTAAAATAATCATTTTAATAATGTTAAGAACATAAGGCTAAGGATCCCCTTGAGATTCAAATTGCTTCTGTGTTTGTTAATATATATTATGATGATGAGTAACTCTGCCATGTTGAAATTAGTGCTGGGTGAGCCCTTCAAACCAAGCAAGTTGTAGGTAGAAGCTGAAGAAGTTGCATGGCTTAGCATTCGTTTTTTAAAAGAAAATTGGAGAACTGTAACAGGCAGTGACTTCAGATGTAACAGAAATCATGCTTTCTTTCAAAGATATACCTTCGGTATAATTGAAGAATTTTTCCTGGCATTTTTTAATGTATCAGATAAAGGAATAATGATGCAACCTTTACATCTTGTAATAAATATGGAGGTGATTTAACTTTGTCAAAGGCTAGATTCACAGGGACTCTAAGATAGCAATTGTGCCATGAGGAAACTTTCATCTTAATATTAAGCATGATTTTTAGTAGGTACAAGATACTGTATCATACCATCTCCAGCCCTTTAATGTTTATCTTTGTTCCTTGGTTAAAAGTTGTCATCTTATTGGAAGTTAAAGGTAGTACTTTTTTTTCAAAGAAGTTTTCCAATTGCATGAACTTGAGGCTTTCTTTCAAAGAAACCACTAATTTTTTTTTTTTTTTTTTTAGCAACACTATTATGCATTTCCAGTCCGCTGAGGATTCGATTCCTTTAATCTGTTGTTTTGAAAGTTTCTTGTATAACTCAGCCTCGTTGCAAGGGAACAGACAATATGTTGTCCATCCATGGAGGCTCTTTGTTGGACCAAAGAGATGATATTTCCAGTTTTAGATTGAAGGGAACCCTTTGGCGCTTTTGCTGAATTTTCCCTGAAGTACATTCACTCCAGGAGAAACAGACTAGAAGGTTCCAATTAGGCCAAGCCCTGGCAGGCACCTATATGGAGAAGTATCCTGGCTTATTAGGAGAACCACCTTAAATGCCCTTTATTTCATCTTTTATTTAAAGGCAGTTGGAACTGTGGTATATTGATAAATGCACTATACCTGAGGATACAGGTCATGCGCTTGAATCCCTGGTAATTGTCTATTAGCTAGCAAGTTCTTCCTCCCTAAGCCTCAGTTTCCTATCTGTAGAATGATGCGCCTAAAGTGATGTAGTACTTTTTGTTGTTGTTGTTGTTGAGAATTAAGTGATAGTAGCATATAGGAGAGATCTAATTGGTTGGGAGGGTCAATATGTTTTGAATCTGGAAAAAAAATAAAGTATATTAACCAATAGAGAAGTACTAATCAACTTTTATTGATTATTAAATTGATGCATAAGACCACCTGACTGATAAATAATTGATGTTCAGGGGCAGCCTGCACCAAGGAAACATAAGAGAATCCTTCACAGAACAGACCATCCATAATCTCCATTTGTACAGCGAATCCCAGCATGATTTATGTGGTTCTAGCCTTAGTGGAGAACATACCAGCATACCAGTAAAGGTGGGCAAGAAGCTACTTATTCATAAAGACTCAGAAATCTAGCTATGGCAACATGACCCCCCCCACCCCAACACACACACACACACACAGTCTTGGAGGACAATGCAGTAAATAAGTAACTAAAGATTTGATTCCAGAATAAATGGCAACCAGATTTAAGGTGGAATCACCAAGGACAGGCTCATCAATGAGCTGACAGCTCCTATTGTAAGAATGGTCTACCTTCAGTTTTTGGTTGAATTTCTTTGTCTTTTTGTGCTGCACTCCAAAGCCAAATTTGAGGGCCCCAAGCATGTTTCCTGTGTTCTATAGTTTGGAAACTGTATTTCCTGACCATTCTCTGTAACTGGAAAAAAATAAGATCGTAACTAGGCTACCCCACGAGTACTTCAGGTAGAAGAAGAAAACTTCTTTTAGAAGTACTTTTCTCTTGTTTTGCTAGGGCTTATCATGCCCTCATGCTATGCTGGTCATCTGTTGGAATACCCTCTCCTGTGGAGCCAAGACCCTGGGACTGAGGCACCGAGGAGTTCTAATAAATTAAAATGAAGATCCCAAAAGAACTTCCCAAAGGTACCCAGAGGTGATGTAATAATCTTTTATAGTCACAGACTTCTCTAAAATTTAACAAGTATTTTATTTTCTCACTTGGACCTCAGAATAACTCACAAAAGTATATTGTTATTAACCCCCTTTTACAGTTGAAAAAATAAATAGAAACTCAAAGAGATTACAGAGTGTCCAAACTTTCACAGCCAGTAAGTGGGACAGCCAAGACTTAGAGCCAGTTTCTCTAATGTATTATCTTGTGCTTTGTGCAGTGTAAGGATGGTGCTGGTATCTCTGTGCTCTGTAGACTAGTGGTTGAACAAGAAATACAGGGAATAGCATGTTTCAGATGGTATAGATGATAACAGGTAATATGTATTAGGTTCTTATAAATTATATTATCAGCCTCACATCATTTCGTGGTGTGTGCTGCATGACACATTAAAAGATTATGTTTTAAAAGTTTTTAAATTTTTTGATAAATAAGTGGTATATAACGTTTAGGGATAAGGAGAATTAGAAGTTGTATTTAATTGTATTTAATCAAGTTTTCTGTGAACATGTAGACAGCTTTTTTGGCTGCTGGCAAGAAAATGAAAAAGTGGAAGATGATGTTCCCTGCAATTTGACTAATTCATATCTCAGGTGAATCCTGATGGCAAGATTGGGAGTTTGTACAACTTTTCTCCCCTTATGGCTTAAGGAAGTTCACCTCATGACTGCTTCGTCACATGACTCACGCTTGTGAACAGTTAAAACACATCATAAGGCATGTTTCCCTCCACATAAATGGCATCAATAGCCAGGAATAAAGACTTAGGGCAGGAAAAGCCTATGGTAGATCTGCCTGGTCAAAGAAGACTGCATGTTCTACCCAGAAATGAATTTTATGAGCCTTCAAGTAGACCAAAAAAAGTTAACTTTTCTCTATTTCGGTTTTCTCATATATAAAGCAGCAATGATGGTATTCAACTTGTACATGTTATGAAGATTAATTTATTAAGGCACCAGCACTATACCTAGCAAACATAATTCTGTGCCTCTTAGATGCTGGTGCTATTAATGGAGGAGATGGTTTTTAAATTGTGGCTGTCTTTTGAGCAAAGACTGATCTTGAAATGCTTACATGCAAGGTACAGTAAGAGGAAGAAGACATAGATACGTATTGCAATTTGGCTGAAGTTTACTTTCTCTTTTATTTCTCCAAATTTTACTCTCCTGACAATCTCATGTATTTGCAAGAATGAATAGGTAGTAAGAATGGATACTGAACTAGGCATTGTGCCCTAGCTTTGTGTCTTTGGACAAGCCTTTCACGTCCTATTTCCCCACCCATAAAATTACAATGCTTCAACATCTCGGCAAATATTTATGGAGGACTCATATGCTAGGCACTGTTTTAGATGTTTGGGATATAATGGGAGGTGGTGAACAAGAAACATAAAAATATGAGTATATAAGAATATTAAAATAGAGAAAGAATGGCAAATTAAGGCATGAGGATGGAAATGGAGCTGCAATTTGAAAAGTATGGCTTGGGTAGTTTTCACCAAGATGCTGATATTTGGATAAAGTTCAGATGGATGTGAGGGAGCAAGCCTTACAGGTATCTCAGGTGGGGAAGAGTTTTCTAGGCAGAAGAAATAGTAAGCGCTAAGGCCTTACATTGCAAACATGACTGGTCTTTCTGAGCAGTAAACAAGAAACCAGTATTTAGGAATTGAGTTAATGAGAGCAAAATCAGAAGTATTGGGCCCCATGTGAAGACCATTTTGATAGATTTGGATTTAACTCAGTCTGTGATTGGGAAGCCACTCAAGGTTGTTGATAAGATAAGTGATATTGAGTTCATGTAACAGGATCGTTCTCGCTTCCATTTGAGAATAAACGGGGTAAAGGGTGGGAAGCAAGGAAACTAGTTAGGGGAAGCTTTTGTAACAAGCCAGTAAGAGGTTCTGAGAAGTTGGCCAAGTGGATAAGAGTGAAGAAGATGAAAAGAGATCAAGTAATAGATATGTTTTGAAAATATTGCTGACAGGACATGATGGCAGATTAGATGTTGAGTTGGAGAAAACAGGTATAGCATAAGATTCTGGGTGTTTAACCAAAGCATTGGGAAGAACTGTGTTGCCAATAACTGAGATGAAGAGGCATGCACGAGGGTCAGGTTAGGGGCAAGGGTGGAGTTAATCATAGAGCTCTCACTGTCTCTGGAAGGTTGGGAACAGTCTACAAGAAAAGGCTTACGGATGCTTAGATCATTCTCTTCATGTCAAGAGGTGGTCTTTGTGAAGATAACTCTTGCAAGAACCTGAAGTATAATTTAGATGGAAGATAGATAATAGAATGGTTACAACTCATTGTTAAAAGTAATAGGAAACCCCTACCTGCATCTGTGATCGTGTACACAGTAATCATTTGAAAATTATTTGAATGTGTGTTAATGTTAGTGGTGGATTTACAGCTCACAATGGAAAAAGCAGTGACCAGGAAAAAAGAAAATGATTTGGAGGGCATTATTCTGTGTCAACTCAAAAAATATTTTAAAGAAGACAGAAAAAGTTCAATTATTAAAAACCCATGGATCGACTGCTCAAATTTAAAACTAATTTAGTTAAAATTACTGATTTTTAAACTATTATACTAAAGACCTCTTATGAGCCCTTAAATGATGATAGCATTTCCTCTTAATTCTAATTTCTGTAATGAAAAAAGAGTTGAAATTTTAGGTTAATGTAGTGAATTATTTTATATAGCTACATATGTGTCTAACATTTTACTTCAATTTTCTGTGCTATAGTTAAGAGCTCATTCGTTATGAATTATGTGAGGAGAAATTATATTAGAGGTAGAAGTGATATTAATATACTCTTAATTGGAGCAATGATTGCACAGGTGACATGAGTCAAATCATAGCCCTCTCCTGTGCAGTTCTGTTAGTTAGAAGGCCCACACTGGATATGGTAAATGGTTTTATGATGATTGCTAACTCTCATCAATTGCTAGTGTTTGACTGAGCTATGTGTTGAGAAGAATGCTGAGACCATGGCTAGGATCAGTAGGAAAAAAGGACCTGATTGATTGGGCATATCTGTTAAGGATACCAATGAAGAAATGGCAGTAAATGTGTCACACACTAATCATCCTTGTTTTATTGGTTCTAGAAAGGGCTTAGAGTATTGACAAGTATGGGTTGTCTTAAGGATGCCCATTGCTTTTTTTTTTTTTTTTTTTGATATATATCTTCTTGCCTTTTCCTGGCTTTTACACCCATTAGCCCAGGCACTGTCCTTTTCAATAACCTTGGATTTGTTCTTTGGAAGGTCTTTTCATATAACCTGCCATTTGCTACTTTATTTGGTTAGTAAATGTGTGCAGAGCAGGACCAAAGGCAGCAAGATTGTTGTACTTATGTTCTGGAAAGCTAGTTGGATGAGATTTTCAAGTAATCCTAAAGAATATGTAGATTCGAAACTGGGAATTTATTGGTAGACTTAGATGCTGAGATAAGGTCAGTCTTAGTTAGAGATGGCAGGTGCTGGCTTCAGTGGTTTAAGACCGAATAAAAGATTAAAAATTATGCATTTATAACCCACTTTGTAGCAAAATACAGTTAAAGATTTAGGAAACAGTGCTAGGGAACCCAAGTGTTTGTGTTTTGAAGGAGATAAACACAGAGCTTTGGGAGATTTGGCCTTCAGTGTTTGGTAGGCACTTCCAAACAAGAAGGGGGCTCCCTTTTAGGGGTAGTGAGGGATCTCAGCTGGGGTCTAACAGTGTATACCTGAGAATCGAATGAGGTAAGGTGGTGTCATCCTTTACCAGGTAACACCATTTGGTTTTTAATATGAGATATTTATAAATGATATTCTTAACCAAAATGAATAGCTGGAATTTGGGGAATTTAAGGTCCTTGAAGTGGTCGTATAAAATATTTTATATAGACTATTTATTTTGATGCTTCCCAAATTACATGTTTAAACATCAGCTTCCCAGGCTAGATTGCCTTTCCTACACCTTCTAGTAGAGCCACCTTGACTCTCTATTATCAATATTCCTTACCAAGTCCTAAATGTTCTTAGATATTTTAGGTGTCACATTTTTACATAAAATTCCTATGTTTTCTTGCACTCAGTCTTGACTACCCCTTTATTCCATCTAAAGGATTCAGTAGTGCTAGAAAAGATACATAAGTGTTGGTATTTTCCTATTCCCCTCATGAACTTCTCCATTCCTTATCCCTAAAACTGTAATATTCAGGCACTGAGACCAAGCCAAGATGGTGGTAGCTTCAGTAAGAAGAGAGTTTAAAAAAATCTAAAATGCTGAATGGGGGAAACTTTGAAAGGAAAAGAAGGATGAAGATGTAGGAAAAGAGAAACATAAATTTTTTAAGACCATGTTTGGACTCACCTGGTGATTTAAGGAAAGATGGGTCATAATAATAATAAAAGCTGAGATGTATTAAGGGCTTACCATGTGCCAGGCACTCAACTTCAGTGGCATTATCTCATTTAATGCTTTATAATACTAGAAAGTGCTATTTTCATTTTTAATTTTAAAGAACTTTTATGAGGTAGAGGTAAGTTTAGTGGTTGTTCAAGATCGTGTAGTTAGTGATCCATCCAGTCAAGGTTTGAACTCAGGCTTTAAGTCTAGAGTCCAGGTTTCCCTCAGTAGGAGAGATGAAAACATGCATGTAAGAATGAATTACCAGTGACAGAGAGTGCACAGGAGAGGAAGAAAGAGGTGGGGAAGAGGTGATCACAGGAACAAAAGGGGCTGGGGTCCCAAGGAGAGGCAGCAAACATTCACTGGGAACGGAATCTCTCTGCTCTCTCCTCATCCTGGACCTCGGTAGCAACAGAGCCTTTGACTAGTTATTTCCATACACCTGATGAGGAGAGGATCACAGGCTGCATGGGTGTTTACTTCCCCCAACATATGAATAATGCCACATTAGAACATAGCTCCTAGGGCTTAGATGAGAAGAGAAGTGAAAGAATGAGGAAGGATCGTTCCAGATCTTCAGATTTTGCTAATTTTCCAGGCATAGTACTCCACCAACCTGCACCCAAACCGCAGCCTTTGACTCTTCTAGTCTACTTTTCTCTCAGTGATTATGCATTGCATGCTGGAGGGTAGGAGCCATTTTGCAAGTTATTAAATGGCCTTCAGTACTTAGCAGCAGATACCATGTTCATACAAGGTTAGGCAGTTCAGAAAGGGTGGGGTCATTTAGTGACTTTGATCCATTTTATGAAAACATATTTCTCATGGGTTCCTAGATAATTGTTCCTCTTACATTTGTCTTCTGGTCATGATGATATCACCTAGGGAGGGAGAAGGGTAGAAATAGAGGGATCAAAGGTAGTGATGCTCTGCTAGCTGGCTCTCCTATCGGTAAGGCAAAAAGGAGGCTTAGCTCCTTGCATAATTATTTATGAGACATAAACCTTGGGTGGTCAAGACATGCTGATGCACAGAATCAGAGACAAGATCAACAGTTAATGCCTTATGTATTCATGTGACATAAGGACTGTCTGCCCAAGAATATTTCCCAATTATGGGGGGGGTGCCTGAAAGCCCATTGGCTCTTCTCTTTGTTGCATAATTCCTCATGATTTTTTTGTTACATGGAAACCAATAACTTAGAGGAGGTCTCTGGCAGGAGATCCTGAAGGGTTGGGATAAGCGAGGGTGCTGAAAGGAAGGCAAGGAAAGAGTAAGTATAGGAAAAGAAGGTGGGGACTACCTGGATAAACAGGTGGCCCTGTTCCGAACTTTCCAAGGGCCAACCTGTCAGTACTCCCACTTATCTTTGAGATTTCCATGTTAGAAAGAATGCCTTGTTTCGGGTTGAGCAAAAACTGTTTCACCTTTATTGGTGAGAAAAAAAATGGCTCTAAGCCATATTTAGGAAATTTGTTGACTATAATTAAGATTTCATGGGCGTCCCCAAGGTTTACTTACCCATAATTGAAAAAATGCAAATGAAGACAGTTAATCAGTGGACTGGCCGACTATGAAGCACTACTACCTATGTAAATGAATTAAAAATGAAGACACAAAATATGTCCAGTTGAGAAAGTTACCAAAGAGCCAAGTGGTAAATTCCTCAGCAAGGCTGTGGAGAATTTTTTCTTAGCCTGACAGCCTGCAGTGCCTTCCTGCCAAGGTCTTTGCCAATTTAATCTTGAGCCATTCCATACAGATTTCCTCACAACTGGCCTTCAGCACTGGCTGGTTCTCTGGCATTACTTAAGGAAGCCCTGAAGAAAAGATAACAGACCTCTTGTCCTCTTTTCTGTGTAATTGATCCACTACTTAGAGCTGTAAAATATTTGCTTTACAAGATCCTGTTATCAAATGGAATTTGAAACTCTTTAGGAGTTATCGCACAGAATTTCACTTATCAGGGATCAGTATGTGTTGTAATATTAACTCTTTTAATGTGGTTTTGTTTGTTTTGAGACACAGTCTGTTTCTGTCACCCAGGGTGGAGTGCAGTGGCTCCATCTCAGCTCACTACAACCTCCGCCTCCTGGGTTCAAGTGATTCTCCTGCCTCAGCCTCCCCAGTAGTTGGGATTACAGGCACCTGCCACCACGCCAGGCTAATTTTTGTATTTTTGGTAGAGATGGGGTTTCACCATGTTGGCCAGACTGGTCTCGATCTCCTGACCTCAAGTGATCCGCCCACCTCGGCCTCCTAAAATGCTGGGATTATAGGCATGAACCACCATGCCCAGCCTTGATGTGTGTGTGTGTGTGTGTGTGTGTGTCTGTGTTTTTAACAATAAATACAACATATCTGTGATGGTCACTTTTACCTCTAACACCATCCTTCCTTGTTAAAATATGCAACCAATTTTTATCACCTGATTTAAAATCATCCCCAAAATGTTTTGCATTTCTGTTAATACTTAAATCTTCTCCTTAATGATTTCATTAATTAGCAACTCATAATATGGTATTAGTACAAAAAAGTGCACAATATGTCTGTAAAATCAGCTGTGGAAATAAAAGCATAAATGCAACATCCTTTAGATAAAAATATTTGTCGGCCGGGCGCGGTGGCTCACGCCTGTAATTCCAGCACTTTGGGAGGTCGAGGTGGGCAGATCATGAGGTCAGGAGTTCAAGACCAGCCTGACCAACATGGTGAAACCCCCATCTCTACTAAAAATACACAAATTAGCCAGGCGTGGTGGCACACATCTGTAATCCCAGCTACTCAGGAGGCTGAGGTAGGAGAATCGCTTGAACCCGGTAGGCGGAGGTTGCAGTGAGCCGAGATTGTGCCACTGCACTCCAGCCTGGGTGACAGCGAGATAACATCTCAAAAAAAAACAAAAAAACAAAAAAGTCAGTATCAGACAATATTTGATAGCTAACAAACAATAGAAATCAAACAATTCAAATACAGAAGTCGTGATACAATGGATGATATATCTGTGCCATAAACAGAATCAAGTTTTTTTGGACAACCCTGTTAAAATGTCTGCTCTTGGGAGGTAAATAAGTTTCCTTTCCCACACTACTTAGCAGATTCTGAAGGAGCAAGGTGCCTGAGTGATTAATAATGCCTGCCATGGACACTATGGATGAGAATTTGTTTGATGAGAAAGAGTGAGTAGACTCCAACACAGAAATGAGAGCTTGCTATCAAGGAAATGTCTTTCTGTGAACATATAAACATTCTGAGATAACTTAAGTGGGAAAAGATGTGATTAGGCTGAACCTTTTCACCATGTCTTTGTTTGCTTGAGTTATTTATTACCCTGGACTTTCTAGAGGTTTTTAAAAAGTGTTATTGATATAGACTCTGGAAAATGTACGCAGGTATTTCAAGATATTTCAAACATGTCACAGTTTCTAAGGACATCAAATAGGTCTTCAAAGCCTCATGGATTTTTAAAACATGAAATGTTCTTCTTGGAGGATAATAGGCTCCAATGCTCTGGGTTTCTAACCTCTAATTCATTAACAGCAAAGCTGACTTGTAGCAAAATTTTTTTTTCCTTGCAAGCAATATGTGACTCCTTTGAGGGAGATAACAGTTTAAATATAAATAAATGACCAGCTCCAGTGGAAAGATTCCAGTTTCCTTGAGGTGTTTGCTTTCAATTTATTGCCAATTCTCCCATCAAAATTTCCTACCCTGAAAACCTACTCTAGGTCTGAACATGTTTAGAACAACCCCCTTAAAATCGTTCTTGTTCTTATATGTTAAAGCTATGCTATTCCCATTTTAAAATATTGCAAAAGGCTAAAGTGGACTTTACACATATTTAGGGAAATATTTTAGCATTATCAAACTCATTAGTGTTATTGGCTCTGACTTACAAAAATGAAAATAAAATAGCAAGGCCCAAATGGAACTGGTTCCTTCTTCCAGGCATTTCTAAGCCATTTGAAGTAATCAAAGTAAACACCTCAGTTCTTTTATTTCAAAATCACCTTCCAGATGGATTTGGCTTATTTTATTCTATTTAGCTTAGCCAGCGGTCCCATGACATTTGCATTATTTTTAATCCAATGACAGATTGCTTTGTGATTTGGATTTTCATGAACTGCCATTTATGTGTCATTAATTTTTGTTAGTAGATGATCAGCTTTTTTGAAAAAAGACATACAATGTGAAAATTGATCTCTCTCTCCATGCATATTGTAAATATATGAATTCAGAACACACAGTCAAATCCTAATTCTCTTCTTTAATCGTATGCCCGGCCTCCACAAGTTAACATTCTAAGACATTTACTATGTCATGTCATCTGCAATGTGTCCCCTACTTGTTTTATATTATTTTTCACTTTTGACAATACTATTATTTGTTTTTAAAGCAAGCTGTTACAAAATAGCATTTATTTTATTTCTATCTTACCTCAGGAAGTTCACCATTCTGAAGGGTAAAAGATTGCTAATTACTTAACTATTCCCTACTTAACCAAGGAAGGTTATTTTCTATTCAAGTAAAATACTTGTTGATGACGTTATATCTTAGATTATTAAAAATATCTTAGATTATTAAAAGGATATTAATATTGATTTTAAAGGTCTTATTCTGAGAAATTTTTTGGTAAATTTATTGAACTTTTGTGTATGGATTTAATCTTTGTAAAAACAGTAAGGAATATGAAAGGACAAAATCAAACATGTTATACACCTACAGTATGCAGAACATCACCCTACATGAAACAATTGGGAAGATCAATATAAGCAAAACATGATTTTTTTAATATTTACTCCCATAAATACAACTGGACCTCTGATAAATCACCTAGATGTAACATACACACCTCAAACTCGGTATGTCCAAAGTTATACTCAGCATTGTAGCACTTCAACATCCTTTATATTTCCGCAATCTAGGTTGAGAGCATTGATGTATACTAAGTTGGACTAGTTAGGTATTTGAGAATTGTCCTTCCTCGTCACTGTTAACCATTCAGTCACCAACAACCTCTTATTAAAGAGTGTTTAGATATCATGCCCACAATGAAGCTGTTTCCCTTCTCCTATCCCTACTTGACTCAAGGTAAATTGCTATTCCTTTTGTTCATTTAGCATCTCGCATCCTACTAAAACACTGTCATACAGTGTTAAAACCTTTAGTTTGTGTCTATTTTTCTCATTGTATTGTGAGCTCTTGTGTTTCAGTGCTTATGTCTATTTGTGTTTCTATACCCAACACTTAAGCACAGTAGTTGGCAGAAAGTATTCAGTAGGTGTCTGAAGAAATACTTGGATGATGTGTAGATGGAAAAATGTAGGGATAGACTGGAGGATAAAAAGTCAGTGATAATTCAACATTTCAAGAGGTGTAGTTGCACTTTCCTTTGAAAGAATGTGGTTGACTTCTGCAGTCGAATTCTGTTTCTGTTGAAACTGAACACCTGTTGCAGCATAAGTCCTGTTTGAATGAAGTAGCATGCAGCTAAGGACATAGGCTTTCAGAAATATTCAGTTGATAACATAAGCTGTAGCAAGAGTCATTTCAAATACTTATTACGATGTTCTTCAGCTTTGGTGATATAAGGAATTAGGCTGCACAAATATTGATAAATGGAAGAATCACAATTCAGATAAGTCTTTGCTCCAGTCTTTCTGCCCATTCAAAACACAAAATGAGGAGAGTATAGGGAACAGAAATCTTTTAGAAGTTGAGTGGTATTAAGAAGAGTAGGAATAGAGGCAGGGGAAAAAAAGACAATGTCCTATAGAAAGGCCTATAAAACAGCTCTCCTGCCCCTATTTGCTTTTCATGGACTGTAATAGCACAAGATGGGAGGAAACATCTGTTTTCTTTTAAACATAGTATTTTGATGTTTTAAGAGAATCATAATAATTAGCAGAAGTCTAATTTCCTGTGGTTAGGGACAGCAGATACCTATGGGATGGAATAGGGAGAATGAGTGTAGCAGATCTTGGTAGATTTTGAGGGCTGAGGATTCATCTGCTCTGGATGGCTCTGGGAAATAGCATGGAGGAATGGTAAGATCATGGGCTCAGTGGTTAGATGGCCTGGGTTTACATCTTGGCTTCACCACATGTTAGCAGTGTGATAATGGGCAAGCTATATGCTTCTAAGTCTCAATTGGTCAAGCCTTGTCTCAGGGCTGGTTGTGAGATAGAATGAAATAAACGAAACTCAGGGAACTAGTTCAGAAAACAGCACATGGTCTAATTTGTTAAATGTATGCCCTTGTTTTTAAACTAGCTGAAAATAAGCAGTTTCTCTTAGGTTAGATACAGGAACTTAATGGGATATCCTATAGGAATATAAAAGGCCCTTAACCAGGAAAAGATGGATATGTCTTTCTGCTGAAAAGGCCTGTCACTGTAATTCAGGTCAGCTTGAGGAAGGGCTGAGAGGTGGTTGATTTTTGAGGCCATTTTAAAACTAGCAAGACTGGACCAGGTAAAGGATTAGATGACTAATAAGAGTAGCTGAGCCCTGCCTAGTATAAATGTGCTTCAGAATAATGGAGCAAATCCAAGACAAATTAGCAGAGATCAGTTTCCAGTGTCTATTTATTTCCATAAGGGTGACTCAAGGCCAGGAAGAACAAGGAAGGGCTGAGCTCTGGGCAGCAACATACCTGAGGCCAGAGGCTATAGTCAGCAAGGATTTGGGCTATGAGGATGAGACTAAGAATCACAGATTGTGAGAGATGAAGCACTTATCAGACATAGCCATGATGTTAAAAGGATGTTGCCAGGTTTAGGGGACAGGCTTCCAGCCTGTTCATTAGTAGAAAAGAGTTCATTTTGGATAGGCAATAACTAAAAAACAAGACCTGAGAGATCAAGTGATGCTTCGGGGGAACATTGCTCCATGGTGGGGTTCAGATGAGTGGGCCTTGGAGAGAGATAGTAGTGGTCCTAATCCCTACTTTGCCAATGACTGCAGGGACAACAACTTACGTTACCTCCCTAAGCTTCAACTTCCTCACTTATTAAATGGGGAGTAATAATCATTCCTACTTCGAGAATTTTTGAAAATTAAATCACACAATTAAAAGGACTCAATGTCAGGCGTCTAGTAAGTGCTCACTGAATTTTGATTATTATGAAAACTTATACGTATTCACTTACCTATCTTGTTGAAAACGCCATCATTACAATAAGTCACAAAAGAGAATGCAACTATGTTAAATAAATGTTCCTAAACTTGGTATTTAAAAACTGTTGCCATGCAGCTTTATTCTAATATCTTTTCTTTAGGAAGTGAAGTTTTAGCCAACCTTGCCAATTGGAAAACAGAGTTTTGGCACCATCTTGGAAAGGCATAAAGAAACCCATTTTTAAATTGGAAAGAATTGTGATTGTGCTGATAATGATCTAAATCATGAAAGTGCATCTACAGAAAAGGGCAAAATGTAACCTTTGGAAATTCAACTTTTTTTAAAAGTCAAATTTTGTATTAACTTTAAATTGGGCTTATTGTTTGTGGAAATATTTGTTCCAGTTCAGTTGGCTGGATCTCTCACCTCCTCACTTTACCTTGCTGCAAATTCAAGATCTGCCTTAGCAGGTGGCTTGAATAAAATTCTTGGCTTTATATTTCAAAGCTATCTCACTCTCAAACAGTGTATTAGGTTTATTTACAGGATTCCTGCATCAGGTTTGAAAGGCAAAGGGGTTCTGAAGAAGAGACAGGCTCTCATATTTTTGCTGCAGAATTAAACACCATCTATTTGAAAATGGAATCTGTGGTAAAAATCTCCAAATTTACTTGTAATCCCTTCTCTTCAGATCAGCTCAATTCTCCCAAGACTCACTCTTTGGGGACCATTTAATAATACAAGAGCAATATCATCTTGTTCTATTTCTACTAATTCTGTTGCCCAAAGCAAATCAATGAAACGTCCCTGTCATATTTTACCCTTTATTTACTCATAGCATGCGATAGAATTAACTAATTTTATGAATTAACATTACTCATTTTTGAAACCTGACAGACTTACAGAGAACTGTGCATTGGCCAAAGGTGTTAGGTATTTAGCTTCTAAAGAAACTGTGACTTATCTGTTCCTGATTGTTCCCAACATTTTGCTGTCTCATCTCTGTCCTTCATTATTTACACTTCTACCTGGGGGTAAGATGGGAAAGACGAAAAAGTAAAATTCATGTGAGATAACTGGCTATGATATTACCAAACTTGTGTATGACGGAAGTCCTGAAATCACTGGATAAAGTAAACCATCAAGACAGTCTTTAGGTTTCATTAATCCAGTGGTTCTCAAACTTTGGCAAGTATCAGAACCTCCTGGATGGCTAGCTAGTTAAAACAAAGATTGCAAGGTTTTGATTCAGTAAGTTTTGGATTGGGCCTGATAAATGCGATTTCTAACAGATTCCCGGGTGATGCTGATGCTGTTGCACCTCAGGGACTAGGCTTTGAGAATCACCCCACTAATTCATGCTTGGCTTCTCTCCTGTTAACATGAATAACCTAGAGTTTGCTTTTCCTTAGCTATCTTTAGAAATTTGGGCTGTATAAACGAAAGAGTATGGGGTTCAGCAGTGATTTTGGTATACGTGCATTTTGTATGGCATAATAGAAGTGATCAAGTAAGTGGGTTACTCCATCCATTTGGTTGAGTTAATTCACAAAGCAATTATATAAAACATCTTCCATTGTTTTCCCCAATGGTCAGACTACAAGCTTTTCTGGTGATGGAAAAATTGAGCTCATTTGATTGACATTTTTAAAAACACAGCGCAACATTAATTTAGCTTAAATAAGGGATATGGAACAAAAAGCAGCCAAAGGAACAGTATCACAGTTGTGTTAGATACAACTTCTGATAACCTCAATACTGCGTGGGACATATTTTGTTAATAAGAAATGATACGAAGCTAAAGTGAATGCCAGTCACGTCAGATGGAAGAACCATAAGATCTACAGTCTCTCAGTTTAAACACTTTCTTAGTCACCTAGCCCCCAGAAGGCTTAATGCAGCTACAGTTCATGAAGTTCATGAATTACAGGCTACACAACAAATAATCTCTCCAACTAGGAACAGCATACTTAAGAACATCTTTGCTTCCTTCAGTTAACTGTAATTGATATATCTCATTAGTTGATGTTACAAGAAGTTTGATGAAAGATCAGACTATGCTCAAACATCCCTGAGGCTGGAATGATATTTGCAGTTCAGCTGTTAATTCTTTTCTTTCACTAGCTCACATGTAGACTCCTGGCTGATGGAGAGTCTAGGAAATGCATTTTTGAGCCTCACCAATCCTGAGCTCAGGATATAGAAATAGTGTATAGATAAATAGGTACTTCCATTGGTTGGGCTATAACATTGAGACATAACCCCAGCATCTGTGATGCAGGCAGTGAAGCAAGAAGGTTGAAGAAGATATTGAATGATCTAGTATACAGTACATACCACACTAACTACTTAAAGACAGAAAAAAGGTAACCCAAAATATTCCTGGCCTAAAAGTCTGGTGATGGGCCTCTAAACCTATTCTCAAGTTGTGACTTGTCTTGGCATTTTTAAAAGCCATCCTATCCAACAAGGTGACAGTACAGATGAGTAGTATCTTTAAAGACTAAAACCTGTGCTAGTTACTGGACCTCTGCATGTATCAGCTCTCTCATTCTAAAAGGGCATGACGATAATGCCTATATTATAGAGTTGTTAACAAGAGCTAAGTGGGAAAATACAAATTTCTCATAATAGTATTTGGCACATAGTAAATACTGAATATTTCATTAATGCATGTATGAGAAGGTCTCACTGAATGCTATGAGATCCTGACATAAGTATCAGTATTTATATAGGAGGTATACTGAGGACCTGTTAATAGTTAAATTGATACTCCAAGCTCAATTAACACCTCATAGAAGCAAGAACACCCATGGATTGTTCTTCTGCCTAAATGACTGTATCCTCACCAACCCTGAGCTCAAGATACAGAAATAGCCTATAGATAGATACTTCCATTTCTTGGGCCATAAAATTGAGAGGTAACCCCTTATAACTTTTTTTCTTTAGTGTCTGCCAAATGCTTGTCCAACATTTGAGTAAATGTCACCATTGCTAATTACCCTAATGTAATAATATGAGATGTTCTACTTTGGAAAACTTTTGTTACCTTGGAATTCCTACCTGCTAAGATGAGGGCTTTGCCATTAGCTGTATTGAGATTTTAAAAACCTTAACTTGTGATAATTTGCTCCTTTTCAGCAATACTATTTATTTGCACAAGGAAAACATTATTTTAACCGTGAAAGTACATCACCATTTTGTGAATTTGGGGCCTCCATTAACCCACATGTATCTCATTCTTTTCCTACTCTAGCTGGACAGTGCCACATCGCTTATCCAGGCAGCTAAAAACCTGATGAATGCTGTTGTCCTCACGGTGAAAGCATCCTATGTGGCCTCAACCAAATACCAGAAGGTCTATGGGACAGCAGCTGTCAACTCACCTGTTGTGTCTTGGAAGATGAAGGCTCCAGAGAAGAAGCCCCTTGTGAAGAGAGAAAAGCCTGAAGAATTCCAGACACGAGTTCGACGAGGTTCTCAGAAGAAACACATTTCGCCTGTACAGGCTTTAAGTGAATTCAAAGCAATGGATTCCTTCTAGGACGATAGGTTTTAACAAGAAAGCTTTTTCTTTCTTTTCTTTCTTTCTTTTTCTTTTTAATTCCATTTTTGTATGCATACCTGCCAGCTCGTATGCCTCTGGCATGGGGAAATTAAGGGAACAGTGTCTGTTTGCATGTAAGATGAGATGAGATCAATACTACTGATCCATCTGTAGCCTGGGAAGGAGACAGGACATTCCTGTACTAAGGTGGCACAGAGCTGTCCTTTGCAACATTCTCATAAAATTGGGCACAGAGTTCGCATTGGCGCAATATTTATGGGAGTGGGAGGGATGGGGAAAATAAACTTAACTCTACAAAAGCAAACTCTAATGCATGCAAGAATCATTAGGTTGGCAGGTATATGCATAAGTGAAAAATCTGGAAGTGTAATGGTAGAACATAAAACTTGTATTGCTTCTGTTTCAGTGCAAAAATGTACTAGCCAATACGCTTAAGTGTGTGGCCCATGAATTGAACAATTTAACCTTGAAGTCTATATCCGTGATATTATGTCGATTTTTAACTGAGGGGAAATTAACTAGTCCAGCCTAAAATGCTTCTTTTAATCTGCATTCTGTTTCCTCTTCTAGTTGTGCCATTACTAGTGATCATGTTTTTTTCCCCCCTTTAATGAAAACAATAAACATCTATTTGAGACAATTAAAATCCTTCTGGGGGCACTGGAAGCACAATACGGTGACCAATCTTGCTTTCATTTTTTTTTCTTTTTAATTTGAACCATGATTTTGCTAGAAATAGAAGGCCCAGTGGTGGAATATTAGAGGGAAGGAAACTGACAACGTGTGAAAGTTAGAGGCAAATACATAGGTGTAGCTTGGAGTGCTGGTATCTAATATACCATTGTATTCACTAACTAACTCAAAATAAACACATTTAATCTTGACATCTCAAGTATGTTTTCTTTTTTAATTTTTTAAGTATGTACTTAATAAAGATTAGAGCATCATCTTCCTGAAAATTCATTAAAAAAATGCATTATGTTTTGGTTTTTAGAGATTAGTAATAAAATTTTAGAGATTAGTAATAAAATAGATGATATCCAAATAATTGTCATTTTTAGAGTTCACATATTTATTTTGTGGTTTGTTTTTCCACTTGTTTTCATTCACTTTCATACTGCATTGAAAATGACAGTCTTTCTTTGTAATAGAAGAGCCAATTAATTTAAAAATATTTTACTCATTTTAGACTTTTTCCTTTTAAGTAAGTTGGAAAAACAGGACCTCTGTCCCATTATTAAAAAGTGGTGATAGTATTTCAACTATGAACTGAGAAATGGAGAAAAAGTCCCCAAATAGTCACCTGAATTCTCCAAACTCCTCTCATTGGAATGATTGCTACAAGTTATCACATTACCATGTCTCCAAAAGGCTTCTAGTAAATATGCATGTTTCTTTCTTAGCAAAGAAGTGATGATAACACAATGGGAGTTATGAACACCTAAGCTTATGTGCAAGATCCCAAAGGGAAGGAGCTATAAGGGAGTTGTGGAAGGAGAAAAAGCTTAATCTAAAATCTTATTTAGAAATGATTCTTCTCAAACCCCTGCTTACTACTACTGGAAAATAACACCACCAAGACTGAGAACATTTCAGTAGAGGAGACACCACGGAAGCCGTACACTGATTTTCAACACTAATCATTAGATCACAGATAACTAGCCTGCTTCATTAATTTGCATAAACATTCAGAGGGTGCCACTGACACACACTCACAGATATTTAAGGAAGGCCTTAACTGAGCCAGGTTCTAGGCTGAGCGCACCACTAGTTAAATGTATGGGTGACTTTTCTGTTAGCACATAACCATGACATAACAAGAAACCAGCATGCCATTTTTGCCCAATGACCTGAACAAAGAAAGACAGCTTGTTCTTGGCAGCATATTTTTGATCTAAGGAATCTGAGTTTCTCCCAAACAGCAATAAAAATACCCTTTTGAGAAGTTTTTCCTGACAAGAGCCACTCATTCTGTTTTTCTCCTCCCTAACAGATGCTTAGAGAAATGGAAAGATCTCTTTAGCCTCCCCTTCTTCACAGGATCTAGGGAAATAATAGAAATATTAAGGGGTTAAAGACAGGAAAGAAAAGTACATCAACCTAGTGATGATGATCCTATAGAAAGAAAGAGTCAACACAATGCCATTCAGAAGTCCCCAAGGAAATGTAATTAGCATAATTAACTTTCTGGATTCATACATTATTATTTATTGGGTCAAATATTTTGCAGACCAGCCAAGAAGCTTTTGAATTTTAAAAGTTTCTTGGCAAATCCTGAAAAATTGCCAGTAGGTATCAGAGGAATATATAGAGAATGCCCTTGACTTTGACCTATAAAACATTAAATGTTTCAATGCACGCTTATGAACAGTGTTTATGTGTGTGTGTGTGTTGATTTCAGTGCTTACTGAGTAAGCATCATCACTATCCTTTCCATCATTGCTTTTGTGATCAAGGAAAACAGTAACTATTCAGAAAGATAAATATAGACACTTAGTTGAAACCATTAAAGCAATAAAGAAGTTGGTAAATTTCTTGTCCTCAAGAAAAATACAGTCTAATTGAGAACATATTACATAGACAAAAAAAATGTGCCAAGAAATCGTACTCAAAAGTACCAAATGAATATGGTAGAGAAATTACTGTGTGGTGCTAGTGAAGTCAAACCCATTGAAGACTAAAGTAGCTGGGTAAGAATAATGCAAGAAGCAGGACTTGGAAATGAGAAAATAAATACATTCTGAATGAATGAAAATTATAAATCAGCAAATTTGGCAAGAGGGGTGATGGTTGGACATTCAAGGAAGAACAGCTTACTTTAAATATGTGAAGACAAGTGTAGTCAGAGGGAACACAGGATTTATCAAGGGGATTAAGGGGTATAAATGTGGAGATGAGATGTAGTTTGAAACTAAACTATGGAGGTCATAAAGGAGGGTGACCATTACCCAATAGGAAAGGTGGAGTTTTTAAGTGGGATGATGACACTGAAATTAATGATGTGTGGGGAGATGAGAGCTGAAAGGGGCTGAGAGTTAGAAGAGGCATATATGATAGAAACGTCAGAATGACTTCCAGTGACTTCTTGAATAACTATATATGGGGAAAGAATTATTACAGTATATGCTTTCTTCAAGGAGATTAAAGAATAGAAAATAGGAATAATTAAAAAGTGATATTTTAAGATGAGCTGGAAGGGTATATTTGAGGAACATAGAATCCTAAGCAAATACTTGTGGGTATTTTCTAAAGAAGCATTTTTGGCTGCAGCAGGATGGATCCTCCTGATGGGAGGAAACTAAATAAATCTGTCTCCTATGCCCGCTATTCTAAGATGGATGTTTTGGAAGCCAAAACTGTTATATTCTTCTAAGGACACAAAGTATCCAGGAAATCATAAGAGATCTACAGAAGATTTATAGTTTTTTTTCCATTAAGTATTGAAAACCATGAAGTCAACTTGATTCTTAGAAGTCAACCCTGTAAGCAATTGGTTATGATTTGGGCTCATGGGGAAATAGACTATACAAATGCCATCATGATGGTCATCAATTTTGGGGCATTAGTTATGTATAGGACACCTTTTATTCACTCGAGGCATAAAGATCTATAAAATAAGGTGTATAGCAGAATACCTAAGCTAAATAAGCATACCAAAATATTGTCATTCAAATTGATAAATTATAACTCCTAAATGTGCTGGTCATAGGTCATAAGTGATTTGACTTTTATTGCTGTGTCATCACACATTAATCCAATTAAAAAGGCCAGTGCTTACTCTTGAAGATTGTGGCATCATTTAGAGGTAATGAGAGGGAAAAAAAATTATAGAAAAATGTCAGTAAAAATATACTAGAGTAGTGGAGTAATATCAGAAAGATGGTGGACTAGGAAGCTCCAGGTCCTTGTTCCTTCATGGAAACACAAAGTAAACAACATATTAACCACAATAGCTTTATGGAAACTTTAGAAACAGTTAAGGATTTGCAGCAACCAAGATAATGTCCATCAAGAGAAAGCCACACTCAACATGGTAGGAAATTTGGGGTCATTTCTGCTCACTTGTGCCCCCACCCCTCCCTGGCATGTTCAGGAGGGAAGCCACTCAATTCCTCGTGTTATAGAAGAGACCAGGTTCTTGTCACACGACCAGGAAAATTTAGGCACATGGACACATTGTAGGGTGAGTAGGGCAGAGTGCACTGGGTGAAAAAAAAGGCAAGAGCAACTCAGCAAAGCCAGAGAGAGTCCTGCTAGCAGGTTTCCTGCCTCACTGATTGAATCCCAGGTCACATAGTAACAGGCAAGGCCACGCTCCTCCCCCATGCAAAGGGCACGAATTCCGAGGCTCCACCCCATCCTCCCAGTGTGCAGGTGGGCATTATTCAGAAAGAATTAGTTGAGAAAGTGTGGGTGTCATCCACAACCAGCAGTCCAGTGTTTTCAGCTTTCAGGCTGTTTTAGGCTTGAAATCAGGGTTTCTCCAGGGACCCTTGGCTGTCTCCTGTCTCTATCATGAGTTCCTCCTTTACAATGGAAGAAAAAGAGTAGAACTTCTCCCTTGTTTTGTGGCTTCCTAGAGGAATAGTTTCTTTCTCCCCTAACTCAGAGAGTAATTGGGAATGATGATATAGTTTGAAAATCAGGTTTCAGGCCACTGAAAGCCGCAATAGGCACAACAACACATTAAAGCTTTGGGGAATTCAAGACCTATGGGGTCCTGGAGGCAACAGAGTAGAGGCCGAGGAATACAATAGAAGACTTAAGGTCCTGAAAAGAATCAGAAGTAAGGCTCTTAAGGAAAATAGGATATATAAAAGCAGCTGTGTATACCGGGACTTGGGAGAAGGAAGAAGAACACACAGAGGCTCAGTAAATACATATGTTTAGAAATGACCTGAAAAGGCATAAGATTTCACACCATGCTGATGAGTGAATGTCTTCCCTTGGATGAGCCAATCCACAAAATTGGCATAGGTAGCTGTTTTTTCAAATGTTCAAGTATATGTGTCTACAAGAGACTCACTTTGGATTTAAGAACTGCATTAGATTGAAAGTGAAATAATAAGAAAGATATTCCATAAAAATAGTAACCGAAAGGGAACAGAGGTGGCTATATGAATATCTGACAAAATGGACTTTAAGTCAAAACTGTTACAAAAGATAAATAAGGGCTCTATATAATAAAAGTGTCCCTGCACCAAGAAAATGTCATCATAATAAGAACAAGTGCACTTGTTCTCACTCACATGCAAAAGCTAAAAGAGATGACCTCATAGAAGTTGAGAGTAGAATAGTGGTTACTAGAGGCTAGTAACGGTAGGTAGGAAAGAAGGAGAATAAGGAAGGATTGGTTAAAGGATACAAAATTACAGCTAGATAGAAGAAATAAGTTCTAGTGTTTTACAGCACTGTAGAGTGACTATGGTCAATAATAATTTATTATATATTTTCAAAGTTTGAAGAATCTCTTCAACTTATATATTGTGTTCCCAACACAAATATAAGTGTTTGAAATGATGGATATGCTGATTACCTTGATTTGATCACTATGCATTGTATGTATCAAAAGTCATTATGCACCTAATATGTACACTATGTATCAACTTATAAAAAATATATGCATCAAGCACCAGAGCACTTAAATATATGAAGTAAACACTGACCCAATTAAAGGAAGAAATAGATAATTCTAGAATAATAGTATAAGACTTCAATACTACACCTTCAAGAATAGACAGAACAACCAGACTGAAGAGTAATAAGGAGTTAGAGGACTTGAACTACACTATAGACCAATTGGACCCAACAGACATATACAGAACAACCCACCAACAATAGCAGATCACATACTTTTCTCAAGTGCACATGGGTTGTTTTCCAAGTTAGACCATATATTAGGTCACAAAGTTAGTCTTAATAAACTTTTAAATGTTAAAATTATACAAATTATATTTTTCAATCATAATGGATTGAAACTAGAAATCAAAAGCAAATGGAACACAGGAAAATCCACAAATTCCACATGGAAGTTAAGCAACACACTCTTAAACAGTGGGTCAAGGAAAAAAATTTTCAAAAAATTAGAAAAATCTTAAGGCAATAAAAGCAAAATATACCAAAACTTATGGGATAAAGTGAAAACAGTGCTAAAAGGGAAAATTATAGCCACAGGTGCTTACATTAAAAAGGAAGAAAGTCTCAAAAATCTGAATTTCTATCTCAAAGAGGCAGAAAACAATTAAAAACTAAACCCAAAGCTAGCAGAAGGAAAATGTAAAGGTTAATTTTATGTGTTAACTTTAATGGGCTAAAGGATGTCCAGATAGCTGGTAAAATATTATTTCTTCCAATGTCTATGAGAGTGTGTCCAGATGAGATTAGCATTTGAATTGATAGACTAAATAAAAAAGATTGTCCTCACCAAATTTGGGGGACATCATGGAATCCATTGAGAGACCAAATGGAACACAAAGGCAGAAGAGCACATTCACCTTCTTTACTTGAGCTAAGTTATTTAATTTTTTCTTTATACATTTGTGCTCCTGGTTCTTTGGCCTTCAGACTCAGACTGGGATTTAAACCATTGACTCCCTTGTTCTCAAGCCATAACAAACTTGGGCTGGAACTATACAACTGGCTGTCCCGGGTCTCCAGCTTGCAGATGGCAGATCATGAGACTTATAGCTCATAATTTCTCATAATAAATGTTTTCTTTTGTTTTTTCTTCTTTCTTTCTTTTTCTTTCTTCCTTCCTTTCTTTCTTTCTTTCTGTCTTTCTTTCTTTCTTTCTTTCTCTCTCTCTTTCTCTTTGTCTCTCTTTTACTTTCTTTCTATTGGCTTTATTCTGTCTGGAGAACCCTGACTGATACAGAAAAAGAAAATAAAAATTAAGACAGAGATAAACAATTAAAGGTAATAGAAAAAACAATAAAGAAAAATCAACAAAATTCAAAGTTGGTTCTTAAAAAAAATCAACAAAATGTATAAATGTCTGGCAAGATTGACTAAGAAAAAAGGGAGATGACTCAAATCACTAAAATTATAAATGAAAGGAAATATTCCTATCAATTTTACAGAAGTAAAAAATCATAAATATGCTTTGAACAAATATATACCAATGAATTGGAAACCTAGATGAAATTGATAAATTCCAGAAACTCGTAAACTAACAACACTGAATATCGAAGAAATCTGAGCAGATTTTAAACTAGTAAGGAGATTGAATCAGTAATCAAAATCTCAACAACAGAAAAAGACTAAGTCCTAGAAGTCTTCATTAGTGAATTCTACAAATCATTTATTTAATAAAGACTTAACTTTAATATTCCTCAAACTCTTCCAAAAAGTTTAAAATTCCAACTAATTCAATTAGACTATCACTACCCTGATAATCAAGCCAGCCAAAGATACTATAAGAAAACTATAGACTAATATCCGTGGTAAGTACTAATTCAAAAATCCTTAGTAAAATACCAGGAAACAGAATACAATAGCACATTAACAGGATTACACACCATGGCCAAGTGTAATTTTTTGCTGGAATGCAAGGATGGTTCAACATCTTAAAATCAAGCAATGTAAATACAACATTAACAGAATGAAGAAAACATCACATGATGATCTGAATTCATGAATAAAAGTATTTGACAAAATTCAACACCTTTTTATAATCAAAAACATTTTGAGCAAACTATAAATAGAAGGAAATTACATCAAAATAATAAATATCATATATGAACATCCCATAGCTGACATTATAGTTAATGGTCAAAGACAAGACTTTTCATCTGAGATTAATAACAAGACAAGGGCACTCACTCTCACCATTTCTTTTCAACACTGTACTAGATATTCTAGCCAAAGCAATTAAGAAATAAAAGAAGAAAATTCTAATTGAAAAGAAAGAAGTAAAATTAACTGCAGACAATATAATAGAAAATTCTAAAGATTTCACAAACTGTTAGAACCAATAAACAAATGTAGGAAAGTTACAGAACACAAGATCAACATACAAAAGTCAGTTGTTTCTAGACACTAACAATAAACAATTTAGAGGAGCATCAGAAAGAATACTTAGAAATAAACTTAACCAAGGAAGTGAAAGACTTGCACACTGAAAATTCAAAATGTTGCAGAAATAAATTAGGAAAACACAAATAAGTGAAAAGATATCCCAAGCACACAAATAAGAAGATTTAATATTAAGGTCTCAATAGATCTACAGAACAATCCATGCCAAAATCCCAACAGTGTATTTTGCCAAAATACAAAAATTCATTCTAAAATTCATAAGGAATTTCAATATACCCCAAATAGCCAAAGCAATCCTAAAACAAAAACAAAGTTTCAGGCTTCACACTTTCTGGTTTCAAAATGTAAAGCTGCAGTAGTCAAAACAATGTAGTACTGGCATAAAGACAGATATAATACTGGTACAATATAAAGCTACAGTAATCAAAACAGTGTAGTACTGGCATAAAGACAGACATAGAGACCAGTTGAATAGCATAGAGAGCCCAGAAACAAACCCTCACAAATATCATCAAATGATTTTGACAAGAGTGCCAAGAGCATTTAATGAAGAAAGTATAGTCTTTTCAACAAATAGCTCTGGAAAAACTGGCTATTTATATGTATAAAAATAAATTTAAACCTTACAGCATTTACAAAAATTAAGTCAAAATGAAAGAAACACCTACATATAATACATAAAACTATAAAACCCTTAGAAGAAAACAACCAAAAGCTTTATAACATTGGATTTGGCAATGATTTCTTGGACATGACACCAAAAGCGCAAGAATCAAAAATAAATAAATTGGATATGTCAAAATGCTAAAAGTATGTATCAAAGGCATAATCAACAGAGTAGAAAGGCAACATATGGAAAGAAATAAAATATTTGCAAATCAAGTATCTGATAGGAAATTAATAAATATAATATACAGTATATATCTACACACACACACACACACATATATATATACACACATTAACTAAACACTAAAAAACTTTTGTACACCAAAGGACACTATCAACAGATAGTAAAAAGTCAACCCATGGACTAGGTGCAGTGGCTCATGCTTGTAATCCCAGCCTTAGGAGGCTGAAGCAGGAGAATCACTTGAAGCCAGGAGTACGAGACCTGCCTGAGCAACACAGTGAGTCCTCATCTGTACAAAAATTTTTAAAACTAGCTAGGTATGGTGGTAGGTACCTGTAGTCCCAGCTACTTGGGAGACTGAGGTGGGAGGATTGCTTCAACCCAGGAGTTTGAGGTTACAGTGAGCTATGATTATGTCACTGCATTCCAGCCTGGGAGACAGACCAAAACCCTGTCACTAAAAACACAATGAAACAAAGCAAAACAAACAAACAAACATGAAATGGTAGAAAATATTTGCAAATCATATAGTCTGAAAAGGAATTAATATCCTCTTAATATATAAAGGACTTCTACAACTTAACAACAACAAAAAAACACTCAATTTTAAAAAAAATTGGTAATGGACTAGAATAGACATTTCTCCAAAGAGAATATACAAATGGCCAATAAGCATGTGAAAAGATGTTAAACAATACTAATCATTAGGGAAATGTAAATCAAAACCACAATAAGATACCACTTTACATCCTTTAGGATGGTTACCATAAAAAGAAAGAAAAAGCAAAATAAAACCAAAAAAGCAAAATAGAAAATAAAAAGTGTTGGCAAAGATGTGGAGAAATTGGCACCCTTTTGCACTGTTGGTGAGAATGCAAAATGGTGCAGCTGCTATGGAAAATACACAAAAAAATTAAAAGTAGATTCTCAAAAGAAATGTTTGTAAACCCATATTCATAGCAGCTTTACAACTGCTGAAAGGTGAAAGCATTCAAAATGACTGCTGATAGATGAATGGAGAAACAAAATGTGGTACATATATGTAATGCATTATTCAGTCTTGAAAAGGAATAAAGTCACAATGGCAAAGACATGGAATCAACCTAAATGCCCATCAGTGATAGATTGGATAAATAAAATGTGGTATGTATATACCATGGAATACCATGAAGCCATAAGAAAGAATGAGATCATTTCCTTTACAGGGACACCGATGGAGCTGGAGGCCATTATCCTTAGCAAACTAATGCAGGAACAGAAAACCATGGAGAATAGAGGGTAGGAGGAGGGAGAGGATTAGGAAAAATAACTTATGGGTACTAGGCTTAATACCTGGATGATGAAATAATCTGTACAACAAACCCCCAGGACACAAGCTTACCATATACAACAAACCTGCAGTTGTACCCCAGCACTTAAACTAAAAGTTAAAAAAACAGAAAGAAATCTGACCCATGCTATAGCATGGATAAACCTTGAGAAAATTATGTTAGGTGAAATAAATCAGTCACAAAATGACAAATACTATATGATTCTACTGGTATAATGTACCCGAGACTAGTTAAATTCATAGAGACAGAAAGTAGAACAATGATTCTGAGGAGATAGAGCAGGAGTCCTCAACTCCCTCTCCTCTTCCCCGCCCCCTGTACTGGTCAATGGCCTGTTAGAAACCAGGCCACACAGCAGGTGGTGAGCAAGCATTACTGCCTAAGTTCCACCTCTTGTCAGATCAGCAGGGGCATTAGATTCTTACAGGAACAGGAACCCTACTGTAAACTGCACATGCGAGGGATTTAGGCTGCATGCTCCTTATAAGAACCCAATGCCTGATAGTGTGTCACTATCTCCCATCATCCCCAGATGGGACCATTTAGTTACAGGAAAACAAGCTCAGGACTCCCACTGACTCTACATTATGGTAAGTATGTAATAATAATAAAGTGCACATTAAATGTAATGTGCTTGAATTATCCCGAAACCATCCCCCACCATCCTATCCATGGAAAAATTGTCTTACATGAAACCAGTTCCTGGTACCAAAAAGATTGGGGACCACTCTTTTAATGGATACAGAGTTTCAGTTTTACAACATAAAAAGAGTCCTGGAGATAGACGGCAGTGATGGTTGCACAACAGTGAGTATAATTAACAGCACTAAATGGTAAATTAGAAAATTGTTAAGATAGTACATTTTATGTCTATCTTACCACAATTAAAAATTAAAATACCAGTGCTACTGATGCTCTTAGCAGTGCCAGATGTTTCAGGTATTATGCTCTCTTTAACAAAAACCACTTCCCATTTCTAGTTTAAACTCATACCTATGAAATTAGAACCCTCCTGGGGCACTGGAAAGCTTCAATCTGTGTTTTTGAACTTGTTCATGGTTTTTCACTGAGGTAACTAGTAAAATTATCTACACTGTTACTTACGGAAGGATTCACTTCACAGTGTGAGTAAAACCTCAGAAATTTGGGGAGGGTTTTAACGATGATGGTCATTTAAAAGTAATTAACTATAACTCTTCAGTGAATGAGAATATTTTGGAAGAATATTTACATCTAAATTGAGTTTACTGTCTTATCACCATAAGATATATACATAAAAAAATTACATTCAGAGCCAGGAATCAAAATCAGGCAAGAACCAGGGTACAAAATAAATTTTACCAAGTCAAGCCTAAATTTCAACTAGAAAGCTAGTTAATTATTTGAAGGACTGAAGATGGTCTGATTCCTAGATTAAATGCAGTTGAGAAGTGTATTTGCACTGAGTGTATGAGGCATGAAACGACAGACTGAATGTTTTGGAACAGAAGCTGTCTTAGTTTAAATTGCTGTGAAAACAGAGCCTGAAACAAGAATTTGGATGAAGATTATTTATTTGAATGGTGATCCCAAGAAGTAGGAGTGAGGGCTCAGGAATGTCAAGATAGAGTCAGGGAAAGAGAAAACTCCAACATAAGATGCTTTCTCATTGTCACTCGTACTGGTGGGAAACTCAGTTCTGCTGAATCTCCCTGTAAAGCATCCTTACCTCAATCATTTTATCTCACATGGCATCAGGGAAGGCCTTGGATCAGGAGAAGCTGCATGTGCTTGTAGAAGGACTCTCAGCACAAAGGGAATATGAGGTCATAAAGAGCTACAGAGTTGTGGCTAAATCAAAAGTAGGCCAAGAGGACTTGAAGATGAGAAAGACAGCTTTTGCTACAGGCCACTCCTTGCACTACTCTCATAAACTTGTTACTCTTAGATATACTCCATCACCAACTCAAGATGATATTTAGCCAAAATATCTATGAAAGATTTAACCTAATGATAAACTTTAATTTCCATTGCTGCACCTTTTCTCTAGTCCACAACTGGCATTTGTTACCTCCTTCTTCCACTGCCCAGTGTATGACTGAAATCTTCATCCAAGAAAGATATGGACTCTGATAACCTTTTTTTAATTTTAATTTTTATTTTTTTGAGATGGAGTTTCGCTCTTGTTGCCCAGGCTGGAGTGCAATGGTGCGATCTTGGCTCACCACAACCTCCCCCTCCTAGGTTCAAGCAATTCTCCTGACTCAGCCTCCTGAGTAGCTGGGATTACAGGCATGCACCACCACACCCGGCTAATTTTGTATTTTTAGAAGAGACGGGGTTTCTCCATGTTAAGGCTGGTCTTGAACTCCTGACCTCAGGTGATCTGCCTGCCTCGGCCTCCCAGAGTGCTGGGATTACAGGCGTGAGCCACCGCGCCTGGCCTAACCTTATTTTTATTAAGCCATGGTTGCTGCAATTGGAAATGTGATGGTATTTAGGTCCCTGGGTATCAGTGTCAGCTCAATACCTCCTATTCATTTGTGTACCCTACTATACAATTTAGCAGGTGAATTATCTAGTAAGTGGACCCAAGTCCCTTTGGGGAAGAATCAGGGAATATTATATACAGTATACTTGCACTGAGGTTCCTCCTCAATCGGACCCTGCTCCTGGAACTAAGAACTTAATCTGTTTACAAATTAGGTAAAAGACTGTGATTTTCTATTATGGTGCTGACCTTAGTCTCCCACTCATGTGTTCTTAATCTTATTGAATATATACATCAAACAGCACCTCAATTGACAGTTAATACCTTGATTCTGCCCATCTCTCTTGTCTCTAGCAACCCTTTGTTTAATAGGCATTTCCAACTATCCCTGTAGTTGAGGCTCCTGGATTATCATGCCAGTTGTTCATTAAAGTAATTGCATTTACCCTGCTTCTGGTGGTTAAATGCTTCCACCTGGCATGTGCCTTTCTGGAATTCTATCCCTATTGACTTTAGGAAGCCCCTTTTCATAGAATCATCTCCTACCAACAAATATGGCCTACAGAAGACAGTCATGCTTAAGCTGCTCAGAGCTGTTTGTGTATATGTTCCCTTCCCAGGTTCCCATTTATTACTTTAGTGACTACAATGTCAACATTCCATTCTACCAGAAAAAATATTCAGTATTCCTCTTAGAACTGTCCACCAGAATGACTGCATGCTGGAGCATTTATCTACAACAATCCCAGGGACGTTAACTGTCCCACACATCTGGGCTGAGCTTGTATGTTAATCAAAGAGGGTTCCAGACAAATTGGGGAAGACTAATTGGAGAGACAGAAATAGATGCATAGCACACATTTGAGATGGGATTTGTCATCATGAAGTCACTCATATAAAACCATCTACCACAACTGTTGATTAGATCAGACAGATGCTGAAGAGATATGCTATGGGGTCCTAAGATATCTGCTCTGCAGGCTCTGTCATAGGAGTAGGCATGGTGTTCTGCACATTTTCTAATTTTTCATATAAAGGAGTCTGCATAAAATTTGGGAGAGAGAAAACCTACAAAAGCACAGAATCATAGATGGGTTAGAGCATGAGGTCACAATCATGTGACAGAGTTCAGAGATGAACAGCTCTGGAAGACATCCTAACTCTCCCAACACATACACACATTTCTGTCATGAAGAGTGGGGTATAGGACAGCTGAAAGTTTGGAATTTGGTGGCATAGGGAAAATAACCTCATCTGACTCCTATGTACCTGATTAAACTTTTACTATATGTTGCTTATGGTTAATAAGAATTCTTTGGAAAAGAAGACTACCTGTCAGTTACACGAGCCATATATAAAATCTTTTTTTAAAAAAATACTTAGACCAACCAGACGCAGTGGCTCATGCCTGTAATCCAAGCACTTTGGGAGGCTGAGGAGGGCAGATCACCTGAGGTCAGTAGTTCAAGACCAGCCCACATGATGAAACCCTGTCTCTACTGAAAATACAAAAATTAGACGAGAGTGGTGGCGGGCACCTGTAATCCCAGCTACTCAAGAGACTGAGGCGGGATAATTGCTTGAACCTGGGAAGTGGAGGTTGCAGTGAGCCAAGATCATGCCACTGCACTCCAGACTGGGTGACAGAGTGAGACTCCATCTCAAAAAAAAATTACTTAGACCATTACAGATTAAGCTCAAGCTCCCTTCCCTTTTACTCGTAATCTGGTCCATGTGTGCTCCTTTCTTTCTCAGAGGCATCCACTACTGTGACTTATAACGAGTCATGTGTTTTTCTTAACATTTATACACATTTATGAGCCCACAGGTAATACATATTATTGTTATCCATTTTCATAAGCATCTCTTTCAAATGCCTGTTGTAGGAGTCCTAGCTAGAAGATGGAGCAAACTACGTCTCCTCTTTTGCAGTAGTGATATTCTCAGGAATGCCAGAAGATGGGATTATACTGACAAAGACAATTATCCTGAAAAACTAATTATCTGGGGGTATTTGTGAAAAGAAACACGAAAATGTGTGTTCAAGTAATAGATTATGGGGAAATGGGAAGTCCAACACTGGGTTAACACTAGCTCATCTTATATTTGGGGTCAGCTAGTGTTGTGAATCAATCCAGTATTAATGTTGCAATAAGATGCAAAGAAGAGTCAGCTTTATTGCACAAATTAACAGAAAGGGGATAAACAACCACAGAAAAAAACATACACCTGAATCCTTTCATACCTCCATGTTTCTGTGTTGAGTAGAGAGAGGGTGAAAGTATAAGCGTCCTCAGTGCTGTGTGATACAAAGAAGGAGGGATGGTGTATGTGAAGGAAGAACAAGCCAAAGCCCTCCTGGCATGAATGTACATGGGAGTGAGTGGGAAAGACACTGTCCATTACTATATAACATTTATTCTCAAAACATGGAACTGAGATTTAACAGAATGTTATTATCCTTTTAGTCTGAATCAATTATTCATATCAGACCAGAATACATTGTCTCTCAATTTATTAACAGTACCCAGAAATTTTATTCTTTCTGAAATATTTATTTAGAATCTCTTATGTTCCAGTCACAATTTTCAGAGGCAGTTTCTGAATATATAGAATTCTATATATAATATTCAGAATTGTATTCTATAGTTACCTCAAAAGGCAATGCAGGGATTTTAATACCTTACATGAGATAAAAATATGTGAAAGCAGTTTGCATGATCTAAAACAGGATTTAGCAAACTTTTTCTGTAAAAGGCCAGGTAGCAAGTATTTTCAGCTTTCTTGGCCAAATGAATAGGTGGCCAGATTTTAGCTCTTCAATTCTGCTGTTGTACAAGAATAGCCATGAACAACACACAAATAAGCATAGCTGTGTTTCAACACAACTTTACTTACACAACTGTTAGCAGAGTTTAGAACACAGGCCATGGTTTGCCAACCCCTACGGCTTCTTCCTCCCATAAGTTCTCCTGAAAATGAACACTTAGCAAATAATGACTTTATGTTTTCACTTTGAGAGCTTTTCTTCTTCTGATGTCCCTTTAAGAATATGAAGTAACTCATAAAAGGAAAACGATGTTTGATGTGATCTCTAAACTTAGGATCACTAATTCATTCAGCAGTTATTCACTGAATGCCACATTTGTGCCAAGCACTGCTTTAAGTGCTGGCAAAATAGAGATGAACGATGCACAACTGGTTCTCAGGAAGCTTATAGTTGCATGATGATAGACAGGTAAAGAGAAAACTACAGTCTGCTATTGAGAGAGGTTGTTCAAGACTCAACAGTTATGGCACACTCTTAGAAAAGCCCTGTGGGAACCTGGTGCTCAAGTTCTTTGAGTGTAGGAGGTAAGAAGGTTGTTGTTCACCTGGACCATGAAGATTCATATTTCCTGTTTTGCACGACTCAAGGACAACTCTATCCTGTGCTCCATTTCTCTTGTGGGCAGTAATTCTGGTATACCTTGAAGGATGCTTGCTCTTCAAAGAATCCTCCTAATCCTTGACGTGATTCTGTTCCCTTACTTGGAAAGTGATTGCCCTTTGAAATTCCACTCTAAAGTGATGCTGAGTGCCAGGTTACCTGTATTCTTGTTTTCCTGCACCATTACCTAGCCTTAGATAAGTCTCTGCATCTCTTTGAGCTTTATTATTCCACATTTTAAAACGACTGCTTTTGAGTGCTAAAGGATAAAGAGCAGATACACAGAATAGAAGAACCGGAGAAGAATCAAAAATTAAGAAATATATTCTATATGTGAGGCACTTTCGCTTACAATGTCATGTACATCTCCAGCCTGAACCTGAGAGGATTTATTAATAACACCATTTTACAGACAATGAAGCCGGGTCTTAGAGGCTTAGCAACTTAGCTAATTAACAACAAGCCAAGATGCAAATTTAAGTCTGTGATATCTTAGATCTCTGCCTTCTTTCCATATGCTCCTTATCTCCCCTTGAGGTTCATAACATCCAAAGACTATACACTGTAATCACAGACTAAGTAAAAAAAACAAAGCATGAGAAACCAAATAATAAGAGAAGTTAAATAACAATGAAAAAGATGCTACAAAATATATGTGTTTAAGCAGGAAATAAACATTACACAAAATATGGACCACATGATTTCAGTGGGTTGTGATGGTGGGAAAACATAATAAAGAGTAGATTTCAACTGAGTCATAGAAAAATGGTTTGAGTGTGTGTGGGTTTGGGAGTGTGTGTTTGTGAGAGAGAGAGGAGAGAGAAATAATTCTGTCATTCTAGTTTTACCAGGTCTTAAACATGACATTTAACAAGATAGAATTTTTGTGTAGATTTCCTGGCATCTACCAGTGAGATTCAGACAAATTATACTGACTGGAAACCTGTTTCGTCATTTGACAGATGTGGCTTCAATCCTTACCACCTTATTCACTAACTATGGATCCAATCCTTTTTGAGCCTTAATTTTTTACCTCTGTAAGACTGAAGTTATTATATGATTCAATCTATAATTCAAAGTCACTCTCTATGGTCCATTAATCTTCTTTGAAGGCCAAACAGGTAAGCTAAAGAAAAATGTGATAGTAATTAAGACCACTGCATCTTTCAGGGTTTTAATGGTGATATTAATGTCTTACTTTTTCCAGGGTTGTATTGTTGCACATGATTTGCTATTATGAAACAGAGGGGAAGTTTCTAGGGTTCTGACCTGGTATTTTTCCTTCTCGATTATGTCCCACACCTATGAAATGCTATTTCATAGCCTATGTGTGAGCTTATTTCAGTGAGCCCAGGTGGGAATTCAGTCAGTGTTAGGGTATGTTTATTCTACCTGTGTATTAAGAAGCTGGAGGGGACGGGGCACTGTGGCTCATGCCTGTAATCCCACCACTTTGGGAGGCTGAGGCAGGTGGATCACTTGAGGTCAGGAGTTCAAGACCAACCTGGCCAACGTGGTGAAACCCTGTCTCTACTAAAAATACAAAAATTAGCCAGGCTTGGTGGTGCATGCATGTAATCCCAGCTACTCGGATGGCTGAGGCAAGAGAATCCCTTGAACTTGGGAGGCAAAGTTTGCAGTAAGCCAAAGTTGTACCATTGCACTCCAGCCTGGGTAACAGAGTGCAACTCGAAAAAAAAAAAAAAAAAGAAAAAGAAAGAAGGAAAGCAAGCAAGCAAGCAAGCAAGCAAGCAAACTGGGGGGACAAAAAAACACAGGGTGGGTCTGTAGAATTACTGTACCCATTGACAGATAGCTTTAGATTACATCTCTATTGTTTACCAGATCCTCATGAACCTCCACTCAAACTAGGGGAGCCCGGTGCTATTTTAATAGCTCTATAATAGCTCCATAATTAGTATTAACCAAGAGGCCATGTGTAGTAACTGCTGAAATATTTGGTAATTTCTTTTTGGTCTGTGCTCAGATATCCTGCTAAAGACACAGGTCCCTTTTGAGAGACTTTGGAGGAAGATTTACATATATAAATATGGCAGGATCCTTCCTCAGGGGTCCTTCCCCAGCTTCATCTTCATTGAGGGGATGCAAGTCTGAAATGGGTCAGCTCTGGGTGACATTCCGTTGTGGAATTCAAGCTTTTTCTCTACACATTATATCTAAATACTTTCAGATCTTAAAGATCAAGTCATACTTTGGTAAGATGCCTGTGTGTTTTATTCTTAGTGACATCATGATATGTTAGCCAACACAAAATAACTTTAAAGGTGATGATTACTGAGGCCCTGCTCTAACCTTACAGTAATTGTCCTTACCTTATATCCGATAATTAAGCAGGGATACATCTCCGCCAGTCCAGGATTCCATTAACCCCACTGAAATCAGAAAATCTATATCAATATCAGCAGCTTCTACCATCATTCCAGCATACAGAGGAAATCCTCAAGGATTTGTTTCCTGAATTAAAGCACTTTTGGATGTCTTAGCAAAATAAATATCATTTTAGCCCTATAAGGAGACATTCTGGAGAAAGGAAAAGAAGGTAGGAAGGTTGCTGCAAGAAAAATCAACTCCAATATTTCTGTCTCCTTAAATTTTGGGATTTATTTCTTTCACCAGGGAAGTTCTGGGATGTAAATTTCATTAACTTTAAATCAACATTGGCTTTAGGGTTTTTTCAACCAATCAAGAAAATTGCTAGAACAACTTCTAACTGTTCAGGCTAATGTATTGAACCATCATCTCTAAGTACATGGATGCATCAACATAGCTTCAAACCAACATTATTCCCGTCCTCTTTGACCTATGGATTTTAGAATTAATTTCTACATATATGCCATGTGTTTTTCTCATATCACTTAGCAAGAACCTGAAATTCTCTAATCATGTGAATTATTGTCTGCTGGGTTAGACTTTGCCCTTTTACTCCCAGGATGATGATGAGCTCTTTCTCTAGTTTTCAGTCTAAAGACAATAAGGAGTAGTTATGAAGAGATTTGGCATCTACGTTTGAGACGATGGCCTCAGATGTGATAATTACTTGCCTTTAAACAGGAAAGGCTACTCTTTTCAGACAGAAAAGGAGGATTGAATTTCTCTGGAAAGAGAGACTCAGTGGGATTTGGGGATTGAAGGTTATCACGTCCCCTAAGTGCAACTAAATTCCTCTACCCCAAATGTTAGTTCTCGTTCCTTGTCATTCAATGCTTGAAATTAAACATAAGAGGCTTGACAAAGATGTAAACTCAACTTACATTGCAGCATCAAACTTAGTATTTATTTTAAACTGTATTAATCCCGTGTCTATTAAAAGAATTATTTTGGGGGGTCCATCATAGAATATATCCAGTTCTGTATCTTGGACTGAGAGTTTAGTGCCCTCAGCCTGTAATTTCCTTCTCTAAACTCTTCAGTGCAGTAAGAAATAGCCAGCCAATTGCATGATTCTTAGTGTAACCATTACTACCATAATGGTCAAGTTCATTAGCACTTGGTCTCCAAATGCCTTATGTACTTTACTCCAAGCCACCACTGATAATTTAAGTACTTTCCATGGATTATCAGAATCCCATTTACCAATATCAATGAGCTCACTTCAGCTTACAAGTCTAATCAGGTAAGATAACCAATTCTATTTTCCAAAATCTGAGAGACAGTTAACTGGAACCATTCCTGTTTTAGTTTGGATCCCATCAGGAAAACGTATCCATTCTGGGTATTACAAAGAGAGTATCTTTTATATTAACAATGGTTTACAAATATGTTGGAAGGACCGGAGGAGCAAAATAAGAAGGGGTATTAGAAGATGAGAAAGAAAGAATATCTGTGTGTAACACTCAGCTCAAGTGGTAAATTCCCTGGGCTGTTACCCATAAGACTGCCTTATTTATTTTTGGAAGTACTATAGTTCCTGGACCTGGAAGAGTTCCTGAAGAGTTGCTGATGAGCTCAGGGTTTCTGGAGTTTGCAGTCACTTTGTCCCTCCTGCTGTAACAGGGTGAGACACTTTGTGGGAGCCAGGAAGAGAGACCTTCTCCCTTCCTCCTGCCTTCTAATCTCCTACCAGTGCTTCCCACTGGCCAACTTTAAACACATATATAAAAGTTATATTAATCTGGGAAATGTAGGGTTATTTTTTTCTATTACTCCAGTCCAGCAGTTCAGAGCAGAGTGTAAAAGTTATGGGTACGGGTTTGTCATGTTTGATATTGAGTGTCAACTTAACTTGATTGAAGAATGCAAACTATCGTTCCTGGGTGCGTCTGTGAGGGTGCTGTCAAAGATTAACCTTTGAGTCAGTGCATTTGGAAAGGCAGACCCACCTTCATTCTGGGTGGGCACAATCTAATCAGCTGCCAGTTTGGCCAGAATTAAAGCAGGCAGAAGAATGTGGAAAGACTGGACTGGCTAAGTCTTCTGGCCTCCATCTTTCTTCTGTTCTGTATGCTTCTTGCCCTCAAACATCAGACTCCAAGTTCTTCATCTTTTGGACTCCTGGGTATACACCAGTGATTTGCCAGGGGCTCTTGGGCCTTCAGCCACAGACTGAAGGCTGCACTGTTGGCTTCCCTACTTTTGAGTGTTTGGGACTTGGGACTGGCTTCTTGACTCCTTAGCTTGCAGAAGGCCTATTATGGGACTTCACATTTTGATCATGTGAGTCAATTCACCTAGCAAAGTCCCCTTCATATATTCATCTATCCTAATAGTTCTGCCCCTCTAGAGAACCCTGACTAATACAGGGTTTGAGCAACAATCTTTGAATACTGACAAATTGGAACCTTAAGTATATGATTTACCATATTAGACTTTATTGTAAGATTCATATTGTAATATAAAATCTATGGACATGATTTTTTTTTTTTTTTTTTTTTTAGATGGAGTCTCACTCTTGTTGCTCAGGCTGGGTGCAATGGCATGATCTCGTCTCACTGCAACCTCCACCTCCCAGGTTCAAGCAATTCTCATGCCTCAGCTTCCCAAGTAGCTGGGATTATAGGCATGAGCCACCATGCCCAGCTAATTTTGTATTTTTTGTAGAGATGGGGTTTCATCATGTTGGCCAGACTGGTTTCAAACCCCTGACCTCAGGTGATCCACCCGCCTTGTCCTCCCAAAGTGCTGGGATTATAGGCGTGAGCCACTGCACCCGGTCTGGATGTGATTTTTATTTGACATACTAATTAGGACTATCACCTCTCAGTGAGACAGGGTTCAAATTATGACTACCATATAGATTTAGTTTTATGACTTTCAACTTGATATTTCTCCTTAAAGGGGCTCTTCGTTTTTCTATTTGTAAAATGGGGGATATATGCCTTATTAAGTGGTGTATATTAAATGCGTCAACAGCCATGACACATAAAAGTCCTCTTCTAATATTTGTGCTGATGGTGGTGATGATGGCAATGTCCATGAAGATGTCAGCATTGGTAGTGATGATGCTGAAAGCTGATACTGATGATTTTTTCTCTATAGTGAGAGAATTCATTATTTTGCTTATATTTTCAAAGTGATCAAAGATTCTCCAAATGTTAATAATTACTACTAAGGGTAATAAGGGACTACTGAGAGTTTTGAGAAGGCAAGCGACATAAAGCAGCTTTGGGATTATTAACCTAATCATGGCACTATGGAAGGATGTTGAGCAGAGGTTATTTATTTATTTTTGAGATGGAGTCTCATTCTTGTTGCCCAGGCTGGCTTGCAATGGCACGGTCTTGGCTCACTGCCACCTCTGCCTCCCGGGTTCAAGTGATTCTCCTGCCTCAGCCTCCTAAGGACCTGGGACTACTGGCATGCACCAACCACGCCCAGCTAATTTTTTTTTTTTTTTTTTTTAAGTAGAGACAGGTTTCACCATGTTGGCCAGGATGGTCTCGATTGCTTGACCTCATGATCCACCCCCCTCGGCCTCTCAAAGTGCTGGGATTACAGGCATGAGCCACCACACCCTGACAAGTGGAGGTTAAAGAGAATGATACAAGACCATTACAGTCATTTATTAACAATTCTTTGCTAGGTATTAAACAAGTTATAAAGTTTTAAATTAAGAAAATTTTGATACAAGGTATTCCCTACTCTGAAGAAATTATGTAATTGGTATGTGATTGAGATTATTCATATGTGATGATATTTTTGAAATATAAGCAACAGATCTTGGTTCCTGAGTGTGAGAAATGAGAGAGAGTGGACATTAAGTAGGTCCTTTAACAGAAATAGCAAAATCAGGAGTAAATATCCAGTTGGAAGATACAGTATCAATTTTTATTTCCTCCTTCCTTTCTTTTCTGAAAAGAGAAGTTTTTTGCTATTTACAATATAAGACAATTTATTTTGTATTTTAACTTTTCTAAATTAAAAAATCTACCTACTTATTCCAGTTTTATAAAATAAGCATTGAAGTCAATTTTTCTACATTTTGACACTTCCCCTCTACAAATTTTTAACCTTCACAGATATTCTCTATGTTAGTATAATTCAGTCTTATGCAGGAGAACAATTCAGTCTAATGCAGGAGAATACCTCCACCATATAACGACTGGTACAATTGTCCCAATCAAGGCTGGGATTGATGCCTAGCAGCGACAATGAAGATGGCAATTATCCAAGCTCTATCATTGTGAGCAGCATCACTTACTCTCTTTGAAGATAGAGTGCAAACCATAAAGATGATGCATTCCAGATGCGAACTTTCTCAAGAACTATAAAGATTCCACCTCTAATAACCCGAAGTGTCAGAAATAGAAGGAATGCCCTTGGCAGAGAATATGCTGTGTTCGTTTCGATCCAGACACCTACTGCTACTTTGGTATCCTTCAATGGATTTTTATTTAATTTGGCTCTTAAAACATCCTTTGAAGGAGTGTTTGCTCAGCTCAGGGATCCTCCTAGCAGCAATGCCTGATCACTAGCAGGCTTTTTATTGGCTCTTCATGACAATGCAGGTCCCTGAACTTGTCTGTTTCCATTTGTAAGTCAATCCCTACCTCCGTAGCAGCCAACAGGTAATTTTTTTCTTTTTCCCACACAGACCCTATGGGGAAAAAAGGAAGCTGCAACATTGCTAGCACTTTAAAAATACAGTAGTCAGGCAGAAAAAAAAAAAACACAGTGTTACTTAGTGTCTTTTTCCTTGACAAAAGCCAAGTGGGAAATTCTGCTCTGATTGAAATCATTTAGGTAAACAACAATAACAGAAACAAAATTATATACTACACAGGCATACACATAGGCAATCACAAAAACACAATGTAGACAAATATATAAACTTAATCATCTATTGACAATGGAGGAAATCTTTGTGGCTCTATCAGCTGTGAATACTATATAACACCCTTCCTTAAAAATATGTTGGATGTGTGTGTGTATAAAATTGGGTATAGGCTAACTTCTTAAAGTTAGAAATATAAAAACCTTTCTAGATATTGTGGATTCTTCTATTCATGATTTTCTACATGGCTCTCTCCTGATTTCTTTTAAACAAAAGATAACTGTTCATCATATCCATAATGGCTTCCAAATCATTGAAGAGAAAAATATTTAAGTCAGTTGATCAATTTCCTAAAAAAAAAATTAAAAAAATTTTTGTCTCATATTGTAGTAGGCATGAATCCTGAGGCATAAAGAACCATACTTTTTCCCACTCTTACCTTGGTACAAGTATCAAACCATTAAAAAACTTCACAGTCTTACTATCCTAGGAAGCTTCAAGAAATGGAAACACAAAATTCTGATACTTCTGGGAAGCTGGCTTATGTGACCATCATTGGATCAGGCTCTGATAATGCAATGAGAAGGCAAAGAACTTACATCGTTTCTGCTGACGTGTAAAAGGAAGTGGTACACTAGTAAAGGCTCAACAATCAACTGTCTGGAAAAAACAAACATGCAGTTTTTAGTGTTTTTTAATTTCCCTTGTGCAAATATTCCTATCAAGCCTGATTTCAAGCTATCACATGGCATCAGTGAATGCAAAAATGGAGATGAGAAGCACATAACTGGCTCTTCTAAGTCATTAGGAGTCAGTTCAAGCACACCACTGAAACATCTTCAGAAAGGGACTGAGCTATGTTGAGTGTCATAATTTGAAGGACAAAACATCTTTTAATGTTTTTCCCGCCCAACTCTTCTACAGAAAGTTGAGGCTAATTTTCTCTCTCAGCACAGTGGTGCTGCTTGGTAGGCAACATGATAACAATAAAATCTAAAAGTTTTGGGCATAATCATGTTTATCTACTTTCATGGCAACCCTAAAATGGCACAGCTACTGAAAAAAAAAGGTTCCTGGCACTCGTAAGAATTTCCTTTGAGATTATGGGACTTATTCATAAAAGAGTTGCTTTGTATTCTCTATTAGGACAAGACAAATTAGAGAGGTTTTCATTATTCCCCAAACCCCTGTTACTCAAAGTGTGATATATGGGCCAGCAATATCTGCATTACCTCAGAGCATGTTAGAAAAGCAAAATCTTAATCCTAAACCTAGAACAAATGCGTCAGAATCTCTATTTTAAAAAAAAATTCCCATATGTTTTGCATGCACATTAAAGTTTGAGAGACACTGCCCTAAATCACTGTTTTAAAGTTTTTCTTAGGTAGTATGAGATCTTCTGTTTCATTAAAACTTACACATTCTTTCTGAGGTGAATCTTTGTAATCCAAGTCTTTACTATTCTGGCTGAGTCAGAGAATATGGATGTATCAATGTAGTCCCTCCTCAGTTCTGGCAACTAAAAGCACTGCCAATATTTAATGGGAGTCCATACTCAATTTAGTGTATATGACAAAGGCTAACTCTCACTTTTAGGAACCAGAATTGAAGGTGAAGGTTGCTCAGAATTTCATAATGTGAATACCAGTAGAAAAATGACTGGAAGGAAATATATCAAAATGATAATAATGTTTATCTCAAGGTAGTGAAATTTTAGGCACTTTCTTCTTTTCAAAAAATATCTTCCAAATTTTTTACAATCTGGTTTCATTTTAAAAACTTCAAAAAGAGGCCAGGTGAGGTGGTTCATGCCTGTAATCCCAGCACTTTGGGAGGCCTAGGCGGGCGGATCACAAGGTCTGGAGTTTGAAACAAGCCTGGCCAACATAGTGAAACCCCGTCTCTGCTAAAAATACAAAAATTAGCCGAGTGTGGTAGCATGCACCTGTATTTCCAGCTACTGGGGAGGCTGAGGCAGGAGAATTGTTCAAATCTGGGAGGCGGAGGTTGCAGTGAGCCTAGCCGAGACTGTGCTATTGCACTCCAGCCTGGGCGACAGAGCGAGACTCCGTCTCAAAAAACAAAACAAACAAACAAACAAAAACTTCAAAAAGAGAGAAAAAAACATAAAATAGAAATCCTCTGTGAGTTTTTCTATAGATGCAATCAATGGGTAGTTATTTATGATTTATGATGTCTTTAACTCCTACATATCAGTTATTTTATTAGCGTAATTAAATATTCCTAATTATTTGTTTTGCACCTGTTCTTTAGCCACAGAACTGCCCTTCTCATAAAAGCAGGGAACATTTCTAGCATGCCTTCTGGAAATAAGTGGGTACTTAATAAATATTTATTAAATTAATGGAAGACAAGGAGGGATAAGTAGTATGATTTGGGGAAGCTTAACCAGAGTCAGATATACATTTTAAAGTTAGTGAAATAAGATTTTCCTATTCTCATTTCTCCTTTCTTTCAAATCTTTTATTTTCCCAGCCTCCACAGCTTATTGCCCCCTTTTGGGTCTCAACGTCTTCTCTCTCTCTCCTTCTCTATCTCCTCTCCAAATGGACCTTAGGTACACAGCATTAGATAAATCAGAATTCTTAATTTAGGCCTGACTCACATCATGGTTCCACACCTGTAATCTTTCCCTTTATTTACAGGTTTATTTTGAATAATATACTTAACACTGTGAATCTATCGCTCAATCTATTAAGAACATTGACAGTAATCTAAATAGACCTATATTCTCCCTCCCTGTTTTCACCCACAGTAAATACCATGCTTAATTTTATGTTTATTCCACAAATATTTTTAAATAATTCTATCATATATATAATCTAAGCTAAAAGATATTTAATGTTATTATTCTTGAACTTCATGAAAAAGGCACCATGCTGTATATAGTTCCCATAACTTACTTCTTTCACATCATGTAACCAGGCTTCATCCATGTTATTGCATGTAGATGGAGTGTATTCATTTTCACTCAGTATATCTCAGCTGCAGTGGTATATTTCAGCCACTGTCTTCAAAATTAGACAAATGGTAATGACATTGTTCCTGGCAAAGCCTAATGGCCTGTTCTCTTTTCCAAAAAAAATATGTTCAGAAAGATATATGATCTACCAACTATGAAATTCTGTAGATGTGATACTTTCTTGTAACATGAAAAATAAGGAATAATTTGTTATTTTTTAAATGAACCATCTTATATTTGTAAGGCCTGGAATAGCACTTGATACTAGATAACTAGAAATAGTGGGCTAATTTAGGAGAAATATTTCTGGTTTTAATGTTATTCAGTATCATATATGGGATGGTTGTTGAGGGAGATGAAAATCTTAGACTCTGACTGCAAGTCATATCTTCTTCAAACCACTCAGTGTGTAGAAATTTTAAACCTTTCTAGCTCCAAATATATCTGTTTTGTTTCATTTAAATTAATTAAAGTATTCGTTCATTATAATTTCAGGATATTTGAACTCCCCACAAGACCATATGAAAGAGAAATGATATTTATCCTTGAGATGAAGTAACAAGTATGGCCAGAATCAGTGAGCCATAGTCCAATAGGCTCAAGTGAGATAGGAACATTTTGTCTACAATAACATTTCAATCACTGAATATCATAACAGACCTGGTATCAGTCTCCATTCTGAAGAAAGAAAAGTCAAAAGATGGACCAAAACAAGATCATAGATTTCAACTGAAAACTAAATTCGTTGATATGTCCCTTGCTTAGTCCACAATTGACGTTGTCTCCTAAAAGGTGCGGCACATATATCTTTGTATCAGTTTCCTTCTCTGGATTACTTGTGAGTCCCTTCTAGCCATTCATACCTGGTAATTTTATGCACTCCTTTCACTCTTCAGCGGTAGGGAATGAGAAGGCAGACTCAAATTGGTGAGCACGCGTCCTTTCGGAGCTTTCATCCATCTATCTATCTATCATCTATCTATCTATCTATCTATCTATCTATCCATCCATCCATCCATATTTTTTTTTTTGAGATGGAGTCTCGCTCTGTTGCCCAGGCTGGAGTGCAGTGGCACGATCTCAGCTCACTGCAAGCTCCGCCTCCCGGGTTCAAGCTATTCTCCTGCCTCAGCCTCCTGAGTAGCTGGGACTACAGGCGCCCGCCACCATGCCTGGCTAATTTTTGTATTTTTAGTAGAGACAGGGCTTCACCATGTGGGCCAGGCTGGTTTTGATCTCCTGACCTCATGATCTGCCCACCTCGGCCTCCCAAAGTGCTGGGATTACAGGCATGAGATTATAGGCATCTTTAAAGAGTCCAATATTCCTCCTAGACTGCTGTGAAATTCAAGGAGGAAACCTTTTCATAACTATTTTAACAAAATGCTTTTGCTGTTGTTGTGAATCTTTTTCTACATGTATCTACAGACATACTGAATACTTGTTTTCTTATGAAAATCTGCTCCTAATATTAGAAAATCAGGTAGGGTAAAGCTGAGAAATAATGTTTAATCTGGGAGGCAATGAGTATGGCCTGGGTTGAATTCTTGTTTTACCACAAATGACCACTGTAATTTGAGGCAGGAGACTTTACCTTCAAATGTTTTTTTTATTTTTTCATCTCAAAACTGAAATAACAATAGATACCTCAGATGATTATTGTGAAAGTTAAATTACATAATGCTTATGAGAATTCCTAGCATAGCAGGCACTCCATAAAGATTTGTGGATTCTGAGGAGGGCCAGTGGAGGGGATACTTGGAGAACTTTTAGGTTTGATTTTCCCAGCACAATGAAGTACTGACTCTCATTTTAATGACAAGTGTGGTGAAGGCACTTTGCTCAAGGAAGCAATTTGCATTAATGTTAATTAATTAATGATAATTAATGAGTAGTTTTTTTTAGGTTAAGTGTCCAAGGCCAGATGTTTGCATCAGTTCCATAGCTAGGTATGGGAGTAATTCTCATGCCCTCCAAAGGGCTCCAGCTTCATTCTTTCATCCGGAGACAGCCCTCAAGCTAAATGGTAGCCTGAAAAGACTGTCACCTTTATGGTAGCCCCACTCTACACTCCCTCCGTACAAGATATCAGGCCTGTGGTTGAAACTTCAGGAACAGAGTTCATTCCAAATATCTCAGCACATCTCTTAGAGCCATCAAGCCATCTTGTTATTGCCACCTGCAACATATTCTTAACACCAAACCAACAAACAAATGTCAAAACAACATCAACAACAAAACATCGAAACTCTTCTCCCCATCTATTCAATTAGAGGTGTCATGGCAGACTGCAGGGGAAATCTCATTTTTGCTCTGAATAAATATTGCTCTGGGTTGTTTGTTGTTTGCAGAACACTCATACTTTTCTAATTCCTACTTTCTTACCCCCAAGATATGTTGGTCAAGTGGCCTATATATGTATATATTTTAAAATATTTCTAGATTTTTTGTGCGTGTGTTTGTATGCATATATGTGGGTGTGTATGTATAAAATCTTGAAAACCTCTGCCACATTTAAAAATGCCACAGGAAAAAAATATTCTTAGGATCTATGTCTATGTCTAGATCTATGTAAGATTGAGAACCACTGCCAATGTTACTAAAAAAAATCATTAAAATCATTTTTGTGCCTCAGTTTCTTTATCTGAAAAACAGGGTTAACAAAGGTATATTTTAAAAAGTAGAGATAATGTATAATGCAAAAAGGATCTGGCACAAAGGAAGTATCCACTGTATATTGTTTATTCTTATTCTTGACAGTGTGAGAAATGTTTATTATACGGGCTAAGTAAAAGTAGCATCATCCCAGATATATAAAAGACATAAGTTACGTAGATTCAGGCAAAAATACCAGCAAGTTGCCCTGGATATAGAGTCTGTTATTTCTAGACCAAGACATTCATAGAAGGGCAAACCGTCTTACTTGCAAGGAACTTTGGAACTCATGTGATTTAGTTTCCTTTCCTATGCAGAAATCCCCCTTTAAACTATGGTTCTTTGGAACCTAAGCCAATAAATTAGGTTCAGAGATTATCTGGAGAGCAGATCTTGCCCATACTTTACCGTAAGGGGTAAGGATTAAAGTCTCCATTCCCAGTGGGCATAGTTTCAACCAGAGAATGCCAAAGATGCTATAGAGGAATGGAGGATTTAATCCTTACCCCTTACAATAGCCCATGGTTAAGTTTAACATTAAGATTTGCTCCTGGTAAATGTTATTGGGGAAACAAGGTTTTTATATTCCCAGGACACCTTGTGGCAATCTCTCTTTCCCCAGACATAAAGCTAAAGGCCATGTGGTTTTTAAATTCCCCACTTTTTCCATAATAAAACATAGCATCTGGATATAATCTGACTCATCATTGGCTTAGAGATGCAAATGTCTACGGATGCTCGGTGCAGATACTTTTTAAGGTAACTGGAAGTAATTCCCTATTTGACTGAAACTATGTAATAAAAATAAGATTTTCTGGTGCCAAAGACCTATGTAGGAGGCTCTTTCTGCTTGCACGCAAGGGAAGGAACAGAGAATGCCTTTAATTCTGGCTTTGATTTAAATCTGCATCACCATTTACCAATTGTAAGCCAATGAGCAAGTCATTAAACCACTGTAAGCCTCAGTTTCCTCATTTGTAAAATGGGGATAATTGTAGCTGCCTCACAGTGATGTACAATTAAATGGGGATAATATTTATAATTAGAGTATCTGACCAAATGTATTAAATAAATTTAGCTACTATAAAGATCTAATTAAAGGAGAGTTATTATTGCTATTATTATATTTATTCTCTGTGGTTTTCAGGCTGTCTATTGACCATATATATGCTCTGCAGGGACACGGAGAACTGTATTTTCTCAGCCATGCTGTGGAGCCAAATAGCAGAAACCCAGGCAGCCTGTAAGGAGAAGCAAGACAAATTCAAGAGATTGCAAGGGGATCTCGTTGAACTGAGCCTGGAATTACATGAAAAGAAATCTTTTAACAGTTATTTCCTATTCAAAAAAGACTTGGTGCATTATTCAATTCCATCGTACTGGGAGCTTTGCTCCTTCACATTCATGCTTTCAAATCTTACTCATTACTGCCCTAGCCTGGATGGGGTGAAGGAAGCTGGAAAAGAAATTCTGGGCAGTAGATCACAAAGGAGATATTTGCAGGGATGAGAATAGCTCTAGCTTCCTACCTACATTTGTGAGTTACTTTTAACTTTTCAAAATACTTTCATGCCTACCTTCTCTATTGGGGTGGGTAGCAAGCACCTTGGACCCCTAGATAGAAAACTCCTAGATAATAGAACCTCTAAACCCCTGCCTACTCATTCAGTTTCTTGAACACATTCTGAATAATAAGAACACTACAGCTATTATAACAGCATAATTTACTTAGCATCTGCCACGTGTGCAATACGTGCTGAATATCTCATATACATTGTCTATATAGTTTTTAAATCAACTCTTTGAAATAGCCGGTTTTGTTTTTTCATCTCAGTGACTTGGTATAAGGGTCCTATAGATACTAAGTAGCAGATCTTGGATTTGAACACAGGCATGTGACACAAAATTTGTGCTTTAACAACTCTACTAAAATTCTGAAGACTTCGTCCTATGTTTGGAAATAGTTAAGGGATACAGAGACCGGTAGAAGCCTCTGTCCTGTGCTACAAGAACAGAGCAGACCCTTAGAAGCAGAATAACATTTCACTGTCAGTGTTTATTTAAGTGGTCGAAGTCAATTTCAAGAGACATAGAGGGCAGAGAAAGAGTGATTTTAAAGGACCTAGAGGAGAAGCAATAAATACAGCTGAAAACGTGGGGGACAGGAAACCACCATCAGAGTGTAGGTCAGCTAAGTAGTTAGGAAGTGTTGCATGAAAGGAAGAAGCTTCAGTAAAATGTCATCTGTGACCTGTTTAGGTAACTACATATCCTGCTAAGTTAAATAGATGTCAGTCCCAGCCAGCTGGCTTTCATTTGGGAAAAAATATAAATAAAGAAGTAACCCTTAATGAGTCAGTTCAGAATTTGTGGAATCCTTCAGCAAAAAGAGATTTCAGAGGAGTAGAATGGGGAAAGAATAGGAGTATCTCTTCAGAAACAAGGAAGAGTCACTCAGAAATGTTAATTGACTTGCCTCAGATCAAAATTTCTCTGGGACTAACTCAGGTTACCTGGGACATTACCTTTTGTGCTAACTATTTGAGAATTAATGAAAAGAAAAAAAAACCTAAGTTCTCTAAAGTTAAAATTTTTCATTTACCTATAACCAAAGGACTCATTCGTTCAGAAAGCTGTGGGACGCCTTTGTGAACAATGGATGCAACAGCTAGGCCTGGATCACACGAATTACAATCAACCCTTCCTTACCCTATTTGTGATGTTTCTGTGCTAAGGGAAGGCATTTTCACATTATCTTCTCTGTTCTCATCTGAGTCTTATGCCTTTTATATTTTGTGCCTCTTCTTAAATTATACCTCTTTCTCAAGATTGTATCCCACCAGCCCTGTGGGCCCTTAGCTGTCCTCAGCAAGCTGTCTCTATTCCAGTTCAGCCTGTCCTTCAGCCTGTCCATCAGGCTTCTCACCATGGGGTTGATGAAAGTCTCATCTCCCCAAGACCATGCTTTCCTTAGAACCAAGTATTGTGTCTCTTTTATACAGACCAATAGTACACCAACCAAGGATGTACTCAATAAACCTTTGCTGATTGACTACAGCATTGGCTTTTTCTCAACCAGAAATTATAAAATGTTAAAAAAGTTGTGCTGAAATACAGCATTTACTGGGCTAAAGGGCAAGTTTGGCTTTCCAGTAAGTTTCAACTTTAATCAGATCACTTGTTGGGGTTGGGTAAGAATGTGGCTGTTGTCATGATTTGGGGACCCTAATGATTCCAGCTGTGTCTACTCAGCCAATGGCACAGAATCCGTGATAGCCGAGGTCATGAAGAGTCACCTTCCTGATCCGACCCCCTCCATCTTGGTTCTGCTGCTATTACACTTTTCTATACCACCTCTTCTTATCCCTAGCAGATGACATAGAAATGGAATGTATTATTTGGAAGCATACTGAAAGATACAGTAGATTCTTATTGTTTATGGTAGTGATATTCTGTAAAATCAATGCAAACATTGAATTAGTGAATACTAAATCATTGTTCCTAGGGTAGATACAGGATTAGGTTTCTGAGAGCTACTATGCACAACATTTTCTGCAACCATTCAATACATAACCCTGTTTAATGGATGTTTCTGTTCAGACATTATATTGTATATTGTTGATTCATTAACATCACATGCACAGCCAACTGCACTATTTCTTGTGCCTGAATGAAGCTTTTCTAACATATGCAATTTCTCTGTAAAGCACATCAAAGTCTTCTTGTGCTTTGTGTCACTAGGCATCACTTCAGCTCTCTGCCTGGGGATCATTTTAAATAGCAAAATTACCAACATAAATTACAAAAATACAAAAAATATGTCACCAAACAGACTGCGAAAAGAATTATTTACTGTACTAGAACTTAAACAAGAAGACAGAGCATTGTCTCGTTGGACTGCTGCTGGGAATGTGCACTTTGGTGACTCAAATTTTTTGTGACTCTCTGCATGTGCATGTCTGTCAACGACCATGAAGGTGTTCAAGTATTGATTTGTGAGTAACAAACAAATTTTGGCAAATAGATGAATTGGTAAATACAGAATCAATGAATAATGAGGACTGAATGTACCTTTAAATGGTATCTACTTTCATTTGGCATTTTTATGTCTTAGATCTGGGGATTCTCCATTTATCCACTTCAGTGAAATGGCCCATGTTCTCTTACAGGGGAAAGAAAATCCATACGTAATCTGGAATTCAAACGATCTCAAGCAATGAGAGCCATTTTAACATTTGTAATTATGCTTTACCGCCAAAAGAGTTGTTTGGGCTTTATAGAAATTGGAGCTCATAAGAATGTAGACTTCGCTATCATAGAGATCTAAATTTAAAACCAGATTATGCTACTGATTAGGTGAGTAGTCACCCACCTTCTTGCACAGAAGCTGTCTTATTTCTAACGACAAAATATAACAATATACATATTTTTTGCAGGGCTTGAAAGAACATACATGGAAAATGCCTGCCATGAGGGCACACTGAGTTTACTCTTTTTCTTTCCTTCCCATTCAAGGTATTCTGGAATGAAGCATATTTAGTCATTGTGTTTTCCACAATGCTGAGGTGGAGGAACATGCAGCCTGAGACTATGTATAGGAACTGGCTATTAACACAGGTTAATTAAAAAACATATATTGTGTTCTTCTCTAATCAAAATATGATTATTACCAAGAGGTGAGTCTTGTTTCAAGCAGTGGGGAGGGAATGAACAGAATCATCCAAATTACAACTATAAAAATAGGTATACATTTGGACAAAGTCTGCAAGAGAATACACAGAAATCAAAATAGTTGTTTCCAAGCGATGGAATTATGGAAATTTTTTTCTTCAAAATGTTCTCAAATGTTATACGTTCTTTTTACAATACAAATGCAGTGCATATGAAAAGAATTATAATGAATGAAGCAATCAGGGATTGTCTTGAAGCAAAGCAGTAACATGAAATCAAGATAATGTAGATGAGAGATGATTTACATTATTTTGTTCCCACCAAGCGAAGGGCATTTTCCAGAAGCCTAAGATGGTGGATCAACAAAGAGTGTTGACAACAACACAGGGTAAAGAGAGGTGAGAAGGGGGTACAAACATGGCAGGCCCACTATCAACCCATTTCCAGACTGTTTCTCTTGCCCCTCTTCTGACTTTCAGCATTGATTCCTGTTAATCTGCACTTTATTAACAACTTTTTCCACTCCATGCTTCCGTCATCTCCTCTTCCCTACACCAAATTGACATGCAACTTCCCAAGGATTGCCTAAGACTAGTCAGTACATTGAGCAGAAATGATAGGAAGCAAGCCCCTGTCCAGCTTTCAGAGGGGTTTAGTATTGCGACGTGTCAAAATCTGTGGGGAGCTGCCGGTGGTAGAATAAGCAGGTGGGGAGAGAACGGAAGTTTGTCAGGCTAAGCGTCCAGATTGATGCATTCTATTCCATGCTATTATAAATATTCTTCTTTTGAAATTGTATTTGACTTTGTATTGGGGGGAGAAATCATAATTGAGTTTAAAACTGTGGATCTTTGTCCTGTAGTATGGTATTAGGACTTAAATTCTATTTCCATGTACATATTTCATCCAATAAAATTTAAAATACTGGCTCAAGCATAACTGGTATATAATTTTATTGTCATGATAGCCAATCCGTTATAAATTAAATCAAGCTTTCACACACTAATATCAACTCACACATTTATTCTAACTACCAAATAGTACTTGATTCTAGACTTGTCATATCTTTTTTGGGCCCTGAAAAGGTATTACCATGTCTATTTTAATATTTCATCTATTTTTTAGAACTGTTATTTAAATTTCACAAGACCTCTAGTTGCTGCCCTACATATTTTTTTAATTTATATACACCGTATATTAGGGCCTGTGTTAAAGTCTGGATACTGTTGGACAAAATACAACAATTTGGTGCCCAGAAAAATGAACTGTGAAAATCATTAATGCTTTTCACAAAACAGTGTGGCGTTTGCCTTATAATCACATGCAACAATTAAACATCCATGCCCTCTTCTAACATTGCTAAGGACATGTGATTTGCTCTGTCCAATGAAACCTGTACAGAAGTGTTACTTCTGAGAGGTGAACATTAAAAGCCAGTGCACAATTACCCACTTTTTCCCTTCCCATCACTTCAGTGATTCAAAAACTCTTGGCAAGATGAAGCCTTGGTCAGTTTGGGGATGTGAGAAATCAAGAGGAGCAGAGCTTTCTGCTGATCTGTGGTGAGCACATACCATTGGGTAAGGAATAGACATCTGCTTTGGTAAGCCCATGAAATTTTTTGGAGCTATTCGTTACCACAGCATAATGGAGTTTTCTTAGCTGAATTATAATGAATAAAGATCTGAGAAGTTTCTCAAGTGTTATTCATAGCTTTTAGAAAAAAATGTGTTATTTAGCATTTGATACAAAGGAAATATATATGAATTGTTCAGTCATCCCTTGGTATCTGTAGAGGATTTGTTCCAGGACCCTCCCAAAATACCAAAATCTACAGATTTTCAAGACACTTATATAAGATGGTGTAGTATTTGCATATAACCTATATACATCCTCCTGTAAACTTTAAGTCATCTCTAGATTATTTATAATACCTAATACAACTATCATAGGCTTAACTACATTTTTGATCCACGGTTTGTTGAATTCATGGAAGCAGAACCTGTGGATCCAGGGCTGATTCCATATGTACGCTAATAAGTATAAAAATGCAGCAAACAGCCATAAACTTATCACCCAATTTAAGAACTGGAACATTCATACATTGTTTGAAACTGTCTTTAGGCTTCTCCTACATCCTAACACATGGCCTCCTCCTTAGATATAAGTATTTGAAACAAAACAGGTTAGAGAAAGTGGTCCCAACCATTTTGGCACCAAGGACTGGTTTCGTGGAAGACAATTTTTTCCATGGAATGGGTGGTGAGGGGGTGGGTATGGTTTTGGGATGAAACTGTTCTACCTTAGATCATCAGGCATTAGTTACAGATTCTCATAAGGAGCGTGCAACCTAGATCCCTTGCATGTGCAGTTCACAATAGGGTTCACGCTCCTATGAGAATCTCATGCCACCACTGATCTGACAGGAGGTGGAGCTCAGGCGGTAATGCTCACTCAAGGCTCACCCCCTGTGTTGTGCAGCCTAGTTCCTAACAGGCCATGGACTGGCGGGTCCTGGTCCATAGCCCGGGGACAGGGGACTCCTGACATAGGAGACTGCATTTATAATATCATCTTTGTAAAGTACTCATTGTCTTTTCAATCACATTCTTTGAATATATGAATAATTACTACCACTACTGTGATACTATGGTAACAGGTACTGAGCACTTACTATTTGCCTAATAATGTTTATTAACTTTTTATGTACTTATTCCTTTGTATGAGGTAGGATCTATCGCTAGGAGTACAGGCATGAGCTACCACACTGGGCCCCAGAGTTCTCTTTATATAGCTGGTTTAGTAGACAGATAGTTACTTTCAGAATGCATTTTTAATTGCAGTTGGGTAAAATGCTTCTACTCATTTTAAAGATGAAACAGTTAAAGGTCCAGTATTAAATTTCTTATTTAAGATCAGATATATTAACAATGACAGATCTGGAACATTTGGTTCCAGTATTAGATTCTCTCTGTGGCTGCAACAAATTACCACAAACTTGGTGGCCCAAAACAAGAGAAACTTATTGTCTTATATTGGTTCAAAATGGGTCTTTCTAAAACAAAAGTGTTGGCAAGGCTGAATTCTTTCCGGAGGGTCTAGGGAAGAATCCATCTCCTTATCCTTTTCAGCCAGTAAGGCCACCTGCCATCTTTGGGTGTGGCCCCTTCCTCCATTTTCAAAACTAGCACCTTAGCATCTTCAGATCTCTCTCTGACTCTGACTACCCTGCCTCACTCTTTTACTTATAAAGACCCTTGTCATTAGAGCGGGTTCACACAGCTAACCCAAAATAATTTCCCCATCTCAAGATATTTAACTTAATCTTATCTGCAAAGTCCCCTTTGCAATGTAAGGTAAAACATTCACTAGGTCCAGCCATTAGGATTTGGACAACTTTTTGGAGACCATTATTCTGCCTGCCACAGGTTCAAAACCTATTGTGTTAGTCACTATGCTATACTGCCTCTTGGGGGATGATAGTCCTACAGCCCTATTTTGAAGTGTCATGTTTAAAATCAACAACAGTAACAACTGCAATTAAAAATGTATTCTGAGAGTAACCATCTGCGTACTAAACCAGCTACATAAAGAAAACTCTGGGACTGAGTGTGGTGGCTCATACCTGTAATCCTAACACTTTGGGAGGCTGAAGTGGGAGAATGCTTGAGCTCAGGAGTTTGAGACAAGCCTGGGCAACATAGTGAGAACCCATCTCTATAAGATTAAAAAATATTAAAATAAAAAGTAGAAAGAACTCTGATCTCCTAATTTGAATCCAATCTATCAATTTTTAATGTGTTTTATAATGGAGTTATAGACTTATACAGGGGTGGAGTCCTATCCGTGCCATTTTTTATTATTAACAATATTTTATAGATAAAGAACATGAGGACGTTTAAGTACCTTGCATGATATAACACAGTAAATAAATGGTGAGTTATCTCATGACACATAAATTTTGCTGAACAAGTATAATAGGAATTCATTGTTGGGAGTTTGAGGAGGAATAAATCACAATGGGTTGGAGTACTTAGGGACATTTTAATTCAGTTTTGGATATTGAATTGTACCCTGGAGGAATATCAAGATCTATAATTAGAGAATTTTTGTAATTCTAAATATTAACTTCAGTAATGTACATTGCTGTCTTACTCTGGGCTGGGGGAATGTGCTAGGTATATTCACATATTAAAACCAACAAACAAAAAAACTTGATGAGATGACTAAAACCCCCAGTCATTACACATAAATATGCTTGTTTTCTTCCTATGTGAAAGAAGACTCTGAAAAGTGAAGAGAAAAGGCAGACTAGCTCAGGACCTCAGGATTCAAGCAAGAACATGGTGTTGAGTTCTTTGTGTTTCTTTTTGTCCCTTATATGCCAACCGGAAGCTGAAGAAGCTGGTAACCCAGAAATGCCAAAACAACAACCAAAAGTCTGAACAAAAGCTTGTTCCAGAAAGGGAATAGACTAGGAAAAATAAAACTTTTAGACAATAATCACTCTATTCCAACTAAACATGACAGATAAACTGTGGCCTCCACCCACACCCATACCACGAAGGGCAAAGTGGGGAGCCTAGACCCTCCTGCTTCAGAGGCTATTGTGAGGTGCCCCCAGACCTCCACCAGAGAATTGGCAGAGACGGTTGAGTGGGAACCCAGGACTTTTCATCCCCACTGGATTATAGCAAGGTCCTCCTGCCCCCTGTAGTGTCAGCGGAGACCACGAGTCCTCCTGCTCCATGTGGTGTCAAGCGGAGACCACTTCCATTCCCACAACTATCCGTAATGAAGCAATGCCTGTCTCTCCTTTGGGGTTCTCTTAGAGGGTCAAAGGAGGCTTAATGAAGTCATGACTTTCACCACTCCCATGGTAACCAAGCGTACCACCTACCTCCCATTACGGTGTCAGTGGAAGCCTTGAGGGGCATAGTAAAGAGGCATTCCTACCTCTCTCAGCCAGGGAGATGCCAGCGGAGGCCTAGTGGGAGCCAAGACTCCCACCCCAACTGAGAGTAATGCGGAGCCTTTCACTTGGGTGTCAGGGGAAGCCACATAAGCCTTACATAAAGAAAGGCCAAAATTATAGAAATGGATAACAGATTAGTAGTTACCAAGGGTTAAGAGATAGATGTGTGTGGCTATAAAAAGGCAACAAGAGGGATTGTTGCCATAATGGGAGTCCAGTATTTTGTATCTTAAGTGTATCAATGACTGTATCTCATCTGATACTGTATTAGTTTTTCAAGATGTCACCATTGAGGGAAACTCTAAAGGGTATACCAGACTTCTCTGTATTATTTCTTATAACTGCATATGAATCTATAATTATCTAAAAAATTTTAAATTATGAAAAAAATCTTGATGAAGCATAGCTATTATACTTAGAAAGCCATGATATTGAGGTAACATACAGAATTTTTGTGTTGTTAAGACAGGGTCTCACTCTATTGCCTAGGCTGGAGTGCAGTGGTGCAATCACAGCTCACTGCAGCCTTGATTTCCCAGACTCAAGTGATCCTCTTGCCTTAGCCTTCTGAGTAGCTGAGACTACAAGCATGTGCCATCACACCCAGTTGATTTTTAAATTTTTATTTTTAGTAGAGATCAGGTCTCGCTATGTTGCTCAGGCGGGTCTTGAACTCCTGAGCTCAAGCAATCCTCCCACCTCAACTGGACAAAGGGTTGGGATTACAGGAATGAGCCACCACAACCGGCCTACATGCAGTATTTTGATTAGGAGACCATGATATAGGTTTGTTCTGGAGAGGAGTAGACTCAGATACTCCAAATTTTAAGTACTCAGGAAAGTGATTATTGTTGCTCCGTGGTTTTTCTTATGCCAACTAACATTTTTAAAAGTCTAAAGAATTGGCTTGAAATTTAAACTATTAGTTTAGTGTATAAAATAAGATTGCCAAAAAGCCTGGAATATTCAAAATCACTAATTTGTGTTATCATCCCTAAGAAAAGATTTATATAGAAAGCAAATTGTCATAAAAGCCTTGTATAGTAAATATGCATTCAGGCCATGAAAGAATGGTTGTCAAATGACTGGCTCCCATAGCTTAAGGACCCTAAGGCACTGGGGGAATCCTCTTTAGAGTTTTTGCAAAAACCATTCACCACTTTCTCCTCCCTGTTTTCCTTTCACTTTCAATACCACATTCTAGTGACATGTTAATACTATGCACTGTTGATGTCTTACTGCTCTCATGCCTTCCCAAGTCTATTGTATAGGAAGGGAAGAGAAGGGACTAAGCTTTGTTGAGCACCTAGAGATCCAGTCTCTGAGGAATCAAGTCATGTAATACCCACAAAAATCATCCAGTAGGTATATTACTATTTTACACATGAGCATTTAGAAAGATTTAGGGTGTTTCTCGCAAACTATCAGTTAATTATTATCTGGGTCTGGCTTTTGCTACCTTCTTATTAGATTCTCAGAGAGCTAATTCACCTCCAACTCTGGGGGTGTTGCCCTGCTGTTACCTAACACGAACTGACCACATTAATAACATCACACAATGTAATTTACAAAACTGAAATTTAATAGGTTATATTTAATTGTTAACAATTAAATTATTAGAAGTGGTAGAATTAGATTTAGATTTTCTGCCTCTAAATCTAGCAGTCTTCTCTGATGACTTCTAAAATGTGATCAAGTGGATATAATACAACAGAAAAACATTTTTTCCTTTTCATCATTTCTGACAATGTAGCTAGAAACGAACTGGGCTATCCTTTTGACACACTAATGTTTGGCCACTTTCTTGATTTTCCCTGCAAGGATTCTATGTTTTTCTGTGTCCATTGTGTTCTAGAAAAGATGGGGTTGTGGTAACTACTTACAATTTTAGAGAAAGAGAGAAATGAGGAGTGATTTGGATGATGTGCTTTTTGTCCTGGTCTAAAACCAATAGGAGAAGAATCATCCTGTAATCCTGTCAGGAAATTTTCTCTTTGGTAGACTGCTTTTATAATATATCATGGCTCAGAAAGCCTGGAATTCTACTACTGGCCTATAAAATATAAAGAATTGGGACAACTGTTCTGTTCAATTGAGACCGTCACTGCTATACCTATGGGAACTTCCTAATTGATACATGTTCAAAATAGTTTGGAATTGAGAAAAAGAAAACACCAGCTATTTTTGAAATAATGAGACACTTTCTTAGCTATTATACACCAACTGAAACCTGTGCCACTGCCTAGAGTATTATAATTCCTGCATGAACAAAATTGGCCCAAATAATTATCCAATGCTTAAGGCAACATAAATAAAAGTTCTTACACTTCTAGGTTTCCAGTTAGTAAAAGATGTGCAGTGATGGGAGAGAAAGAGAAAAACACATTTGGCAGTGATCAGGTTAAAAAAAATAAATAAATTCATGCTCAGCCTTGCCATTTAGCAAAATAGTGAAGTTGTTAAAGTTTCTGAAACTCTTTAACCCCACTCAACAGCTCTCCTTTCAACATACAAATGACTAGTAGATGCTTTTTCTTGGTCTCTTGTTTTATATATTTTGCATTCAGAGGGTTGTAAACTAAAGGACAGTATTAACCATCGATTAGGGTATTGCCCAGTTAAGGTGACTGCCACATCAGAAGAATTTGCATATAAATTAATGCTTTTGAAAGCATTAAAGACTTAAATGAGAACTCTACTGGTACATATAGAGTCATTTCTTTAGATGGAAATTAGGCTGTGCAGAGTGAGGGATGATCTTGTCAACTATATGGAGGTGGTAGCTTGTCACCACATAGGGAGTGGGTAGCTCAATGACAGGCATTCAGAACTTTTAACCTTAGGTAAAACTATCATGACTGGATCAGAACTTTCAACCTGGTTTAAAATGGTAACACCTTTTGTTTTATTTCATTGTATTTACCACCTTAGAAAGAAAGAACACATTTGTTCTCATTCTTGTTATTTTTTGGCAATTGCCTATTTATGTTTAATGTGGATGAAAAGGGGATTGACTTTCCACTCACTGATTATTTGAGTGCCACTTTAATGGGCCACCAGAGTTTTCTGTAAAAGGAAAACATGAACATTATAGTTGGGAGTTTGGTAAGAAGAGAAAGAATGAAAGAAGAAAGAAGGGCAGGAACGTAGGAGGATAGAGTAACATGACACTGGGGTCACCAGGTGGGGCCCAGAAAGCAGGCTGCTGGTACCGGTCCAATAGAAAGGTGTCTATCCTTCTACATGACCAGTTAGTGGACCTGTATAAGGGGTATGTGAAGGACACTTTGAATATTCAGGAGCCCTACAAGAGGGAATTTTCTGCCAGTTGATTGGGCAGCTTCAATACAAAAGAGAAATTCCCATGTTCAGTAGACAGGGTTGACACCAGTGTATACTCGTCCCAATGCAGATAAGAACTCTGCCTCATCTGAACCAGCTCCTCACCTGTTATCTACCCCATAGGTGGGATGCTTGGCTGGATCCCATGGCTATTCCTGGGCTCCATCTGACCACAGTTCATGTTACATATGAAGATGCTTGTTAATGCACAAGAGGATTGCTCTTCAGGTACCAGGTAGAAGGTGGTATTAATATACCAGGCTAGTCACCTTTCATTTATTTAGCAAATATGTTAGGAAACTTTCCATGTGCCAAGCACCCTGATATATTATTGGTGATAGATGAAGCACTGTGTGTTCCTACCTCAAGCACTGTTTAACTGGGAGGAATTAATTACAGCTTTTATGTTCAGTGCCAAAATGGAAATTAGGCCAAAGGGCCACGAAAGTTTCTCCCTGGGACACAGCAGAGGGAAGGGGATCCATTCTTCTTGGGAAGAGGCAAAAAGGGAAATCATAGATTGCAACATATTTTTTAATTTTTTTTTATTATACTTTAAGTTCTAGGGTACATGTGCACAAAGTGCAGGTTTGTTACATATGTATACATGTGCCGTGTAGGTGTGCTGCACCCATTAACTCATCATTTACATTAGGTATATCTCCTAATGCTATCCCTCCCCTCTCCCCCAACCCCATGACAGGCCCCGGTATGTGATGTTCCCCTTCCTGTGTCCAAGTGTTCTCATTGTTCAGTTCCCACCTATGAGTGAGAACATGCGGTGTTTGGTTTTTTGTCCTTGCGATAGTTTGCTGAGAATGATGGTTTCCAACTTCATCCATGTCCCTACAAAGGACATGAACTCATCCTTTTTTATGGATGCATAGTATTCCATGGTGTATATGTGCCACATTTTCTTAATCCAGTCTATAATTGATGGACATTTGGGTTGGTTCCAAGTCTTTGCTATTGTGAATAGTGCCTCAATTAACATATGTGTGCATGTGTCTTTATAGTAGCATGATTTATAATCTTTGGGGTATATACCTAGTAATGGGATCACTGGGTCAAATGGTATTTCTAGTTCTAGATCCCTGAGGAATCGCCACACTGTCTTCCACAATGGTTGAATTAATTTACACTCCCACCAATGGTGTAAAAGTATTCCTATTTCTCCACATCCTCTCCAGCACCTGTTGTTTCCTGACTTTTTAATGATTGCCATTCTAACTGGTGTGAGATGGTATCTCATTGTGATTTTGACTTGCATTTCTCTGATGGCCAGTGATGATGAGCATTTTTTCATGTGTCTGTTGGCTGCATAAATATCTTCTTTTGAGAAGTGTCTGTTCATGTCCTTCACCCACTTTGTGATGGGGTTGTTTTTTTTCTTGTAAATTTGTTTGAGTTCTTTGTAGATTCTGGATATTAGCCTTTTGTCAGATGAGTAGATTGCAAAAATTTTCTCTTATTCTGCAGGTTGCCTGTTCACTCTGACAGTAGTTTATTTTGCTGTGCAGAAGCTCTTTAGTTTAATGAGATCCCATTTGTCAATTTTGGCTTTTGTTGCCATTGCTTTTGGTGTTTTAGACATGAAGTCCTTGCCCATGCCTATGTCCTGAATGGTATTGCCTACGTTGTCTTCTAGGGTTTTTATGGTTTTAGGTCTAACATTTAAGTCTTTAATCCATCTTGAATTAATTTTTGTATAAGACGTAAGGAAGGGATCCAGTTTCAGCTTTCTACATATGCCTAGCCAGTTTTCCCAGCACCATTTATTAAATAGGGACTCCTTTCCCCATTTCTTGTTTTTGTCAGGTTTGTCAAAGATCAGATAGTTGTGGATGTGTGGTATTATTTCTGAGGGCTCTGTTCTGTTCCATTGGTCTATATCTCTGTTTTGATACCAGTATCATGCTGTTTTGGTTACTGTAGCCTTGTAGTATAGTTTGAAGTCAGGTAGCGTGATGCCTCCACCTTTGTTCTTTTGGCTTAGGATTGACATGGCAATGAAGACTCTTTTTTGAACTTTAAAGTAGTTTTTTTCCAATTCTGTGAAGAAAGTCATTGGTAGCTTGATGGGGATGGCATTGAATCTATAAATTACCTTAAGCAGTATGGCCATTTTCACGATATCGATTCTTCCTATCCATGAGCATGGAATGTTCTTCCATTTGTTTTTGTCTTCTTTTATTTCGTTGAGCAGTGGTTTGTAGTTCTCCTTGAAGACATCCTTCACATCCCTTGTAAGTTGGATTCCTAGGTATTTTATTCTCTTTGAAGCAATGGTGAATGGGAGTTCACTCATGATTTGGCTCTCTGTTTGTCTGTTATTGTTGCATAAGAATGCTTGTGATTTTTGCACACTGATTTTGTATCCTGAGACTTTGCTGAAGTTGCTTATCAGCTTAAGGAGATTTTGGGCTGAGACGATGGGGTTTTCTAGATATACAGTCATGTCATCTGCAAACAGAGACAATTTGACTCCCTCTTTTCCTAATTGAATAGCCTTTATTTATTTCTCCTGCCTGATTGCCCTGGCCAGAACTTCCAACACTATGTTGAATAGGAGTGGTGAGAGAGGGCATCCCTGTCTTGTGCCAGTTTTCAAAGAGAATGCTTCCAGTTTTTGCCCATTCAGTACGATATTGGCTGTGGGTTTGTCATAGATAGCTCTTATTCTTTTGAGATACATCCCATCAATACCTAATTTATTGAGAGTTTTTAGCATGAAGGGCTGTTGAATTTTGTCAAAGGCCTTTTCTGCATCTATTGAGATAATCACGTGGTTTTTGTCTTTGGTTCTGTTTTTATGCTGGATTACGTTTATTGATTTGTGTATGTTGAACCAGCCTTGCATCCCAGGGATGAAGCCCACTTGATCATGGTGGATAAGCTTTTTGATGTGCTACTGGATTTAGTTTGCCAGTATTTTATTGAGGATTTTTGCATCGATGTTCATCAGGGATATTGGTCTAAAATTCTCTTTTTTTTATTGGATCACAACATATTTGAACTAGCTCTGGAAGGATAAAATAGAGCATTAGGCAGAAAAGGAGCAAAAGTAATCTAAGACAGAGCGGGCAGTATTCTCAAATCTTAGTGGCATGAACATGCTTAAGGAATTGGAGAGTCTGGCTGAACACAAGACATGGGAGAAGAGAGCAGAAACTGGGTGTGGAAAGAGAAGCCGGGGCTAGATTAAGAAACGTCTTTATAATGTATCTTATGGGCATAAAGGAGCTATCAAAGCAGTTTAGGAAGAAAAATGTCATGATGAGAATTGTGTTTTAGTGATATGAAGCTGGTATTAGTATGCTGGATGACTTAGCAGACAGATTATACTCAGAAAGTATATCAGATGTTTCTCCTGGGAAAGCCAGGAAAAGGAAAAATAGGTGTGCAGACAGAAAATAAAAGACGAGCCAAGGTCTAGCAAAAGATTAGGGGTGAAGGGTGTCATGGAATCCAGAAGCAAAGAGGCAAAGGAATGAGGTGACAAGTAAATAAAAATAGGCCATTTGGTATGAAAACTAGAGAGGAGTTGACTTTTTAGAGGTATAATTCCAATGGAACATTGAGGTGAAATGTGTCTTCGTGTCTTCCAACTCGATATCCACTTTCACCACCCTTCTTTACTTGCCTCAAGCCTCAAAAAGCTGACCTGCATATTTCATCAATGTTTTCCCTTATTGTCTGGCTTTTATTGGGTTTTTCCAAAGGGGAATGCCAAGAAGAATAGAAGGAGGAAGGAGACAACAGTCAGGATATCTGTTTCCCAGCTTCTCCCTGTAAGGTCACTTTGGGTTGGTATGGTCCTGGAATCACCATGCTTCTAAGGTGTCCTGTCTATGTCTTTTTCCTTCTGGGTTCCAGTAAGTACTTCATTTTCTTATCTTCTTGGGCCTAGTGGTGGCTCTCATGGCTTGTATAATACTTACCCTGGGTTATTGCACCATCTCTTGTAAATATTATCTTTGTAAATAATATTTTCTTAAATCATTCTAACTTGAGATGATGCGTTTCTTATTGGCACTCAGGCAGATAGGGTGGAGGAAGTGATTTTAGGAGTTAATTGAATGTAAGAGAGTAGAGACAACACATACAGGCCACTCATGGAAGATATTTAGTTATGTAAAGACGCAGGTTGTAAGTTGAATGGGGACCATAAAGGAAAGAAAGTATTTCAGATGGAGAGAGATGACTATATTTCTATGTTGAGTCAAGGATACTCCCTTTTCTTTAAGTTGGCAGGTTAATTAGAATCAAATCATCTATGTAGGAGGCCTCTCATACACCCTAAATTTTGGCAAATTGTCACCTTTAATTCTATTCTTTCTTAATTGCCACATATGGGAGGTAGAAAATGGGAGTCTCAATGCTTGTTTTGAACTTAGAACCCAGAGAATGAATCTAGCATTACCAGTCCTAATTGCTAAGCAGAATGATAAAAGTCACTTTATAATCACCGTGAAACCATGAAATGGCAATGAAGAAAGCTGCCACATGATTAAGCGAGGCAGAAACCAGAGTAGAGTTAATCCTAGCCAGAAGATTAGTCACAGAAAGGGAATGAACAAGAGAAGGAGGCATCAGTGGGCATGATAAGGGATAATAATTACATCTGTAGATTGAACACCACAGAATTTTGACATCATTTAGTGACATTCACATCTTAGAGAGCTGCTGCAGTGGGCAAGTCATTGTATTTTTTCCCCAAAATTTAGCCTTTTGCTTCAGGTACTTGCCTTCTTTGAGAATGTACTCGATTAAGAGAGAAGCAATCAAGGCTCTATAACATAATGTCTCAAGGCATTTAGAATACTTTTTCACCCAATGAACAGTGCAAGCAATAAGTGCTATGAGTTCACACAGAGAGAAAGGACCACTGAATAACAGACATGTACAAATGACTTATCTATATATGCAAATCCATTGAACAATCCATTGAGTGTGAGAAGGAGGCAATGTCCTCATTTTGTATATAAAATTCATTAAAGTCTTATGGTATCCATTGCTTTGAAGACTCCCACAACTTGTATACAGACTCAGAAAACTGTGAACAGCTTTATGTTTTTTTTTTTTTTTTTAACCAGCCAACCCCATTAATTACCTAAGAGTGCTACATGCTGAGCACAATATCAGGTACAATATAGCCAGCCTTGAAAGTCCATGGTGTTTTTTATTTTGCTGATATTTCTAAAATGTTTCAAATAACTGTGATACACAAAGAAATAACCATAGGCTTGAGCTTGGAAGGTGTTAACAGAGTGATTTCAAAATAAAAGGTTTTTCTCCATATAAGTGATTTTTACCTCCAATCCTCCCAAAGAAAAAATAAGCATAGAGCATCATAATGTGATAATTATAACACATTACTTAGTATTAGTCCTCAATTTTTGATGACATCCCTGAAGCTCAGATATTTATTGGAAAAGTTAGGGCAGAAATTCTGAATAGAAAGAAAGGCAAACTAAATGTAAATGGTATGAATTGCTGTACAGGCCTGAGGGTATCTAGCATACTCAGGTCTCTTATTTTTTCAAATAAACTGCTCAATCTCTCACCTGCTTAACATCAAGAATTTCAGTGTCTAATTCCTTTTCTATTTAATTGTAACAGAATCCTAGGGAGTTTTTCATTCTATAGGAGTTTCTGCACCATTGAAACCAGGTTGCCACTGTTTCTCACTGCTATAGTGTGACAGCTGATGACTGGTAACTTACAGGCTGATGGTCAGGTCAGCCCACTCTTCTGATGTCGTTACTGCTTGTTGAGGTTCTGCAGAAACCACAGTAGTTTTTGAAAGAGAAGGATCCCCTAGCCTCCAGGGCAAGTGTCATCATTCCTCAGGTTCCCAGGATCATAGCTCTTAATAATCATCCATTTAAATTTATACAGCTAGCCCCAGCCTCAAAGTATTGGATCTGGACTCATGCCTCTGTCTGCACCCTCCAACATCTGGAAAAATCATCCATTTTTCCTTCTACTGACCACCTCTCCCAGGCTATGGTACATTTTTTTTTTAATCCCCACAAATCAATGGATCTTGTTATATTCCTCTCTATGAACAATTGGCTAGTGTAGGATTTGCTCAAACAAAACCTACTATTTAAGGGTGGCATCTCTCAATAATTTAAAAAAAATTATACGTAGATTATAATATAAAATGTAGCATTTCTCTAGCATTAGAAGAGGGGAAAAAAGAAAATAACAAAATCTAAAAAAGACAAACAAAAATGAATTCTTTAGCAGTGCATCCTCTGGCAGGGCACCTGATCATATAATATCTTATAATTTCTATAATTGTACTAATTGCTTTAAAATATTGTTTTGTTTAAAAGGTTCCACTTCCCAGGGTACAAAAAATAAAATCAGAGTGGTGGATACTTAAGGTGACCCATCTACTGACAGGCATATGTTGGGACTTCATCTTGATGTATGAGGTCACAGCCATGTTCCTCATCATGTTTCTGATGTGCTCTCTCCTAATAGTGGGTGGGGCATAAAAGAAGTCCATCCCACAGTCCTTGAAGAGTTTGCATTAATGGGAGAGAAGGAAAATTCTATACTTATACATATAGAAGAGTTGGATACTAATATAAGATAGCACATAGCATAGTAATAAATTAAATGCAAGCATCTAAGGTATTGAGAGAACTTCTCAGAGGAGTTCCATTCAACAATACTTATTAATAGTAATAAAAGTGTAACTGACTGACAGACTTTTGCCTTCAAAACCTCTTTAAAGTACAAAGCACTTGGCTACACTGTGCAGATTGGCTCACTCAATGCCAACTCCAACTCCTCTTTAGTGTATCTCCCTATCTTTTAGAAGCTGGAAAGGCAAAAAAATTTCAGCAGCCTTCTGTGTATGACCTAAATTCCAAAAGCAAAGCCACCACCTGAGACAGGGAAAGAGTAATGTGACAATGTGAAGGGGCAGCATGGAGACTGACTCTTTGGATAATGCAGAATGGCACAGGTGTCATCATAAAGTGGAAGTGACTGTGGGTTTTGTTACAAGAGTCCTGTTTTACTAAAAGCCTTTTCTCTTGCCTCTATCATCTAGCTTACTAGAAATTCTGAAATGAACCCTTGTCTGCCTAGTATAGCTGCAGGAGACTATGGCATCTGCAACTAAGAAATTCAGAAAGGTATAATAGTATCAGAATGACTTCAGGTGAGACAGATGAAGGACATGGATGTTGGAGTTGTCTGTCTGACCTACTAGGTTGAAGGTAGGGTAGACTAGTCAGCAGTAGAGATTGGAATGCTGGTAATCTGTAGCATCTACTGATGGAAGAATTATTAAATTATTGCCTTTTGTTACTGGGAAAGATGCACCTATTAAAGGTAATGGCTATGCTTAAGTAGGCCATGTTGATAGGTGTGAAGAATATAATGACAATAGGCCAGGCTGTTGCTTCCAACTGAACTGAAGAGCACAAAGCAAGAAAGTAATGGGGTCATGTTTTAAAATCCTGATTCAAGTCCTGAAAAAAGAACTGGAGCGTTTCTATGAGTGCCCTCAAAAGAATCTTGTATTCCTTTGGGTTTATGTAACTAAACATCAAATCCAGAGACTGATTCTGAGTTGATGAAATAAAATAGAGAGAATTTAGAGTCTTGCCAGGCCCTGACTAAACACATAAGGGTATTGGCTGAAAAAAAGTTAAGCCTAAAAATTCTTAGGTATTTGAGGTGACTTAGTTGATTTTGAGTATTCTGAACCTCCAAACTTTACTGACTGTCTCAGACAACACTAGCAGCTACTCCCCACCACCCATACAGGGCTGATGAGATTCTTCCTGTTTTATTTGAAGACCTTGTAATCAGTGCTTTTGCAAGAGAACAGCTATACTCCCCATATCCCACCCTACCATCTATATGATCTCAAACATACCTCAGTTTGACTCACAGAACCAAAAAGAGATTCAAGTCCAGGAGGAGAAGCTGTTTGCTAATTTGTATTAGCAAATATTTAGGACTTGTTTACTGAAAACTAAATATAACAGTGTCTTATGTTAAGTGAAGTTAAGATATCAGAAATTCCTTAGTTCTGTATAATAAATGCAAAGAGCTTAAAAAGGTGGCATGGTCTTATCAAATGCCAGTGGCTCACCTGTACTTAAACATGTACACAAAGATGAGAATGAAAATGTCCACTTCCTATGATATTGAGGAGCATCAAATATAGTATTAGTTCTGATTCTCTGATAGAACTTTGACTGATCCAATGGGTCAACAAGTCATCATATGTGCTATTTGAACTGCTATCATGAACTTGTAAACCACAGAGCTGCGTGTGCTCAGTAGGACACCAACATCAATAGGAAATAAGATAAACAGGATTGGGCCTAAGCATGTTCAAAAGGTCTCAACATGTTACATAATCAGATTACTAATACTCCCAATGTGCCCAGTTCTGTGGGTTCACTGTCACTTTTTCTAGCCAAACTGTGACTTCATAAAGAGTTCCTCTAGTATCAATTGACTGAGGAAAAACAAGTAAGCTTTATTTATAGATGACTCAATCTAATATGTTGACATCAGCCAAAAGTGTATTGTCTCACTCAGGGATACTCCTGAATAACAATAGCTATGATAATACATCTATTGGGCAAAATGTAAAAACTAAATATGATGATCACTTTGTTTGAAAAAAGAGATGACTGAGGCTTTAGATATACATCAATTCCATGGGTAGGAGTCGATCATGGTTTGGAAAGATGGTTAGAAACTTGGAATTAAAGAAATATCAGAAGATTATTAACAAGGCAGTTTTGGTGATCGATTCACGAATGAATTTCTTAAAGTTGTCCAGAACGTAAGGGCATTTTGTATTAGTCCATTTTCTGCTGTAAAGATACTGCTGGAGACTGGGTAATTTATAAACAAAGAAGATTTAATTCACTCACAGTTCTGCATGGCTGGGGAGACCTCAGGAAACTTACAATCATGGTAGAAGGGAAAACAGGCATGTCTTACTTGGCAGCAGGCTAGAGAGAGCGTGGGAAGGGGGAAAAGCCCCTTATAAAATCATCAGAGTTTGTGAGCACTCACTATCATAACAACAGAATGGAAGAAACCACCCCCGTGATCCAATCACCTCCCACCAGGCTCCTCACTTGACACGTGGGGATTATGGGGATTAAAATTCAAGATGAGATTTGGGTGGGGACACAGAGACAAACCATATCACATTTGTACCCCCAAGTGTCTGCTCCCATGATTATTGTGGCCACATTAATCACATGAAAAAAGTAATCATCACTGTTGGTATTATTCAGCCTCTCTTGCCTGACATTCCATATTTGCTCACGGGACTCATGAATAAAGGTGGCTATGATGACAGTGAGGAAAGTTAGGCATAGGGTCAAAAACATGGATTTCTTACTAGATTGCTCAGGTAACTGTCACTGCTGAGAACTCCATCTGCCAGCAGTAGAAATTAATGTTACATCACAGCAGGCTCAAACCCCAGGGCACTAACTGGCAACTCATGGCAGGTCAATTACATGAGATTCGTTTTTGTCCACAGAGAAGAAAGTGATTTATTGTCACTGGAATAGATATTTATTTTTGTACTCTGCGAGAATATGGATTTGCCTTTCTTGCATTCTCTAAGTTTTGGCCCCGGGGATTTACCAGATGCCTTGTTTACTGTCATAGTATCCCCCACAACATTGCTTCTGACCAACAAACCATTTTACAACCTACCAGGGATATCTGGATTTATTCTTACTGGGACCTGGAGGAAACAGAGATAGAGATACATGATTAAAAAACAAAACAAAAACAAAAACAAAAACAAAAACAAAAAAAAACCCAACAACAACAAGAAAAAGGTTGGGAGAGAAGTGCAGTATGGTGGAAAGTGCTTGAGGCTCAGAGCTCAAGAATGTGAGTTTGTGTCTGATTTCTACATCTTTCTAAGTCTTTGACCACTAATAAATTACATACCCTCTATGGGTTTGAGTTACCCTCACTGTAAAATGTGTAAATAATAGGTAATTCATAGGATGGTTTCAATAGAAAATGTTAATCACAAAAATTAATTGTTTAAAAAATTTAGAGTCTTATATTTACCCACTATACCTGAGGATGCATTTAAATTATTTGAGAGAAAAAGTCTCAGAACCTGGAAGGAAGGGACATCTGGTTACAGGTCACTGTTAGGTATTCCCCTAAAGCATCTAAATTCATGTTTGGTTTCCAATGAACATAATCCATAATAACATACACCATAAAGATAGCATATATGTTCTTTTGGTCCTACCTTGAGGGCCACTTCTTTGATTCTTTCTAGTTTCAGGTGAAATCTCTGGCTATTCTACTGAACAAATCTAAAACTAGAAAGGACTTGCTGGTGCTTCATGCCCTCTGTGCTTACTTGTTACAGTCACTTCTATTTCTCTACTCCTGAACTACGATGGGATGACAGAGACTTCCCTACAAAAATTTCTAACTATTGGAGTTGTATTTAACACGCTCCCTTTGTTCTGGCCTGCCCATACACACCTGGGTTTCTTTAGCATCCTCTTTCAGATGTGGCCCTGGCCTGTATGGTTAGTCCATATGGGCTCCTGTACAGGATCTCTCAGTATCAGAGCCCCTTTACCCTTTCTGGCTCTCCTCTCCTCTTTCATCATTTTTCTCCAGACTATGGAGTCGTTTTCTAACCTGAGGACAGGGTGAGCTGACTCCCGTTCTCATCTTCCTTAAGCTATTTTTATGGATAAAACTTAGTCCTTCAAATATTAAACTCTTCAAACTAAAATATATCCAGGTACTTCAAATCCTGTCCTCTTTGTGAGTTTCAAATATCTATGTTGAAATTTTGAAAGTGAAGAATTATTTTGTTCTCTCTGCTTTATTTTCTCTCTTTGCTGGGATATTACTTGGAAAACTCTGGCAAAATAAATGGGAAATAGGTAAAATAAGAAAAAATGGAGAGAGAAGACACACACATTTATAAAACCATATTATACCCCACTATAAGTAGATAGAAGTCAAAACATCGATATACAAATGAACACTCATATATACCAGGTATGTATTTGTGATGAGGTAACTAGACATAGACTTTTCAAGAGACCTAAATTTAAATGTTTTGAACAGTTTCTATAGATAAAGAAAGCAAGTTACTTTGAAATATACCTTTTTGTTTTGTTTTGGAATAGCCAACAGAATCACTATGTAGTCACTCAAATATATGACACATATTTTATTCATTGTTCATGGTGAAGACTCTACATGGTGGAATGATGCCAAATATGAATCCTTCAGTCTAGAATGTTAACTATTCTTTTTATAAATATAAAGGACTCCTCAGTGATGAAAGCTGCACTCCTTTGTGTGAGGAGGCTGTTTGATTCTCTATGTGGGTGTTAGAGAGCAGGGCTTTCATTTCTCCTATGGAGGCAGTTTGAAAGCAAAGCAGAGGCCTCAGATATGAAGGTGAGGGCCTGTGTGCTCTGCTATTAACTGCGGAGAAAACTTGCAGTTAATCCAGGCAGAGAGATAACACTTCGTATTAGACAGGTCATGGGAAGATGAACAATGTGCAAAAGGCTCTGAGAAAATAGCACCTTAGGGTAGAGTCAACAGATGAAGGTGACAAAAGACTGGCAGAATGATTGTACCATGTAAAAATACCTTTGGTGAGTCTCAGGAATAACGGGAAAACCATGTTTGATGGAGGGCTCAAGTCCATCAAACTCAACAATTTGTTCAAGACTTTCCTGGTTTGAGGACTGAGAGCCCTGCATATCAGGGAAACTTAGTTCTAAAAACAGAGGGATGGTTGGTCCTTGTACCTTCTGCAGATGTTGTGACTTACTTATTCTGGGCTAGGAAAACAAGAACTGAGGATTACTGATATATGCAGATACAGCTAGATGAGTGGTGTTGGGGCTGGATTGTGGAGGCCCTTGAATTTCAGGCAAAGGAGTCTGTGCATTGTTTGAGAGGATTCAGTGCTATTAAAGAGCACTAGGTTATTGAATGGCCAACTCAGGAATGGTAGATTAGAGGGAAGTAGGAAGAGAGGCCGTTTGATCATTACACATTCTATGCATGTAAAAATAATGACATATACCCCATAAATGTGTACATATATTATATATCAATAAAAAAAAAGAATCAGGCAGTTAAAGTGGGCTTAGATAAGAGTGGTTGTGGGAATGTGAATGTCTTCCAAAGGGATGAGTTTCACTGATCACCTTGTATAAAGAGTAGAACAAACAGTATAGATTATCTTTTCCCCTTTTTGTTTACAAAATGAAAAAGACCTGGGTCAGGTAATCATTATTATATAATGTTCTCTAACTTCAGGTTATGTGACAGGTAGACCATCTTAGAGACATAGAGGAAGGCTTCTATGACCTTTCATGGCCTGCCCTTGCATTGTATGCCATAAAAGTGTACAAAAATCACATTTCCTATTATGAATTTCCTTTGCCCTTGGAAGGCAAAGATTTGCTTTGTATGTGCACATTTGTGGTTGACTGGTAAAAATATTTGCAGGAGGGTCACTAGGCTGTGTAGAGCATAAGGGAACAGGATATTTGGAATATATTTTAGAGCCAGAAAATATACTCATAGATTCAGAAATACACAGCACAGTGTTCTCCACTCACACACAAGTATATACACTCACACGTTCTTACACATCGTCATCCACACACACATGCACATGCTTAGACACACATACCTCTACATTTCTTTTTTAATATCAGGCCTGCTATAAGCAAAAAAAGATTTGAAAGGAAAATGGATCAAGGAAAAAAAATCACCTTCATTTTGTTGAATTTTTAAGAAACTTTTTTTTGAGAAGGATATTGGTTTATCATCAGATAAATAGTTTCATCTCTCATGAAATCCTATAGACCCTGAGGATCCTATAGATCCTGAGGAAGCTCTTAGCTACTGGTCCCTTGGAGGTGGCAGGTAGCAAGGTATCAGATCCCATAATTAAAAGAGGCCTCCAAATCCTTTAATAGCCCATCATCATGTGAGAAAACTGACTCTTCAGGTATCTTCACTAAAGAGAAAATGACTGGTTTAAGCCTTGGGCAGAAAACATTCTGTCCTTTAACAAAGGGACAAAAGGTTGGGAACAGTGAGGAGAAAGAAAGATATTTGATTGAATGTGCCCTGCAGGTAAATGAATGATTCTGGTGTGAGTGTAAAAATAGGGATAGGCAATTTATATCGAGACATAAATAAATACAATTAATATATAGATACAGATACATATATAAATATAGCTTTATCTAGAATAGAAATAAAGAAAGAAGTAAAATCCTAAGGTGGAGATTTAGGGCAGGTTTATTCTGAGGGTATAGTATACCATTTTCTTTGGAGAATTTTGAGAGTAAAGAATAGTCTTAGGTGAATTACAAAACAATGAAACTGAAAAAGACTTTAAAGATTCTTGTTTGACAGACTAGTCAATGTTCACAGAGGTGGGAAATGGTCATATGCCATCATTAGTGGTCTAACCACTAATCCAGTAATCTGCCATAATAATCTGCTCAAGAAGGGGTGGAAGAGGCCACCCACAAAGTTATCCTGAGAGACTGACTATTTAAAACCAAAGTAGAGATAAAGAAATAGACAGTGACTTGGAAGTAGCTAGGGAGTCTGTGGGGAGGAAGAGGAGGAGAAATTTTTTTCGTCTAAAGCCAATTGGGGGGGGCAAAACAAAATAAAACAAACAAACAAAAGAAAAACAAAATCAAACCAGCACATACTTAAGTCCATTAGGGTCTCCCAATTTTATCAACGGTGGACAGGGCATTCCTTCCATGCCTTTCCTGGAAGAGAGGAAGGAGGTTGGAGCACTTCTGGAATGTCTAGAATGTCTTTCTCTCTGTTCTTGGTGCTAACAAGTACCTGACTTCCTCTGATCAAATAAAGTTGTGTGTGTACGCCTAGTGTGAATCTCTGTGAGCCCCTTCTTCCTGGAGTCTGTCTTAGGCCTCACATCTTGGAGACAGCCAAGTAAACATATTATAATTGTTAAAATTAGTATAAATTACAGGGTTCTGGGAAGGTCACAGCTTTGAAGGAGGGTAGTACAGTAGTTCCATGCTTTATATTCCAAGATAAAGCAGTTTATCTTTTTGTGTCTGTTCTTCATGGTTTGCCTCCCCTCTGGTTTCCTAGTGATTACAAACCCTTAGCCACACCCTCCTCACTTTCCCTTCTCTCCATGGCCAGCTTCGTAACTGACTGATCCTTGGCAGCTATCTGCTCAGCACTCTCTCCTCTGCTGTCCAAGGTCTCATAGTCATGACTCCCTTGCCACATTCTCTTTCTTCCTAGCCCTGTTGTTTCTAAATCAGTGCTCTCTTATCTGCAAACTCAAAGAAGGTTTAATAATCTGTTTGGGGCCAGGCGCAGTGGCTCATGCCTGGAATCCCTCTACTTTGGGAGGCCAAGGCTGGTGAATCACCTGAGGTCAGGAGTTCGAGACCAGCCTGGCCAACATGGTGAAACCCCATCTGTACTAAAAATACAAAAATTAGCTGGGCATGGTGGTGGGCACCTATAATCCCAGCTACTCGGGAGGCTTAGACAGGAGAATCACTTGTACCTGGGAGAAGGAGGTTGCAGTGACCTGAGATCACGTGATTGCACTCCAGCCTGGGTGACAAGAACGAAACTCTGTCTCAAAATAACAATAATCCGTTTTGAACATTAGTGAATAATAATTATAATAGGCTATTTTCCCCCATTTGCACCCTACCTGGGAACTTGCATGCCTGCTATTTGAAGCCAAAGGACTAACTCTGTAAGGATTGAATTTTAGGCAGCCTATGATTCTGGTAAGGAAGATAATTTTAGGCAAGAGGATATTCAAGAATTCTGTAAATTATACCAGTTTTGATGATATGTACCATGTTTATTTACCTTCCCCCAAGTGTGTTAAATAAGCAATGCCTATCCCTACCTGCCCTCATACCTAACCTCAGGGTAGGGAACTGGGGGCAGATGTGACTGGAGGACCTTTAGGAGTCCTCTCTCCACTGCATTGTGAACATATCACAACTTCTGTCTGCACTGAGGGTTTGCCTTTGCTGTCTCTCATGTTCCCTTTCTCTTTTTTCTGTTCTCTAAAGCATACACAAGGAAGAAGGCAACCAATACTGGAGAGACTCCTCGGGAGAAAACAACCAGCAGGAGAAAGGAGTGGCCCCAGTCCATTCATTCTCTCCACTGAGGGTGACTTGTCCACGGTCACACAGGACAAGAGGGGCAGCCTGAAACCAAAGACACAGGGCCACTCTCTCCCACCACAGCCACCTCTCCTACACCGATGCACTGTGCTCTACATAATGTTCATTTTGGGGAAGCAAAAGGAGAAGCAGAAGAATGGACCCTGTCATAGAGGAGATGTGGCTTCAGGTTGACTAGGTAGGAAAGGATATTCTTTTCCTCTTGTGTCTTTTTAGAAGGTGGCTCACATGGGTTAAAATTCTTGTCAGTAGTGTCATCAGAATAAACCCTGGGCATAGGTGACATCAAGAGAAACCCAAATGGAGTGATTCCTAAGGGTAGACTCATGGTAATAATAATGACAATAATTCTCATTTATTAAACACTTTAGATCTATATGTATCTGTGTGTGTATACAGACACACACATACACACGTATATAATACATATAATTTCAATCTTCATTTTACAGGTAAAGGTCCTGAAGATTAGTGATTTGCTCAAGGTCACTCCAAGAATGTTGGAGATAGTAGTTGAACCCAGTTTGTTCATTTACGAGCCTATGGCTTATGTTTTCCGTATTCTGTCTCAGATTCTGTGATCACAGGCTAATCTCAAGACTAATGAACCGCAGCTAAAGTTATGCTAGGCCTCTGCACAGAAAGAAAGGAATAACTTCTATAGCAGACACAACACCAGGAGTTTGTGCATATCCTATTTAATCATTGCAGTGACACAGTCAGAGACTTATTATTATTACCCCCTTTTTATAGATAGAAGAGCTGAGGTCCAAAGGGTTTCCAGGTTAATTCAGCTGCCAAGAAGAATACAAATAATGGCAATATTTATCATGGCTTATTATGTGCTAGGCACAATGCTAACTTCTTCATATTTCTAAAGCAGTAGGAGGTCTGAGAAGTGAGCCATCTCCAGGAAGTTAAAACATTGTTCTCCAAAGGCTCATGTGAAAATGCAAACATTTTATTTATGATTAAAGAAAGTCCTCACTAACACATCAGCAGGGATCAGTTTGCCGAAACGCTTACCAGAGGAGAGGGCCATATGGGATGTAGATATTTGATTGAGGGAGAAGTAAACTAAGACACAATCATTCCAAGATGAAGAAGAAATAATATAAAGGTAACTGATACCTTTGCTGATTTGAATATTTATTTAAATAAATTATGAATATTCATTTTTCAGTGTTTTTATTCTTAGAAGGCCTGTTACTGGTGGATGGAAACTATATGGTTCCAAAAAAAGTTATGTGGTCTTGAAGTGGTTTTTCAGGGGGATGGATGATGTTTCCTTGGGGCATTAAACAGCATGATTTCTCTTTGTGGTCTCATGTCATAATGGTGTCAGTGCATTTCCAGCGATAATTAATTGAGCTTTCTGACTGGTCCTTGTGATATGGAAGGGAAATGCTGGGAAGGGAAGGGTGTGGTCCCTTTAAATGATAGGGAAGGGGGAAGGGAAGTGCTGGGTAGAGGAGGGAGTGGTCCCTGGCTAGGGCTCCACCCCCAGGCCTTTGCCCATGGACCTAGGTGAGGACAGGGATTTTTGCTGCACAGGCGGCTGGACATCGAGAGGAATGCACCAGTGTAGGATCACACTGGCACGCAGACAGGCCATCAGGCAGCAAACCAAGGCAGTTTGGCTGGGGCAGTTGTAGGAGAGCCAAGGCCAACAAGTGGCTCGACTCCAGGGGAAAACCATCTTCCTTCTGGCTCCCCCGACTCCTGAGAGCTACTTCCACTCAATAAAACCTTGCAGTCATTCTCCAAACAATGTGTGATCTGATTCTTCTGGTACACCAAGGCAAGAACCCCAGGATACAGAATGCCCTCTGTCCTTGTGATAAGGCAGGGATCTAACTGAGCTGACTAACACAAGCCACACATGGATGGCTAAACTAAAAGAGCATCCTGTAACACACGCTCACTGAGATTTCAGCTGTAAACATTCACCCCTAGACACTGCCATGGGGTCAGAGCTCCACAGCCTGCCCTTCCCTGTGCTCCCCTAGAGGTTTGAGCAGCAGGGCACTGAAGAAATGAGTCACACCCCCATCACATGCCCTGTGAGAGGGACAAGGGAACTTTTCCCATTTCAGTTGCATTTGTGTAGACGAGTATTCAGTGGTGCAATAGACCCATGACATACTTGGCAAAAATGAATACACAAAACACTTCCAAATGGACTAGATGGGCAAGTAACTTTGGGAAGCACTGCATTTTATATTCTTCTTTCTTAGGGATTTATAATTTCCATCAGTTTACTAAAAGTTCTGAGAAATCCTATAGTGAAGAAACCAGTCTCCTAAATTTATTTGCATTAGGATCATTTGGAGTGTCCAGTGGGAGGAAAACCTCCTGGTGTATTATCAAACTCTACTATCACAGAGAATTCCAAGTCCCGTTATCTATTGATGTTGCTGCTTTTCTCCAAAGCAGCTGGTGACTTTCTACAGGATAGATCTTTACTGAAAAATCCTTAACCAAGAATCTATGCCTGCTTATCTTTTTTTTTTTTTTTTTTTTTTTTTTTTTGACAGAGTCTCGCTCTGTCGCCTAGGCTGGAGTGCAGTGGCGCTGTCTTGGCTAACTGCAACCTCCGCCTCCTGGATTCACGCCATTCTCCTGCCTCAGCCTCCCGAGTAGCTGGGACTACGGGTGCCTGCCATCACGCCCAGCTAATTTTTTGTATTTTTTCAGGAGAGACGGGGTTTCACCATGTTAGCCAGGATGGTCTCAATCTCCTGACCTCGTGATCCGCCCGCCTCGGCCTCCCAAAGTGCTAGGATTACAGGTGTGAGCCACCGCTCCTGGCCACTTATCTTTGTTTTTACAGAATTCCTGCAAATCAGTGAGTAAGCTGGTTCTAGGCGTTGGATGTTATTTTGTGGGTTTTGTTTACGTGGCTTTTTCTGTATTTTTCCTACCCCTCATTTAATGTCTTCTTTAGGATTATTTATCTTCTCTCACTTATTTTTCTGCTTTTACTTTTTTGGATATAATGCAATCAAGGTCTATTAGTGAACAGGTTGATAATTTTAACATGCATACATAATTTTAATAAGATTATAATTAATCAACATTACCTCTTTTGCCCTCAACTCAGAAAGAAACATGGATTTTATTCTAACACTCTCCTGTCTTATGTATTATTGCCATCAACAATTTCTTAGATTTACCCACACATTTTATAATTTTTAACTCCTCCTTGCTATTTTTTTTTTTTTTTTTGGTTTTGTCTTTTATTTGAGATGGAGTCTCCCTCTGTCGCCCAGGCTGGAGTGCAGTGGCACAATCTTGGCTTGCTGCAAACTTTGCCTTCCAGGTTCAAGCGATTCTCCTGCCTCAGCCTCCTGAGTAGCTGGGACTACAGGCATGCGCCACTACACCCAGCTGATTTTTGTGTTTTTAGTAGGGACGGTGTTTCACCATATTGGCGAGGCTGGTCTCAAACTCCTGACCTGGTGATCTGCCCGCCTTAGCCTCCTAAAGTGTTGGGATTATAGGACCACGCCTGGCTGCTTCTTATATTTTAGCTCTTCCTTCAGTGTTTAATTTCTGTCTCAAAATATATTTTTGTAATTTACTTTGGTGAGAAGAGATAAAAACTCTTCATATTTTTCTAATAAATTTATATTCACAGTAATTTTATCTCAATATTTTCAAATATTATTTCATTGTCTGATAGCTTCTGTGGTTGATATAGAGATACCCACTATCAGTATAATGGAAATTCCATTCCAGAAAAATCTATATGTTCTACACAAAACCCTAAATTGGTCTCTAAGTTCTAATCCTCCTGTACTCACCCTTTATAATCCTCTCCCTCCACACATGGGAGATGTGGGATAACACTCCCATGATTGGTTACTTTATTGGGCAAAGTAGAAGAGATTTTGCAAATGTAATTAAGTGTCAAGCAAGTTGACTTTAAAGTAAGCAAAAGGGGAATGATCTTGAATGAAACTCACATAATGAGGTGAAAACTGTTTTTTAAACTTTTGTGAATACATAGTAGGTGTATATATTTATGGAGTAGAGGAGATGTTTTGACATAGGTGTGCAATGTGAAATAATCTCATTGTGGAGAATGGGGTATTCACCCCCTCAAGCATACAACCACTGTGGAAAACAGTTTGGAAGTTCCTCAAAAAACTAAAAATTTAGCATCCATATGATCCAGCAATCACACTATTGGGTATATGCCTAAAAGAAAGGAAATCTGTATATTGAAGAGATGTACACTCCTGTGTGTTTTGAAGTCCTGTTCGCAATAGCTAAGATTTAAAAGCAACCTAAGAATCTATCAACAGATTAATGGATAAAGAAAATGTGGTACATATAAACAATGGAGTACTACTGTCTCATAAAAATTAACGAAATCCTGTCATTTGCAACAACATGGATAGAAATAGAGATCGTTATGATACGTGAAATAAGGCAGACACAGAAAGGAAAACATGTTCTCACTTATTTGTGGGATCTAAAAGTCAAAACAATTCAACTCGTAGACATAGTGAATACAGGTAAAAATTCTTAAAAGATGGACATGGACCTTTCTAAACAGAGAGGTACTCTTCTGTTGCCCTTAAACAAAAATTTATGCTGTGAACTGCCTACAATGAGGACAGGCCTGTAGAAGCTGGGGACTTTAGTCCTAACAACTGCAAGGAACTGAATTCTGCCAGGAATCTGAAAGAGGCCCTCAAGTACCAGATGGGAAAAGCACCTGGCTGACAACTTGATTGCATCCCTGTGAATTCTGACCAAAGGATGTAGTTATGACGTGCTCAGACACACCATGGAAACCATGAGATAATGAATTTGTCTAGAAGCACCAAGTTTCTAGTAGTTTGTTAGCAATAGAAAACTAATATATGGCTGGGCGCAGTGGCTCACACCTGTAATCCCAGCACTTTGAGAGGCCGAGGTGGGCGGATCACGACGTCAGGAGTTCGAGACCAGCCTGCCCAACATGGTGAACCCTGTCTCTACTAATACAAAAAAAATTACAAAAAATTAAAAATACAAAAAATTAGCCAGGGGTGGTGGTGCACACCTGTAATGCCAGCTACTCAGGAGGCTGAGGCAGGAGAATCCCTTGAACCCAGGAAGCAGAGGTTGCAGTGATCTGAGATTGTACCATTGCACTCCAGCCTGGGAGACAGAACAAGACTCCGTCTCGAGAAAAAAAAAAGAAAGAAAAAAAAGAAAACTAGTATATTACATGTTCTTTCTTGCAACTTTGAAAATCTTTTTTAATGTCACTCTGCAGTTTCACTATAACATGCCTATGTGTGAATCTGGTTTTATTTATTTTACTTGGAACATAATATATTTCCCATACCTGAGGATTTTTAGTTTTCATAAAGTCTGAAAAAAATGAGGTCATTATATTCTTCTTATATTCTCTCTACCTCTTGATGTATTTTCCTAGCTTTATCATTCTGTGACTTATTCTGTGTACATTCTTTAAATTTAATCTCCAGCTTATTAAATCTATCTTTAACTGTGCTGATGCATTATTTAAAGAATCCAGGCCGGGCGCGGTGGCTCGTGCCTGTAATTCCAGCACTTTGGGAGGTGGGTGGATCATGAGGTTAGGAGTTCGAGACCAGCCTGGCCAACATGGTGAAACCTCGTCTCTACTAAAAATACAAAAATTAGCTGGGCGTGGTGGCAGGCGCCTGTAATCCCAGCTACTTGGGAGGCTGAGACAGGATAATTGCTTGAACCCAGAGGTGGACATTGCAGTGAGCCAAGATCGTCTCAAAAAAAAAAAAAAAAAAAAAAAAAAAAAGGAATCCACTGATATTTTAAAATTTCAATAACTTTAGTTTTTATTTACAGAAATTGTATTAGGTTATTTTCAAAGTATGTCTTATCTCTTTAATAGTAGATTATTTTTTCCTCATATTATACTTTGTTCTTTATTAAATGGTAAACATAATTGTTTTATATTTTTATCCAATATTATAATGTCAATGATTTTTTCCAGATATAATATTACTCACAATAATTCATGGTAATTTGTTTCCTTATGAGTTATTAATTTTGTACTTTGAGCTCAATTCAAAGTGTGACCTGACTGATTGGTCTTTGCTTCTGCCCAGGTTGTTTGGGCCTCTTTTTATGTGAATACTCAGTGTGGCGGATTCTGAATCATGTACAAGCCCTAGTGGGTTCAGGGCTGAGTTTATAACTTCTCTGGGAAAAAAAAACACCCCTTAATTTTTTTTTTTTAATTAGAGTCTGGGTTAAGATCTTTAAGCTTCCTTTTTTCCTCTCTATGGTGACCCTGCATTTTTCATTTTGTGCATCAAGGAATCTGGCTTTCTATCAGGATCTCACTTCTATCGTCACATTCCATATGAGCCCAACATTTACCTCCTATCATTTTGATGTCATTTAAATTCACAACTCTTGGTTAATAAGATAAGTATATGTCGTTAGGGCAGCCAGAGCCTTAGCCTACCCACTCTAGACTCAGTTCTCCTTCAGGGTCTGGTATTTTGAAATTTCCCTAGCTTTCCTATTTCCTCAGATCTATATCTTAAAGTATGTTAGTAGTATTTCTTCAAAACATTACAATTCTCTTTAGAGAAAAGTTGTTTTATTCTTATTAACTATTTGGCTATATTGTTGAAAACAGATTTGAGAAATGTCTTAGAGGTCATCTAGACTAATGCAGTATCCAGTGTTTGAATTCTCCTACTTCTAGTAATATCACTATTTACGAAAAATTGATGTGTGCCAGTTTGCTAACTGCTTTCATGCATTATTTAACATATCCTTACAAAAAATTCAATGATTTAAAAGATTATTTGTAATATATATAGAAAAAAATGAGACTGAGAAAGATGAAATGTTCACATGCCAACAAAGCAATTGCAAAGTCTGGATGCAAATCAAGGCTTTTTCTTTTTTCCTTTCCTTCTTTGTAGCCCATTGGTTCCTACTGCATATTCCATACTACAGTTTTGGTACTAAATGCTTACTCAGCTTATTCTTAATTGCTAATAATAATGTCAAATATACTGCTTTATTTTATGTAATATCATTCCATGTAAATAATTAGCTTATTGTTATGTTATCAGTAGTAATTATTTTTTCTAGTGAGTCACAGTACTTCAGGCATTGGTTTTAATCTAAACCTTTGAGTTCACACCATGTCAGCACTTCAGTATTGAATATTTAATTTTTTTTATAGTTCCTCATATAAAATTTTTTTATCCTTTCTGGTCATTCTCTAGATGAGCTCCAGTTAATCTAATATCACTCAAAAAATATTATCAAGGACTGAATATAATTTTCTAGGTATCAGATGAAGAATAATGTGTGGATTTGACTGACATTTCTAAGGTCTGAATTTCTTTAGTCACCTTGTGGTAGCACTCTTTAGAAAATTATATTTACCACTGTTTATTTTCCTTTCTTCTACACTTGGTGTGAATGGCTCTGGATTTTTTTCTCCTTTTCCACTGAAGTCAGCTCATATTTCAAAGATCACCAATAAGTACAAGTCTTACAGCCAAAGTCTTTTATCTGTGCCTTACTGAGACATTTTAATGTCTTTGGTCAATACCTGGCAAGACAAGTTTTAATGAATGTCATGATAAATATGTGATGCGAAGCTGTGAATATTCTGTCATTTACTTCTGTTGGGGTAGATCATGACCTCCTTTTGTGACAAAGCTTTGCTATGAGGTTGGCAAAGATGGAGTGGTCAAGAGTGATTCTTGCTAATTCAGTAGGTGGGTGGGGTGATGGTTGGGCTCGGTTCAACTATATATTTGTGGGATGTTTAGTTTGAGGTAATCAACAAGTAGTCTTCTATGTAATTCTGGAATTCAAGAGAGATATGTGGACAAGACTCAATGCTTGAAAGTTCTTAATATATTGAAGATATATTAATTCCTATTGTTGCTTTAACAAATTACCATATACAGTAGCTTAAAACAATATGAATTTACTATCTTACAGTTCTGGAGATCAGAAGTTTGAAATCAGTTTCATTGGACTAAAGGTGTTGACAGGCCTTTTTTTTTTTTTTTCCTGGAGGCTCTGGAGGAGAATCCATCTTCCTTAAATTGTCCAGCTTCAAAGGGTGCCTATATACTTTAGCTTGTGGTCCCCTTTCTCTCTTTCATGCCAGCAGCATAGCATCTACTCTTCTTTCTGGTTTCTGATTCTGTTCTTGTATCTTCTCTTTTTGACCATCTTGCCTTCCATGAGGCTCTTGGGATTACAGGGGGTCCACCTAGATAATCCAGGATAATCTTCCTATGCCAAGATCTTTCACTCAATCATATCTGAAAAGTCTCTTTTGCTATGTAAGGCTATACATTAATAGGTTTGGGGCACTAGGATATGAATATCTTTGTGTTGCAGGCAACTGAAACTGTGAAACTATAACACTACACAAAGAGAGTGTGTAGACTAATAAAAAGAAAAGAGAAGATGATTTGGAGAACATTGACCTTTAATGAGCAATAGAAGAAAGAGTCTTTAATATAAGATCATGAAAAAAAGTGATAAGAAAAGTTGGAGGGAACTGTGATGTGGGGGTATAACCAAGACCAATGGAGAAGAGATTTTCAAGAAGGTGAAATAGTCAAGTGTGTGGAGTTTTTAAAAGATGTCAAGGAAGAGGAAGGGTGACTATTGTTTGACATATTTGGCCATTAAAAGGTTCCTGAAAGTTCATAAAGAAAAGTCTTTATATGTTCAAAACCCTGCTATACAAGGTAAAGCCATAGAGCTTGCATATTTTCAAAGAATTTCACTGAAAAAATTAAAAATTTAGAAAGTGCTGACATTTCCAGACTTAACAACTTAGCAACTTGAATGTCTGAACTCTTCAGCACCGTGGATTCCCTCAACCAGCATGTTATAATGGATAGACTTTGGTGTCACCAGCACTCTTGATTAAATTGTAGTTTTATTACATACTAGCTTTGTGTCTTGGGGTAAAATACTAAAGCTTTTAAATATTTACTCAGTTTTCTCTCCTATAAATTAGGATAATAATATTTAGTTTGCAAAGTAATTGTTAATACTCCAATGAGAACAATATAAAATGCCTGGCACACAGTAGCTTCAATAAATGATATTTAATATTATTACTACCACTATGGAAGTACTTTCTTAAAAATATGTAAAGTGTCACAAATAGCAACTGTTATAATTTTAAAAGTTTTTGTAGATTTCAAATCAGGGATGGGGTCAGCAAAAGTATGTGCATGACTAATAGGCTTTAATTCCAGCCAATACTGTGTCTTACAATTACTATGTTCTCTCTTTAGAAATAGAACATCAAATGAGAAGATATTTTTGTTTTCTCCCATCACCAATGACAGCAGTCATTTTCAGGATTTCGACTGATAAGTTTCAGAGTTGCTTTGCCTAAGGATCATGTCCCTGATCTGCACCTGTGCCCTGCCCACCCTCACCCTTTTTCTGCCCAAATAAATCAGTCTGGGATTAATCTTTGCAGCTTCATTCCTCACTGCTCCCCTCAGTGAATAAAATTTGGGCCAGAGTGGGGGAATTCCTGAATGTGCCATGTTCTTTCATGCCTCTGGGACTTTCTTTCCCCAATCAAGAACATTTGGTGCATCTGTCTGCCTTTGAGATTCCAAATGGCCTTCTTGGGTCAGCTCAAACGATCCTCCTTGATGGTTTATTTGCCCTTGGGTTTAAATTTGTGGCTTTTATGTATTAAGATCTCTCCAAAATATTAAGATTTGTTTCCAGTCATAAACCAGCTTTTTTTTTTTTTTTCAGCAAAGCTTCCCTTTCCAAGCCTGAGAGAGATAGCTAAAGGGTAGAACTCAGAAGTGGTTCGTTTTCTGCTATTTATTATTCAGGAATGCTTGTTAAAATAGTAACCTTTCCTATTAATGAAAAGAGTTGATACAAGGGCAACAAGTGGCAAAAATTGCTCTTGTTCAGCTGTAGAAGGTAGCATCTTAGTAACCCAGAGGGTTAATTCATCAAGAGGATATTCAGAATGGTTTGTATACACAGATGCATTTTGCAAAAGGCAGAAATAGATCTGTCGTTTCCTTCTATTTTCTCCAAGACTCCAGTGGCATTTGAGGAAAGCAGGAGAAACTAATTTAATGTTTTATTTAAATATTTCGGTATTTTTATTTGCTCAAAGCAAAATATCTCATTCAATATCTTATTCAATAAAGGCATGTCAGGCCCTAGAACTGATGATAGCCAGGTGAAAAGTTTGTCTGGATAGGTAATAAGGCTCAAAGTCCTGATTTTCCTGCTGCAGATTCAAAAGACTAATAGGAGAAAAGAACAGGGGTTAGAATCCATAATAACATTCAGTTCTTCCCTTGTACTGACATCTCTGGGTTACAGAGCTCTTTGAAAAGGAGTTCTCACTTTACAGGGGTTTTTTGGTTTGCATCTAAAGAAGTTGAGACTAAGGGCTGGGCAAAGTCTTAGTCTTGAAGAGGCTGACTTCAGATTATGCACAAACACACACTTTAGAGTAGAGACCAGATAGGTTTGCAAGTGAAATATTCTCTGGCTTTATTCAAAAAGTAATTTTCATGAGATGCTGTGCTTACTTATACAGGAAGCAGAATCTTTTTTTGTTCAGCAAAATACTTTGGTTTGTTGGTTTCAGATGACCCAACAGAAACTTGCTTACAGGAATTAGGGGAAACAATCAGGTGATTATTCGGCTCTTATGTACATTGAGGTCAACAAAGTGTGGTCTAATAGCCTAATAACAGTTTGCTCCTGAGCATGACTATCCAAGGACAATGTTAGAGAGGCAGTATTGCATTACAGGTATAGGGTATAGGAAGGAATAGAAACAAGAGATCAAGAGTTGAAAAGATTAGAACACTTGGTGAATATCGTACAATGCAGCATGATCCTAAATTATTTGGGACATAATTAAATAACAAAGTTAAGGTGCCATACATTTATTCTTATTGTGTGCTGGTCACCCTATATACAGATAGTCTGATGGATTTAAAAGCAGAGAGACAGGTTAGAAATAGATAGGAAAGAAAGCTGAAAAAGAAGTTTCTACCAGTTTTCTGCAGAAACAAGTCTAAAATCTAGAGTGTTATCAGAATTTTACTCTAGCTACTTCTGCCAAGTAGCTAGAGCTACTTTAACTTCTTACCTTCCTGTGCTTTATTCCCCAGCCAAAATAAGATATTCATCTCTATGTTTCACACATGCTCACACCCCTCAACCCTTTGGCGTCAAATACTGCCCTCGTAGAGTCACTAAAGGTTTCTGAGTAGCGTTCAAATCTCTCTTCCAATTGACCATCCTGGTGGGAGTGGGCAAGAAGCAGCTGACACTATGGAAATTAAGCTACATGAAAGAATTTGGACTAAAAATGTAGACTTCTGTGCAATCAATACAAGAGTCAGGGTTGAGGCAATGTATGAGTGAGTTCACCTGGAGAATATAATAAGAGAGAAATAGAATATAATAAGAGAATATAATAAAAGACAAAAGCCATAAGGACTGTCTGTCCATCCTTCAGTGGAAAGAGAAATTAAGACAGGAAAAGAGCAGTCAGAAAGAAAGGATGAACACAAGGAGGAATTTTAGAGTGACTGATCATTAGTGTCAATTGTAATAGAAAAATCAAAGAAGATTGGGGCTGAGAAAAGTCATGCTGGCCTGGGATCATTGGAAATTAAATTTTTATGTCAGAGGTTTGTTACTGTGGTGGCAACAGGACAAGATTGGCACAAAGTGAGTAGGGAATGAGAAGGAGGCAGCAGTGGAGGCCGTTGAGTAGTGACAACTATTTTGAGAATATTATTTGAAGAAAGGAGACAGATGGGACAGTAGCTTGAGGGTTGAAGTGAGATTCAAAAACCCACTTCTTAAGTAAAATTTCTCAATAACACATTCATCATAAAAGATTTTTGTTTGATTTTTCCCAAAGCATTCCTAAAGGCCATCTACTATATATGTGGTTGAATCCTGGAAAAAGTCTTGAATTCTGGACAAATAACTAAATCTTGGCACCCTCCATATTCTCCACCTGAAAATAGGATTACTAATTATTGGTGTTCAACTGCATGTTGTGAACACTCCAGGAAGTATAAAATCATTTTTAAACTGCAAAGCCCATACAAAATATGGTAGTATTATCATTGTAATCAACTATGTAATTTTTTAACATCTAATACAAAATATTCCAAAATATTTATATTTCAAAACATTTTAAGAGAAAGTAATTTGATATGTAACAGTTTGAAATTAAAGTAAGAAAATGACCATTTACAAAGTACTCACACTATATGCCACGCATAGAAATAGATATGTAAAATGATTCTTTTAATTCTCTTTAGGGAACAATAAGGTAAGTATAGATTTGCTCTTTTTATTGATGGAAAACAAATCTGCGAGATATTAACTAGTATTCTCAAATTCACTTAACCAGTTACAGAAGAGTCAGGATTCAGGATTAAAACCTATGTTATAAAGTTATAAATCCACTTTGCTCAATCAATATAAACGTTTGTTTCTCACATTTCCTTGTATTATACATATAAACAAGAACTCTAATAAAATAGTTGTTTGATTTGGCTGGACATATTCGTTAAAATAACTGCTTATATAATTATGAACTAAATTCAAATTTGAAGAAGAAATCCTTATGAAATGTAAAGGTTTCTGGGTTTTTTCTCTGTATGATTCTTTTTAGATGTCCTGTGTTGCCTGCAGAATTTAGGATCAGAAGTCCCAAATAAAAAGTATTACTTACAAAGTGTTGTAAATATATTTTTAGTACAGAAATCCCAACTGTTTCTCATTAAAATGCTCCATTTCCATGCCTTGTTCTCCAAAGTGGTGCTACGGGTGACTAATGGAGTCCTATTCCCAAATCAAATACTCTCAGTTATATAGAGGTGTAATTAGTAAGCCTGCTTTCGTATATTTGAAGAACCATGTGAACACTATTTATCCCTATTTTCACTATTATATAATAATGAAAATTCTAACTTTACTAGGGACAAAGAAGATAAAGGGCAAGGATACAAAGATAATGCAGATGAATGGAAGAAGAAAATTTATTCCCATGTAAAATCCACTATTTCCTTTAAGCAGGAGAAGTGGTACAGAAATGTAATGGTTAAAATCTGGGTTTAAATTTAGGCTCTACAATTTACCAGCAATTTTGGGCAGGATTACAAATTACCAGTGATTTTGGGCCAGATATTTAGCTGCTTGTGTCTTGGTTTCCTCGTCTATGAAGTAAAATTGTATAATTATTAAATGTGAAAGAGTTACAAGAATGCCCAGCCCATAGAAAGCCTTATATGTATTATTATTAACATTTTATTTTCAAAGTTACTCTGAAGGTCTTTCTCTTGAATTTCTTATGAATAACGAAAACAAATACTGCTATCTAGAAAAACTAAATTTTCAACTCTACTTAATAACAAAATAAGGCTCCTCGAGGTAGGCATAAATTTAAAGAAACAATATTAGATCTTATTTAAGGAGAGGAGTTCTTTAGTTATAATCAATTCATTCATTAATTTATTCATATTTATTCAACAATCATTGTCTATTGTGTGCCTCCTGCCCTATATTTATAAAATAACAGTCATCAATTTCTTCTCCACCTATATGTGCATGTCACTTCTCAAATCAAGGGCTGGTGTCTATTAACTTTCCCTTGAATCTGGTTAGACTTCCTTTTGCAAATAAAATGTAGCAGAAAAAATGATGTGCCAGTTTCCTCCCAGCTTTTTATATATATGTATATATATATATTTTTTGAGATGAAGTCTCACTCTATCGCCCAGGCTGGAGTGCAGTGGCGCGATCTCGGCTCACTGCAAGCTCCACCTCCTGGGTTCACGCCATTCTCCTGCCTCAGCCTCCCTAGTAGCTGGGACTACAGGCGCCCGCCACCATGCCCAGCTAATTTTTTTGTATTTTTTTAGTAGAGACGGGGTTTCACCATGTTAGCCAGGATGGTCTCGATCTCCTGACCTCGTGATCCACCCGCCTGGGCTTCCCAAAGTGCTGGGATTATAGGCGTGAGCCACCGTGCCTGGCCCCTTCCAGCTTTTAAGATAACTGTCAGCTTCCGCTCCCTGCCTTGGAACCCAGTTTCTATGTAAGATGTTCAGCTACATTGAGACCCCATGTACTGTGAGAAAGCCCAAGCCAGACATATGGAGAGGTCACATGAAGAAGAGGGAGAAGCTTGTCATGTCCATAGTGGTTCTAACCATCCCCAGACATGTCAATGAAGAAGCAATTGCCATTCATAAAAGAGTTTCAACCCCTTCAGGTGCCATGTGGAACAGCACAGCCCAGTTAAGCCCAGCTCCTACTGCAGATTTGTGAGAAATAGTAAGTCGTTGTTTTAAGCCACTAAGTTTAGGGATGGTTTGTTAATCACTAATGGGTAACCAAAACAATGCTTTAAACCCAGAAGCAATACGATGTGAATAGTACCTCTAGGTATAAAGGCTGAGTTGCAGCTAAGAGGTGAGATGAAATGAAATTTATAGAAGTCTGTAGAAAACAGAGGGTAGTATATTAGTTTTTATGTCTTCTCATGAAGGCAGGTCTAGATACATTTATCAATACATTTAGAGATAATAGTCTAATAACTCAGAGTGCTAATATACTAATATATTATCCCAAATGACCCAGAATATATCCTCGTCAGCACATTTACCCTGTGCCCCTCAAGCTACTTGGTCAACTTGTCATCAAAACGTTTCATGGAATCCAACACGAGGAATTAGCCCTATATTCTTAAAGGCACCTAAATTGGATAAGCCAGATAAGGAGGGGAGAATATGCTTATCAGCTCCTTTGAAAACCCTGTCTAGAGGGTTGCTGGACATACATTGATAAATTCAAGTCATCTGATATATTTTTTAAAGGCTTTATGCTGCATGCTCCCATTAGTTAGCATAGTCCTTTTTTTCTTTTTTTTTTCTTTTTTGGCAGAGTTTTGCTCTGTTGCCCAGGCTGGAGTGCAGTCGTGCGATCTCGACTCACTGCAAGCTCCGCCTCCCGGGTTCACGCCATTCTCCTGCCTCAGCCTCCTGAGTAGCTGGGACTACAGGCGCCTTCCACTATGCCCAGCTTTTTAAGTAGAGATGGGGCTTCACCGTGTTAGCCAGGATGGTCTCGATCTCCTGAACTGGTGATCCGCCCATCTCAGCCTCCCAAAGTGCTGGGATTACAGGGGTGAGTCACCGCGCCTGGCCAGCATAGTCCTCTTTTAGATAGGGTATACAACAACGGATTATGATTCGGTTAGTTTTTCCCATTTACTACAATTAGATTAGATAGATTGACCCAAATATATTCTCTTGAAACAAAACCAAGAACACTTAAATGGCAACATAAGCCCCTAAAATTCCTCGGCCTTTGATTTCTGGCTAATACTTAGGGTAAGGTTTTCACCTTTTTTTTTTTTTTTTTGAGAGAGAGAGGATCTTACACTGTTGCCCAGACTGGAGTGCAGTGGGGGTGATCGTAGCTCACTGCAACCTCAAACTTCTGAGCACAAGTGTCCCTACCACCTCAGCCTCCTGAGTAGCTGGGACTACAGGCATGTGCCACCATACCCAACTAACTAAAAAAAAAAAAAAAGAAAGAAAGAAAAATTGTAGAGATAAGGTCTCGCTATGTTGCCCAGGCTGGTCTTGAACTCCTGAGCTCAAGCGGTCCTCCCGCATCAGCTTGTAATCCCAAAGTGCTGGGATTACAGGCATGTGCTATTGCACCCAGCCCATTTCCACATTTTTGCTATGCACATTTATACCCACATGTTGCCATCATGTAGTATGTTATCTTGGCTGCACGTTTTACCATAGAAGCTTTTATGTAGATTCTCAGGCTTCTTTATTGCCTATTTGTGATAAGATTGCCTGAAATGTGGCCCTCCTGCCTGGACACACAACTATACTTGCACCACTTCACTAATTTTTTTTGATGGGTGACTTCACTTTTTTCTCCAACATAGCCATGGCCCAGGGTTTTATTCTTAGGCCTCATCACTTCTTTTTCTACATGTGCATCTTCTCAAATTGTGCCCATTACAATAACATCTGTGTAAAAAACTTCTGTTTAAGAAAATTTCAGATCTTTCTGTTTATCCTGAATCTCTCTTCCAAATCCCGTCCTACCACATAACTTTATTAAGGCTTCTCCTGAACCTTAAATAAACATGTTAAGTGTAGAATTTTCATAGTTCCCCTTAAGTCCTCACAAACTATGTTTTCCTTTGACTTTATTTTCCATTTAATAGTTTTTTTTTTAAGAGCATTCTAGGCTTGAAAATGAAGGGTCTTTTTATTCCTATTTCTCTATTAACATGCAAATTATAACCAAAGTCTTCTAGATTTGGTCTCTGTACTGTTGCTGAAGTCTATCTCTTTTCCATCTTCACCACCAGCATTCTACTTAGGGCTCATTGATGTCCCTCCTAGAATTGCTGCAATAGATCTTTAACTCTCCTCTCACCTCCAATTCGAGTTTTCAGATTCCAATTGATTCTATGCAGACAGCCAGTCTGCCCTTCTTAGCCATTCTCCAATTATTCACTGCTTAAAATCCACCAGGGCTCGTCTTAGTTTAGCAAATAAAACCAGCATTTTTCAGTTTGAATTTCCAGACCTTCCACAAACATTTAATCTCCTTATTCCCATATGTATGTCCTGTATTCTGAGTAAATTGGAATCTAGTAGTGTTTACTAAATATATTACACATTTTTTCAGTGTTGTGTACATACTTTATATCGAGAAGGCTCCTTGTCATCATTCTCTTACCTTAAAAAATGGCATATACCTTTAAAGCATACTGCAAACACAGGTTCTTTCCAGGTTTTTTCATAATCCTGTTTTCTGCTTTTTTAAGTGATTGTAGCAAAGCAATTTATCTGTATTTCTTACAATATTACTTGTAACTCCAGTCACTTAGGCACAAGACTATCCAATCTTTTCTGCTAAGCTCTAGGATTCTTCAAGAAAGCAGCTGTACCTTATCAATTTCATAGTCTTAATGACATGCACAGTGCCTGGCACACTGTAGGAGCTTTATAATGTTTGTTAACTTGGAATAGACCAGAGTTAAGTAGGCTACATGGGAATCAAGTCCGTGACCTTAGTCTCATTATCACTGATGCCTGGCCACAAGAAAAATATGTAAAGTGGCAAAATTCTTGTTATATTGAAGCTTTAATTAAAGTACATTTAATTCTCAAGACAAGTTCCAGTTTAGTGACCCTGAAGAAGAATAGAGAATGTCATCTATTCATTAACTGAGCAGGGGTAAATGCAAGTTCCTCTAGGAATTTCCATTTTAGAACAGCCAATATTGGCCGAGACAAACTGACAACAGAGATAAGTGCCTAGAGATAGAGACGTGGGCAGTCAGAAAGCTTTTTGAAGCTAAATGCATTTGGTAAACTAGCAATGTTACTTCCCGTGTTCTTAGACTAGCTTTAAGTAGTGGGAAGGATTAAAAATAAAAAAATGCAAAACGTAAGATTGTTATTCTCAAAGAGTAAATGCTTCTCTTCACCTATTTATTCTGTACCTATGTGTGTGTGTAGTTTTTAATGTTTACTTAATATAATGTATAATCTACTTACTGCTTATTGTGCATAACTTGCTCATATTTGCCTCTCTGTCACAACATCTCTATTCCTTAATACCTGGTATATCCTTCAATTGCATCTATGACAATCTAGGTAAGGATTCAGCAACATTTTTTACAAAGGCCTAGATGGTAAACATTCTAGTCTTTGGGGCCCAGGAATCCACATCCGCTCTCTGTAGCAACTACTCAACTCTGCCATTGTGGGAAAGCAGCCATGGACAGTACTGAGTGGACTAGGATGGCTGTGGTCACGGGCTGTACAGAATACACAGAAGGCTGGATTTGGTCCACAGGCTGCAGTTTGCTGACCTACATTACTCATAAGCTCCAAAGGTTTCTCCATCCAAGAACCCTTTGATATCTGGCTCTATCTTACTTGAATTTTTAATTGACTTTATTATTGGTTTGGTAGAGATGTAAAACCAAGAGACAGTGGAGACAGATTGGAGACAAAAAGATAAAGCAAATGAGATGTTTGGTCAGAGCATTATGGCGAGGATGGGGGTGAACCAAGGATGGAGACAATATCAGATAAATTAAAACATCCCTCTGGTTCTTTCTTAGGAGCCAGGGAGAGTTGGGTCAAACCTAGGATCTTCCCGACACAATGAGACTTTCTTATTTATTATGGACAAAATAGCCACTGGCATAATCAAGAAATAAGCAACAAAGCCAATTTAATGCCCCCTGAGCCTCCACTGTTAAAAGTAAAATCCTCTGAGCAGGAAGAAAAGTCAGCTGAGGAAGAGGATCAACATTCAATTCTTTCTCATTTTTACAGACTTGCTGCTCTGAGTTAGCTTGACCCTCCACTGTTAAGGTGGGGAAAGCAATTCAAGCAGCAGATTGTGAAACCACTCCAAAACATGGGGATACTGAGTGTCAGTTTCCTAGTCAGGATTCATGTTATAGGGGATTTCCTTCCTAACAGCTATGCCAGCCTAGACCAGGCAAAACAAGGTGGATTGAAGCCATATATTATAGCAGTGAATATTAACTGTGATTAAAATCAGCAAAAATTATCTGAGGCGTTTGATACTCATTTAACCTTTAATAACCTTTAATCCCTGAGATTTAATTTTCTTCATTATGATGCAATCTTTTCTTTCTTTTTTTTTAATCTGTGGAATACAATCTTCCTTAATTCTTTTCTTTTTAATAAAAAATTCTTCTCAAGTGAAACTAACTAGGTAACATTAAGGCCTTGCCACTAATTAATTTTACTGTATGTATGGATTTTTACTGGAATGTTGATATCTAAATTAAAGCATGGAATGAGACCTTAAATTCTAGTTGATCACATTTCTTCTGGTTCTTGGTTACCTTCACTTTTGTGGTTAAAGTAATACACATCCATTCAAGTTCTGCATATTGTCTATTACCATTTTGTTTTTCTCTCTTCATAAGAATTTACTTTCTCTTAAGGTCTCAATAACTAGCAGAGTTTTTTTTTTTCTAAGTTTAATAGTTTACATATTTGATGTCTGCATCCCTTTTTCATGTAATAGATTCCTTTGCTGATTGGTATTTACTACTAGTGGTATAAATTATTAACTGTTTACCACAATCATTCCCTTTTCCTTCTGGACACAGAGCTAGGTTGTATTTCGCAGCCTCTCTCACAGTTTAGTGTGACCACAAGACTGAGGACATTGAAATGTGGTGGAAGTGATGGCTGTCTCTTTCAGACCTGGGCTATAAAAACCTCTTAGACCACCGTTACTCTTTATGACCACTGGCTGACAGTGAAGGACTTAGAAGTCCTGAAAGATGGTGGGGTCATGAGATGGAAAAGACTGGGCCCCTAAATCACCCTGTGATAGTTCATCTCCTGACCACGCTCATTGAATTGTCAGCAAGACAGTAATTTTTATTATGGTAAATCACTATGATTTCTGGGGATTTATCTACTACAGAAGGAAGTATTACCCTAATTTATATGCCACTTAGTCCTGTTATACATTACACTCCATGTTGCTTTCTAAGATTTCGTTTTTCCCTTCTCTGTAATCTTCTTCATAGAAGGTACTTGACCCTCAGTGAGAGGGATTTTGAAATTCAAAGTAAAATATCACAATCATTTTCATTCCATGTTATTTCAACAACAAACCTAAAATGCAGCTGTTATTTATCCTTATTCTACAGATGAAGACAAGGAGGCACAAAGAGTTAAGTGGTTTTTCAAAATCATACAGCAAATTTCTGAAAGGCCAGTATTCGAATACAATCTAGTCTGGTGCCAAAGCTCAGGTTTTTACATTATGTCACCTTTTCTATCACGTCCTGGAAACCTCTAAAGATGCTTTAATGTTATCACAACTCCAACTGTCTCTTTCTCAACCAACAATAAATACTAAACTGCTGGAGAATCATTTATGCCCTGCAATGTCAGTGAGACATTTAATAATTAAATAGTAATAGGAGGGCCAAAAAACATTTTCTTAAACTTTATTAATAATTCACTTTGGACAACATCCAAGAAGTCTGGTTATGCTGCATTCTGCACTTCATAGGGCTTGTTGTGATTCTACCTCTGTACCTAGGCCAATAAAAACATTGTAACACTTCTAAATCCCAAATGCAGAAATTAGGACAAAACTCCAAGGACTTAAAATAAGTTGTTAAATATTTTTTTGAATGTGAAAATCTCATAAATCATGAGTTCTATGAGGTGAGGTGACACTTGACATTGAGATCTACACATCATCTTTATAGATAAGTCACATCTCTTATTGGTACAGCATTTTGATGACCTTGCTAGCACCTTTCTTGTGAGCCCCATGACTGTTCTCATCTTCCAAACGTCTTGTGATGTTCAGCAAGGAAGCTGTTGTTATCCCCAGTACAGTGAAAAAAAATGTTTCAATCACTGATCCTCAGCTAAGCTCATTCATAAAGCCAATTGACAAATGAATAATTCTAAGGTTTGGGCATTTATTGAGTTTCTTTGTGCCAGTTATAAACTTGATAAATATCATTTTACATTATCTTTACATTTATTTAAATATTTATCAATCCCTGTTTTTCAAGTACTATATTTTGTGTGTGCTAGTATGCAGTAGTGAACCAGACGACAATATTCTTGATTTAAGGGTACTTATAACAATATTTTGAAAAAAAATATGCTCATCATTCTGATACAGGTGAGGACTGAGGCTTATAAGACAGCTTATTCAAGCTCAAATAGCTGAATTTACAGAAGCCAGAATTCAAATTCATGACCATTTGATATTAAGTGAGTAGTAAACTTGTCACCCAGGACAGGTCTAGGTTGAAAACATAGAAAAGAAAGCGGAAAACTTCCTAATTTTATGGAAATAATAATCTAATTAAGAAGACAGTACTTACATACAAAAATTGAAGATAATATAATTTAGGAAAAAACTGTACTGGCAAAATGATAAATGTTTTAATAGATTCGTGATGAAGTTTAAGAAAAGGGATAGGGACGGGTATGTTTCAATGGAGAATTCTATTGTTCTTTGGGTAGAGGTCTACATGGTAGTGAAGAGAGAGAGCCCAGAGGAGGTACCCCAACATGTTGGAAAATGCAGAAAAGGCAGAGATTTATACTCGGATGATAAGAAAATAAACACATATAGAGTAGCTGGTTTAGAAAAAAACAAGTTTAGAGATGTAGATGGGATCTATTTGGAGATTGCTTTGAAAGCCAGGGAAAGAAGTTGATATATTTTAGGAGGATATTAGAAAGCAATTGTATTGATGTTTGTGCAAAAGTAAAGTATAAAAAAGTCTTCAGAGGATGTAGGCAGAGCAAAATGGTAGAACGGAAATCTCCACCAGTCATCCCCACCCCCCAATTCCTGCAAGGACACCAACTTAACAACTGTCTATACAGAAGAAACACCTCATAAAACAAAAAATCAGGTGAACCCTCATATAATCTGGTTTTAACATTGTTTCACTGAAAGAGGCACTAAAGAGACAGAAAAAAATAGCCTGGAATAGCTGACACCACCCCTCCCCTACATCCCCCCCACCCCCCACCCAGCAGCAGCTGCCTAGTGTGGAAAGTGTCTCTGGGTACTGAGGTAAGAAGAGCACAGCATTTGTGAGGCATTGAACTCAGTGCTGTCCTGCTAGTGTAGAAACAAAAATCAGAACAAAGTCAGTTGATGCCCACCCATGGAGGTAGCATTTAAAGCAGCCCTAGCTAGAGGGGAACCACAGATCCCAGTGGTCCAAACCTAAGTTCCCACAAACCTCATCACTGAGGGCTAAAGTGCTCTGGGTTTCTAAGTAAACTTGAAAGGCAGTCTGGGCCATAACGACTGCAACTCTTAGGTAAGTTCTGGTGCTGAGCTGGACCCAAAGACAGTGGACAGGAGCAGTACACACAATATACTAAGATGCCAGCTGGGGTGACTAAGAAAGTAGTGACTCTCTAACTCCCTCCCCTAACTCCAGGCTGTACAGCTCACAGCTTCAAGAGAGACCCCTTCTTTCAGCTTGAGGAGAGGAGAAGGAAGAATGGGGAGAATCTTCTCTTGTATCTTGGATACCAGCTCAGCCACAGCAGGATAGGGCATGGTCAGAGTTGTGAGGCCTCTGTTCCAGGTTCTAGCTAACAGATTACATTTCTAGACACACCCTGGGCCAGAAGAGAATGCTTTTCCTTGAAGGGAAGGACCCAGTCCTGGCAGCATTCATCAAATGCCAACTGAAGAGCCCTTCAGCCCTGAATAACCAGCAACAATACCCAGGTACTATATTGAGGACCTTGGGTGAACCTCTGAGACTTGCTGGCTTCTGGTACCATCATGGACACAGGAGGGTAGAGCACCAAGTGGGCTCCTAGGGTCCCTGAATCCAGAACTTGCCTCTTAACTGGCATTTCTGGACCTGCCCCAGGCCAGAGGCAAGCCCACTCCCCTAAAGGGCGAATCCCAGGCCAGGCAGCATTCACCATAGCTGACTTAAGAGTTCTTGGGCCTTAAAGAAATATCAGTGGTAGTCTGGCAGTACTCCCCATGGCCTGTGATAGTGGTGGCTATGGGGTAAGTTTCCTCTGCATTTGGAAAGAGAATGGAAGAGTAGAAATGACTGTGGTTTAAGTGCCAGCTCAGCCACAGTAGAACAGAACACTAGGTAGACTTCTAAGGTTTTGATACTAGTGCCTGCATCCTGGACAGCACCTCTGGACCCACTTAGGGCCTGTGGGAACTCACCAACTTAAATAGAAGAACATAGGCCTGGCTGGCCTTGCCAAGTGCTGACTGTAGACCCTCAGGGCCTTGAACAAACATAGGCAGTAGCCAGGGAGTGGTAACAGCTAGCCATGGGCAAGACCCAGTGCTGTGCTGGCTTCAGGTCTGACCCACCACAGTCATAGTGGTGGTGACCACAGGCATGCTTGTGTCAATCTACTTCCAGATTTAGGTGGCTCAGAACAGAGAAAGGAACTGTTTGTTTGGGAGAAACTAAGGGAAGAGAACAAGTATCTGTCTGGTAATCCAGAGAATTCTCCCAGATATTGTCCAAGACTGTCAAGGCAGTACTTCTATAAATCTGCAAGAATCACATTGTTACTGGGCTTGAGGTGCCCCCTAAGGCAGATACAGTTTAGATCACAACACCTAAGTCCTTTCGAATATCTGCAAAGCCTTCTCAATAAGGACGGGCACAAACAAGCCCAGAGAGTGAAGACTACAGTAACTATCTAACTATTCAATGCCTTGACACTGAATAACACCTACCAGCGCCAGCACCATCCAGGAAAATATGACCTCACCAAATGAACTGAATAAGACACCAGGGACCAATCCTGGAAAAACTGAGATATGTGACATTTCAGGTAGAGAATTCAAAATAACTGTGTTGAGGAAACTCAAATAAATACAGGAGAACACAGAGAAGAAACTCAAAGTTCCATCAGATAAATTTAACAAGTAAATTGAAATAATTAAATAGAATCAAACAGAAATTCTGGAGCTGAAAAATCTAATTAGTATACTGAAAAATGCATCATAGTCTTTTAATAGTAGAACTGATCAAGCAGAAGAAAGAATTAGTGAGCTTGAAGGCAGGCATTTGAAAATATGTAGTCAGAGGATACAAAAGAAAAAAGAATAAAAAAACAATGAAACATGCCTACAGGACCTAGAAAATAGTCTCAAAAAAAAAAAACAAAACAAAACAAAACAAAAAAAACAGATCCAAGATGATTAGCCTTAGCCTTAGAGGTAGGGAGAGAGAGAGATCAAGGTAGAGCATTTATTCAAAGGAATAATAACAAAGAACTTCCCAAACCTAGAGAAAGATATCAATATCCAAGTACAAGAAGGTTATAGAACACCAAGCAGATTTAACCTAAAGAAGACTACCTCAAGGCATTTAATAATCAACCTCCCAAAGATCAAGGATAAAGAAAGGACTCTAAAAGCAGTAACAGAAAAGAAGCAAATAACATGCAATGGAGTTCAAATATGCCTGGCAGCAGAATTTTCAGTGAAAACCTTATAGGCCAGGAGAAAGTGGCATGACACATTGAAAGTGCTGAAGGATAAAAACTTTTACCCTAGAATAGTATATCTGCCAAAAATATGCATCAAGCATGAAGGAGAAATAAAGACTTTCCTGACAAAAAAAAGCTGAAGTATTTCATTAATACCATACCTGTCCTACAAGAAATGCTAAATGGGGTACTTCAATCAAAAGGAAAAGAACGTGAATGAGTGACAAGTAATCACCCGAAGGTAAAAAATTCATTGGTAGTAGTGAGTACACAGAAAAACACAGAATTTTATAAAATGATAACTGTGATGTGTAATTACTTTTATCTTAAGTAGGAAGAATAAGCAATGAACCACTAAAAAATAACTACAACAACATTTTAAGACATTGATAGCACAATAAGACATAAATAGAAAAAAACAAAAAGTTTAAAAGCCTGGGAACAAAAGTAAGGTGCAGAGTTTTTATTTGTTTTCTTTTTGTTTGTTTATGCAAATAAGGTTAAGTTGTTATCAGGTTAAAATAATGGGTTATAAGATAATATTTGCAAACCTCATGATAATCTCCGACTCAAAAAACTTACAAGAGAGACATAAAATTAAAAGCAAGAAACATTTTTTATTTTAGTTTTCATTTTTTATTCTTTTTTTTAATCACAAGTAAAAAAAAATCACCTTCACTAAAAGAAGACAGGAAGAAAAAAGGTAGAAAACAAAACCATCAGAAAAATAAATAAGAAAATGGTAGGAGCAAGTCATTATTTAATAATAAAATTGAATGTAAATAGAGTAAACTCTCCAGTCAAAAGGCAGAGTGGCTGAATGGATGAGCAAAAAAAGACCCATTGATCTGTTGCTTACAAGGAACACACTTCACCTAAAGAGTCACATAGAAAATAAAAGGATACAGAAAGATATTCCTTGCAAGTGAAACCAGAAAAGCAAGAGTAGCTATACATATATGAGACAAATAGATTTCAAGATAAAAACTATAAGTAGAAACAAGGAAGTCACGATATAATGTTAAAGGGATCAATTCAGCAAGAGGATATAACAATTTTAAATATACATGCACCCAACAGTGGACCATCCAGATACATAAAGCAATATTATTAGAGCTAAAGAGAAAGGCCCCAATACAATAATAGCTGGAGACTTCAAGACAACACTTTCAGCATTGGACAGATTTTCCAAGTAGAAAAGCAATGAAGAAACATCAGACTTAACTGCACTATAGACCAAATGGATCTAATAAATATTTACAGAATACTTAATCCAATGGTTGCAGATTACACATTCTTTTCCTCAGCACATGGGTCATTCTCAAGGATAGACAAGGTCACAAAACAAATCTAAAAACATTCAGAAAAACTGAAATAATATCAAGCATCTTCTCTGATCACAATAGAATACAAGAAATTAACAAGATGGATTTTGAAAACTATACAAATACACGGAAATTAAACAATGTGCTCCTGATTCACCAGCAGGGTCAATGAAGAAATCAAGAAGGAAATTTTTTGAAACAAATTGTAATGGGAAAACAACATACCAAAACCTATGGGATACAGTAAAAGCACTACTAAGAGGAAAGTTTATAGCTATAAGTGCCTATATTTAAAAAAAAAGCTTCAAATAAACAATCCAATGAGGTATGCTAAAGAACTAAAAAATCAGGAGTAAACCAACCTGAAAATTAGAAGAAACAATACAGATCAGAGCAGAAGTCAATGAAATTGAAATAAAGAAAACAATACAAAAGATCAATGAAACAAAAAGTTGGTGTTTTGCAAGAATAAACAAAAATTGACAAACCTTTAGCCAGACTAAGAAAACCATACAGAAGATACTAATGAATAAAATCAGAAAAAAAGACATTACAAGTGATACTGAAGAAATTCAAAGACTCATTACTGGCTACTATGAGCAACTATATGCCAATAAATTGGAAAATCTAGAAGAAATGGGACAAATACCTAGACACATCCAACCTACCAAGATTGAACCAGGAAGAAATCCAAAACCTGAACAGACCAATAACAAGTAACAAGATTAAAACAATAATAAAAATCTTCCAGTAAAGAAAAGCCCAAGACCCAACAGCTTCACTGCTGAATTCTACCAAACATTTAAGGAAGGAATAATACCAATCCTATTCAAACTCAAATTCTGAATAGAGGAAGAGGAACTACTTTCAAACTCATTCTACAAAGCCAGTATTACCCTGATAACAAAACCAGACAAAGACACATCAAAAAAGAAAACCACAGACAAATATCCCTGAGAAATATAGATTCTATAATAAAAACTATAAGACACTGATTAAAGAAATTGAAGAGAACACCAAAAAATGGAAAAATATTCCATGTTCATGGATTAGAATAATCAATATTGTTAAAATGTCCATTTTTGATGCAAAAATCTTCAGCAAAATACTAGCAAACCGTATTAGTCCATTTTCACACTGCTGATAAAGACATTTTTGTCAAAGGCACTCTCAAGTCTCTAGAGAGTTCCAAACCTTCCCACATTTTCCTGTCCTCTTCTGAGCCCTCCAAACTGTTCCAGCCTCTTCCTGTTACCCAGTTCTAAAGTTGCTTCCACATTTTAGGGTATCTTGTCAGCAGTGCCCCACTCTACTAGTACCAATTTACTGTATTAGTCTGTTTTCATGCTGTTGATAAAGACATACCTGAGACTGGGAATAAAAAGAGGTTTAATGGACTTGCAGTTACACGTGGCTTGGGTGGCCTCACAATCATGGAGGAAGGCAAGGAGTAGCAAGTACATCTTACATGGATGGCAGCAGGCAAAAAGAGAGATTGCCCAGGGAAACTCACCCTTAAAAAACCATCAGATCTCGGGAGACTGATTCACTATAATGAGTACAACATGAGAAAAACCTGCCCCTATGATTCAACTACCCCCAACTTGTTCCCTCCTACAACACTTGGAAATTCAAGGTGAGATTTTGGTGGGGACACAGCCAAACCATATCACAAACCAAATTCAACAATACATTAGAAAGATCATTCATCATGACCAAGTGGGATTTATCCCTGATATGCAAGGATGGTTTAACATATGCAAATCAAGCAATGTGATACATCATATCAACAGAATGAAATGTAAAAAATTACATAATCACTTCAATTGATGCTGAAAAAGCATTGGATAAAATTCAACATGCCTTCATACTGCATACCCTCAAAAAACTGGGTATAGAAGAAACATACCTCAACATAATAAAAGTCATATACAACAGACCCAAAGCTAATATCATACTGAATGAGGAAAAACTGAAATCCTTTCCTCTAAGATCTGGAACATGAAAAGAATGCCCACTTTCACCACCGTTTTTAAACATAGTAGTGGAAGTCCTAGCTACAGCAGTGAGAGAAGAGAAAGAAATAAAGGACATCCAAATTGAAGTGGAAGAAGTCAAATCATCCTTGTTTGCAGATGATATAATCTTATATTTGGGAAAACCTAAAGACTCCATAAAGAAACCATGGGAACTTCTAAATAAATTTTTTAAAGTTGCAGGATACAAAATTAACCTACAAAAATCAGTAGCATTTCTATATGTCAACTGTGAACAATCTGAAAAGAAAATTTAAAAAGCAATCCCATTTATTATAGCTGTAAATAAAATATTTAGAAATCAATGAAGGAAGGGAAAGATCTCTATGATAAAAACTAGAAAACACTGATGAAAGAAATTCAAGAGGAAACAAAAAGGAAAAATATTCCATATTCATGGATTGAATCAATATTGTTAAAATGTTCACACTACCCAAAGAAATCTGCAGTTTCAATGCAATACCTATGAAAATACCAATGAACCAGTGACATTCTTCACAGAAATAGAAAAAATTATCTTAAAATGTATACAGACCCACAAGAGACCTATAATAGCCCAAGCTATACTAATCAAGAAGAACAAAATTGGAGGAATTACATTACATGACTTCCAATTACACTACAGAACTACAATAAGCAAAAATACATGGTACAGGGATAAAAACAGACACATAGACCAACAGAACAAAATAGATAACCCAGAAATAAATCTAAACATCTACAGTGAACTCATTTTTGACAAAGTTTGTAAGAACTTAACACTGAGGAAAAGGTAGTCTCTTCAATAAATGGTGCTAAGAAAACTGGATATTCATATGCAGAAGAATGAAACTAGACCCCTCTCTGTCACTATATACAAAAATCAAATCAAAATGGATTAAAGATTTAAATCTAAGATCTCAAACCATAAAACTACTATAAGAAAACTTTGGGGGGCCGTGCGAGGTGGCTCACACCTGTATCCCAGCATGTTGGGAGGCCGAGGTGGGTGGATCATGAGGTCAAGAGATTGAGACCATCCTGGCCAACATGGTGAAACCTCGTCTCTACTAAATATACAAAAAATTAGCCAGGCGTGGTGGTGGGCACCTGTAGTCTCAGCTACTTGGGAGGCTGAGGCAGGAGAATGGCATGAACCCGGGAGGCGGAGCTTGCAGTGAGCTGAGATCGTGCCACTGCACTCCAGCCTGGGCAACAGAGCGAGACTCTGTCTCAAAACAAACAAACAAACAAACAAACAAACAAACAAAAAACATTGGGGAAGCTCTCCAGGACGTTGGTCTGTGCAAAAATTTCTGGAGCAATACCCCACCAGCCAGGCCACCAAAACAAAAATGGAAAAATGGGATCACATCTAGTTAAAAAGCTTCTGCACAGCAAAGGAAATAATCAAAGTGAAGAGACAACCCACAGAATGGAAGAAAATATTTGCAAACTGCCCATCTAAGAAGAAGTTAACAACCAGAATATATAAGGAACTCAAACAACTCTATAGGAAAAAAATCTAACAGTCTGATCAAGAAATGGGCAAAATTTTTGAATAGACATTTCGCAAAAGACACAAATGGCAAACACACATAGGAAAAGGTGCTCAACATCATGAGTCATCAGAGAAATGCAAATAAAAACTACAATAAGACATGTTACCCCAGCTAAAATGGCTTATATCCAAAATATAGGCAATAACGAATGCTAGTGTAGGTGTGGAGAAAAGGGAACACTCTTACACTGTTGTTGGGTATGTAAGTTAATAAAACCACTAGGGAGAACAGTTCGGAGGTTCCTCAAAAAAACTAAAAATTGAGCTACCGTATGACTCAGCAATTCCACTGCTGGGTATATACCCAAAAGAAAGGAAATCAGTATATTGAAGAGATATTTGCACTCCCGTGTTTGTTGCAGCACTGTTCACAATAGCCAAGATTTGGAAGCAACCCAAGTGTCCATCAACAGACGAATGTGTAAATATTTTATCCATTTTCTTTATTCATTGATCCATTGATATCCATTGGTACATATACACAATGAAATACTATTGGTACAATGGTATCCATTGGTGCATATACACAATGGACGATGGGATATAGAGTATGGAAGGATTGTTACCAGAGGATGGGGGTTGGGGGGAGAAGGTGGGGATGGCTAATGGGTACCAAAAAAGGTAATTAAAAGTGTTAATAAGCCCTACTATTTGGTAACACAGCAGAATGACTACAGTCAATAACTTAATTGTACATTTTAAAATAAGTAAAAGAGTGTAATGAATTGCTTGTAACACAAAGGTTAAATGCTTGAGGTGAAGGATACCCCATTCTCTGTGATGTGATAATTCTGCATTGTATGCCTGTATCAAAATATCTTATGTACCCCATAAATGTATATACCTACTATGTACCCAGAAAAATTAAATAAATTAAAAACCAAAAGACAAAAAAAAAAACTTTATTTTTTTTTTTTCTAAAAAGGCATCAGCATCTACCCAGGTATAATAGAGTGGAAATTCTCAGGTTGTAATTCCCTTTATGTAAATAATATTTTAACTCAAAGGAGAAACTCTAGTGGAGATTTTTTTGAATTTATTGAGATCAATATGAATGGTATGTTGACACAATGTGTTTCTCTAATAAGTTCTGCTTCTAAGAATTCAAAATCCTCTCAATAATATGCATGTTATATTCTGTTCTGTTTATAGCTTGAGAGTTTTTTTTTTGACATTTCTATCTTCAAATTGATGTCTTTACCAAGACAAACAGTGGTATGCAAAAGAAGAAGGACAACAGTAAAATTAAATAGGAAAAATAACACCAAAGTTTATTAGTGAGGTTAACCTAGGAAGCTACATAAGGTAAATAGGAAGTTCATTTTGTAAGTTAAATAAATCTACTTGAAACCAACTTTGCAAAAGTTATAACAGTGAAAAAATTATGATAGTGAAAGAGGTCTAATCTAACCAACTCCCATCTTGCCTTGAATTGCCAAACTGCCCTTAAACATTCTTGGGCTTGGGTAAAGCTAGTTTTGTGAGACATTTAGTTTATAGTTTAAATTATAATAGCCCTTCCCAAAAACTTAACCACTTTTGTAAAGCTAAGAAAATGCCCTAGGTTAAGAGTATGGAAGGTGCCTGAATTCTGCTAAGGACTAGGTGGAATGATAACCAGACATTATTCTAGAGGTCACAAGATTTGCAACTTCCCTAATTACTCCTACAGATAAAATCACTATTATAGAATGTAAAAGTGGAAATATCTTTTCAGATTTTTGCATTTCTGACCACTGATGGCTCCAGCTGGATCCAACAACCATTTCTGTGCCCCACTCAACAGTGGACTCAGCCCACACAAGGACCATTTTCCACTACTCTAGCATCCTCAACCACTCAGCAACACCAATTCCCTGGCCTACCAAACAATCCTTGAACAACTCTAGCCTCCAAATTTTGGGGGAGGCTGATTTCAGTAATAATAAAAGCTGGTCTGCTTAGCCAGCTCTGAATGAATTAAACTATTTCTCTATTGCAATTCCCCTGTCTTGATGAATTGGCTCCATGTGAATAGTGGGCAAAATGAACCCATTGGGCAGTTGCATAGTTGTAGCTCCTATTTAAGGGAGTATTTTCTAGCATGGTAATTACATTAGATTTTGACCTATGACATATTTAAAAAATTAGTGGTTAGAAATATAAACTTTCAATTCAGACTGCCTGGATTTATATCATAGCTCAGATATTTGCTATGTGGCGTTGGGCATAACTACCCTTATAGGATTGCTATAAGAATTACATCTTAAAAATTCATTTAAAGAACTTAATACTGATCTTATCAGGGAGGGGCCAAGATGGCTGAATAGAAATAGTTCCAGTTTGCAGCTCCCAGTGAGACCAACACGGAAGGTGGGTGATTTCTGCATTTCCAACTGAGGTATCCAGTTTATCTCATTGGTTAGGCAGTGGGTGCAACCCACAGAGAGTGAGCAGAAGTACGGTGGGGTGTTGCTTCACCTGGGAAGTGCAAGGAGCCAGGGACCTCCCTCCCCCAGCCAAGGGAAGCCATGAGGGACTGTGCTACTCACCCTGGTACTAGGCATTTCCCACAGATTTTTGCAATCCTCAGATCAGGAGATTCCCTCATAAGCCTACACCACCAGGGCCCTGGGTTTCAAGCACAAAACTGGGTGGCTATTTGGGCAAACACTGAGCTAGCTGCAGGAGATTTTTTTGTACCCCAGTGGTGCCTGTAACCCCAGTAACACAGGAGAACTGTTCACTCCCCTGGAAAGGGGACTGAAGCCAAGGAGCCAAGTGGTCTCACTCAGCAGGTCCCACTCCCATGGAGCCCAGCCAACCAAGAACCACTGGCTTGAAATTCTCACTGCCAGTACAGCAGTCTGGAGTCTACCTGAGAAGATCCAGCTTGGTCAGGGGAGGGGCATCCACCATGACAGAGGCTTTAGAAGGCGGTTTTCCCTTGACAGTGCTTAGGAGACTGGGAGGTTTGGACTGGGCGGAATTCACCACGGTAAGTATTTACCAGTAAGTTAAATAAATCTACCTGAAACCAACAGCAGAATTCACCACAGTAAGTATTTAACAGTAAGCTAAATAAATCTACTGAAACCAACAGCAAGGCAATGCAGCTGTGGCCTGACTTCTTCTCTAAGTTCCCCCTCACTGGGCAGGGCATCTCTGAAGGAAATGCAGCAGCCCTAGGCAGGGGCTTACAGATAAAACTCTCATCTCCCTGGTACAGAGCACCTGGGGGGAGGGGTGGCTGTGGGTGCAGCTTCAGTAAACTTAACCTTTCCTGCCTGCCAGCTCTGAAGAGAGCCACTGATCCTGACAAGGGGGATTCTCTCAGCACAGTGCACCAGCTCTGCAAAGGGACAGACTGCCTCCTCAAGTGGGTCTCTGACCCCTGTGGCTCCTGACAGGACAGACCTCCCAAAAGGGGTCAACAGGCATCTCATACAGGAGAGATGCCATCAGGCCATCTGGTTTCCATCAGGCCAGTGCCCCTCTGGGACAAAGCTTCTTGAAGAAGGAGCAGTCAGCAATCTTCGCTGTTCTACAGCCACCACTGGTGATACCCAGGTCAACAGGGTCTGAAGTGGACCTCCAGCACACTGCAGCAGACCTGCACAAGGGGGGTCTTACTGTTAGAAGAAAACTAACAAGCAGAAAGCAACAACAACATCAACAAAAAAGACCCCTACACAAAAACCCCATCAAAAGGTCATCAGCCTCAAAGACCAAAGGTAGATAAATCCACGAAGATGAGAAAAAAACAGTGCAAAAACGCTGAAAATTCCAAAAGCCAGAATGCCTCTTCTCCCCCAAATGATTACAACTCCTCTCCGGCAAGGGCAAAAAGCTAGACAGAGAATGAGATTGATGAATTGACAAAAGTAGGCTTCAGAAGGTGGATAATAACAAACTCCTCTGAGCTAAAGGAGGATGTCTAACCCAACTCAAGGAAGCTAAGAATCTTGATAAAAGGTTACAAGAACTGCTAACTAGAATAATCAGTTTAGAGAGGAATATAAATGACCTGATGGAGCTGAAAAACACAGCATGAGAACTTCGTGAAGCATACACAAGTAGCAATAGCTGAATTGATCAAGAGGAAGAAAAAATATCAGAGATTGGAGACCACCTTGCTGAAATAAGGCATGAAAACAAGATTAGAGAAAAAAGCATGAAAAGGAATGAACAAAGCCTCTAAGAATTATGGGACTATGTGAAAAGATCAAACCTACAATTGATTGGTGTACCTGATAGTGATGGGGAGAATGGAATCAAGTTGGAAAACACATTTTAGGATATTATCCAGGAGAACTTCTCTAATCTAGCAAGACAGGCCAACATTCAAATTTGGGAAATACAGAGAGCACCACTAAGATACTCCATGAGAAAATCAACCCCAGACACATAATCATCAGATTCTCCAAAGTTGAAATGAAAGAAAAAATGTTAAGGGCAGCCAGAGAGAAAGGTCAGGTCACCTATGAAGGGAAGCCATCAGACTAATAGCAGATCTCTCTGCAGAAAACCTACAAGCCAGAAGAAAGTAGGGGCCAATATTCAACATTCTAAAAGAAAAGGATTTGCAACCCAGAATTTCATATCCAGCCAATCTAAGCTTTATAAGTGAAGGAAAAATAAAATCCTTTCCAGACAAGCAAATGCTGAGGGACTTTGTCACCACCAGGCCTGGCTTGCCAGAGCTCCTGAAGGGAGCACTAAATATGGAAAGAAAAAAAACTGGTACCAGCCACTGCAAAAACACACCAAAATGTAAAGACCAATGACACTGTGAAGAAACTGCATCAACCAATGTGCCAGATAACAAGCTAGCTTCATGATGACAGGATCAAATTCACATACAGCAATATTAAACTTAAATGTAAATGGGCTAAATCCCACCAATTAAAAGACTGGCAAATTGGATAGTCAAGACCCACTGGTGTGCTGTATTCAGCAGACCCATCTCACGCAAACACACACATAGGCTCAAAATAAAGGGATGAAAGAATATTTACCAAGCAAATGGCAAGCAAAAAAAAGCAGGGGTTGCAATCCAAGTTTCTGATAAAACAGACTTTAAACCAACAAAGATCAACAAAGACAAAGAAGGGCATTAATGGTAAAGGGATCAATGCAACAAGGAAGAGCTAACTATCCTAAATATATATGCACCCAATACAGGAGCACCCAAACTCATAAAACAAGTTCTTAGAAACCTACAAAGAGAATTAGATTCCCAGACAATAATAGTGGGAAACTTTACTACCCCACTGTCAATATTAGACACAGCAATGAGACAGAAAAGTAACAGGATATTCAGGACTTGAACTCAGCTCTGGATCTAGTAGACCTAATAGACATCTAACTCTTTAACCCAAATAACAGAATACACATTCTTCTTAGCACCACATGGCACTTATTCTAAAATTGACCACATAATTGGAAGTAAAACACTTCTCAGCAAATGCAAAAGAACAGAATTCATAACAGTCTCTCAGACCACAGTGCAATTAAATTAGAACTCAGGATTCAGAAACTCACTCAAAACTGAACAACTACATGAAAATCAAACAACCTGCTCCTGAAAGACTCCTGGGTAAATAATGAAATTAAGGCAGAAATAAATAAGTTATTTGAAACCAATGAGAACAAAGAGACAACGTACCAGAATCACTGGGACACAGCTAAGGCAGTGTTAAGAGGTAAATTTATAGCACTTAATGCCCACATCAGAAAGCTAGAAAGATCTTAAACTGACATCCTAACATCACAGTTAAAGAACTAGAGAAGCAAGAGCAAACAAATTCAAAAGCTAGCAGAAAATAAAGTACTTAGGAATAAAACGTGAAGGACCTCTTCAAGGAGAACTACGAACCACTCTACTCAATGAAATAAAAGATACAAATAAATGGAAGAACATTCCATGCTCATGGATAGGAAGAATCAATATCGTGAAAATGGCCACACTGCCCAAAGTAATTTGTAGATTCAATGCTATTCCCATCAAGCTACCAGTGACTTTCTTCACAGAATTAGAAAATAACTACTTTAAATTTCATGTGGAACAAAAAAGAACCTGAATAGCCCAGACAATTCTAAATAAAAAGAACAAAGCTGGAGGCATCACACTACCTGACTTCAAACTATACTACAATGCTACAGTAACCAAAACAGCATGGTACTGGTACCAAAACAGATATATAGACAAATGGAACAGAACAAAGGCCTCAGAAATAACCCCACCCATCTATGACCATCTGATCTTTGACAAACCTGACAAAAACAAGCAATGGGGAAAGGATTCCCTATTTAATAAATGGTGTTGGGAAAAGTGGCTAGCCATATGCAGAAAACAGAAATTGGACCTCTTCCTATATCTTACACAAAAATTAACTCAAAATGGATTAAAGACTGAGATGTAAAATTCAAAACCATAAAATCCCTAGAAGAAAACCTAGGCAATACCATTCAGGGCTAGCAAAAGGGCATGGACAAAGACTTTATGATTTAAACACCAAAAGCAATTCCAGCAGAAGCCAGAATTGACAAATTAGATCTAATTAAACTAAAGAGCTTCTGCACAGCAAAATAAACTAGCATCAGAGTGAACAGGCAACCTCCAAAATGGGCGAAAATGTTTACAATCTACCCATTTGACAAAGTTCTAATATCCATAATCTATAAGAAACTTAAATTTACAAGAAAAAAACAACCCCATCAAAAAGTGGGCAAAGGATATGAACAGACACTTCTCAAAGGAAGACATTTATGTGGCCAAGAAACACATGAAAAAAAGGTAACATCACTGGTCATTAGAGAAATGCAAATGAAAACCACAATGAGACACCATCTCAGGTCAGTCAGAATGGTGATCATTAAAAAGTCAGGAGACAACAGATGCTGGTGGGGCTGTGAAGAAATAGAACACTTACGCTGTTGGTGGGAGTGTAAATTATTTCGACCATTGTGGAAAACAGTGTGACAATTCCTCAAGAATCTAGAACCAGAAATACCATATGACCCACCAATCCCATTAGTGGGTATATACCCAAAGGATTATAAATCATTCTGCTATAAAGACACATGCACACATATGTTTATTACAGCACTATTCACAATAGCAAAGACTTGGAACCAACCTAAATGCCCATCAATATAGACTGGATAAAGAATATGTGGTACATATACACCATGAAATACTATGCAGCCATAAAAAAGAATGAGATCATGTTGATTGCAGGGACATGGATGAAGCTGGAAGCCATCATTCTCAGCAAACTAACACAGGAACAGAAAACCAGACACCATATGTTTTCACTCATAAGTGGGAGTTGAACAATGAGAACACATGGACACAGGGAGGGGAACATCATACACCGGGGTCTGTCGGGGGGTGGGGGGCAAGGGGAGGGAGAGCATTAGGATAAATACCTAATGTATGTGGGACTTAAAACCTAGATGACAGGTTCATAGGTACAGCAAATCACCATGGCACACGTATAGCTATGTAACAAACCTGGATGTTCTGCATATGTATCCCAGAACTTAAAATATAAAAAAATAATAACTTAATAGTGTGCTGTGCATGTTAGTATAAGGTGTAATTATGAGAGCTTAGAAAGCTCTCAACAAATGTTAGCTAAGCTATTATTATTACTAATGAAGTCAAGGCCAGGCTTTATCATTTTAATTTATGAAGAATTTACAACTGCTACGGATCTTGTCTACTGGCTTCTGTTTCAAAACAGTGACCATCACTCTTTGCCCAGACTCTTCTGCCTTAGAGTCATTACCACCAGACTCTTGAAGGTAAGTGACCCAAAGCCAGTGTTAGATGGCTTCTAACTTAGCCTTCTGTTGCTGCCAAGGCACTTGGGTTTTGCATTGCTTCCATAAGCAAAGTCCCCTTGGAATTGCAGTCCTCCAATAAAAGAAAGGACCTTGACCTCTGAACACTTATGAGGACTTGGGCACTGCCTCTACTATCCAGTCCTCTATTTGGGTCTGTGGATTCTGCCTGTTAGATCAGTCTGAAAGCATCTCCTCCACGGAAAAGTGGGAAGTCTCACATCCTTCTCTTTCAATAGCCTGAGACATGGAATAGCTCTTCCATTCCTCAAGGCCAAGAGTGCTCCAATTCTTTTCTGAAAAAGGACTGAATAATTATCTCAGTCTATGAGAGTCATACGGTCTCTGTAACAACTGTTCGACTTTTCCACTGTTGCACAAACACAGCCATGGAGGATACATAAATTACTAGGCATAACTGTTTGAATTTATTTATTTATTTTTATAGAAATAAAATGTATGTAGGGTCTGTGGGCTTAGTTTATGGAACCCAGCTCTGGGCCAGTGGCAGGCTCTTCCCCTTTCAGCTTACTTTATTCTGTTGGACTCCACAATCTCAGAATAACCATGCAGGGCCATTGATTGTGCCAACGGTATGACATGAGCCACAAGCAGAGCAAAAGTAAATTTATTTCCCCTTTTTAATCTTTTTTAAAAACTACATTTTAGAAATGACACTTAGAATATATCTCAACCTTGCTTTTTTCCATTCTCCATTAATAAGTAACTCAAGCCTCTGCTCCCAGGATTAGGATCTATAAGCAACATAACCAGAAGCTGTCACTGGTGGTTAGGGACACCCCAGAGGGAGTGTGCCTCACATTTGCAGTATTGTCTTAAGTTTGCTTTCCTATCTGGAAGCAGGTGGAGTTTCAGGCTTCTCATCATTGTAAAAATAATGTAATCCTCATCTCAAATTGGAAAAGGCTCTCAGGAATCAAACCTCAAATATGCTGCTGGTATTTCACGAAGAGAGTAGCAGATCTTAACTGAGAAAATGGAATTACCAACCTCTAGCGTTGCTCTTAGGAGTTAATGACAGAGCCGGGAACTGCTCCTCCTGTAATCTGGGGCCAATCCTCATATTGAATTTCTGCTTTGGTCTCATGAATGCTAGCCTGATCAGACGCCATGCTGTACTGCTTAATCCCTTCTCTTTCTGTTGCATATTCATTTACTTCCTCTCAGCTGAATTGTTTCTAAACACACTGGAGTTCCTCCCAATTAACACGAAAACAAAAATAAACAAATCTTTCTCCTTACCCTCTCCCCATATCTTCTATCTCCCCTTTGGTTGTCTATAATCATTGTCAGCATTTATGCCACTTACCTCTCAGTCTTCCAATCTAGTTACTATCCTCATCTTTCCACAAAATCATCTTGTTAAAGTAACCCATAACATGTAGATTGTTAAATTCAATGAGCATTTTTCTCTTCTCAGTTTATTTGATTCTCAAAAACCTCTGATACAATTGACCTCTCTGTCTGTGAAAACGTTCTATTAAGTTGGTGCAAAACTAATCACGGTTTTTGCCATTGAAAATCATGGCAAAAACTGCAGTCACTTTTGCACCAACTAAATACTTCCTGAGTTTCCATGAAAAACCTCTTCCTACATATTCTTTTCTTTCTCTTTCTGGCCACTCACACTGCCCATTTTAGTGCTACATTTTCTCATCTTTACTACCTGAGTGTCATGAGGTTCTTACTTCATGCTAACCACTAGGCAAATATTAGAATACAACCTATATTAATTAATAAGTGAAACTCTATAATTTTGATGTAGTAAGGATTTAGTGTGTGCTGCTCCCAGCCCCTCTTCCTTCCTGAATTCTAGTTCTTAAAAAAAAATAGTCTTGTTTTTGAATTCTGAGTATAGTCTTAGTTTTCCATGATAGCAATTGATATCAGAGGGGCCCAATGGAAACTTTGTATTCACTTAATCTTTAATTGACTCTCCCTCACCTAAAGCTTAAATTCTACCATGTCCATATGCCCCTCTGATCACTGACACATCTGTTGGGGCCAGTTCCAAATTATGTAGCTCCCTCCCTCTTGACTTTATGACATCTGTCAGTTGAAGAATAATTTTAAAGCCAAAAGACTTTTATGATAGCAAATCATACTAATGGTTCCAATTGATTCAAGTACTTACAGGACAGGTTTCGTGAGAGAATAAGACTCTAATTAAACCATTAATATTACAGATAAAGGGCCCCAAGGCCCCAGAATATGGGCTGTGAGACGGGTGGTACGATGGAAAAGGCAGGCAAGTTCAGATATACCAACAAATAGAAATCTAGAAACACAGTATGAAATGATGCTTAACTTAATTGAAGTAAGTCCCAGATAAGGAAAATAAGTTATGCTACCAAATATTTCTACTCCATTATTTTTGCCTAAGACTCTTCTTCAATTATGCCCTGAGGGCCACCATTCAATCTTAACCTTGAGAATACTGACTGTTTTTCTCCAGGGATACAATTTTGGCCTTCATTTCAGGATAATATAATGTCTGATAATTTCACGTCTTTCGGTCTCTGCTGTATTGTCTGAAAATTAACCCATGGATCAAGAGTTATAATATAGAAAAGACAAACAACTAGACAGTCTCAGTGAGACCTATAACAACACTCCAATGGGATGGTGGCATTTAAGATAGATGGCAAATGCCAATTCTGAGGCACTTCTGTAAGAATCTTGTGTTTCCCATTAGAGAAATAATGAAGTTTCCATAAAATTTGCAAGTTTAAAATTGCAAACCCAACTCTTGGGAGAAAATTGGGTGAATCACAAGTGATTGTTGCTTAAGTTTCACATTAGTAAATATACTGGCTGTGTTGGTATTATTCAAAACTCGGAGCCACAAAATACATTTTTGTATCATTTTATTTGTAGAAGAATGACACAATTATTTTCAGAATAATTAACTCCTCAGCTTAGTGACAATTATGTTCCATTATAATAATTAAAATCACACCCTGCTGTTTGGATGGACTCAATAGAATAATGATTTCTTAGGGGAAGATTTAATTGGATCATTATTTTTTCTCCAGCATTAAAAATATCTGTAAATTATTTCAACTCATTGTACTACTGCTTAATTTTGAATTTTCTAGCTGTCCTATGGAAAGAAATATCATTAGAAAGATGGCAGTCTCAATCCACCCTTGAACTACGTGTGCATAATAATTGTTGCTGGAGGTATGCCAGGGCTTGGTAAAATGCAGAACTGATGGCTTGGCATAGCAGCAGGGCCACAGATGGTGGGAGTACCTGAAATCAGGTGGGTAGGAGCAGGTGGTGAGCTGAATAGTGGTATTTCAGAGTGGTCCGTCGAAGGAAGAACTCACTCTGGTAAATAAGTGGGAGAATAAGAGTAAATATCAAATGCTTTCCTGTGGATGAAGTTGGTTAGAGCTTGGAAGGGTATTAGGACCCTAGGCAAATGGGTTGGAATTCAAGAGAGCACTCCTGCTTGAAGAAGAAACTGAAGTATAAGGCAGAAAACTGAGTGGAAGTGGGGAATGTGCTAGACCAATAAGTCAGGGGTAGCGAAGAGCTAAGCCCTTTGACCACTGTAATGTTCTAGTTTACCCTGAAGTACATCAGGTACGGAAATAATAGCAGTGAGATTATCAGCCCTTCTTAGGTAGACCATATATTGGTAGGTACTACTACAGCTACAGCTATGTCTTAGCCTGAATTATATACTGAATGCAGAAAGTGGGAAATGCTATTCAGGTTCACTTAGGGAGGTGTTAGAGGTCTTAAAAAGAAAAGCCTATGGTATGGGCGTGGTGGCTCACACATGTAATCCCAGCACTTTGGGGGCCAAGGTGGGCAGATCACCTGAGGTCAGGAGTTCAAGACCAGCCTAGCCAACATGATGAAACCCAGTATCTACTAAAAATACAAAAATTAGCTGGGCATGGTGGTGGGCACCTGTAATCCCAGCTACCCAGGAGGCTGAGGCAGGATGAATTGCTTGAATCTGGGAGGTGGAGGTTGCAGTGAGCTGAGATCGTATCACTTAAATCCAGCCTGGGTGACAGAAGGAGACTCTGTCTCGAGAGAGGAAAAAAAACAAAAACAAAAACCTAAACCCAAAGCTTTAAGGCAAGAGAGTAAGAAGCAATAAACCCTGAAGTGTGCTTATTTTTTAGAAAAGGGTAGGTTGCTCGGCAGCCCCTTGTGTATGCCCTTTCAGTGTGATGACTTGGGACTAACACGTAGTTTGTAAACCAAATGGTCAGAGCCCACTAGACTGAAAGCTCTAAGCACTTAACACCGTTTGCTACATAGTAGGGGCTTTATACATCGTTGTTGAATAAAAATGAACTGATTAATAAAGGACTGCATGTGAATTCTGTCACTTGCAGAGTTCCCAGACTCTGTAGACATGGCGGTGGAGTCAGGGATCATGGTCCTTTGGGTGGTTCTTTATTATTTCATGATTCTGTTTCTAACCACTTTCATTTTCTTATGGTGAATGCATATCTCATGAAGCTAAAACTTTCCAGCCTCCACAGGGACAGGGAAACATTCTGAATCCTGGGAGAGCACAATTGCTCCAAAGACAATAGTACAAGAGCAGAGGGGACAAAGTTTCTAAGTAGGGCTAGAGTTGACCTGGGAACTAGGGTGAGACAGGTGTCTCTGTAAGAATTCCTATTCATAACATAAAAGAACCTGAGAAGGTAGACAGGCATCTTTCTTGAGGAGACCCAGGTGTCCTGGACCCGATTTCTTGACTCTGAGTTAGTACAACTGAACTCACTCCTAACGGAGGGACTCGATAGTAACATGACCTAGGAAAGTAGAAATTCTTGATCTTATTCTATAGAAGAAGCTATACAATCTTCTTGTGGTTCAGTGCTGGGATGAGAAGACTAAGGGTTTTATTTTGCCTGGTTTTTGACTTTAACAATTTAGAGAGTCAGGACTGACAATGTCTAGAAGGAAGTTTATTCTGCAAAACAATAGGGATCAGAATCCCCCTGATATAGTTTGGATATTTGTCTCCACCCAAATCTTATGTTGAAATGTAATTTTCAAGTTTAGAGGTGGGGCCTGGTAGGAAGTGTTTGGGTCATGGGGGTAGATCCCTCATGGCTTAGTATCATCCTCACTGTAGTGATTTCTCATGGTAGTGAGTTCTTGTGAGATCTGGTTATTTAAAACTATGCGGCACCCCCCCACAACGCTCTCTTACTCCTGCTTTTGCCATATGATATGTCTACTCCCACTTCCCCTTCCGCCATGAGTACAAACTCCCTGAGGCTTCTCCAGAAGCCAAGCAGATGCCAGTGCCATGCTTGTACAGCCTGCAGGGCCATGAGCCAATTAACCCTCTTTTCATTATAAATTATCCAGTCTCAGGTATTTCTTTACAGCAATGCGAGAACAGCCTAACATACCCCCATAGTCAGTGAGGCAAAGTCTCACTAATGTGGAGTCTAGTAAGATCATCTAAGGACAATCACGTGTCCTCTGCAGGTTGTTTAGAATTGGCACCACTTATGTCCCACATTTTAATCCATCCATAAAATCAAGCCAAGTATGTCTGCAAACACCTTTTTAAAGTCATTCACCCCATATCCTTATTTGCTCTAAACTAAACACTTTCAATTCTTCCCACCACAACGACCTCAAATATTTATTTCTGCACCTTACTACTGTGTCTCTGTCAGGATCCTTTTCTTGGTGATTACTTGGCCTAACTCTGATATTTGAGTCTTTGTCTTCCTGTAATATCGTTAACATCACTTTCTTCCAATCATTGTACTGATCATGTGAAACAGATGCTAGAATTTTATCTTTTCCATTGCACAACATTTTACAGAGTGACATATACTTAACTATAAGCTTAACTATAAGCTTATAGTTTATAACACTAAACTATAAGCTTGAGGACATGAAGCTTGCATTCTTATCATTATATTCCTAGCCCCTGGCACAATGGTTGTCTGTTAGTACATATTGGTTGAATGAATGAATGAACAAATATAGATCTTCCTAATATTTTGAGTTCTGAGAGTTTATAAAAAGTGATCTTTATAAAATGAAAGCTGGGATCGTTTTTGAAAGATTCTACATCTTCTTGGCATTATTATTATGTAGTGTGGCATGTTTCTTGCCCTTGAATATCCTCTCGTCTACTGGGGAAACCGGATATCTAACTAGAATGTAGGTGGGGCCATGGTAAAGATTTACATAGGGTGTTGTGAGAAGATAGGGGACAATCATACAATCCTTTAAGGTCAGGATGAGGAATTCATGCTTAATAAGAGTTTTAAATATTGAACAGTAATAAAACAGATGGAGGAGAGTGGAGAGTGGTCTCTGGGAGGGTTGGGTAGGGAAAGGTACAGCATTTTACTACCAGAGGGTCATTACAAAAAAGGCAAGAAGTGTGACATAGGGTAGTTGCCTGCAATCCAGTGCTCCCGGGGCATCAAGTTCCAGGCAGAGAAAGAACTAAATAAGTCTGAGAGGTAGAAGAAATCAGATCACAGAGGGCTTTTATACTTGACATAGATTTTAAGTTTTATTCTGTGGACGCTTGAGGATAGCATGGATAATTTGCAATTTGGAAAACTCTGGAAGATGAGCAAAGGATTAATGAGGTGGGCAAATCTGAAGGCAGGGAAACTAGTCAGAAAAATATAGCAGTAGTTTGCAGGAGAGAAATATGAGAACCTGAGCAAGGCAAAAATAGATGTGAAAATAAAGTGTCTAAACTTGGTGCTTGAGTGGCTAGAGGTCTGAAAGTTATGCTGGAGTCAAGAATAGTTTTCAGGTTACTAATTAGGCAGAACTGTTGGAGGGTTGTGACACTAATTGAAACAGAGACTGCAAGAGGAGGAAAGTGAGGAATTCTGCTCTGAGTAAGGTGTCTGCAGAACATCCACATGAGCATGTCTGCTATGCAATGGACTGTAAGAATTTGAAGTTTGAGGAGAAAAGACTGACAATGTCAGTTTGGAAATCATTAGCATATAGCAGTTAAAACCATGAGAATGTATGAGCTCACTCAGTGAGTGAATAGAAAAGAGCATAGAACTGAGCACTGAAATGGAGTAAATAACTACATTTGAGTAGTGCACAGAGAAAGAAACATCTATAAATTTAACCAATAAGTATCAGATTTGCCTTAGGGGACAACATAATATTTGCCCATATATAACTCCCTACCACCCTCTAAATTCTATAACCCACCATTATCTGGCTTCTGGTACTTAATCAACTTTCTGTTTTCTGGGTTTTTTTTATTGCACTTTTTATTTAGAGATAATTGCTGATTCACATGTGGTTGTATGAAATAATACAAAGAGATCCCATGTGTAATTTATCAAGTTTTCCTTAATGGCAAACTCTTACAAACTATATCACAACCAGGATATTAGCCTTGATATAGTCAAGATACAGAAAATTTCCTTTACTACAGAGCTTTCTCATGTTGTTTTCTTGTTTTTAGCCAAACCTGTTTCCCGTTCACTCTCAACTCCTCTAACCCCAAGCAAGCACTGATACATTCTCCATTGCTCTAATTTTGTCATTTCATGCATGTTAAATATAAATGGAATCATATCATATGTAACCTTTTGGGATTGGGTACACAACATAATCTCTAGAGAGCCAGGTTGTTGGAGGTATCAAAAGTTTGTTCCTTTGTATTGTTTGAACAGTATTCCATGGTATGAATATTACAGTTCGTTTTACCTTTCAACTGTGAGAGATTTATTTCCATGGGTTTTTCCACTATTAGGAATAAAGCTCATATAAATATTGTGTACTGCTTTTTGTGTGAACATAGGTTTTAATTTCTCTGGGATAAATGATTAGGACACAGTTTCTGGGTTCTATAATAGTTACATACTTTTTTTTTAAGAGACTGCCAAAGTTTGTTTTTGAGAGCTACTCAAAAGCTACATTTTCCTCAGCAATGTGTGATCCAGTTTCTGTGAATCCTTGCTAGAATTTTATGTTGTCACTATTTTTTGTTTTAGCCATTCTGATTGATGTGTAGTGACATCTCATTGTGATTTTAACTCACATTTCCCTAGTGGTTAATGATGATGAACATATTTTCACGTACTTATTCACCATCTGTAAATCCTGTTGGGTGGAATGTATCTTCACGTCTTCTGCTCAATTGTGTAATCAGATTGTTTGCTTTTTTACTGTTGTGATTTGAGTTATATATTCTTGCTATTCTTCCTTTGGTGGCTAGGTGGTTTGTAAATAGTTTCTCTCACTCATTAGCTTGTCTTTTTCAGCTTAACAGGATCTTTTCCTCACCACAAAAGTAATGAAGGAAATGAGCTAATGAAGATCATTTGATTAACTTTTCTTTTTATGGATCATGCTTTTGTGCTAAGTATGTAAATTCTTTAACCATGTATCTTGAAGATTTCCTGGTTTCTTTTCCTAAAAGTTACATGGCTTTGACTTTTATATTTAAGTCCATGATTCATTTTGTTAATTTTTATGAATTTAGGTCAAATTACATATTTTTTGAGGGGAGGCCATGGATGTCCAGTTGCTTCAGCACCATTTGTTAGAAAGGCTATCTTTCCTCCATTGATTTGCTTTTGCACCTTTGTGATGTGAACATCAGTTGAACAATCTGGTATGAGTCTATTTATGAGATCTCTACTTGTTCATCAATTTGTGTGTCTGTCTCTCTGACAATACCACATGCTACTGATTATCGTAGTTGTAGAGTAAGTATTAAATTAAATAGCCTGATTTTTCTTTTTTATACTTTTTAAATATAAAATTGTTTAATCTACTTTAGTTCTACGGTCTTTCTGTATACATTTCAGGATAACCTGATTTATGTCTAAAATAATCTTGCTAGTATTTTGATAATAATTGTGTCAGTCTTGACAGTATATCTTTTGGGGGGAATATATTTACTGGCTTGATTTTTTTTCAATCCGTTAACATAGTATCTCTTTTCATTTATTTATATCTTATTTGATTTTTTCATCAATGTATAGTTTTCAGAATACAAGTCCTATACAGGTTTTATTACATTTACACCAAAGAATTATTTTTGAGCTGTTTATACATGGTATGTTTTGAATTTCAGTGCCCATGTATTTCTTGCTAGCATGCAGAAATAAAATAGATTTTTTAATGTTTATCTTCTATCCCACAACCTTTAACGCACTTATTAGCTCTAAAAATGTTTTTGTAGATTGCTTGGGATTTTCTCTGTAGACAAGTGTGCTATCTGCAACTTAGAAAAGTTATGTTTTTTCTGATCTGAATGTCTTTGATTTCCTTTTCTTCTAGTGCTACTAAAAACTCATAGCACTATGTTAAACAAGAGTGGTGAAAAAAGGCATCCTTGTCTTATTCACAGTCTTCGGGTAAAGTATTCAGTCTTTCATCATTAAGTATGATGTTACCTGTAGAACTTTTTGAAGTCATTCTTTGTCAAGTTGAATTAGTCTCTATTTCCAGTTTTCTGATAGTTTTTATTATGCATCAGGGTTGATTATGATTTTTCTGTATCAATTGATATGATTATGTAATCTTTCTTCTATAGCTTGTTAAGGTGGTGATTTTCATAGATTGATATTTGACTATTTACCTAGCCTTGGACCCTGAAACAGACACCACTTGGTTATGATTATGAATTATGTTTATGTATTGCTAAATTCTATTCATCTATGTTTATATGTATTGCTAAATTCTATGTTGTTTCAAATTTTTTATGTTTATATAAAAATATAAATAGGAGGTTTGTAAATATTTTCTCTCTTTCACAGCCTGTATATTTTTAGGTGACATTGTTCTTTAATCTTTTATTTTGCACTGTCTTTCTATTTTAGTATCAAAGTTATACTAGATTCATAAGATGAATTGGAAAATATTTTCTCCTCCATTTTTTTCCTGGAAGAAATTGTTTAAAACTAGGGTTAGTAGTTTTTAAAACATTTGGTACATGTCTCCAGTGATTCCATCTGGGCCTGAAAATTTTGTGGTTGCAGGGAGAATCTTTAAGTGATTCATTCAAATAGTTATAGGGTTATCCGTATAAATTATTTACTTCATTCTGAGCAAATGTGGTAGTTTGTTTTTCCGGGAAGTAGTTCATTTCATCTAAGTTGTCGGAGATAGCTGTGAAAAACTTCCCATGGTAATCCCTTTTTACCCATTTTTTGTCTGCAGGGTCTATAGTTATAGCCTATTTCATTGCTGATATTGGGAGTTTTTAATCTTCTTTTAATTTGCCAGTCTTTCTAGATAATTTTGAAATTATTAATCCAAAGAACCAGCTCTGTTTCATTGATATTTTTCTATTTTCTGTTTTCAATTTTATTGATTTCTGCTCTTATCTTTATTATTTCCTCCTGCATATCTTGGGTTGATTTTGCTTTTCTGTTTTTAGGTCTCTGAGGTGGAATCCTAGATTACTGATTTGTGACTTTTCCTCTTTTTCTAACATACAAAGTTAGTGCTCTAAATTTCCCTGTTAGCACAAGCTTTAGTTTTATGACATAAACTTTGTTATCCTGTATTTTCCCTTTTACTTATTTCAATGTAATTTATTTTTCTTCTTGACCTACGAACTATTTAAAAGTGTGTTATTTTTAAGTATTTGAAAATTTTCCTCTTAGCTTTTTATTATTTATTTCTAGTTTGTTTTCATCATGATTAGATAACACACTATATGATTTCAACTATTTCATATTTAGGGAAGTTTTTTATAACTTAGGATATGATCTATCTTGGTATATGTTCTGTGGTCACTTAAAATTATGTATATTTATTTTTGTTGTTGGTTGGGGGGGTGTAGTATTCTATTAATGTCTGTTAGATCCTATTAGTTGTTGGTATTATTGAGTTCTAAATATTTCCTACTTTTCTATCTGGTTGGTCTATCAGTTGTATTAAAGTACTGTTAATATATCCAACCATAATTGTGAATTTGCTTATACTGTTTTCAATTCATCTGGTTTCTGCTTCACTCATTTTACAGCTCTTATTTGGTGCATACTCATTTAAGATTACCTTCTTGGGGGATAGACTTTACCTCTTTGTATAATTTCTCTCTCTGTCTATGGTAATGTTCTTTGTTTTGATGTCTACGTTTTTTATATTATGTAGATATTCATGCTTTCTTTTTATTAATATTTGCATGATACATTTTCCAAACTTTACCTTCCAATCTGTCTGTATCATATTTATAATAAATTCTTATATACAAGCATATAGTTGGCTTATGTTTTGTAATCCCCTTTATGATTTTCATATTTTTAATTGATATATTTAAACCATCCATATTTAATTTAATTCTTGTTATGTTAAGGTAGAAGCTTGCCCATTTATTGATTGACAGTTTTCTTGTTACATTTGTTTTGTTTTTTCTTTCTTTCTCTGGGATGCTTGAACATTTTCTACAATTACATTTTTATTTGCCTCTAGCGGTTTCTTTTCTTCAAAAATAACAAATATGTCTTTATTGTATATATTTAAAGTATACAACATGATATTTTGATTCATATTAATGAAATGATTACTAGTCAAGCAGATTAACATATCCATCACTTGATGTGATCATCACGTCATCTCAATTAGAAAAAAGTTTTTGTGGCTGGGCGTGGTGGCTCACGCCTGTAATCCCAGCACTCTGAGAGGCCGAGGTGGGCAGATCACGAGGTCAAAAGATAGAGACCATCCTGGCCAACATGGTGAAACTCCATCTCTATTAAAAATACAAAAATTAACTGGGCATGGTGGTGTCTGCCTGTAGTCCTAGCTACTCAGGAGGTTGAGGCAGGAGAATCGCTTGAACCAGGGAGGTGGAGGTGGCAGTGAGCCGAGATCATCCTACTGCACTCCAGCCTGGCGACAGAGCGAGACTCCGTCTCAAAAGAGAAAAAAAAAAAAGCTTTTGTTGTGATGAGTGCACTTAAAATCTATTTTTTTAGGCAAATGTTCAGTGTACAGTATTAACTATAATCCTCATGTTGTATACATCTCTAGAGTTATGCATCATACTTAAATGCAAATTTGTACCCTTTTACCTATATATCCCCATTTCCTCCTTCCCCTCACCCATGAAAATGAAGACTCTACTCTGTTACTATATATTTGACTTTTTTTAAGATTCCACATATAAGTGAGATCATATAGTATTTTTCCTTCTGTGCAATGTTTCTGTTTCTTTCAGGTTGTTTCCCTATCTTGGTTATTGTGTACCATGCTGCCACAAACATGGGTGTGCAGATATCTCTGTGAGATGCTGATTTCATTCCTTTTTGGTATATACCTAGCAGATGGAATGCTATGTCAGAACTTTCAACAAGGCCACCAAGACCACACAATGGAGAAAAGATAATCTCTTCAATAATTCATACTGGGAAAACTGGACAGTCACATTTAAAAGGATGAAATTGGACTCTTATCTTACAACACACACAAACATCAACTCAAAATGGATCAAAGCCCTAAATGTAAGACTTGAAACCATAAAACTTTTAGAAAAAAAACATAGGAGAAAAAATCTTGATACTGGCCTTGGCAATGATTTTTGTGTATCACACCTGAAACAGCCAATAAAAGCAAAAACCAACAAGTGGGACTACATCAAATTAAAAAACTTCTGCACAGAAAAATAATTAACAAAATGAAAAAGCAGTCTACTGATAGGGAGAAATATTTGCAAACCATGTATCTGATAAAAGGCTAATCTATATAAAATATAAACAAATACACACAACTCATTTAATAACAATCTGATTTTAAAATGGGCAAAGGAACTGAATAGATATTTTTCCAAAGAAGACATAAAAATGGCAAACAGGTATATGAAAAAGTGATGAACATCATTAATCATCAGGGAAATGCAAATCAAAATGACAGTGAGATGTCCCCTCACACCTGTTAGAATGCCTATTATCAAAGACAGGAGGTAAGTGTTGTAAGGAGTGTGGAGAAAGATACTGTATTCACTATTGGTGAACACCAAGAGAATGTAGATTGGTACCATCATTATGGAAAAACAGTAGGGAGGTTTCTCAAAAAAATTAAAAATAGAACTACTGATAATGTTTGTGAATCTCTCTTTGTATGTTAATGGTTGGCACTGTATTACACTTTATATGCAAAATTTTTCAGACCAACAGTGTTATCCTTTACCAGTTGAGAAACATTCCCTGACTTTATGACCCTTTACCTTCTCACATTTCTAATGTAATTACCTTAAGTATTTCTCCTATATAACATTGAAAATCACATCATTCTAATAATGTTCTGTCAGCAAACATAATTTAGAAAACTCACAGAAAAATCGTTTCTGTGTTCTTTATTTCCCCCTGATATTTCTATGTTTATTCTTTTGTTTTCCTTCTATCTTGAGAACTTCATTTAGCCAATTTTTTTAGAGTAGGTATGCTAGTGAGAAATTATCTTCCTTTTCTTCATCTGGGAGTGTATTGTTTTTTCCTCCATTCTTTAGGGATATTTTGGCTAAAGGATCTGCACTGACAGTTCTTTTCAACCCTTGAAAATCATTTTGCTTCCTTCTAGATCCCAAGGTTTCTGACCCACTGTCATATAAATCATTTTTCCCCAAAGGTAAAGTGTCATTTTTCTCTGGTTTCTTTCAAGATGTATATTATGTTGTAGTTTTTAGAACTTTGATTATGATGTGTTTAGACATTGATTTATTAGGTTTTAGTCTATTTGAAATTTGTTCAGCTCCTTGAATCTGTAGGTTTACATCTTCTGACACATTTAGAAAATTTTCAGCCATTACCTCTGTTTTTGGCATTTAAAATTTTATAGCTGTTTATTTCTTTTCAACTTTTATTTTAGATTTGATGAGTACATGTACAGGTTTACATGGGTAAGTTATATATCACTGGGGTTTGGTTTACAGATTATTTTATCATCCAGGTGATAAGCCTAGTATCTGAAAAGTTAGTTTGTTAATCCTCCCCCTCCTCCCTCACTCCACCCTTAAGTAGGCCATGTTGTCTATTGTTCCCTTCTTTCTGTTTATGTGTTCTCAGTGTCTAGCTCCCATTTATAAATAAGAGCATATGGTATTTGGTTTTCTGTTCCTACCTACATTAATTTTCTTAGGACTAATGACTTCCAGCTGCATCCATGTTGCAGCAAATGATATGACTTCATTCTTTCTAGTGGCTGTGTGGTATTTTATGGTGTATATGTACCATATTTTCTTTATTCAGTCCACTATTGATGAGCACCTAGGTCGAGTCCATCTCTTTGCTTTTGCAAGTAATGCTGCAATGTACATACACATACATATATTTCTATGGTGGAATGATTGATGTTCCTTTGAGTATATACCCAGTAATGGAATTGCTGGGTCACATGGTAGTTCTGTTTTGTTTGAGAAATCTCTAAACTGCTTTCCTCAGAGGCTGAAATAATTTATATTCCCACCAACAGTGTATAAGCATTCCCTTTCTCCACAACCTCACCAACACCTGTTATTTTTTGGCTTTTTAGTAATAGCCATTTTGACCAATGTGAGATGGTATCTCCTTGTGGTTTTGACTTGTATTTCTCTAACGATTAGTGTTAAGCCTTTTTTTCATATGCTTGTTGGCCATGTGTATGTGTTCTTTTGAGAAGTGTCTGTTCATATTCCTCATCAATTTTTTAATGGGGTTGCCTTTGCTTGTTAAGTTACTTACAGATTATGGGTATTAGACCTGTGTCAGTTGCATAGTTTACAAATATCTTATCCCTCACTCTGTAGTTGTTTTTTTATTCTGTTAATAGCTTCTTTCACTCTACAGAAGCTCTTTAGTTTAATTAGGTTCCACTTGTCAATTTTTGTTTTGTTGCAATAGCTTTTGGAGTTATCATCATGAAATCTTATCTAGAGCCTGTGTCCAGAATGGTATTTCCTAGGTATTCTTCTAGGATTTTTAGTTTTAACACTTAAGTCTTTAATCCAGAAGATAAGATGATTATAGGTGTGCAGCTTTATTTCTGTGGTCTATGTTCTGTTCCATTGGTCAAAGTGTCTGTTTCTGTAGTAGTACCACATTTAGGTTACTGCAGTTTTGTGGTATAGTTTTAAGTCAGGTAGTATAATGCCCCCCACTTTGTTCTTTTTGCTTAGGATTGCTTTTGCTATACTGGCTATTTTTTGGTTCCGTATGAATTTTAGAAGTTTTTTTCTAATTCTGTGAAAAAAAAAGTTGGTAGTTTAATAGAAATGGCTTTGAATCTATAAATTGCAATGGGCACTATGGCCATTTTAACAATATGATTCTTCCTACCCATGAGCAGTGAGTGTTTTTCCCTATCTCCAATTTCTTTCAGCAGTGTTTGATAATTCTTATTTAGAGATCTTTGACATCCCTGGCTAGCTGTATTCCTAGGTATTTTATTCTTTTTGTGGCTACTGTAAATGAGATTGTGGGGGTGGCTGCAGGTGAACACATGCAATGCGGTGGCAGGAGGATATGGGGAGGGCATGCACCGGCAGGGTCCCATCTACAGCTAGGCAGGGTCTGCCTGCAAGGGGCTTATGGTAGCAGGTGCCAGAAAGTACCCTGGTTTGGCATCCGAGGCTGAGCAGGCACAGCCAGGAAGGAACCCTGGGAGAGGCTGGCAGGCAATGAGGCATTAAGATCAGACTGGCCACATTTCACAGGCAAGACTGCCCTGCTCTGTCCAGGTCAAACGGTCAACAAAGGCCAATGCCGTCTTGAAGAATGTGGCAAGCCTCAGGTTTGGGTAACACTGGCTGTGCTCCACTGCAACCATTCTGGCATCAAACACTCTGGGCTCTGCACAGGCTGGAGTCCTGTTTCTGTCAACTCCCTGAGCAGCTCCCTCTGTCAACTAAAATGTCCATGAGGGTTGTGGGGTCTTCTGCAGCTAGGATTCTGGAGGTCTGTGGTGACAGTGAGCCACTCCATGCCTATTTAATTCACCCCTTCCCCAGAAGCTGCTCAGGACCAGGAAAGAGTCCTGGTGCTCAGCAACACTGTGCAGAGTTCCTAGCTTCCTCTCCCTTCAGCCCAAGGTCTGCACCCTCCCTCCATCTACTCTCAATGCCCTTCTTCTGAAGATCTGCTCAGAGTGGGCTAGTCTTCTCGAGGGCCTGGTCTCTCAGTGGAGGAAGCTCTTCTTGGCTGCATCAAGTCAGCCATCTTGGCTCAGCCGCAGGATGCTCTTGGTGGACCTTTACTCTCAGCCATTATCTCTGCATATTTTCTAGGCCCATCCTTTCCTACTTTCCGAGTACTCTAGTGACATGAATGTCATTTTGTTATAGTCCCACAGATCCCTGATACTGTTTTTAACAATTATAATTGTAGGTATTTATGGGGTACACAGTGATGCTTTGATACATACAATGTATGTATCCGATCAGGGTAATTAGCATATCCATTATCTCAAACATTTATCATTTCTTTGTATTGGGGGCATTCAATATCCTTCTGGCTATATGAAACTATACATTGTCCATTTTTATTCAGCCTATTTTATCTGTTGTTCAGGTCGTATCATTTCTATTCTATTTTACATCTCACTGATCTTTCCTCTGTCCTCTTTATTCTGATGTTTAGCCCATTTGCTAAACATTTGATTTTGGTTATTATATTTCTTCAGTTATAAAATTTCAATTTAGTCTTTGTATCTCATATTTATTTGCTGAGACTTTCCATTTCTTTAGTGAGACTTGGTAATTTTGCATTTTTTAAGCTGGATTGTAATTGCTAGTTGAAGCATTTTTATCATGGCAACCTTATAATCTTTGTGATATAATTGACATGTCTGCCCTTTCAATGTTGGTATTTATTTCTTGTCTCTTCCTCTCTCCCCCATTCAGTTTGGGATCCTTCTGGTTCTTCACATGGCAAATGATTTCTTAAAAATTAGACTTTTAAATTATGTTATGTGATACTCTAGGTCTTAATTTTTCAGCCAGATTTTCTGACATCAGTCTGGCAGAAGAAGGGGGAGCAGATAACTGATTTGTCATTGTCAGACAGGGGTAGAAGTCTAGGTTCCACATTTGGCCATTGCTGATGCATGAAGGAGGGAGGTCCGCATTACTGCTGAATGGAGATGGGACTTCCAGTTCTTCATATCATCTCTACTGACTCTACAATGGAGTTGACTTCATTACCACCTGGTAATGGTGAAAATCCCAGCTCTCCACTAGACTCCCTCTTATTCTACCCAAGCAGTGAGAGAGGGGGCACTTCTCTACTGCTGAATATGAATGGAAGTTCAGAATTTCCACATTGTCTCCACTGACATTGTTGGAGATAGGAATGTGCTTGTGATTTGACATGGAGGATGAATGTTTTGGGTGCCCACATAGCCTTTTTTGATACTACCACAGTAGGAGTGTTGGTGTACTTTGTTATAGCCTCATGAGAGTGGAAATCTAGGCTCCCCAACCAACCTTTATGGCATGGATGGGCACCAAAGTATTTTCTGTGCTGTTTGAATGAACACTGAGTGGTTATTTTCTACTAATGTTTTGTCTTGTGAAGCTATCCTTTCCTAGCCCTCTGGTTAGAGACAGCAGATTTGTGTTGGGGCATTTTAATTGTATTTTTCCTGTATCTATACTTCTTGGCATTTCCAGATGTCAGCTTCTCCAGTTCCAAGCACATGTAGGATATATAAGGCAAAAAGACAACCCAGGGAATTCATCACTTCATTGCTCTAGTCCCAAATTCTTTAGACAATATGCCTTCTTTCCATTAATTGTGTCTTACATTGGTTTTATATATCATGACCACAGTTTTAAGTTGTAATTGAGAGAAGAACAGGGAGAAGTATATTTACTCCAGCTTCCTAGAAGTAGCAATATCTTTTTGATTAACAACTTTCAATATACTGTCAATGGTTCCCAAATTTCCAAAGCTAATGGATTCCTTTCCATTTTTAGAATAAAAATATTCTTTAGAGCTTAAGAACATGGTAAATACATGATTATTAATTATATTCTAGTTTTCTAATTTAGCAAACACTTCAGAAATTGTACCATCTTGAAACTGTCTTCTGCATAGTTCTTTGACCTCTACTCTTCTCATTATACTAGCTGACCCAAGTATCTAGTAACTAGAGTAATAAGAATGAAAGCCAGATAACCAGGAGTTGAAGCATGAATATGAGGTAATTCAATGGGAAAAGCAAGGATGGACAACTTTTCTGAGACATTTGAATGAGAAAGGAATAAGAGTACAAGATTGATCAATAAAATAAAGATTTTTAAGAAGAAAAAACTTGAGCATAGTTTATAGTTAATGGACAAGAAAACTGAGAATTAAAACTGGAGAGACTAAAAGGTAAGGAGATGAAATAATCCTGAAAGAAATATAAGGTTTGGGGTTTATATGCAGGAATAGGCATTAACTTTGAACAGACAAACTCAACTCAATCTCTGACTAAATGTGTATGAAAATTAGTAAGTGGAGAGACTGAGGCTTGAAGAAGATCATCACAGGTAGTCACAACTGTTTGAGGGAAATTTCAGGTACCATATTTTCATAAGATGAAGAAAAGATGGGTATATTGAATGTTAAAGTCAGTAGTGAAGTTTTAGGAAAGTTGGCAATGGAACAGGACATGAAGTTTATCTCCATCACGTGTAGTGATTGGCATAATGGAGACCAGACATTATTTATGATATTATTTATTATTTTGTGTATGTCTCATGATACTTAAGTTATGCAGGTTTAGGGTTATTGAAGACAGTCCTTATTTGTAATCCAAAATTAAGATACATAGCTTACTGAGGAATGAATATAGGCCCACAAGGATAGTTGTGCTAATCAGAGATGCTCGGAAGATAAACATACCCAGGCTAGGAAGGAAGAGCCCTCAAAAGTCCAGATTGATTATAAGAACAAAAAAAAATTCAGAAAGCAGAATGGTTTGTGATATTGAAGAATGACTTTAATGAGAGGAAGAAAGCAATAAATGGAAGGACAAGAAACTGGGCACATAATAGGGCAGTGGTACAGACATCTACCTGTCCATAGAATGTCCTACCTTCCATTTGCAGTGGAAGCATTAATGCCCACATCTCTAACTGAATCTATAGAGCACAGTCATGTTTTCTCTCTTCTACTTAGTCAATCAAAATCACCTATTTTGGATGTTTCATAAATCAACAATTAATTATCATGTTAAGAAATTGAGATATACAGTTTACCTGTTACAATAACAAAATATATTGAATAAGATATTGGATATCAAGATTTCTGAGGTATGGCTGATTTGAATGATGGTTAGTTCCATAGGTTGGGAAGATTTGAAAATATCCCTTACTGTGATTCTCTATAAGTTTAATCTTTACCACTGGGGTTTGGTAGAAAGTCAACATCTACCTCTTGAATTTTATATACATTGACCCTAGCTTTAATCTTTAGGGTTAACATGTAAAATTTCTATTTCAGTCTTCCCAGAGCAACTCTTAAATTCTTTGAAGAAAGTTACAATGTATTTTTATTGAATAAAATAAGTTATTTTAAAACTATAAGATTCTAATTTTTCCAATTATTTTTCATAAATAGTGCTTAACTTGGTAAAAGAGTAGCACAAACTCCTGGTCCTTATGGATAAGGGACACTAAGAAGACTGAATATGTAATGAGTAGGGTGACTTTTTCTAGCAGTCTCTGTCATGGATAGTACAATATGTCTGGTTGGATGGTATGCTGTAAAAAGCTGTTTACAGTGGAGTAGTGACGCAATTGAGATACTCTCCCAAGGGGAAACCTTGAGCAAAAATAAGTTATTCGTATATGTTTTTCTAAGGGAGTTGAGTCTGGTTATTCATGACCTTTGTTTGGCTGGATGGTATACACAAGTTTGGGGCCAGTGCATACTTGCTTGGCAAAGTGGAATACCGGTAGAGAGCTGTCACTAGATGGCCTAATTCTTTAATTTTCCTCCCTGTATGCTCAGACTCTGCTCTGAATTAAGGTTAAATGAATATTTAATAAAATTTTCTTTAAAACTCTAGAAAATTATTACCTAGTCTAGTAAATCCTCATGACCTAGTCTAGCCCAGATCACAGTACATGATTTCTAGACTTCTCAATGTCTTAATCTCTTAAACTTTCATTTCAATATGTCCCTATTAAAAAAGAAGACATCAAAAATGAAATATTATTTGGATATGGCCTTGGCAAGCAAAAATAAGACTATCACCTTTCTTACTGTAAATATTTTATTTCAGTGGATTCGATCATAGACTATACTAGCTTTTTTTGCATTTAACTCATATTTATTTTGCCATGACATATTTTCTTAAATTACTCTTACCTTTGTCTCTGTATTAAGCTTTATTTTCTCCCAACTTATACCTAGGCAGTCAGTTTTGAACTTCCAGGATAGGATATTTTAAATTAAAATGTAAAATACATAGCTGTTCAAAAATCATACAGAGTTACACTTTATAAAGGAGTATACAACCTCAGCATGCACTGAAATGACAAACTATAAAATACCAGACACAACAGATTTCTATTTTAGTATGCTTACTTTGTCACAAGCTTTGCATGTGAGGGTCTTTGCATACATAGATGACCTAATGATGTATTGTTTTCTAGCTGTTGTAGTTATGCCCGTTGGGTAAGTACTGGTCAGGCAAATCAATAAGCACAGATTACATTAACTACTGTACAAGGAATATGGATCTTGTAACTAGGTGTGCAAATATCACTGAAGCTTCTGACCTTAACTACTCTTTTCTTTCTCACTTAATCACTTAATCCCATTATATCCACCCAAGACTGCACAGATGCTTTAACTCAGGAATATATTGGAGGTTAAAAAAAAAAAAATCTTCATCAAATTTTCAGAAATATTTATTCACAGTGCTGTTCTACAAATAAGATGTAAAAATAGTTCCCACAAATATAACTAAGTATTAGTAACAAAAACTAGAGAAAAGATGGCATTTACAAATAAATTTTGAAGATAATAAACATATCTACTTCTGGCCATGGTGGAGTATTATAGAACTTGCCCGCCTATTGAAAACAAATAGAAAACTGGTTAAAATAAGTAAAACAAATGAAGCAGATGGTGAAGAAGCAGCAGCTCAGGACTATGATCCTTGAGAGAAGGGAAATAGAAAGAGTTAAGCTCTGCCTTTATGTTTGGAGGATATTCCCGAATTTTGGCCCAGGAAAGGGTAATCTAATAAGAGCACAGTGATTTTGTTGAGCTGAGGAGACAAAGATTCAAGTTTGGGCCCTGTTCAGGGGCTCACGCCTGTAATTCTAGTACTTTGGGAGGCTGAGGCCTGCAGATTGCCTGAGCTCAGGAGTTGGAGACCAGCCTGGGCAACACGGTGAAACCCCATTTATACTAAAATACAAAAAATTAGCTGGGCGTGGCAGCGTGTGCCTGTAGTCCCAGCTACTCCGGAGACTCCGTCTCTAAAAAAAAAAAAAAAAGAAAGTTTCAAGTTTGGAGAGTGATGTAGCTGGACTTTGCAGGGCAGGGTATTGTAGAAACAGAGAAAGTGCTCTGGAAGTTTCCACTGGGTTTTTCCTGGTTAATATACCAAAAACATCTGAGAGAAATTTGTCATTAGCAGTCAGACTACAAAAATGTTTTTTTAAAAAAAATCACATTAAATAAAATATAAGCCAGTAAAAACTCAGGTCCTCACAAAGGAAAGAAAACATTAGAAGTGATATAGATGTGAGTAAATATAGGTTTTTCTATTGTTTAAAAATAACATAACTGATTATTTGACTACTTAAAGCAAAAATAACAATGCATTGAGGGGTTTATCATATGTAGAAAATCATATGTGATCATAGGACAACGTATGGGAAAAATAAATAAATACCTAATAAGTTTCTTAGATCATGTGAGAAGTGGCATAATGTTAAAGGTAGAGTATGTTAAGTTAAAGGCTTATTTTGTAAACCCTGCGAAACCATCAAAAATTGTTAAAGGAGTATAGTAAATAAGCTTGTAGAAGAGACGTGGAATACTAAAAATGATCAATTTTTAAAAAGGCAAGAGATAATTCAAAATAAACACGAGACAAATAGAATGTAATTATAAATCCAAATCATGGTAGGCTTAAACAAAAGCACATCGATACTTACATTAAATTTAAATAGTCTACATATTCAAAGTAAAAGGTCAAATTTTTGACTGGAGAAGAAAAGCAAGACAATACTAAATACATTTTAAATATAAAGCCCGAATAGAGGAAAGGAAAAAGTATCAAAAATATACACCGTGATAACCTTATTGAATATAAAGCTGGTGTGGTTACACTAATATCTGGAAAAAAGCAGATTTTGGAACAAAGAATGTTACCAGAGATTTTTTTAAAAGAGTATTTAGTCATAACAAAAGGATTCATTCCTTAAGTAATTATTCTAAATGTGTATGCCCTTAATTAGAGAGCTTTAAAATACATGAAACAAAATACTGGTAGAACTGAAATAAGAAATTGAGAAACTCACCATTACAATTAGATATTTCAACACTTTTCAGTAATTTATAGGAAAGAAAAGATGAAAAATCAGTTAGAATATAAAAGAATTTAACAACACTACCAGTCAACTTGACCTAATTGATATTTTAGGACATCCCAAACAACTACAGAATATTTATTCTCCTTAAATGCACAAAAAATTAACTTAAGACTACATTATGGGTCATAAAACAAAACTCAGTAGACTTAAAAGAAATAAAATTATACAAAGCATGTCTTCTCTTAAGTAGCAAATTAAGCTAGAAATGAATAACACATATTTGGGGAAAAAGTCACCAAGTATATGGAAATAAAAAAAACATACAAATAACTTATGGGTCAAAAAAATACAAATAAAGATATTTGATCCTAGTGAATGCTAGTGAAATATAAGATGTAAAAATTTGTGTGATGCACTTCAAGCAGTGCACAGAAGACAGTTTATATTTTTCAATACTTACATTTGAAAAGAAAGATTTAAAAGCATTGATCTAAATTTGTATCTTAGTAAGGTAGAAAAAATGAAATATTAAATCCAAAGTCAACAGGTAAAAAGGAACATAAAATTAGAAGTTTCTAAATTTAGATTTACAGACATAATAAGATAAATAAGGAAACCCAAAAGCTGGTTTTGAAAAGACCAATACAACAGGTACAACTACAGTGAAAACTGATCCAGAGAATGACAAAGAAAAAAAGTCCAAATTACTAATGTCACTAATGACAGAAGACATCATTACAAATCCTACAAATATTATACCAATACAGCATTATAAATCATTTTGCTAAAAACATTTCCTGAAAAACTCAAATTTCTGAAGCTGACATGAGAAATTTTTTTTACATAAAACACTGCTCTATCATTTAAGAAATTTGAATTTGTAATTAAACAAAGAAACAAAACTTCTCACAAGGAATACTCCAGATCCAGAAACCTTCACTAGTGAATTCTATAAAAGTTAAGAATGATATATTATCAATCCTACACAAATTATTTTAAGAAAATAGTGGTGAAGGGAATAATTTCTAATTCATTTTAGGAAGCTAGCATTTCATTGATACTTAAGCCTATAAAAGGTATTTAAAAATCTTCAATATCCCTCTTCAACGTAGACACACATCTTTCAGACAATAACAAATCAAATTCAGCAGTATGTAAAAATAAAAACATAAGCCAGGGTTTGTCTTAGTGATGCAAGCTTCAATTAACATGGAGAAAATCAATTAATGCAATTCACAATAAAATAAAACAAAAGAGAAAAATAATGCAATAATTTAATAGGCATTGGGTGAGAATCACTATTGGTGAAATCTTTCTGCACACTAGAAATAGAAGAGGTATTTCTCAATCGGGTAAAGGGCATCTACAAGAACTTAAAGGTAACATCTAGTTGGTGAAAACCCAATGTTTTTCTTAAAAATCCGGCGGAAAAATGCATGGCTATCCCTTTTATCACAACCATTCAACATTATACTACATAGAATAGCTGGTGCCATAAGGCAAAACAAATAAACTATAGTCATACATTTATTTTTGTGTAGGATAGGTAAAATGTCCTGTTTACATTTGACACAGTCATGTAGGAAGAAAACTTCAAGCAATCTCCAAAGAGTACTAGATAAAAGTAGATTTAACAAACTAGAAGGATATATGGCTTATAAACAAAAAGAAATTAAACTTCCATATGCTATAAATATTTAGAAAATAAGATTAAAAAGTCAAAAAATATAAATACTTAGGAATAAGTAAACAATATTTGCAATATCTGTACCAAAAAAATCTTTCAAAACGTTGCTGAGCAAAATTAAAGATCAGATAAACAAAGGCATAATATGTTCATGGATATAAAGATTTGAAACTGTGAAAATGTTAGACTTTTTCTAATCTGTAGATTCAGCACAACCCCTATTAAAACTCCAATTCATAGATACTGGAATATTATTCTAAAATGTGTACAGAAAAGACGATCTAAAATAAGCAAAATAATCTCCACTCAGGTGAAAGAAGTATGACACCATACTTAGTTCCAAGACTAACTATAATGCTATGCTAATCAAAACTGTGTGCAATTGTTAGACATGTAGATCAATGAAGCAAACAGAATCCAAGAAGAAGGATCAAACTTATATTGCCAGTTGATTTCTAATAAATGTGCCAAGTTATTTAAATGGCAAAAAAGGTGGAACATCTGGCACTCACAGGAAAAAAATAAAAACAGAGAGAAACTTAACACTTACCTTGCCCCAATAACAAAATTGACTTGAAATAGATCATAGAGCTAAGTGCAAAAACTAAATCTATACAATCTCTATAAGTAGATCTAGTTGAAATTCTTTGCAACCTTGGCATAGGCAACGGTTTCTTAGGACACAAAAAGCACTAACAAAGAAACAAAAGAATAGATGATGCTTGTCATTTAAAAAAAAGTTCTGCTCATTAAGAATATGGTGAAGAAAAATAAAACAATGAAACCCAGACTGGAAGAAAAAATTGCATTTTAGATGTAATTGGCAAGAGATTCTATTTTGAATACAAACGCTTACATTGCAACTCCGAGAGACAAACCATTACAAATTGGCAAAAGATTTTAATAGACATTTTACAAAACAACATATAAAAAAGGCCAATGTGCACAAGAAAAGCTATTCAACATCATTATCATCAGGAAAGTGTAAGTTATGATCATTTTTACGGTATATTTTTCTAATTCTCACTACATAGCTAAAAGTAAAAAATAAGATCAACATACTAGGCACTGGCAAGGATATAGAGCAACCGAGGTTTATATATAATATGTATTATTATATATTATATATATTATATTTATTATATGTAATATATATTGTATTATTATATATATTATATATAATATATATTGTATTATTATATATATTATATATAATATATATTGTATTATTATATATATTATATATAATATATATTGTATTATTATATATATTATATATAATATATATTGTATATTATATATATTATATATTATATTATTATATATTATATATATTATATTATTATATATTATATATTATATATATTATATTATATATTATATATTATATTATATATATTATATTATATATTATATATTATATTATATATATTATATTATATATTATATATTATATTATATATATTATATTATATATATTATATATTATATATTATATATATTATATATTATATATTATATATATTATATATTATATATAATATATATTATATTATTATATAATATTATATATTATATATATTATATATTATATATAATATATATTATATTATTATATAATATTATATATTATATATATTAGATATATTATATATATATATAAACTTCGGTTGCTCTATATCCTTGCCAGTGCCTAGTATGTTGATCTTATTTTTTACTTTTAGCTATGTATAATATATATAATATATACACTTCGCTGATGATAGTGTAAAATGATACAACCTTTGTAGAAATCAGTTTGGCACTGGCTTAAAAGTTAACTATATGACATAACACTTCCCCTACAAGATATTTTCCCAAGAGATAGTATCCTGTGTCCACAAAAAGATTTGAACATGAATGCTCATTGCAGCTTTGTTTCACAGAACCAAACACTGAAAACAACACAAGCATTCGTCAACAAATATAGAGAGAAAAACTGTGATATAATCATACAGTAAAATACTACTCAGCAATAAAGAGAAATACATGTGATGAATGAATTTCAAAGTAAATATGCCAAGTAGTCAAAGACAAACAGTAAAGTATACATACTATGTAATTCATTGATATGAAATCTTATTAAAAGTAAAATTAACCTATAGTGAAACAAAGTAGAACAGTGATTGCTTTGGGCAGAGGTGAACTGGAATTGTTACCATGGGGCAAGAGGGAGAGAAAAGCATTCTATATTGTATTCATTTCCTGCAATTGTTGACATGAATTATCACAAAAGCAGCAAAATAAAGCAACACTTACTTATTTCACAGTTGTGTAGGCATGACATGGCTATCCAATTCTCTGCTCCACATTTCACGAGGCTGAAATCAAGATGTTGGGAGGGCTGTGCTCCTTTCTGGAAGCCCTGAGGATAAATTCACTTCCAAGTCGATTCAGATTTTCAGAAAATTCAGTATCAGGCAACTATAGGAATGAAGTCGCATTACTTGCTGGCTGCCTGCCAATGGTCATTCTCAGCTTCAGGAAGCATTTTGTGTCTTATGACCCCCTCTTCCAAGGGAGGAATCTTTGTTGAATCTTCAAGATATCAAAGCTAGGTTAAGTCCTTCCCGTATTTTACATCTCTGACCTCCTGTTCTGCCTTCCTCTTCTACTTTTAAGGGCTTCTGTGATTGAATTGGGCCCACCTGATAATCCAAGAGACCCGCCCTCAGCTGATTATAACCTTAATTACACCTGCAAAGCCCCTCACAGAAGTACCTAGATTAGTGTTTGACTGAATAACTAGGAGACTAGAATCTCCATGGGAAAGGGGGAGACTCTTTAGAATTATGCCTAACCCGTATATCTTGATGGGGTAATGGCCACATTGGTATATTCATATGCCGATGTGAGTCGAACTGTTTATTTAAAATGAATTGACTTTATTATATATAATAGACCTTAATATACTAAATTTGAAATGTAAAAATAACTATCTAGAGAAATTTATAGTGAAAATACAAAATAAAGGCATAAAGTACGCTTTAGAATAAAGGATAATGTCTTTTTACATTCAGATGTCTTTAGTAAAGTGTAGTCCATGATACATATATAAGGCATATATAATTCATTGTTATATGTAACCATATATAACAATGAATATATATTCAATTAACGGATTAAAAAATTAATTCAGTTGTTTCCAGGATGACTCTTCTCAGATAACTTTTGTTTCCCTGATTTGAGGAAAAAATAAAACAGGAGCAAGAACAACCAAATTATAGATAACTATAAGTCACATGCCTCTTGAATAACTTGTGTCAGCTCTCCGTGAACTTGTATAAATACAGATGTCATGCAAGACTAGATGAGTATGAAACTAGATGAGTAATTTTATTACTGTCCAGTAGAAATGTAAGCCACATAAATAATTTTAAATATTCTACAGATACATTATAATGAACGTTAGGAAAAACAGATGAAATTAATGTTAATATACATTGTCCATCTTGTTAAGACCATTTGTCTTTACCAGACCATTCCTTGATTAAATTTATCTGGAACCCATTTATCTGACCTGGAATTCCAACACGCAGATTCTTGATAAAATTAGTAGGTCAATTTATTAAAAATAATATTCATGAGCACGCTAACATTTTTAAGTGCTCTAAATTATCTACATACAAGTTTACTTCATTAGTTTTTATAAATGTTTAGTTTGTTTGATATTCAACACAATGAGGTAAACCTAATAAAATTGCCTGGGCCTTTGAAAGGATAGTTTTCAGGACAAATAATTTCTTTAATAAAATGCAAAAGCTATGTTTAAATCATAGAATTATAAAGCCAGAAAATTGCTTCAATTCTTTTAGAGCATTAGTTGGCAAGCTACAGCTGGCTAGGACAAATGTGGCTTACTGCCAGATTTTGTAAATAAAGCTTTATTGAACCCTAGTCACACCCATTTATTTGCATATTGTCTAAGGCTGCATCTGGGCTGCAATTGTAGAGTGAGCAGCTGCAACAAAAACCATATGACCTAGAAAGCCTAAAATATTTACTATCTTGTCCTTTATAGAAAAAAATTGCCAATGCTTACTCTTGGCCACTGTGGTAGCCACTGCTCACCTGTGAGTATTGAGCACTTAAAATGTGGCTGGTACAACTAAGGAACTGAAGTTTTAATTTAATTGAAATGTGCTTCAATTACAAAATGTAAATTTACAGTATTGATCAGGGTTCTTCACAGAAGCAGAACATATAGGAGATGTATTATCCCACACACACGCACATACATAGAGAGAGACAAATGGACAGACAGACAAAAAGAGAGAGAGAGAGAGGTTAAAGGAATTGGCTTATGTGTTTATGGACTCTGGCAAGGCCAAACTGTAGTATGGGCTGGAAGTCTCAAGACCCAGGAAGGACAGTGATGCCAATGAAGTCCAAATGTAGTCTTCTGGAAATCCCCTCTTGCTTGGGGTGGTCACATTTTTGGTTAAATTCAGGCCTTCAACTGATTGAATGAGCTCACCTACATTACGGTGGGCAATCTGTTTTACCCAAAGTTTACTGCATTAAAGGTCACCCCAAAAATACCCTCCAAGTTGACACATAAAACTGACCATCATACTTACTATTTTAAAGACATAAAATTGCAAAGACTTTTTTTTAAAAAATGTAAAATATCTCATTTTCATATTGACTACCTGTTGAAATTATCATAGTTTAGAAATATTGGTTAAATAAAATTGCAGAGTTCTGTCCCAGTATTATAAGTTCCACCTAACTTTGGAAACTGACCAGAGATTGAATCCAATGCCAACCAGAAAAGAAGTTGCCAGGTGAGGAAAGTCCAAATGACTCTCTTATCTTCAGAGTGATTGTGAACTCCATCAACACTGTGCACTGGGATTTTGCTTTGGGATAACTTCCCAGACATTGACCTTGACTAAAATCAGGCAGTGTCTAGACAGAACTGTCACTATGGTTACTTTGTCTGAATGGATGGTTAGATCAAGTAATTAGCTAATTAATTAGACGATCAATCTTTAAGTGATGTAATTAATTAACTTGATACTTAAAATGTGAGACATAGATGCTCCTAAGGGTAAGGCATGTTCATAAAATGTAGTTGCTGCCCTCTAAGAGCTTTCTCTTATTTCTGTTTGCTTCCCTAATTCTCTCCTTCTCTCCTTACTTCCTTACTTTTCCCTTCTCTGCCTCCTTCTCTCCTCTCTCCCTCCCTTTTCCCTCCCTCCCTTCCCTCCCCTTCCTTCCTTCCTTCTTTCCTTCCTTCCTTCCTTTCTTCTTCCCTCCCTCCCTCCCTCTCTCCTTCCTTCTTTCTTTTCTTCCATTTATATAGCTTGTTTGTTGTGGACTTTAATCCAGGATGTAATTCTGGTTCACACATAATGTTTGGTTTTATGCAAAGGCACATACCTTTTGGATGAACTACTTTATTTAGATTTGGGCTCTTGAGATTTTTCCTTTAGATCTGAGACACTTGTATATTCTTTGGTTTTCATACCCTTCCCAATGTGAATAGTTTGACCTTTCTTTCAATTCTTCCTACAGAAACTTATGTGAAACATTTGGCAACTATTCTGGGTTCCCCCCCACCCCTTATCTTATTGCTAGTTATCTAAGAAGTGTCTGTTTAAGGGGTTAATAAAATTTACAATAGGCACAAGACTCTAACTGTATGAAATAATAAAATCTAGCTGATATAATTGGAACTGCTAAGCCATTATTTTTCCTGAGCTAGTCAGATGTGTTTTTGACAGAGAGTTAAACTTTAGGTATTACAAACTGTTCGTTACATTGTCTTTGTTGCCAGCTGGACGTTGAGTAAGCTGAAGACAGCATGTCAGTGGTTCTCAGGTTTCATAGCCAAAATACTATGCAATCTTAATCTCGCCATCCATTTCCAGCCACATTTATGAAAACCTTCCTTTGATTAGCTTCTTTGTGAATCACTTTATTTTCTGTGATAACGCTACCTCCCATGTTTAAACAGATAGTACTTCCTACAGCAGAAGCTGTTGTTATCTCATGTCCTCTCAACCCTCCTCTAAATTCAACTATAGCCAAGGCCACAGTGTCTGCTCATGTGGGCAGCCTCCCCTTCAAGGCCTGTGTCTCTAGGAGGGCGTGGTTCTAGGGCTGTGAGAGCTGGTCAGCAATCATGGCTGTTAAGAATGACTGGAGATAGCACCTCAAGGGATAATGGCAGCACATAAGGAACTCGAATCAGTGGGTAAATGCTCTAGCTTCCCATCTTTTTTGTGGAAATACTGAAATGCATTTATAGACTCAAGAGACGGGCCCTGGAAGTCTTTCCCACAGTGGAGACCTGCTCATTAACACATCCTTGATTGATTTTCTTCCTTCCTTGGTCCACTCTCTTCACTTCCTTACTCATGTTTCATGAAAAACCAAGTAACCTGCCAGCAGCCCCATCAATTTCCCAGAATAGGCTTGGAGGGAATCCTACATAAGACTCTTCCTTTGTGGTCATAGCACACTGTAGAAACTGTGGCCACATAATTCTGTGAGCTCTGTAACACTGTAGGGCTGAGTGTGTCATCAGGAGAACACCAGGCCATGACTCAGCTGTAGTTTTATTGTCTTCTTACGATTCTTACCACACAAGACCTACAGGTACACACAAAGGGAGACTCATCTTCAATTTTCTGAGGCAAGGTTGGAAACTACATAATAGTGGTTTCTTACATTAAGCAAAATACATTCATATGCTTATGTCATTGATTCTTCCCAACACTTTGAAAGGTCAGCGTATTTAACCAAATTGACAGATAAAAATACTGAGACTTTGATTGAAGGACTAAGAAAACACAAATATGACCTGGAGTCTGAAAGAGCATTTCAGTAAGAAAAGAGGTTTTCTAACTCCAACACCACTGACTACTATCAGACACTATTCAAGATGTGAAGAGATTACCTAGAAAACTGAAATTTCTAGGGAACACTTTATTTTCACTGGTATAACCATTCATATGTTATCCTGGAAAAACAAAAGAAAATGAGACAATTTTGCTTTCTAAGTTCAATAGTGTGGTGATTCAACAATATCCCTTGTCCTTAATTTTAAAAAGTGAGGGGTGTGGATGGGGGCAGGACCTTAATGTAGATGAAATTGGCCATATTTCTAGTTCCCAAAGTGGGCCCATTTCCAACTATAAACAGCTATTCTCTCATAATGTCGCTGCTGTCTTCAAGATATTTCTTCAGTCTTTGCCTGCTACCTCAGATGTTAACTGCTTTACCTGGCCTTTGAAGTTAGCCAGACATATTCCCTCCTACCCACTAGAACCTATTGTACTGCTGTTTGGTTACAACATAAACCTTCCTCTAGGGTCAGACCAGTCTTTTTACTATCAAAATATATCCCTAGTTTCTGCCTACTCATGTCTGCCTCCCTCCATTCAGATCCTATCCATACTTCATGGTCCAGGTGACATTCTCTCTGCTCTGTTCTAAAAGATCACCATTATTCCCATCCTCAGAACCATCTTCTTTTCCTAGAATGTTTACCATGTGCTATAGACTGAATGTTTATGTTTATACCAATAAGATGGTATTAGGAGGTGGGGCCTTTCGAAGGTGATTAGGTTTAAATGAGGTTATAAGGGGGAGACCCTCATTATGGGGTTAGTACCCTTAAAAGAAGGGTCATGAGAGATTGCTATGACTCTCTGCTTTCCATCATGTGAGGACATGAGAAGATCACCATCTGCAAACTGAGAAGAGGGTCCTCGCCATACACTGGATCTGCTGGCACCTTGATCTTGGACTTCCCAGTCTCTACAACTTTAAGAAATACATTTCTGTTATTTAAGCCACCAAGTCTATGATAATTTGTTATAGCAGCCAGAACTAAGACATCACATATCTTAGTTTTCATTCACTTTAGGGAAAGGAACAGGCCATGATGTTCCCAGGTTTCTCATATCCTTTGCAGCCTGCTAAACACAATGTAATTGTGTAAAACACATCTTGGTTATTTACAGGCAAAGAAAGGAGGAGAAGTTCCAAGGCGGAAAGACAACCAGCTACATTTCTGAGACTTTGTCTTCCTCCAGGGTATCATTAACCAACTCTGTTTATCGCTCTGGGCCTTAAGCGAAGGCAGTGCTAAAAAGAAAATTCCTTCAATGACCCCAATTTCTGAAAATGGTATGCATTTTCACACACAGAAGAAATACATAACTCACCTCTAAAATACCTAATACTGATTGTTCACTTACAGTATAAGAGAGGTGCCTCTATATTTCTGGTACTGGGCTTTAAATTTTTCACTGAAGTGGATTCCATGGAAGACCTTTGAGGCTTTATAGAAAAAGAATACTGCAATCATCTTGCAAACATTTGAGACTTGCAAGGGGGAGAGTAAGCATTTTGTGTGGTTGGAGTGTAAATAAGGGAAATTTCCCTGGAGCTGTTTAGGATGTGAATCTGGCCCAATTTTAAGAGAGCTCCTGCTCTGCTCTGCAACCTCTCCAAGGAGCTGATCGAGAGAGCCGTCTTGAAGTAACTTGGAAATAGCTTAGAGTTTGGGTCAGCTCTATAGAGAGGATGAACAGAAAGAGAAACAGCTGTTGATATAAATGGATTATTGAATTAGGAATTGAAACAGAGAGGCACATGAGTAAGGGGCAAAACAGCAAAGGGGCTGCTCCTTAAAAGAGGGTGCAGCAAACCTGCAGAAGACTGAAGATGCTTTTTCTGCCAACACTACTGGTTAACTGTTGATTTCTTTGCTGTGCTGTCTTTGCTTAGAGAAAGGTTTTTGTGACTGATGTTGTCTCAGACATTACAGATAAAACTACAAACAATTATGCTTCTCATAGCTAAGAAAAAGCTTAGAAAAGGGCACATAGGATAGAACATAAGGAAAATGATTAAACAGATGAAAGCCAAGAGCTGTCAAATGAAGGAATGGCCTCAAAATAACAAAACAAAGATTTAACTCCGTAAAGTTAAAGTTTAAAGGAAAATTGCCAGCCACTCAACAAATTATAATTTGCAACTACTGTGTCCCAGGCACTTTGACAGATGCTGGGACTAACATGATAAATTGGTCAGCCTATGATATCTACTATCCCAGGAATTCATGTTCAAAGAGTACCTGGGCAGAAAAGGATTAAGAGATTCTCTAGTCTACAAGCAAAAACTAGAGACCTAAAAATACATACTGTTTGTTTCTAAAACTTGAGTTTGAATGCTGAAAGCCTTTAGACCAGGTTTGCGAACTCTAGTTATTGTAGTCCTAAGTCTTTCTTGTGTTTTTGAGCCACTAAATTTCCTTACATGCTTTTGTGGCTTTGAAAGCATCTGAGTTTGCAACAACTCCTGCATATCTCCTGTTATAAAACTAGGAGACATGCAGAAGTTTTACAATTTCGGAAACTGAGGGTAAACAAGATTAATGGATTTACCTCCATTTTCACTGCTAACGAGGAGCAGAGGCAAGACTAGAATCCAGGTCTCATTACTCTTAGTGCAGCACACCACTTGTATCAAGGCTGTTGGTGTTCTATGTCATCATGGGGATAGAGGGCATCAAGTCTTAAATGACTTTCTTGGGTTATTCAGAATATTGGTGTCAGAACAGTGTATGACTTCAGTCTATTTCTCTAGTCACTCAGTATTCCACGTCCCAACCTCCTTTGCCTATTTTCTCCCTTTCCCAGGGGAATAAGACAATGAAGCAATCTCAGACAGGCTTTAGAATCGTTGGAGCAAACTTAGATGGACTGCTCCAGAACTCAATTACTGTTTCAGCTCCACTGAAGAGAGATGGCATGGCTAGTGATGGCAGCCTATACATGTCCCTTTTCCCCCACTCCTGAACTAAACTCCTTGTCGTGACCTCTTCTACTCTGCAGGTTCTATTCTCCCTGCTCTTTAGGTGTCACATCTGAGCAGTGCCCTGATGCGGACTAGATATTACAGCCACCTTTCTCCCAACATCATCTCCCAGAAGCTGTCAGCATGTAATGATTTTCAGTTGCAACTGACTGGGATGAGAGTATTGTTTTAATTGCTATTGAATAACAGCAAATTAAGCAGGGCAACATAGAAGAGGCAATGAGAATGAGAATTGTACTTTTGTTCAAAAGCATAAATTTAGGACTACTGCAGTTGTGTTGTAACTCTGAAAACTGAGAATGTATGTTTTTTTTATATACTGGGAAAACTTCTGGAGTAGACTGTATTTTCTTTCTAATAGTAGGTTTAGTTTGTTCTCTATAGAAAAATGACAAGGCAATAAAAGAGGTCCTTGCTTTATGACACCAGAATATTTTAGATAAGACTCAGTACTCACCCTTAATTGATTTTACGCTGGTGGAAAGCAACAGCAGAGCAGCGAGAGGCAATGGAATGATGGTGTTACAACCTCCAACCAACTTAGTCACAGTCTGAGAAACAAAAGAGAAAGGAAATTAGCATTTTTTGTGTGTTAGAAAAATCAACAAGCTTTTCACCCATTGACTGTCAGTCATGTGCCCCTCCTTGGACTCGGTGCTTTGGGACACTAAATAAAAATGACAAGAAAATAGAAAGGCAGCCAGGTGCAGTGGCTCACTCCTATAATCCCAGCATTTTGGGAAGCCTAGGCAGGTGGATCACGAGGTCAGTAGTTCAAGACAAGCCTGGCCAACATGGTGAAACCCCATCTCTACTAAAAATATAAAAATTAGCTGGGCGTGGTGGTGGGCGCCTATAATCCCAGCTACTATGGGGGCTGAGGCAGGAGAATTACTTGAACCCAGGCAGCAGAGGTTGCAGTGAGCCGAGATCACACCACTGCACTCCAGCCTGGGCGGCAGAGCAAGACTCCATCTCAAAAAAAAAGAAAAGCAAAAAAAAAAAAAAAAGAAAATAGAAAGGCTTGGTTCAGTATTGTATTTAATTGTTTGAGGTACACACATAATTATGTAGATTATTAGTTATTGATTGCATAAATAATTATGTAAATGTTTGAAAAAGAGAAAAGATGTTTAGAATCAAAGACTACGTTTTGTGATTCTACCAAAATACATGATTGTGAGAAAGGGAAATGCTAGCATGTGTTAGAGGAATGTAGGATGTTTTCTTGCACAGGGTGGGCCCTTAGAAGACCTGAGGAGGTGGAGAGAAGCTGGGGACAGGGAGGGGGCTCAGAAGATAAGGCTGGGGTGATATAGGTGAAGTTGGAACAATGTGTATCTCCTCTGGCACTGAGGAGATATAAAAATCTAAAGCAATGCCTCTGTGTTAGAATAGGGATGATAGATGGCTACAAATGCCTGTCATTTAAAGACAGAGCTGCTAGCAGCTTTCTAAAGAGCCTCATCCCAAATTACCAATAGGCGTGGTATCCCTCTCTTGGCAACAGGAAATAGGGCTATGGCCTGGCTGAGGTAGGAAGCTAGTTGGGTGGAATGCCTTCCAAACACTAGGGATATGTTTGGCCTCAAAGCTCTCTCCTTGACCTGCTTGATGATGTCTAAGATCATTTGACCAGGAGCAAAGCAAAGCAGGAAGAAAGGACCCACACAAGGAAGCCTGGCAATGTGGCAGACAGACCATTGCCATGAAGTTCAAACAGACCTGTGTTTTAAGTCCTGACTGCCAGCTTCTGTGCATGGGCCAGTCTTGAGCTTTTGAATAAAGATGACACATTCACATTAGACTACAGAGCTATTATATCAGTAAATCATCCAGCACAATGCCGGTCATGGGCAGGGACTAAATAAATAGTAGAAATTATTAATTTAAGGAAAAATACAAACTTATCACAAAGGAAATTTTCTAGCTTGACAATTGTGACAACTTTAATGCTGATAAAGGAGGAACTGAGGCTTAGTTGAGAAGCGATTAAAGGTCTCTTCTTGGTCTTTACGTAATGCTCCTCAATCTGCATGAAATCATGTCAGGGCTTCCTTCTCAGAGCTATGGAATACGTCTGTTGTTTTTAACCTACCCAGAATTCATTTCTTCTCTTTCTGGTTTTCCAGATCCTCAGTTTTCCTTGGTGGAAGCATTGAATCTACTCTTGCTCCACAGAGTTAGTATGGAATTGAGCCTAACTCCTAGCTGCAAGATGAGCAATTGATCCAGGCTTACCAAGTTAGACTAGTGCATCCTCTGGCCATCCTCCCCTTCTCATCAGGGATTTGAGTGTGACTTACAAATTAGTCCAATCAGAATAAGTCAAATATCTTATAACTATGGGGAAAAATAAGTTGTGTTTCTGCTAGGGTTGCTGTGAGGACGGGCTGAAAGCTGACAGCTGGCAACCAAATTGGAAGAACCTGCCAGAATGAAGACAACTAGAAGAAAGCAGAGAGGAGAAATGAGAAACAGAGTCCTGATGTGAACAGAGCAAATATGCCACACTCTCCTAAGTGCCTTGAATATCAACTTTATTTAACTCTTTCAAAAATCCTATGAAGCGGTTATTATGTTCATTTTAGAAGAAAGAAAACTGAGTCAGTCACTGAAAGTTAAATAACACGTTCCAAGTTACACAGTAAATAGGTACTAGTACAGGGATTTAATTGCAGGCAGTCTGGCTTCAGAGTCCTTGCCTTAATAGATATACTCTACTATCTTTTCAAGAGATGCTTCAGATTCTGGATCCCCTATAGTTACAGTAATGTTAGCTAACACATTTCCTTTCTTGGCTTAAGCCATTTTCTACTAGCTAGGATTCTGCCATTATCTCTCAAAAGCATGCAGAGTAATTTAACTGCTCACCCAGTGTTCTCTGCCTTGCCCATGGTCTCAGTCTTAGCCCAGATCCTCCTTTTCACCTGCTAAAGACATTACCCAAATGCCTTTCATTCAAAATTCTCTACATTCCAGCACAAAACTGTGTTTGGATCTTACTTCTATTACTCCTCTCCAGAAAAAAAAAAAAAAAATCCTTTTTGTTGGCTATTAATGATCTCTCTAAACCTACAGCTGAGCCAATCAATTACTTCCTACAAGTCCATCGACATCTCTGATTACGTGCTCCATCATATTACTAGGGAAAATATCTAAAGTAGTATTTGGCAATTTAAAAAAATCTCATTCAATATCCTTATTCAGTAAACGTATTAGTCTTAAGAACTCTGCTAATATAATTTAGAATTTTTAAATTAATTAAATTAGACACTGGAGTTCTTAGGACTCACCCCACCCCTTTTCTTCTTTTCTTGTGAAGGGGAATGGGTGACTGTAGGTTACCACCACCTCCCAATGCCCCAGTGCTTCTTGTTAGCTTTCAAACAGTAGTTGGAGTATGTTAAACACGGTTTCCTTGCAACCATTTCCCCCCTCTTCAAAATGCACATTTATTCCTTCCCCTTTCTTTCATAGGCTACTTCTCAGCAATTCTGCCATTAACTCAAGAAAAGTAGAATGTGCAGTTTACCCTTGAACAATGCAGGGGTTAGGTGCACCCCCCACCTCATGCAATTAAAAACCTGTATATAACTTTTGACTCCCCAAAAATTTATCTATGAATATTAGGTTGGTGAAACAGTAATTGTGGTTTTTGCCATTACTTTTAATGGGAAAAAGCTGCAATTACCTTTGCACCAACCTATAGCTAACTGTTGAGATCCTTTCTAATAACATAAACAGTAAATTGACACGTATTTTGTTTGTTATATGTGTTTTAATACTTTATTTTTACAACAAAGTAAAGCTAAATAAAAAATATTATTATGAAAATCATAATAAAGAGAAAATGTATTTACAATTCATGAAGTGGAAGAGGATAATCATAAAGGTCTTCATCCTTGTCCTCTTCATACTGAGTAGCTGAGGAGAAGGAGGAAGAGGAGAGGTTGGTCTTATGATCTCAAAGGTGGCAGAGATGGAAGAAAATCTGTGTATAGGCAGACCTGCATAGTTCAAAGCCCCTTTGTTCAAAGGCCAATTATATACTCTGTGTGTGTGTGTTTACATGAACCTATAACAAAGAGACCATATTAGGTTTAATCATGACACTCATTTTTATTGGCTACTCTACTTTCTCTCTGAACTTCTTAATCTATTAATATACTTAGTTGTCTTCCTAGCTATATATTTTGAGGTTAATCTGTAGTGCAAAGGTGAAAAGAATTATTGGTTAACATACAAGCTGCTATTTTCATCTGTGGTTGGGAAAGGCAGCATTTTCAAGCTGAAATCTACAAGACTGAGACAGATTTCCTAAGAATGTTCATGGTTTTCCACTTGACCACATGAATTTGTTTGGAATTTTGCCCTGCCTCAAAGACATAAGGGAGAGTAATCTGTCAGCAGTGGATGCTTGAATTGCCTTCTCACCCTATGTGCTTTAAAATGACCCCAAAATTGCTGAAGCAGGCTAAGTGTTTCCCCTCAAGGTGCTGGTTATACATTGCCAGGTTCTTAAGCTCCATTCATAGCCTCCCCATTTTCTGCTGACCCCATTCCTTGATTTTCCCGTTTCAATAGATCTGCAAGCATAGAAACTATAACCTCAAACCTATTTGCAACCACTCAAAAAAGACACAATAGGCTGAGGCAAAACACACACGCACACAAACACAAGCACACTGCCACCACCACTACCACTAACAACAACAACACAACCCTAGGAGTTTGTAACAAAAAAAAGTTCTGCTCCTACCTTGGGAATATCTTCACATGCCATCTCCAGAAAGGAACAATTGTGATTTCAGATGGTTGAGAAGAATTACTTTGCATTATCGCAGCATTGAAATGGAATTTCTTCATAAGACAGGATGAAAATCCTTCTTTAACATAGTCTCTTTCCTGATGACAGGTTATGGCATGGTCCTTGTGTCTGAACAGCAGTGGTGAGAGTCTCTCTGGGAAACTTCATGGTGGTGAAGACCTGAATGGAGATACCTTTGAATCTGCCTGTCAGCAGAACTGACCAATACAGGCTCAGTTCAATAGCAGCTGGATGTAGCTGCTTCTAAGGATGAAGAGCCGCTCCGCTCCAACTCTAGAGCCTATAAAGTGCTTGAATTTTGGGAAGGGGTGGGGGTGGGGGGATATGAATAGACCTTATGCTTTCACTTACCATACCCTGAACCTAGATAACTACTTTTTCAATGGTTTTCCCATAACTGAGTGAATGTACCCTTATGAATTTCTTGAACAACCCTGGTGAAACTTTGTCTTGAACTCATATCACAAGAACAGAAATAGAACTTACGTATCCTTGCATGTTTCAGCTCTATCTTGAGTCATGTGTCTTAAGAAGTGTATATTTATTTTTAATTCCAACAATTTTTGTTGAACTGGCCAATTACATTCTTTTGATTGTGAGCCATTTAATCAGATTTTCTAGTGCCCTGGCTACATCACAGAAGGAAACTCATTTTTGTTCTTTTCAGTTCACTGGGTAAGTGAATGCCCAATTACCTTCTGGGGCCGTCACTGCTCATCGCCATTTTGGAGTTTTTGCCTCCAGGCCCCACTCCAGTTTCCTCTCCAGTTACCTTATCTCATTTCCCAGTTGCTCGGCCAAGTGAGGCTTCCAGGACACAATGCCAATCTCAAGGTACAGAGTTGCAGGGTAAAAAATGTTGCATCTAGTTACTATTGTAGTTCATAATATGGAAGTCACATATACCTCACTCCTCTGTATTATTAATTATTTGACCCAAATATCCTATTGCTTAAGTCCTTTGCCTTTATGTAATTCACCTTACATTCCAACTCCCAGTAATTAATAACAGGGTAGCCTTTTTGTTCTCCAGGGAAAGAAAAGTATCACCCCTCTATACATGGGGATTAGGTAATTAATGCAATGTTTTTCACTGGGAATGCCTTAATGAACCTTTTGGTCTTGTTTTTCTCCCAGAATTACACTCTACAATTCAACTCTAGAAAGAGCTTTAATTGTTTGGAAATAAATAGAGAGTCATTTCTGGAGTATGTTAAAAAGCACATTGTCAGGGATCTGAGATCTATAAGGAATCACATGTTTAGTCATGCAATTTCAACAATATTAACCCAATTCACCTCATTAGAAAATAGAGAGGGAAATGAATGGAAAACGTATTTGGTGATGTAGGTGAGGGTATATGTAATGCCATTGAGTTTATGATATTTCCACTGTAGAAAGGAAGTTAATAATTGGGAGTAATTCCCATTGATTTCTAGTGCATGTAGTAGGCACCAGCTAGATTTACTCAAGAAAAAAATAACTTTGAAAAAGCAACATTTTACTCTTTCAATTATCATTCCTGGTACATAATAAAGAAAATTTAAAAGATTATATAAAAGTGAGTTAGACTCACTTTTCACTAATACTTTTCCAGTATTAAGCAGTAATGGCACAATTTATTTACAACCATCTGTAATCAGATCTTTGTCTAAACCTGTATATTTCATCTTTTTATTGTAATGAGTGACCCCAGACTATTTTAAATGCTGGGAGTGAAGGGGCTTCTTTTTATATTCAATTTCTTATTAAAGTAAAGAGGATATTTAATATGATTCACTCTGAAAATTAAATGCTCCCAAGTTGCATTTTAAGACATTTAGCATAACTCATGTTTTAATTCTGTGTTTTTAAATGCTCAAGGACTTGAGTTTCTGCTCTCAGCAAATCTTTGCCTCAGGAGACTCTTTTTTGTTCTTAGTGTTTCAGAAAAATATTTTCAACTAGCTCATCTTCTGGCTCACTAATCCTCTCTTCAGCTGTGTCTAATCTGTTATTAAGCTGATCTATTGAGATCTTCAACTATTGTAGCTTTCAATTGTAGAATCAATTTTCATTCTATTATTTCTTGTAGATTTTATTTCTTTGATGAAAGTTTTTATTTTGGTTATCTATTTCTTTCAACATCTTAATCACTGTTAATTTAAAGTCCATAACTAATAACACTGAGGTCTGGACTATCTATGGTTCTGCTCGTAATTCTTGTTTTGTTTTCCCCTGTTGGTCATGTTCTTGGTAATTAATTTTAATTAAATGTTAAATAATGTATTTGAAAAAATATAGTGCCTCTGTATAATATTTTTTCCTCCAGAGAGCATTCATCCTATCCCCTGGCAGGTAGCAGAAGGAAAGATCCCCTCAATCTAGTTAGGGAATGAGCTGACTTGAGCCTGCTTTGAAGTGCTTGTGAGACATTCTAATATTGACTCAATGGCATTTCCCTGGGACAGTCCTGCAGAGATACAAATAAAAGCCTGCATTGTTATCCATGTTTCTCCCTCCTTGTGGGTCCTGATCTCCATTTTTTCTTTCCCTAGGACTAAGAAACAATGAGAATCTCTGCTCTGATATTCAGCCACTTTCTCCTTGTTTTCATATCTTCTTGTTCTGCACAACTCTATGAACAAATGTCTTGGGGCAAAAACTTGCTCCTAGTTTCAGGCTTGCTTCCCTCTGACTCCCTCCTCCTTCTAGGATCTTGATCTCTCAGTCCTGCCTGCCTTGGCAACCCCAAACTCAAAGTTTCACTTCTCATTCCTGTGAGTTCTCCTAAAGCTCTGATAGCTTCTCTGTATCTCAATATCTGCTCTGTGTCTGGATTCTCAGCCTTTTGACTCATGCCAGGGATGAACAAAGCCATGAGGAAAACAGCAACATTCAGAAGCTATGCTCACTTTGATGACATTTCCTTCTCTCCAGGTCCTAGTCTCTCAAGTCCTGGCTGCTTCAGAAACTCTCTGAGGTCTTTGAACAGATTTCTTTTTAAGTTCAATCTGGCTTATCCAGTTGATTTTGATTGGATAATTTGCCTTCTGCAAGCTTTTTTCATAGAGCCAGAACAGAAATCTCTTTATGCAATTTGAAAATGCAATTTTCAAAAGGAGTTAAGAAACAAGTGCTTATTTCCCAGGTGTTCAATTATTTTGACCAAGGTTATGTCTTTCAATTACAAGCTAAAATATCCTAGCCTTTTAAGCATTTTCTCGGATAATTTTTGCATATTTTTTATATCTTAAAACAGAAATTTCTCTTGTGCCAGTTCTCCTGGGCAAAGAGTGACATTTTCTGTCTCCTTGTGTTTCCTAGCCTCATGTCTCTTTCAGTGTACACCAGTAACATCAAGTAATAAATTGGAAAAACAGGCCTATATCCAACTGTATTTTGCAGTACTTCAGAATGTTTATAATGATTTTATGTAAAATGTCTTTAGGGCCTCAATGAAGTTTATTATCTGAATTTTCCTACATGTAACATTTCTTTGGCAGGAATTCTCAGAATTTTAATGCACTATTTCGAATCTCAATGAAATATATATAGTGTACAATGTTTCTCAAACTTACCTGACCAGGGAAGCCTTTTTCATAAAATATCTTAGAGGTTAAACATACAGAAGAAAATATTTAGAAAATATATTCTTAAATGTAACCTGCCCTATAAGTTTACAAACTGGATTACCATGAAAAGCAGCAAAGGCTTATGTATTTTATTCCTAAATTATGTAAGCTGCCACTTTAGTTGGCAAAACTTTGTTAGGCAGAAGTATTTATTTACCAGTAAGTATATTTTTTGTAGTTCATTATTGTTTTAAATTATTTAACATTTGTGAATATGCACTGATGCTGCTTTTCAAGTAGTACTTATTAAAGAGGTGCTAGTTTCCTTTAGTTCATAATTTCCTTTGAACCGTGCAATAACTGCTGTTAAATAAATGATACATTTATTTTAAATATAAGCAAACTGAGGCTAAAAAAATTTAAATAACTTTTCAAGGTTATAGAAGTATTATATGGCAGAATTGGGATTTGTCCTAAAATAAATATATTAATAACTTTGATCCCACAATGCTAGATTAAGAAGTATTGAAAAAGGACAAAGGGAAAATGGTGAGATGGGTTTGGGAAAACAATCATTGAGTATGTCCACATTGTGTCTCTTAATATAAATTTATATCTCTTTTCCCAACTATCTTTAGTAACCCATGATGTTGAAAATTTCAGAATGGAACAGTGTACATCTTGATGGTAATAGCACATAATAATATTATAGCTAACACTTTAGTAGTGCTTATTTTATGTACAAGACAATATTATAAATGATTTACACATGCATATTAACTCACTTAATCCTCACAAGAATTATGATGATATTAGTAATAATTGCTATTACAGGAATCATTATTATTGAATATTTATTTTGTGATAGGCCAGGCTTTTTATAGTTTTTAACAGGCTTTTTAAAAAGTTTTCACAGTAAATAAATGAAATAAAAACTAATTATTTTTGCCATGGTTATACTGAGACATAGAGAGTTAAATGGATGTCCAAATATTACCTGATCAGTTATTCCAATCCCGATTGTATGAAAGAAAGCCGGTATTTTTAATCACCATACTATACTTGAGCTAAGCCTTGAGGGTTATGGTAATGGGAACAAAAAAACTGTGATGCACTGCTTAAATACTATGCCTTTTTATGTTTTCTCACTTAAAGTCTCATAAAAGATTGATGACCAGCACCTAAGCAATTGTATTGTTTTGTGTTATTGTTATGGTTAAATAATAAATGTTATGGGATCTAGATAGAATTAATCATAATAGTAAAAACATGTCTCAAGAGGAGATTCTGCAATCTTTTACTCTGGCAAATTGCAACTCAACTCCCCAAAGATAATAAATGTAATTAATTCCTACCATCAGTAAGCATAGGATTCACTTGAGAATGGCAAGTTTAGGAGAGAAAAAAATGAGTTTATAGCCATAGAAATAAAAGCATAGTGTTCTTTGCATTTATATTTGAGAGAATTAAGTCACTATCCCTTTATCACCACACTCTTCTACTTCCAGTCAGGTTAGGGAAGAAGATAATATTTTAACTAAGAATTTAATTCCTAAGAAGTATGCAGGTCAATATTTTACCTCTGTGTAGCTAAAAGCAGACATTAAGAAACCCCATAAATGCACAAATACAAGACAAGGTTGCTCCTTAAAATGTTTACTCAGAAAAGTTTGTGGTAGATTTTGTTTTTGTCTTCAGTTATCTGCTACCCTCCCTGTGAGAGGTTTACACATCCCTCCCAACTGCCATGTGACTTGCAGTGCCTCTCTGTGGGATGAATGTAATTCCCAGCCAGTGATGTTGAGCATGACCATTTGACTGGCTTCCATTAATTGAATGTGAGTATGCAACATCTAAACAGAAGCTTTAAGTGCTATTGAACAATTCTTCTATGGGAATGCATGTCATTGGCAGAGCCTACTCCACCTGTCTGGATTGCAGAATAACGAAGATACCTGGAAAAACAGCATGGAACTGACAAATAATGTGAATAAGAAATAAGCCTGCTGTGAACAATTGAGATTGTAATGTTACTTGTTACTACTGCAAAACCTATCAGAAGCTCACTGATACAAAATTACCTTATGTAAAAGTCCTTATGATTTTTTCATTTGTAGAGTGCTGTTTTAATTACTTAATTTGAAAAAATAAGTGTGAGTTAGTAAAATAAACAAATAAAAATCCTCCAGCAAGGCTACTTGTGGATATCTCTGCGGTTCTCTTCAGTGAATTGATTGAAAAAGAGGCACAAAAAGTTAATGCAAACTTAGTAATTATTTCTTAAAATATGAACTCACAATTACAAATATTAAATGCCATTGTAAGTTGGTATTTCAGAAGATTTCAAAGATTATTGTAAACAGCAATATATTCATGATGACTTTGCAAAATTTAAGAAGATATACCTATAAAATTAATGGGATAAATAACAATTACATATCACCAAGAAAATAGTTACTTCTTACTGAGAACATTTTCATTGAAAAAACACATCAAGCTCAGATTTTTGAAAAATGGTATATTCAAACATATTGGAAAGCAAGGAATATGTTGTATTCTGGAAATCTGTGTTAGGTGACTCAAAAATGACTCTAATGAGTACAGCTATACTGATTTTGAAGATGCACGTGAAAAAATAGAATATTATCAATTGTGGCTTTGATTATACTAGTTTGGAAAATTTATGTACTAGTTTGGAAAATTAATGTTTTCCCTTGAGTAATGGAAAGTGTGTGTGTGTTTGTGTGTGTGTGTGTGTGTGTGTGTGTGAGTCAGAGAAACAGAGAGATAGCAGTGCCCAAATTAACAGCTTCTTTCTTGACAAATCAGCAATTCATGCTGGTGAACACATTTTGAAACGATCTTGTTCTACAAGACTTGGAGTACCAACACTCACCTTGGATTGCCTTTCCGGAGCACTTGAGGATTTATCCTAGACTGCGTGACTTAGGCTAGGGGAAATGTACTTTTAGGGGAAGATGTCGAACCATTGAACAAAACCAACACTTTTAATAAGGGATAGAATTTTCTGAAAATACAGAAAGGTATATGTGAAAATTTGCAGGCTTGAGGGACACAGAAAATGTAAAAACCAAGTTGAACCCATTTTAATAACCATTTCTTGATTGGGTTATACTACCTACCCAGAAGCCTTCAGACCCACTTTAGCCCTGAAACACCTGAAGTTTTCTACAGAAGATAACTGTTCTCTGTAATGTTGACAACGGTTATCAGGAAGCTTATTCATATAACCTTATTCCTTATTCTTTTGACCTGTTTATTTGGCTTCATTTCTTCAATAGCATACCAAATGAAACGATGGTGTTTTCACCCAGGCAGCCTGGCAAACCATTCTGAGATACTGGGTACAGGGTCCCACTTCCCTTCCATCCCTTTACAAGGTTTAGCTTAAAATTCTGATGTACAGGACTTTGGAATCAGCAAAAATTTTATAAGTCTGCCGCTAGATTAGATTGTATTGTGAAATCTAAAATGTGGAAGTGACACAAGAAATAGTTAAGTCCAGCCACCTTATCAAGACACATATACACATAAATTCAGCTGATTGGAAAGACAAATGTGCTTCAGGCATCAATGTGTGATCTTGGTGTAGCATTTCCTTCTTCAGAATATTCTTAGGCTCTTCAAGTTTTCATTCCATGGCATGATCCCAAACCATCAAGATTCTTAATGGATATTGTAGTGTTTTGAATTGTGTCCTCCAAAAAGATAATTTCAAAGCCTAACTCCCTATACCTATAAATGAGACCTCATTTGGAAATATAGTCTTTGCAGTTGTAACTTAAGAATCTCAAAATCATACTGGATTTAGGAAGTTCTAAGGAAAGCAGTGTGCTGAATTACATTTTGTAAACTGTTTCTTTTAGAGCTTTTGTAAATCACAGAGTTTCACTCTCCTGCAATATATTATACTTATTATGTGGCGCCTTTATTTTGCGAATCTATTGGTCACAAATTTTATTTCTTGGCTTCAATCATTTGATAAAATTATCTTGTGGTGTGTTTATGGCATGCTTATCAAATAGCATTCAAATATTTGTTATAGTTTTATGTTGCAAAATTGGGCTTTAATTATTTATTACACTATAATCCTACAAGAAAGACTCAACAGTTTCTGGTTGTTTGGTGGAAAGTTCCCAGGAATATATGCCTGAACTATAATAATATTCATCAAACATGGATAGAGAAGAGAAGTTTTAGAAATCTTCATGGACACCAATGTTGAATCAAATTATTCATGATAATATCATTTAAATACATAATTTTATAAAAGTTTTAAGCATGCAAGTCCATGACCATAAAGCAAAGCAAATGATAAAATTCAAAATAAAACTAAAAATCCATTATAATTTGAATAAACTATATTAACATGATAGATGATATTGTTTTCCTGAAACTAAATTGGTAATCTTTAATTTACTAATAGAAATGTATTTGCATATTCTATGTTTCACTTGGGACTTACTAGCTTCATTGGATTTTGAGCACGGTGAATCAGCAATTAAATCATCCTCATTATTATTACTTTTACAATTACTTCATTTTAACCACAAATCCATAATTGTAAGTCATTTACTTGTATATGCTAAAACACAACATTGTAATAAAAACTTCTAATATAAATTACTTATTGTCCAATTACTACTATACTTTCTGTATAAAAAGTAATTTTAATTGACATGGTCTGTTATAACATTTGTTTTGTAGTGGATAGTATTATTAAAATTAGGCACTTTTGCTCTTTCTTTGCATTATATTTTCTTAGAGTTTTTGTTAGAAATGACTGCTGAATTTATCAAATGCCGTTTCAGCATCTGCCAATGGTGTGTGTGTGTTTATGTGTGTGTGTGTGTGTGTGTGTAGTTCTAATCAATTTTGTCACTTGTAGATTTATAAAGTTACTGCCACAATCAAGATACAGAACTGTTCCATTATCACAAAGGTTTCCCTTGTGCTACCCCTTAATATTTGTACCCACTCCAATTTCTGTCCCCCTGGCAATGACTAATATGTTCATCTCTATAACTTTGTCGTTTCAAGAATGTAATATAAATGAAATCACACAGTGTGTAATCTTTTGAGATTGGATTTTTTTTTTACTCAACATAATGACCTTAACTTCATTCAAGTAGTTGCAGTATATCAATGATGTATTATTTTATTGTGTGGAGTAGCATTCCCTTATATAGATTTGCCACAATTTCTTTAATCATTCCCTCACTGAGGGCACTGGAATTGTTTTCAACTTTTGATGATTTTGCAAATAAAGCTTTACAAATACTCTGCTATGTTTACAGGTTTTTTTTTATGGACATAAGTTTTCAGTACTCTGCAATAAATGCCCAGGAGTGTAACTGCTGACTTATATAGTATGTTTTGTTTCATAAGAAATTTCTAAACTATTTTCCAAAGAAGTTGTACCACTTTACATTTCTACCAAGGATATATCCCAAGGATACATCAAAGATCTACTCTTTCTCATTTGGTATTGGTACCAAATGCTGGTATCAGTACCATCATTTGATATTGTCACTATTTTTCAATGTTACCTGTTTTAATATATATGTAATAATATGCTTTTTAGCTTGTATTTGCTTAATGGCAAAATATTTAATATCTGTTTCCATGCATAATTGTTATAACATCACATTTGTTGATATCGTTGAACTTACCATAATATCTCAAGACAACCTATTAATGAAACAAAACTGAATTTATTTAAGCTCACTGCAGTAAGGGAGAAAACTACTTAACAGAGATTTAGCAGTGCCTCAGGAGGAAAGTCAGAATTGGTATATTTATAGGTCTTTGGTGTCTGGGCTCAGTGGTTTAAAGTAGCGCTTTCAAAGTAGAGGACTGATTAAGATTGGGCAAGTTTTCAGATACAATAGTTTTTAGACTGGTAGACATAGCAAAGTAAAGGCCTTGAAGCAAGTTTGATAAGTAGAATGTCATTTAGTAGGTAAACAACCCAGGTCAGAAGACCCAGGTCTTTGATAAATAGCTCTGGAAGAATTTTATTAAAAAAAATATAAAATTATTTTTTAGTTTGTAGTTCTTTCCTAGGCAAGGTTTTTCTGAAACAAATAGCCAGGTCGTGTTGACATAGATGGTCTAGTTTCATCCAAATCATGCTGACACAGACACTCTCAGTCCTCAATAATGAATTGTATTAGAAATTTCCAGCTACTTATCTACTCTTGAATTTGTGAAATAAACCCTACTTTTTTATGAAGCATTTTACTCTCTTATGAATTATTAGATTTTACTTAAAATTTTAATCGGAATTATTATATATACTCAAGTGCAATTGACTTACAAAGTTCTTTTTCGCATTATAATTTTGTCAGGTTTGGGGATTAAAGTTATGCTGGCTTCAGAGTATGAATTAAGCTCTCCACAATTTCAACACTCTGGTATATTATAAATACATTTGAAATTATCCAGTCTTTGAAGCTTAGGTGAATTCATCTGTAAACTCCATCTGGTCATTGTGCTTTTTTCCCATAAAAGATCTTTATTCACCTTTCAATTTTCTTCAATGGCCATAGCCTATTTCTTTTTTCACTCCTTCCAGGCTAAATATTCTTGCATTGTTCCCTTCTCCTTTGTTTTTTAATGTCTTTCTTCCTTTATTTTTATGTGCCTTCATGCTGGTTCCTCCTCCTATTAGTCTGATTCTAGGATAGGCATAATTCTCATCCTAAGAGAATTTATAAAGTCAGAAAGTCCAGGGTTGAATTTCCTGTGCCTACGAACTGTGGGTTGTGTAAAAATGGAAAATACAGTTAAATTGACTAAACTTCAATTTTTGTCATAAATAAATTTAATATGTGTTGTAGGTCAGTGTACAGACCATGACTTCAGGAATTAGGCATTCCTGATCCCTATTTGCTAATGACTCCCAGCTAAGTGCTTTTGCAGGAATTGCCCTCAACCATTGGTAAACTCCCAGCTCAATGAGTGGTCAGTGTGCAGACACAATGTCCTAGCCATTTTGCCTTAACTCAGGCCAAATCTGAAGGGTAACCCCCACTGTGGTGTTCCCCTTGAGATCACCTGATGCCTCTGTTGCAAATGTCTCACAGTTCAACTCCTCCCTTTGACCAGCCCTGCAATCCTCATCCATTTACAGGCATTGTTCCCGAGAGCACTCCCCAGTAAACCTCTTTCCAGCAAGTCTCCATCTCTGAATACGTTTCCTGGCTTACCCCACCTAAGTCAGAAAATTGGTGTGATACTAATGCCCACCTCTTAAAGCTGTTGGCGTGTATAATGAGGTTTTAGACACACAGTGTTCGTAACACGAGCTTTTAAGTGTTACTCTTTATTTTTACAATAGAGTGTTAAGAAAGAAACTTTTCTCTACTCAGACTTTTGGCTACCACCACAAAGCAGAGGAAAATAGCTGATTAATTTTTATATATTGTTGAGATAAATGGTAGCCACATCCATAGAGACCTTAAAAGATGCCAGAACTGGTCCTGCTTTGTCTATCACTATCATCTACTTTTCACCTTTGTAAAGACTAGAAATTCTAAAGGAGATTGTTTCAAAGGAGTTTATACAAGTAGAGATATACTTGGCTTACTGCTCTGTCCCCCCACCCTAAGCATACACATGAGACCATGAAGCATGACCAAAGGGATTTGGGAAAAACTTAAATGCTGTCCCTGGCATTTTGAGGGCATACATGAACAAAGAAGCCTGCACCTGCTTCTCACACAGGGAAGGCTGAAGGAAGGAAGGAGCTTGGATCTGCCTGGGATGGCAAGACAAGGAAAATGCAGATAGTATTGAACAAGTATCACTTCTACTATTTGTCAAGCAAAGAGGCATTTCTTACCAGTGGAAAAGTCACTGCTACAGGGCACAACTATGCCTCCCCATCACGGTGATGGTAATGGGAAGGTGAAGGATGGGTAATGGGAAGATAATGTGGGTGGTGGTACTAATATAGTCTGCACTTGGAGAAGAAGCCTGTAAGGAGATAGCCAAAACTGTAGTACCTTTTCAGGAAACTGGGCAATGTGGAAGGTAGCTTCAGAATAAATTTTCAAAGATAGAACAAATGGATCCATGAAAGATGTTTGCCTCACGAAAGATGGATGTCTGCCATGGCAGAAATGATCAACAGCTAGATGATGACTTCTTACTCTCTTTAATTCCTCCTCCCTAAGATCCAATTCTGGAAGAGACAACAGGAGCATGAAAAAGTTGTGGCAGTTTTAAATTCTATTTGCATTTTTTGACATTCCTCCAATCAAAAGGTGACATCTAATTTCCCTAACCTTGAAATGAGCTAGCATTATTATTAAACTAATCAAAATTTCTGTATTGATGCTTTAGTGGAGATTCTATTTAACACTATATATACGAATTGCAATTTTTTTAAACTCCATTTAGAGCCCTTTTTAAATTTGGAAAATTAACCACATTAAACTAAATAGAGTAGGGTTTTTACTCTTACTTCAGTTATATTATTTTGTTTTCTATTTCCTTGTTTTATTTTCTTCCTATGTGTTGTATAAATTAGGAATATTTTTCTTCTAGTAAAATGACTTGTTACAGATGGATTTTATCATATATATGGTTAGATGCAATTCTTTATAAAACATTTAAATCTATATTTCTCAATTTAGCAACATTGAATATGAGATTATCATTCGAGTACATGGAAATGATGAAAATATTAGTCATACTTGTATTTCTTTTTAACTATCGCTCATAATCTTGCCCTCCCATTCAATTACTATATTTTCTACAATGTTGATTTTCTTTTCTTGATCTATAACTTATTTTTACTATGGTATTTTTTCCTTTCTTTAAATTCTTTAAGTAGGTCATTTTTTATTTGTTATTGTAGTGTGTACTCTTATCTCTTATTTTCCCTTGCTTTATATTAGCTGCATTTTATTTTGCTTTCTTTAAAATCACAAAATGATGTCAAGAATGCAGTTCTGATACATGAACTAAATATTTCTAAAACAGATGCAATTCCCATACTTCTTGTATGCCTTATTCAAATCCTTTCATTTCATAGAATCTTTTCTTAAGTTTTGATTGTTCTGATTTTTTTTGGTAACAGAAATTTGGTGGAGATTTTCCCTTTCGATGTCAATTACTGCTAAAATCTCAAAGCTTCAATAAATAGATAAGCACCAACACATTCTAAAGGGTGGTTATATCTCTTTGGGGCTGGTTTAACTATTTAGCAGACACATCCTAAGGTGACCCCCCAGTATGTCATGCCCACCCTTGTATATTCCCCTACCCTTTAGTAGAGGTAGAATCTATGCTTTGCTTCTCAACAAGAGAAAAAGGCAAAGATAACGGAATACCAATTTCTTGATTAGGTTATCTGTCAAAGTGATTGAAAATCACTTATATAATTTATATATAAGTATTTAAGACTCTAAGACTCCCACTCAGCTAACTGCAGAAAAATACTCTGCTTCTAGCTTTCAAGAGGCAAGGAGATATATTGAAAATTACCTACAAGAAGGATCACATAGCAGGGAACTCTGGGCAACATCAAATACCTGATAACAGCCTCCACCCTGTAGACAGTAAGGAGCTGAGGCCCTCATACAGCTGTAAGGAAATGAATATTGCCAACTGTCTGCATGGACATGGAAGCAGATCTTTTCAATTTTAGTCTCCAGGTTAGAACACAGCCTGTCCAACACTTTGATTATAACCTTGTAAGACCCTAAGTCAAGGACTCAGTCAGGCCACCTGACCCAAAGGAAATTGTGAAATAATATGTATTGTCTTAAGCTGATAAATTTGTGGTGGTTTGTTACATAGTAATAGAAAACTGATAGAATTATTAATAGTTCTGCATCTGTTCCTCAATCATCCAGCTCCAGCCCTCTTTATATAAATACAAAAGAGACTATAAACTGAAGAGAGAAGTATTGAGATAGTGTAATGTAACCCTAGCTAGTGGGAATGACCTTTGAGGCTTTTTTTCCTCCTTATGGAGGAGAATTGTTTCGCATACTCACCCAGCCCAAGTCAAGTGAGTAGAGATCTAAGAAAACTATGGAGATTGTGGGTTTCTGAAGAGCTGGAACTGACCCACCTCGTAGTAAGAAACTTCTTGTAAGAATGTTTCATGTATCACTGGAATTTGAAGAGATATATAAACAAGGCGCCGTTCTTGACCTTGTTTGTAAAAGTCTGGCTTCTGTCAACAACAACTCAGGAAGATAGGGTTTGAGAGGAAAGACAGTAAACAATCATTTGTCAAGACAAAAATCTCTGAATTTCCGCAGAGATGAGCCATTATTTTACCTTCTTGAAGAATACCCAATCCAAGATGTGGTTGGCCAGACTGGAGACAAAGGTCTAAGGTTGCAGGGTATAATTTTAAGAGCAGAACTGACATGGAGGCAGTGAAAGGTCACTCAGCAAACTTATTCTCCAGGTCAGGAAACTCTGCAGTGCAGAAATCCATATGGTGCTTCCAAATAAGCCCACAAATGCATCACATAAGACAGCCTCTACCAGCAATCAAGTGCCTGCCACAGAAGACACTGACAAAATTATATCAATAGCAGTGATTTAATACTTTTCTCTCTTTTCCTATGAAAGCCCCTTCCACTAATTTGGCACTGGGAGATCCAGCAGGAGGAGAAGAAGATGAAGGACAAGTGAATAGACAGATCATGTTTTGTTTTGTATTTTTTTCCCGCATAAATTCCCTAAGCCCTGAGTCAGTTATAAAATTGGAGTAGAAGAGAAATTTTTGCCCTTATGGGAGTTTGCTATTTTAAATTAAACTCTGCTGGACTTGAATTTGTTTTAACCCTGTGAATGATCAGAAATAAATGGGATTTGTGTGGTATCACCAAGGGACAGAAAAAGGGAAGGTAATAGGACCAAATCAAAGGCAGTAGTAGGAGAAAAATAGAAATTGCTTTTTCTGGCATTTTCCCTATCAAGTACAGCCATTTATATTATCTAATTGCCTCTTTTCCCCTTGTTTATTTATTCCTAAAACAGGGAAGATCTCTCCAGAACCCTACTCAATGAAGGGAGATCCTCTTTGCATTCTTTCACTCATGTGCTTTTTGATTCTTTCAATCAAGCGCTTTTTGATTCTTTCAATCAAAGGGTAGACAGGACTGGGAGATGCTGAAGTTTTCTGTCACCCATTCAATTGTTAACCAGTCTGAGGAAGGTAAGATGCAATCTATAATTATGAGCAAAACTAACTAGAGAATGTTGCTTCTGCACAATTGTTTTTCTTATATTGACTAAAAAGTATTACACTACAAGCAGCCTTTTTAACTCTGGAGTTCCATTATCTTATACTCAAGGTATACAGTGTTGGTAATTCTGATCTCCTAACTCGAATTTTGTTGACCAGAGTTGGGGGAACACTATATCCTGGGAATGATGCACTGTACCCGCAGAGTTTTGAAATGTTTTACATCAGAATACTTGGGCCACATTATCATGAGATTTGACTGAACCCAGCTCAGTTGACTATCAACTTCTTAATAATATGGCTGTATATTATGAAGCAGTTTTCTAGCATTTGCTTTGATATCTGTTGGCTGGAAATGGCAAAAATAGATAAATTCTGTCCATTTTTACCCTGAATATTTGTCCTATGCTCTTGCTCCTCCAAATTAGGAAATTTTTCTTCAGGCTTCACACATACTCTGCCAAGCTGAAGAATCTTCTTATTATTTATAAGTACTATTTTATTTATGTACAAGTAGAAATGGCTGAACATTTAGATTTATTGAGGGCACTCCTTGTTTGCATTTGTTGTTTTCATGATGTAACTATAAATAGAGCCCCTTTTATCAAAAGTAACTTATATGTGCCACAGTTTATATCCTTATGCTATTGAGAAATCAAGTCAAGCATCGCTTTAACCTTCTTATTACACAACCTAGCACTTATTCTTACAGGCTGCTGATGCTGTCTCAAAGTGTTCGTGATTCTTGTTGGATAAAGGGGCTCTGATATGGTTTGTCTCTGTGTCCCTACCCAAATCTCATCTCAAATTGTAATCCCCACATGTAGAGGGAGGGACCTGGTGGGAAGTGATTGGATCATGGGGGAAGTTTCCTCCATGCTGTTCTCCTAATAGTGAAGGACTTCTCACAAGATCTGATGGTTTTAAAAAGTGTTTGGCAGATTCCCCCACCCTCCCCCCTTCTCTCTTTCTATCTACTGCTGCCTTGTGAAGAAGATGTTTGCTTCCCCTTCTGCCATGATTGTAAGTTTCCCGAAGGTCCCCAGCCATGTGAAACTGAGAGTCAATTAAACCTCTTTCCTTTATAAATTACTCAATCTCAGGTAGTATCTTTATAACTGTGTGAGGATTGACTAATACAGGCTCCAAGTAGAGTAAAATTAATCTCACTGCCATCACAACTTGCCTTTGCCTTCAGATCTTGACCTCCATCACTGCAATTTTCACAATGGCATATTACTTTTTCCAGGAAAGGAGTTATAAGTCCTTTAGTGACTTGGAGTTATAGTCCACTGGTGACTTCTCTCTCAGTTTGTTCCTTTCTACTCTATAGATTGTCAATATTCCTATTTTATAATGTGTAGTTCACTATCATCTAGTTTGATAACTCACAAAGATTTATTTTTTCCTATTTAAGTTTTCCTCAACCATTTCAGTAATTTTTAAGAGGAGTATTTAGAAATGTATTCTACAAGGTTTTTTGTGTGTTTGAGCGTGAAATTATTTGAGTATAAGATTAAAAATTTACAAGTTCTGCTGAATATATAATCTTATTTAAACCAATGAAGGCTTTTCTTGTTTGGCATGTAGGAAAAAATTAGTTTTCATACATATATGGCAACTCTTCCCAAAATATTTCTTCTTCTGAGGTCTAATTTACCAGCAGAGGATTTTTTTTTTTTTTTTTTTGACAGAGTCTCACTCTTGTCACCCAGGCTGGAGTGCAGTGGCCGATCTCAGCTCACTGCAACCTCTGCCTCCTGGGTTCAAGTGATTCTCCTACCTCAGGCTCCCGAGTAGCTCGGACTACAGGCACGTGCCACCATGCCTGGCTAATTTTTTTTTTTTTAGTAGAGATGGGGTTTCACTGTGTCAGCCAGAATGGTCTTGATCTCCTGATCTCACGATCTGCCCACCTCAGCCTCCCCAAGTGCTGGGATTACAGGCGTGAGCCACCGCACCCGGCCAGTAGAGACTTTCTTTTGGGTAAAACATTTTACATACTAGGTTATTTTTAAAATAGAGATTAGTTAGGGAATTTGACTAAGGCATTAACTCCATAATGCTTTAATGTGAGTTAATTCAACTCAAAATAACGAGAAAACTTGGAAGTACTGGGACACAAGGGGTAGGAGTGTCTGCAGACAGAGAACAGAAAGAGGCATGAGGAAGTTTAGCAACACCCAAACATGCTCCATGCTGTTTATAAGACACAAATACATGAACAAAACCAGGAAACACTCCCAAGGACAATTATTGTATTAATTTGGGCATTAATCTCTCCCTTTCAGTTACACCTTTCTCTCCTCCATTGTACTGAATAGAAAGTTGAAGTAATCTTTTCTTCACTTTATATCCCTGAGGAGATTTCTAGCTGGCAAGGGCAGTAGACATAGAAGTAGCAGTAGTACTGATCTTTTGAAGCTTTGGCAAAAGCAATAGGAGGTGGGACGACCATAAGGGAAAAGTTGCATTTGGAAATCAAAGAACTTTAACCAATGTTCTCTACATCCTAAGAGGCTCAGTCTATAGGACTTCTCCAGGGGAAGGTGGTACTTCGGTGGAGGGAGTTGGCCTTAGCAGACCTTGGATTCGCAATTTTCTGGCAGCCTTTCCAGTATAAACCATATTGTGAAAAGCAAGCAGAAAAATATACTCATAAATACCAAATTTCCAAAACCCACTATGATTCCGAGGTTCTGCCTTTCTTCCAGAGTAATTGGAGGGTCTAAAAGAAAAAGATGATGGTATTTATATTCCCTCTGATTTCCTCTGATTTTATTCCCTAGATTTTGCAGAGTTTTAGTTTTCTGTGTAGGATATTGGGCTGTGTAAAAAATAACATAATTCACAGCCTTCGGGGCTTCTAATGGGACTTCAAGATTCTTTAGTCCAGTGGTTTACCTGGCTAAAATCAGAATACTTCAAATGAAGATCATAGATTTGTATTTTACACAAGATCTTTAGGTGGTTTCGATGATTGAAGAGCTTTGGAAATTACTGAGCTGGTCTTATTTCTCAGGTACTTGAATGGCCTGATTGGTAAGAAATCAGTATGCAATTATACCTTAATTTACAGCACAGTAGAATGAATTTGTGTTTGGATTTGATCCTGTGTCTTGCAGGATTCTACTCCCCTCCTGTAATCCTTCTCTGAAAAGTACATTTATAAAATAAATGATGGCTTGAAGTTTTTTGTTTTAAGTTTGATTCTATCCTCATCTCTGGGCTGCAGTCTGAATGGCTCAGAGTCCATTTGTTTTTCTTCCTTTAGTTGTCACTGAGCTTAAATTGTTTTTTGCCCATATAGAATATTTCTCTTCCTTAATGTTATGGATGAAGATGAACTACTCATTGAGCTGGCAGGAGTAAGAGTAGTAGGATTAGTTTGGTTTCAGAAATGATATATGGCTGCAGGATATAAAATCAACTGAGATTCGTATCCTGGAAGACTAGTTAGTCTGTCGTGACTGCTGTCATTATTTTTCAGTCCACAAATCTGCAGGCAAAGTGTCAAGGTCAGCTACAACTATTTTTGAATTCTCTGGTTTTGTTTTCAGTAAAATTGATTAATACTGCCTTCCAACATGTGTAGTATTGTTAAAGGAGGCAGAGATAATCAAATGGTCATGTGGAAGTATTTGAGGAGTCAGACTAAGATAGGTAAAGCTAACAACTAATGAAAATATAATATAATTCCTTTTACCCAATTAACTTTGCAGATGCTCTGATACTTGGCCAAAATATGAAGTTAGTAAAAATATTTCTTCTTCCAGCTATTTTAACCTTTGCTTCATTTTCTTCCACACAGCTAAGGGCTGGAGAACTGGTTCCCTCCTTTTTAATAAGCATCTAATACTTTACATTAGCTCTCTTTTTTTCACTTGCAAGCAAAATCTAGCTTATCAGTCAATTGATTAATGGATGGTCATATCCCCTGGTACCAACTAGTTAGGCGAATATGGTTTTAGATAAGTGTTTTCTAACTTTATAATTGAGCCGATAGCATAAAGAGAATAGAGGACCCTCCTGGTATTGAGAAACTTTCAAAATTCAGAGTTGCACTGTTCTTTATCAAAAAGATCAGGCTATTTTGTTTGAACATCACTAAAATTCAGATGAATAATTTGTTTCTTCCTCAGAGCATAAGTTTCCTCTAGAATCATGATTGCAATAATGCTATTCTCATTCTAATGCATTTGCATAAACATCACACCCCAAAGGTTAATGGTAATTGCAAAATGGGTAAACCTTTAAATAATTCAAGGCTTTCCGATTCTAAAATTACAGCCTGATTATTTGCTAACATGTCCATTGCTCTTTAAAGCTTACAAAAGGCTGTAAAGTACATGATCTTATTTAAATTTCATCATAGGCCTTGGAGATGAGTTCTATTGTTCTCATTTTATAGATGAAGTAACTGCTCAGAGTTGAGGGCAGTAACTGAGGACCCCAACCCAGGTCTTCTGACTCCTAGTCTATTGATTTCTCCATTGCACAAATCTCTTCAATCACTCTGTTTGATGGTCTGTATTTTATAAAATGCAGTAAATATTGACAACATTGCAGTTGTTTAGGAACCTGGAGAATATATTTTACTGACAGTGAAGTAAATTCATGTGATATAGAAGAAAAAGCCCTAGACTATTTTTTTTAAAAAATGTGTAATACAATCTTAAGCCTATCTTTTACAAATCATATGACCTTGTGAAGGTTGTCTAAATTTCTATGTAATTTTTGTTTCTTTTTTTTTTTTTTGAAGAGATGGTGACAACGTCTAATGGGCCACAGTTTCAGTTGCTAATGCTGTATAAAAAAACACCCCAAATTTAAAAGAAGAATAAGTTGTCATTTCTTATGACCTTTCTGTTAACAATTCAAGTAAAGTTCAACAGAGAGGTTCTTCTGCCCCACTTGGCATTAGCTGGGGTCATTGGCTTGGCTGCATTTAACTAGCAGCTGCCTTGGGCTAGAAGGTTCAAGAGAGCGCCTTAACACATCTGGCACCTCAATACTGCTCCATGTGATCTCTACCTCTGTCTCTGTCTCTCTCTGTATAGTATCTCATCACCCAGTAATCTTTCCTGGTCTTCTTTTCCACAGAGAGTTGGCATCTAAGAGAGAGGTTGAGCAAGGTGATATATTTCTTAAAGGCCAGGGCTGGAACTGGCACATCACTCTCTTCACATTCTATTGACCAAGCCAACTCTCCAGGCCAGCCCAGATTCAAGGGAAGGGAAAATAGATTTTATTTTGTGATGGGTGGAGCAGTAGGCACATAGAGGGAAGGAAAAGATTAATGGCACTCACCCTTGGAAACTATACTATGGTCAGCCTTAGGTAGCTATTTGATTACTCAGTAAGAGACTGAAAGTTCTATTTTTCAAAACAAATCATTATTAGATGCATTCTGTAGCCAAGAACTGTTCTATGCCATGGGTGTATAGTCGGAAAAAAGAACAGATGCTTTTTTATACCTCATGGTAGTAGAAAAGGCAGATATCAACTAAATGAATATATAGATAAGCACTGAATTACAAATGTGGGTAAGAGCTATCAAGGAAAGCTGTAGAGTGCTATAGCACAATAGCCTAACTTGGATTAATGGGCCAGGAAAAGCATCTGATCAGGTGATGTTTGTGTTGAGAGCTGCAGTCTGAGTTGAAGTCAGCTATGTGAACAGGAAAGACAAGAACACTCCAGACAGCAGCCACAGCATGTGTGATGACCCTGAGCTGTGTTGTAAAGATGGAAAAGTCATGGTGACCAGAGCATAAGGATCCAGCAAGTGTGGACCTAGAAAGGCAGGTGGTCATGCCATTGTTAATATTAGATGAATTTTTTCTATTTCATCCAGATGTTTAAAGACAGTACAGAAAAAGATTATATCCATGAAACAATATTATAAAGTGATTGTGTGAGGCTTATAGTGTATGAACACTCAAAGAGCTTCTACAGTTTCCTTGTTTTTTGTTAAATATGTTCCCACAGTCACTGACAGGTGTGTGTAGGCAGAAAAGGAAAGGGAGGAAAACATTTTTTCAAAGGTAGAAATTCAGAAACTTATTTACTAAAAATGCTCATTTTCCCTTCTTGAGCATCTATAATTTTTGATGTTATTACTTTTGCATTTTCTACATCATTAAATGCATCTGTGATTTTCCCTGCTTGTTCAATCTGTTCCAGGCCTACACACACAAAATCACATTAACTAATATTGTAATGGAGTTGACAAAGTCCTCATAAAAATGAGTACGTCTTAAATTTTAATTATGAATGCAGAACAAATAGTATGTTCCAAATTTATTTATTATTTTTCAAAAAAAAAGAAATCTCAAAACTAAATGATAAATTCAAAGCCAGAGAGAAGAGGCCTAACTCATTGCAGGTCTTGGATATCTCCGCTTAGTACAGAAAGAATAAACTGAAAAAGAAATACTGCCTCCTGATTGATAGAGGGAAATGATCTGCTAGACAGTAATTCACATCAATTTACCACTTGTTCACTGCATATTTATTGTGTGCCTAGCCCCATGCAGAGTATTTGCTGAGGATAAAAAGAAATATATAATGCTGTGGAACTCACAGTTTTGCTAAATGGACAGCAGCCGTGTAATCGAGAAGGCAAAATGGAAAAATAATGTACCGTAAAGAATATAAAATCTAGTTATATTGACAAAAATGTTCTTCAAAATTTAGAAGACAGCCCCTCATATGCAAAGACAAAAAAGAATTATTGAATTTGTTTAGGTCTGAAAAGTAGCCGCTGGAATTAGACACCAGGATGTCATATCTTTGTTGCCTTCCCAGGATTCAATTCCTTTTTCCTCCTTCCGCCTGTAGCTAGGAGTACATAACCTACAGTAACCAGTCTATGCCTTATATCTACATGGCTCAGTGATCAGGTGAGGTAGGATGTGTGATTGGAGGGAATCTCAACAGTTGTGCTGGGAATGCAGGTATAGACCTTGTCATCTACTGGCTATGAACAAAGGATGGATGTCAGCCAAGAATTGCTGACCACCACAAGGGGAACATGTGGAGATAGCTGCCTGAGAATGGACTCTATACTAAGCAACTGTTGAGATGAGATTTGATATATAAGAAAATTGTTGCCTGAAGGTACAACTGTTTTTAGTTATTTTATTTATTTTTATTTTACCTTTGGCAGCACAAAGTAATCGAATTGAGAAGAAGGCTACCACTTATGTGTTCTGTATTTGTGTACTTCTTGGACAATTCATGTTGCTTAATCAATACCTGCTTTCAATTACACTGTGTAGGAAGGATGGTCAAATAACCCTTAAGATTCTTATCTTGAAACTCTATGGCACTTATTTCTTTCCATTTTTTTTTTTTTTTTTTGAGATGAAGTCTCACTCTGTCTCTCAGGCTGAAGTGCAATAGCATGAGCTCGGCTCACTGCAACCTCCACCTCCTGGGCTGAAGCGATTCTCCTACTTTAGCCTCCTGAGTAGCTGGGATTACAGGTGTGCACCACCACACCTAGCTAATTTTTGTATTTTTAGTAGAGACAGGGTTTCGCCGTGTTGGCCAGGCTGGTCTCAAACTCCTGACCTCAGATGATCTGCCTGCCTCAGTCTCCCTAAGTGCTGGGATTACAGGTGTGAGCCACCATGCCCAGCCTATGGTGCTAATTTCTTACAAGAGTCACTTCCAGTACCAGATCTAACCAATTTTTCCAAGTTGAAACCAGTAGTCATAAATCAATTACATTAGCTGGTATGGAGAGTTTGGGCCAAAATAAAAAAGAATAAAAATAAGAAAGAAAACTCAATTCCTGGCCACATATTTAAGAATATTAATGATGCCCAATACCGTTATTCAGTGCTAAAAAACTAATTTATAATCATAAGTAATCCATATTTTATTAGCATATGTTGAAACTATTTTTTTATTTCATACTGGACTGTACATTGTCTAAAACAGACTTCATGTCATATTCAACTATGTACTGTCAGAGCCTAGCATGGTACCTGGGTTTCTGGTAAAAAAGACTACATGGTTCCTCAATGTGTCAAGAATGAAAGAGAGTTGGATGCCAATACCCTATGTTAGCTTCAATAAAAAAATCACAAGTACAGTAGAAGAATGAGATAAGTGTGTGATTGCAAAGATGTCTTTGTCTTAGCAACAAGAGATAAAATGCTAAAACAGATAACAGAAATAAGTTAGGCCACTCTAGGAGGACAATTTTGAAAACTGTTAAGCCTCCACGGTATTTGGTATTCAACAATGTGTAAGAATACTAGCTTCGTTGCTCCTGAATTTTTAATGTTCTTCCTTAATTAGTTCTTTTTTCATACCTTCCCTAGAAGGCAAGCTCATATTATTAATAGTAACCCACAATATACAAACAAGATGATCTGTATAAACTAACAAAGGCAAATGTAGCCTGGAAGGTGCTTACTCTGAAGAGTGTTGCATTGAAGTACATTTTTTTAAATGAATTTCTAAAAATAATTCAATTGCCACATTTATCATTTGCAATGATATTGATTCTTATCTTGTTGTAGTACTTCATAGTTTACAAAGCACTGTAGATACTACTAAAGATCATCCTAAAGAAATACCTCAATTCATAACCTCTGTGAATACAGGCATATGTTGTTGCAGTCAGGGATTGTGAAAAGGTAGGCTTGTTCTAGATAAATAAGAACTACTTGCTAGGTGTGTTGACTCAGAAGCAAAGAAAATAACTGAGTTGGCTGAATGTGACAAATTATTGGGATAAAATGATGATTTTATCACTGATGATTGCTGCTTCATGAAGTTAAACCATCAACATGCTCGGCTCCCTATAAACCCCACTGATAAGCTAAGTTTTAGTGGCTACACAAATATGCCCTTAAAGTGAATGGGAAAGTTACTTTCTAGGAGTCAAACCATGAAATAATAAGCTCAGAATTAAAAAAAAATGAAATTAAAAGTATCCCTGTGTCCAGGAGACATGGAACATACCCAAGCCCAATTAATGTGACCAGGATGTAATGCAAACTGAAAGCCATTAAAGTAAATGGTAACCTAATCAATACTGTGTAATCCTTCTCTTTCTTCATTTATTCAAGTTTTTAAGGATCAAAAATTTAAGTGACAGCCATCACAATGTTAGAGGCTGGAGATAACAAAGATAATTCAGACATGACCTAGGCTTCCAGGATTGACAACACAGCAAGATATACATGTGTGCAAACATATAATAACAATACCATGTGGAAAACAATATAATAAGGTCATTTATAAAATGTAACATAGAAAAGGAAATTCTCTTTGAAACCAAGAGCAGTTAAGAAGGGACTTACAGTGGAGGTTTTATATGAGCTGGTTCTTCAAGATTGAGTGTTGTGGGGATCTCTAGTGAAAGTCCCAAAATAATGCTCAGGGATACTGAGAATGCCTTATAATAGAAATTTGTATACATCACTAATTTTAATATGAAGAATAATTTAGAGCGGTCACTGTTGTCTAAGCGTGTGGGATTTTCAGGCTGGAGGTTTAAGAGGTGTTGATTAGGTAGGAGAAAAATATGCATAATCAAAAGTGACCTTAGAAAAGAGAATTCTGATTTAGATATGAGGGATGGTTGGGTACACAGAGACAGGTGGCATAAGATTAAGTTTAAAGAACTAGAAAAAAGAATGTTGCCATGGCAAAAATTTAGGCATCATTTAAATCTAAAGTGTTATTTTTGCACAATGTAAATGAAATACAGCAGGTGTACTAGAACTATCATTAATTAGGGAACATTCAGTGTTTGCAAAGGGGCAAAAGATATAGATGCTAATATGCTGGGAACTGTATAATTTACTATTACATTTCATGAGTTGATATTTAGGGAACTCTTTGATGTACAGAGGTATATAAGATATTAATATTGTTCCCTCCCCAACTTTATTACATTAAAGACCTTGGCAGTCTTTCAAAATCAGTGTTTGGCAGATTGATATACAGCAATCATTAGTCTCTTCCAGGGCAAAAATTGGGAAAAGGTTATTTTAAGAAGACATATAAGTTGGGCAGTGTGGCTCATGTGTGTAATCCTAGCACTTTGGGAGGCCGAGTTGAGCGGATCACAAGGTCAGGAGTTCAAGACCAGTCTGGCCAACATGGTGAAACTGCATCTCTACTAAAAATACAAAAATTAGCCAGGTGTGGCAGCATGTGCCTGCAATCCCAGCTACTCAGGAGGCTGAGATAGGAGAATCACTTGAACCCGGGAGGCAGAGATTGCAGTGAGCTGAGATCATGCCATTGCACTCTCGCCTGGGTAATAGAGCGGGACTCCACCTCAAAAAATAATAGTAATAAACAAATAAATAAAAGAAGAAATATATAATGGGCATGAAAGAACAGGGAATGTTTAGGAAACACCAAATTCAGTTGAATATGTAATCTGAAGGAGGAAATATTGTCTAGTACTTTGGGATGTAGAAGAAAATGCGTGAGGCAAAGATAGAACCGAGGTGAGACATGCAGGTTATAAAGAGAGCAGATGGTGCATGAAGAACTGGTTCTGCCATCTCTGTGGAGGGCTGATTTAAGAAGAGAGTTGGTTCCAGGAAAAAAGACCTTAATGAAGCAAATATTTGTGTACAGTTTTAGAACCATTTCTAGTTTAAGGATGTAGACAGATGTTGAGGCACCCAGAAATTAGACTTTATTGTCCATAGGAAAGATAAAGGAAAGGAAATAATAATACAGGATCCTGATGAGAGATAACACCATGTAGGAGGAGCCTGTGGCAGGAGCAGTGGTGGTGGTAAGTTTACATCAAAGTGAGGAAGGAGCAGGGGTGACATTCCCCAACGTTTCTTTCCTCCCATACTCCAGTTTCGGCTAGTACTTCCCATTGACTGAGTCCTATTTGAAACTAACCAGAAGCACTCACCAGGTGATTCAGTCCATAGGGATCAGCCTTCTAGGGCACAGAACATGATGATAACACTATGAAGGAAGAGCAACAGTGACAAACAGAAATTAAAAGACACAGCACACTGGCAACAATAATTCATTGGCTTTTCCACAGATTAAGCAATATGCTATGCAACATCTTTTAATTCCTAGTGTTCTGTTTAATTTTTTTTCAAGAATGAGTGTTTTCATGATTCCCTTGACTTTCTGTGTTTCTTGATGGCCAGAGATAAGGGTCTTAGTTAGACAATCCAACTATTTTGGACATAAGCATAACATATTGCCTGTTGTCAATAAATATATTTATCGCTGTCTCATCTATAGGTTTTTTTCTAAGATTTGTGAGCAAAAATTATTCTTCAAAAACACAGCCATCTTTGGGTACTGCTTTCAAACTAAAAAGACCTGGTCCTTGGGCAAGGTAGGTCTACCAAATTCATAAACTCCTGTAAATACCTTGTTAAAGTATAATTCTCAAAAATGTAAAACCGTCCAAATTGGAAAAGAGGGTATCAATTGTCTCTTTCTACAGACAGCATGACCTTACATTTAGAAAAACCAAAAGACTTCACCAAAGAACTGTTAGAACTGGTAAATAAATTCAGTAGTTGTAGGATACAACGTCAATGTATACAAATCAGTAGCATTTCTATAGACCAATAATGAAATAGTCAAAAAAGAATTCAAAGTGACAATTACATTTAGAATAGCTACAAAAAAAATGACTAGGAATACATTTAACCATGAAGGTAAAAGACTTCTACGAGGAAAACTATAAGACATTGATGAAAGAAATTCAAGAGGTCACAAATGCAAAGACATCCCATGCTCAGGGGTTGGAATAATTAATATTGTTAGATGAACATGCCAATCAAAGCAATCTACAGATTCAATTCAATCCCTATCAAAATACCAACACTATTTTTCACATAAATAGAAAAAAACAATTCTAACACTCATATGGAACTGAAAAGGAGCCCAAATAGCCAAAGAAGTACTGAGTAAAAAGAACAAAGCTGGAGACATCATACTATCTGACTTCAAAATATACTACAAGTCTGTACTAACCAAACAGCAAGGTATTGGTATAAAAATAAACACATAGATCAATAAAACAAAACAGAGAACCAAGAAATAAATTTGCAAATGTACAGCCGCATATTTGATCTTTGACAAAGCAATCAAGAACATACATTTGGGAGAGGAAATCCTCTTCAATAAATGGTACTGAGAAAATTGGATAACCACATGTAGAAGAATGAAACCGGACCCCAGTCTCTCACCAAATGCAAACATCAACCCAGAATGGATTAATGACTTACAGACAAGACCTGAATCTATAAAACTGTTAGAATAAAACATAGGGAAAACTCATCAAGACATTGGTCTAGGCAAATACTTTATGGCTAAGACCTCAAAATCACAGGCAACAAAAACAAAAATAAACAAACTGGGACTATAATGAACTAAAAAGCCCCTGAACAGTAAAAGAAACAATCAATAGATTTAAGAGACAACTTGCTGAATGGAAGGAAATATTTGCAAATGATTCATCTAACAAGGGACAAACATCCAGAATACTCAAGGAACTCAACTTAAGAGTTAAAAAAAAACCCACAAATAATCCTATTAAAAATAGGACAAAGGATATGAATAGACGTTTCTCAAAAGATGACATACAAATGCCCAACAGGTGTATAAAAAGGTTCAACATCGCTAATTATAATTTTGGTTTAATGCGAATCAAAAACACAATGAAATATTATCTTACCCCAGTTAGAATTCCTATTGAAAAAAGACAACAGAAAAACAGATATTGGTGAGAACGCAAAGAAAAGGGAACTCTAATAAACTGTTGATGAGAATGTAAATTAGTATAGCCACCATAAAAAACAGTACGGTAATTTTTCAAGAAACTGAAATCCAATAATCCCACTACTCCACTACTAGGTATTTATCCAAAGGAAAAGAAATCAGTATATCAAAAGGATTCCTGCACTTGGGTGATTATTGCAGCACTATTTATAATAGCAAAGATATATATCAACTTAGGTGCCCATCAGTGGATGAGTAGACAAAGAAAATGTAGTTTACCTAATTGACCTAATTAACCTTAAACGTAAATGGGCTAAATGCCCCAATTAAAAGACACAGACTGGCAAATTGGATAAAGAGTCAAGACCCATCAGTGTGCTGTATTCAGGAGACCCATCTCATGTGCAGAGACACACATAGGCTCAAAATAAAGGGATGGAGGAAGATCTACCAAGCAAATGGAAAGCAAATAAAAGCAGGGCTTGCGATCCTAGTCTCTGATAAAACAGACTTTAAACCAACAAAGATCAAAAGAGACAAAGAAGGCCATTATATAATGGTAAAGGGATCAATTCAACAAGAGCTAACTATCCTAAATATACACACACCCAATGCAGGAGCACCCAGATTCATAAAGCAAGTCCTTAGAAACCCACAAAGAGACTTAGACTCCCACACAGTAATAGCGGGAGACTTTAACACCCCACTGTCAATATTAGACAGATCAATGAGATAGAAGGTTAACAAGGATATCCAGGACTTGAACTCAGCTCTGGACCAAGCAGACCTAATAAACATCTACAGAACTCTCCACCCCAAATCAACAGAATATACATTCTTCTCAGCATCACATAAAACTTATTTTAAAATTGACCACATAATTGGAAGTAAAACACTCCTCAGCAAATGTAAAAGAAGAGAAATCACAACAAACGTCTCTCAGACCACAGTGCAATCAAATTAGAACTCAGGATTAAAAAACTCACTCAAAACTGCACAACTACATGGAAACTGAACAACCTGTTCCTGAGTGACTACTGGGTAAATAACGAAATGAAGGCAGAAATAAAGATGTTCTTTGAAATCAATAAGAACAAAGACACAATATGCAAGAATCTCTGGGATACATTTCAAGTAGTGTGTAGAGGGAAATTTATAGCAATAAATGCCCACAAGAGACAGCAGGAAAGATCTAAAATCGACACCCTAATATCACAATTAAAAGAACTAGAGAAGCAAGAGCAAACACATTCAAAAGCTAGCAGAAGGCAAGAAATAACTAAGATCAGAGCAGAACTGAAGGAAATAGAGACACAAAAAACCCTTCAAAAAATCAATGAATCCAGGAGCTGGTTTTTTGAAAGGATCAACAAAATTGATAGAACTCTAGCAAGACTAATAAAGAAGAAAAGAGAGAAGAATCAAATAGATGCAATAAAAAATGATAAAGGGGGAAATCACCAGCAATCCCACATAAATACAAACTATCATCAGAGAATACTATAAACACCTCTATGCAAATAAACTAGAGAATTTAGAAGAAATGGATAAATTCCTTGACACACACACCCTCCCAAGACTATACCAGGAAGAATTTGAATCTCTGAATAGACCAATAACAGGCTCTGAAATTGAGGCAATAATTAATAACCTAACAACCAAAAAAAGTGCAGGACTAGATGGATTCACGACCGAATTCTACCAGAGTTACAAAGAGGAGCTGGTACCATTCCTTCTGAAACTATTCTGATCAAAAGAAAAAGAGGGAATCCTCCCTAACTCACTTTATGAGGCCAGCATCATCCTGATACCAAAGCCTGGCAGAGACACAACAAAAAAAGAGAATTTTAGACCAATATCCCTGATGAACATCGATGTGAAAATCCTCAATAGAATACTGGCAAACAGAATCCAGCAGCACATCAAAAAGCTTATCCACCACAATCATCCCTGGGATGCAAGGCTGGTTCAACATATGCAAATCAATAAACGTAATCCATCCCATAAACAGAACCAATGACAAAAACTACATGATTATCTCAATAGATGCAGAAAAGGCCTTTGACAAAATTCAACAGCCCTTCATGCTAAAAACTCTCAATAAACTAGGTATTCATGGAACGTATCTCAAAATAATAAGAGCTATTATGACAAACCCACAGCCGATATCATATTGAATGGGCAAAAACTTGTGCCCTTTGAAAACCAGCACAAGATAAGGATGCCCTCTTTCACCACTCCTATTCAACATAGTGTTGGAAGTTCTGGAGAAGGCAATCAGACAAGAGAAAGAAATACAGAGTATTCAATTAGGAAAAGAGGAAGTCAAATTATCCCTGTTCACAGATGCCATGATTGTATATTTAGAAAACCCCATAGTCTCAGCCCAAAATCTCCTTAAGCTGATAAGCAACTTCAGCAAAGTCTCAGGATACAAAATCAATATGCAAAAATCACAGGCATTCCTATACACCAATAAAAGATAAACAAAGAGCCAAATCATGAGTGAACTCCCATTCACAATTGCTACAAAGAGAATAAAATACCTAGGAATCCAACTTACAAGGGATGTGAAGCACGTTTTCAAGGAGAGCTACAAACCACTGCTCAACGAAATGAAAGAGGACATAAACAAATGGAAGAACATTCCATGCTCATGGATAGGAAGAATCAATATAGTGAAAATGGCCATACTGCCCAAGGTAATTTATAGATTCAATGTCATCCCCATCAAGCTACCAATGACTTTCTTCATAGAATTGGAAAAAACTACTTTAAAGTTCATATGGAACCGAAAAAGAGCCCACATTGCTAAGACAATCCTAAGCCAAAAGAACACAGCCGGAGGCATCACGCTACCTGACTTCAAACTATACTACAAGGCTACAGTAACCAAAACAGCATGGTGCTGGTACCAAAACAGAGGCTTCAGAAATAATACCACACATCAACAACCATCTGATCTTTGACAAACCTGACAAAAACAAGAAATGGGGAAAGGATTCCCTATTTAATAAATGGTGCTGGGAAAACTGGCTAGCCATATGTAGAAAACTGAAACCCTTCCTTACACCTTATACAAAAATTAATTCAAGATGGATTAAAGACTTACATGTTAGACCTAAAACCATAAAAACCCTAGCAGGAAACCTAGGCAATACCATTCAGGACATAGGCATGGGCACAGACTTCATGACTAAAACACCAAAAGCAATGGCAACAAAAGCCAAAATAGACAAATGGGATCTAATTAAACTAAAGAGCTTCTGCATGGCAAAAGAAACCACCATCAGAGTGAACAGACAACCTACAGAATGGGAGAAAATTTTTGCATTATCCATCTGACAAAGGGCTAATATCCAGAATCTACAAGGAACTTAAACAAATTTACAAGGAAAAAACAAAAACCTCCATCAAAAAGTGGGCAAAGGATATGAACAGACACTTCTCAAAATAAGACATTTATGCAGCCAACAGACACATGAAAAAGCTCATCATCACTGGTCATCAGAGAAATGCAAATCAAAACCACAATAGCATACCATCTCATGCCAGTTAGAATGGCGATCATTAAAAAGTCAGGAAACAACAGGTGCTGGAGAGGATGTGGAGAAATAGGAATAATTTTACACTGTTGGTGGGAGTGTAAATTAATTCAACCATTGTGGAAGACAGTGTGGCGATTCCTCAGGGATCTAGAACTAGAAATACCATTTGACCCGGTGATCCCATTACTAGATATATACCCAAAGGATTATAAATCATGCTACTATAAAGACACATGCACACATATGTTTATTGCGCACTGTTTACAATAGCAAAGACTTGGAACCAACCCAAATGTCCCAATGATAGACTGGATTAAGAAAATGTGTCATGTATACACCATGGAATACCATGCAGCCATAAAAAAGGATGAGCTCATGTCCTTTGCATGGACATGGATGAAGCATTCTGAGCAAACTATCACAAGGACAGAAAACCAAACAACACATGTTCTCACTCATAGGTGGGAATTGAACAATGAGAACATTTGGACATAGAGTGGAGAACATCACACACTGGGGCCTGTCATGGGGTGTGGGGCTGGGGGAGGAATAGCATTAGGGGAAATACCTAATGTAAATGACGAGTTGATGGGTGCAGCAAATCAACATGGCACATGTATACCTATATAACAAACATGCACATTGCGCACCCTAGAACTTAAAGTATAATAAAAAATAAATAAAATAAAAAATATAAAAAGAAAATGTAGTTTACCTAATTGATGGAATATTATGCAGCCATAAAAGAGGAAATTGTGTCATTTGCAACAACATGGACCGAATTGGAGGTCATTATGTTAAGTGAAACAACCCAGGCACAAAAAGACAAATATCACATGTTCTTATTCATATGTGGGAGCTTAAAAAGTTGATCACATGGAGGTAGGGAGTGAAATGATTGATACCCAAGTGAAGGGAGTATGTGAGAGTTGCAGGGCTAGGGGGAATGAATAGAGGTTGGTTAATGGGTATAAACATAGAAGAGATAGAATAAATAAGTTCTCACGTTTGATAGCAAACTATAGTTGACGATATTTCCAAATAGGTGGAAGACAGGACTTGAAATGTATCTAACATATAGAAATGGTAAATACTCAGGTGAAGAACACCTTAAATACCCTGACTTGATCATTACACAATTAATGCATGTACAGAATTTCACATGTACCCCATAAATATGTGCAAATATAATATATCCAAAAAACAAGTAAAAGTAAAATCAAGACTCATAATGAACTCATGAAATTAATGAGGTAACAAGTAAGATGTTTAAGCCAATTGAAATGAGAATTGAGGAACTTGGTTTCATAGGCAACTAATTAAGAAATGTTAGGAAAAGACAGTTGCATTTAAGAAAATGGTTAGAAGTTCTTGAGAGTAGCAGACTGCCACATTTAAGGCTTTGTTTTTCAGCAGACAAAAATTATTGGCAACTTTACTGACTAGAAGTTACAAGTTAACCTCAGACTTACAGAGTTTTAAAATAAGGCTGTCAAAAGAAGGCCAATCGAACAGGCAAACACCACAGCACTGAAAGAACACCTGATAATTTCCATTGCCTATTTCCAAGTTTCAGATATGTTTTTTTTTTTTCTGAAACTTGGAGTCAATTTAAGAACCCACCAAGCTTCCTGCTCAGATTTCTCTACTTTTAGAAATCTTTTTAGGAGCACCAAATCATCACAGTCACAGAGGAATTCTGGTTTGCCTGAATATAGGAAGTTCCAGATTACTTTCTGAAGAAAATGACTAAAGAAAGACAAAGAAAAATAACTTTATTATCTTTTTTATGGTAATTTTTTTGTTTTTGTATATACATATATATATACACACACACACACAAAATGCATAGATATAAAAATAGATAATATTAAATATTTTCCTGTTTTATATAGGAAATATATATGTGTTTGAAATATATATATTAGGCAATATTTTCCCATTAAACTCGTCTGACCTTTATTTATACACCTGATTTGTCATTTCTCCAACCTGGAGAATAGAGACTTTCAAGAACGTCAAAATCTTTTGTTTGGATGCTTACCAGGGCAATATACATGGTTGTTACATGTAGTGATGTAGTCTTTATTATTAATTAAATTTGTTAAATTTTGCTTCCTTAGAAGCCTGGATATCTTGTTACCTGGAGCATTCTGTAATTCATCCTCTGATTCTTTTGGCCCTCATGTGAACCAGATAAGCGTCAATTTGGGTCTCCAGACATTTGACAGACTAGTCAGTATTTCTGGTTTGAATGTCTGCGTCTGTTCTTTCTTGTTGTTTTCTACACACATTCAGTACCTATATATAGTTCAGCTGAGTAGCATGCTAAAATCTCACACCTTTCTTCCAACTGGGATGTGAATCATCCCTTTGTCCAACATATTCACGATATATAAATGATCTGCCCGTTAACCACTTAGTGGCTACCTCCTTTATCAAATCAAAAAAACATAGTGTTTATAGAATTTGTATCATGTGCACGTTTCAGGCATTCACTGGGGGTCTTGGAATGTATCCCCTGTGGATAAGGTGGGACTATTGTTCTTGTTTGGGCCAGACAGTAATGTTTTCTGGCTATGAAGACAGACTCCGTAAAGGTAATCATGAGGAAGAGTGGACCATGGGAAGATTAGAGGCCACTATTATTCTAAAACTGGATCCTTCAACATCCACCTTCAAGTATAACTTCTTTTTTTCAGAAAATACTTTCCATCCTGACCCTATAACATTACTGCACAAGATCTGGTATTCAGTTTGAAAGCACAAGTGTTGTATCTCTTATTATGCCTTAAAGCATAATAGATGTTGCTCATCTTCTTCTTTTCATTTGTCCTCATCTCTAAAAATCTTAAAATATTTAGGGAGGGGCCAAGATGGCCAAGTAGAAACAGCTGTGGTCTGCAGCTCCCAGCGAGACCAACGCAGAAGGTGGGTGATTTCTGCATTTCCAGCTGAGGTGCCCATTTCGTCTAATTGGGTACCCAGTTCATCTAATTGGGACTGGTTAGGCAGTGGGTGCAACCCACTGAGAGCAAGCAGAAGTAGGATGAGTCTTCGCTTCACCTGGGAAGTGCGAGGAGCCAAGGGACCTCCCTCCCCCAGCCAAGGGAAGCAGTGAGGGACTGTGCTACCTGCCATAGGTACTACACTTTTCCCACAGATTTTTGCAATCTGTGGATCAAGAGATTCCCTCATGAGCCTACAACACCAGGGCCCTGGGTTTCAAGCACAAAACTGGGCAGCTGTTTGGGCAGGCACCGAGTTGCAGGTGGTGTTTTTTTTTTTTTGTTTTTGTTTGTTTGTTTGTTTGTACTCCAGTGGTGCTTGGAACTCCAGTGATACAGGAAAACCGTCCACTCCCCTGGAAAGGGGGCTGAAGCCAGAGAGCCAAGTGGTCTTGCTGAGGGGTCCCACTCCAAAGGAGCCTAGCAAGCTAAAAACCACTGGCTTGAAATTCTCACTGCCAGCACAGCACTCTGGAGTCTACCTGGGAAGATCCAGCTTGGTGGGGGGAGGGGAGATCAGCATTACTGAGCCTTTAGTAGGCAGTTTTCCCCTGACTGTGCTAAGGAGACAGGGAGGTCTGGACTGGGCAGAATTCACCACAGCACACCAAAGCTGCTATGGCCAGACTGCTTCTTTAGATTCCTCTTCACTGGGCAGGGCATCTCTGCAGGAAATGCAGCAGCTCCAATCAGGGACTCATAGACAAAACTCTCATCTCCCTGGGACAGAGCATCTGGGGAAGGTTGTCTGCAGGGGCAACTTAAGCAGACTTAATATTTTCTGCCTGCTGGCTCTGAAGAGAGTGACTAATCCTGACAAGGGGAATTCTCCCAACACAGCACATCAGCTTGTTAAGGGAGAGACTGCCTCCTCAAGTGGGTCCCTTACCCCCTTGCCTCCTGACTGGGAGAGACCTCCTAACAGGGGTCGACAGACACCTCATACAGGAGAGTTCTGGTTGGCATCAGGCTGGTGTCCCTCTGGATGAAGCTTACAGAGGAAGGAGCAGGCCACAATATTTGCTGTTCTGCAGCCTTCACTGGTGATACCCAGGCAAACATGGTCTGGAGTGGACCTCCAGCAAATGGCAGCAGACCTGCAGAAGAAGGGCCTAACTGTTAAAAGGAAAACTAACAAACAGAAAGCAACAACAACAGCATCAACAAAAAAGATCCCCACCACAAAAACTTCATCCAAAGGTCATCAGCCTCAAAGGTCAAAGGCAGATAAATCCATGAAGATGAGGAAAAACCAGCACAAACATGCTAAAAATTTCCAAAAGTGAGAATACTTCTCCTCAAAGTGATTGTCATGCCTCTCCGGCAAGGGCACAAAACTGGACGGAGAATGAGATTGACGAAGTGTCATAAGTAGGCCTCAGACGGTGGGTAATAACAAACTCCACTGAGCTAAAGGAGCATGTTCTAACCCAATGCAAGCACGCTAAGAATCTTGAAAAAAAGGTTACAGGAATTGCTAACTAGAATACTCAGTTTAGAGAGGAACATATATGACCTGATGGAGCTGAAAAAAACAGCATGAGAACTTAGTGAAGCATGCAAAAGTTTCAATAGCCAAATCAATACAGTGGAAGAAAGGATATCAGAGATTGAAGACCACCTTGCTGAAATAAGGCATGAAAACAAGATTAGAGAAAAAAAGACTGAATAGGAACAAACAAAGCATCCAAGAAACATGGGACTATGTGAAAAGACCAAACCTATGATTGATTGATTGGTGTACCTGAAAGTGTTGGGAAGAATGGAACCAAGTTGGAAAACACATTTCAGGATATTATCCAGGAGAACTTCTCCAATCTAGCAAGAGGCCAACATTCAAATTCAGGAAATACAGAGAACACCACTAAGATACTCCACAAGAAAATTGACCCCAAGACACATAATCACCAGATTCTCCAAGGCTGAAATGAAGGCAAACATGTTAAGGGCAGCCAGAGAGAAAGGTCAGGTCACCTACAATGGGAAGCCCATCAGACTAACAGCAGATCTCTCTGCAGAAATCCTACAAGCCAAAAGAGAGTGGGGGCCAATATTCAACATTCTTACAGAAAAGAATTTCCAACCCAGAATTTCATATCCAGCCAAACTAATCTTCATAAGTGAAGGAGAAATAAAATCCTTTACAAACAAGCAAATCCTAAAAGACTTCGTCACCACCAGGCCTGCCTTGCAAGAGCTCTTGAAGGAAGCACTAAATATGGAAAGGAACAACTGGTACCAGCCACTGCAAAAACACACCAAAATATAAAGACCAATGACACTATGAAGAAACTACATCAACTAGTGTGCAAAATAACCAGCTAGCATTGCGATGACAGGATCAACTTCACACATAACAATATTAACCTTAAATATAAATGAGTTAAATGTTACATTTAAAAGACACAGGATGGCAAAATGAATAAAGAATCAAGACCCATCAGTGTGCTGTATTCAGGAGACCCATCTCACATGCAGATACACATAGACCCAAAATAAAGGTATGGAGGAATATTTACCAAGCAAATGGAAAGCAAAAAAAGCAGGGATTGCAATCCTAGTCTCTGATAAAACAGAATTCAAACCAACAAAGATCAAAAAAGACAAAGAAGGGCATTACATAACTGTAAAGGGATCAATGCAACAAGAAGAGCTAACTATCCTAAATATATATGCACCCATTAAAGGAGCACCCAGTCATAAAACAAATTCTCAGAGACCTACAAAGAGACTTAGACTCACACACAATTATAGTGGGAGACTTTCATATCCCACTATCAATATTAGACAGATCAATGAGACAGAAAATTAACAAGGACATTCAGAACTTGAACTCAGCTCTGGATCAAGTGGGCCTAGTAGCCATCTACAGAACTCTCCAACTCAAATCAACAGAATATACGTTTTTCTCAGCACCACATAAAACTTATTCTAAAATTGACCACATAATTGGAAGTAAAGCACTCCTCAGCAAATGTAAAAGAACAGAAATCACAATAAACAGTCTCTCAGACCAAAGTGCCATCAAATTAGAACTTAGGATTAAGAAACTCACTCAAAACTGCACAACTACATGGAAATTGAACAACCTACTCCTGAATGACTCCTAGGTAAATAACAAAATTAAGGCAGAAATAAAGTTCTTTGAAACTAATAAGAACAAAGAGACAACATACCAGAATCACTGGGACACAGCTAAGGCACTGTTAAGGGAAATTTATAGCACTTAATGCCCACGTGAGCAAGCTGGAAAGATCTCAAATCAACACCCTAACATCACAATTAAAAGAACTAGAGAAGCAAGAGAAAACAAGTTCAAAAGCTAACAGAAGACAAGAAATAACTAACATCAGAGCAGAACTGAAGGCTATAAAGACACAAAAAACTCTTCAAAAAATTAATAAACCCAGGAGCTGGTTTTTTGAAAAAATTACCAATATAGACCACTAGCTAAATTAATAAAAAGAAAAGACAGAAGAATCAAATAGATGCAATAAAAATGATAAAGTGGATGTCACCACTGATCCCACAGAAATACAAACTACCATCAAAGAATACTATAAACACCTCTACATCAATAAACTAGAAAATCTAGAAGAAATGGTTACATTCCTGGAAACATACACTCTCCCAACACTAAACCAGAAAGAAGTCAAATCCCTGAATAGACTGATAACAAGTTCTGAAAATGAGGCAGTAATTAATAGCCTACCAATCAAGAAAAGCCCAGGACAAGACAGATTCACAGCCAAATTCTATCAGAGGTACAAAGAGGAGCTGGTACCATTCCTTCTGAAACTATTCCAAACAACTGAAAAGGAGAGACTCTTCCCTAACTCATTTTATGAGGCCAGCATCATCCCGATACCAAAACCTAGCAGAGACACAACAAAAAAAGAAAACTTCAGGCCAATATTCCTGATGAACATCAACGTGAAAATCCTCAATATAATACTGGCAAACCAAATCCAGCAGCACATCAAAAAGCTTATCCATCACCACCAAGTTGGCTTTATCCTTGGGATGCAATGCTGTTTCAGCATACGCAAATCAATAAACATAATCCATCACATAAACAGAATCAATGACAAAAACCACATGATTATCTCATATATGCAGAAAAGGCCTTTGACAAAATTCAACAGCTCTTCATATTAAAAACTCTCAATAAACTAGCCATTGATGGAACATATCTCAAAATAATAAGAGCTATTTATGACAAACCCATAGCCAAAATCATACTGAATCGGCAAAAGGTGGAAGCATTCCCTTTGAAAACTGGTACAAGACAAGGATGCCCTTTCTTACCAATCCTGTTCAACGTAGTATTGGAAGTTCTGGCCAGGGCAATCAGGCAAGAGAAAGAAATAAAGAGTGTTCAGATGGGAGGAGAGGAAGTCAAATTGTCTCTCTTTGCAGACAATATGATTCTATATTTAGAAAACCCCATCATCTCAGCCCAAAAACTCCTTAAGCTGATAAGCTACTTCAGCATAGTCTCAGGATACAAAATCAATGTGTGAAAATCACAAGCATTCCTATACACCAACAATAGACAAGCAGAGAGCCAAATCATGAATGAACTCCCATTCACAATTGCTACAAAGAGAATAAAATAGCTAGGAATACAGCTTACAAGGGACATGAAGGACCTCTTCAAAGAGAACTACAAACCACTGCTCGAGGAAATAAGAGAGGACACAAATGGAAAAACATTCCATGCTCATGGACAGGAAGAATCTTTATTGTGAAAATGGCCATACTTCCCAAAGTAATGTATAGATTCAATGCTCTTTCCATTAAACTACCATTGACTTTCTTCACAGAATTAGAAAAATTACTTTAAATTTCATATGGAACCAAAAAAGAGCCTGTATAGCACAGACAATCCTAAGTAAAAAGAACAAAGCTGGAGGCATCATGGTACTTGATTTCAAACTATACTACAAGGCTATGGTAAACAAAACAGCATGGTACTGGTACCAAAACACATATATAGACCAAGGGAACAGAACAGAGACCTCAGAAATAACACCACACATCTACAACCATCTGATCTTTGACAAACCTGACAAACACAAGAAATGGGGAAAGATTCCATATTTAATAAATGATGCCAGGAAAACTGGCTAGCTATATGCAGAAAACTAGAACTGGCCTCCTTCTTACACCTTATACAAAAATTAACTCAAGATGGACTAAAGACTTAAACAAGAAACCCAAAACCATAAAAACCCTAGAAGAAAACCTAGGCAATACCATTCGGGACAAAGGCATGGGCAAAGCCTTCATGATTAAAACACCAAAAGCAATGCAACAAAAACCAAAATTGACAAATGGGATATAATTAAACTAAAGAACTTCTGCACAGCAAAAGAAACTAGCATCAGAGGGAACAGGCAACCTACAGAATGGGAGGAAATTTTTGCAATCTAGCCATCTGAAAGAGGTCTAATATCCAGAATCTACAAGAAACATAAATAAGTTTACAAGAAAAAAAAAATGACCCCATCAAAAAGTGGACAAAGTATATGAACAGACACTTCTCAAAAGAAGACATTTATGTGGCCAACAAACATGAAAAAAAGCTCATCGTCATGATCATTAGAGAAATGCAAATCAAAACCACAATAGGATACCGTCTCATGCCAGTCAGAATGGCAATTATTAAAAAGTCAGGAAACAATAGATGCTGGCGAGGATGTGGAGAAATAGGAATGCTTTTACACTGTTGGTGGGAATGTAAATTATTTCAACCATTGTGGAAGATAGTGTGGCAATTCCTCAAGGATCTAGAACCAGAAATACTATTTGACTCAGCAATGCCATTACTAGGTATATACCCAAAGGAATATAAATCATTGTACTATAAAGACACATGCACATTTATGTTTATTGCAGCATTATTTACAATAGCAAAGACTTGGAACCAACCCAAATGCCCATCATTGATAGACTGGATAAAGAAAATGTGGCACATATACACCATGGAATACTATGTAGCCATAAGAAAGAATGAAATAATGTCCTTTGTAGGGACATGGATAAAGCTGGAAGCCCTTACCCTCAGCAAACTAACACAGTACTTGTCTTCATTTCTAGGCTCCAAGACTATTCATTTTTGGCAATTATTCTCAAGTCAGTGCCTATGAGAAACCCTGTATCCCTGTATTTTATGACTTTTTTTTCTACTTCAAGTTCTGGGACACTTGTGCAGAACATGCAGGTTTGTGCTCTCCCTCCACTTGCCCCCCCCCACCCCCTGACAGGTCACAGGTGCTTTGTTTTCTGTTGTTTTCTGGAGTAAAGGAAAGGAAATTTCTGAAATTTGTCATAATACTGTCAAAGTATTCTTATGTTGCCTTCTTTGCTAACTAAAGTTTCAACGGAGTGTTTACTCATGGCTCAATATTAGTATCTTCTCAATTGCATTAAAACTTACTTCTGCTAACTACATTCCAGCAGTTTTAGATTATAGTCTCTGAAACCCAGCATGAGAGACTGAATAAGTTAATCAAATGAACTCAGACTATTGTTTGTGAAGGAGTTACACCTTTTAAGAGGTAGAGTTTAAACCATTAAAATATCTTCTAACAGCCCCACAAGAGGTCTATAATTATAATATATACCTGATACCTCATAGATTATCTCTGCCTATGAATGGCAGACTTAATGATAAAACTGTGTTTGGGAGGAGCTAGAAACATTTAAAGTCATTGATAACTATTGACCACTAGGGAACTTCTATTCATTTGAAATGTTGAAAAAATGTTCCCTTAAGTTTTTAGATTTCAGCTCAGCATATAATGCAGTATGCACATTTATCACTTTATTTTCCTCTTGTTGAATTTTAATGTTACTTTTATGGCTTTATTTCAATATTTTTCTAGTGTGAGTCACATTACACTATACAATATCTGGCTTTTGTCCTTTGCAATACCATTCCTTTCCCCTCATCAATTCTTGTAAAAAACACTACTGAATGAATGAAACACTATGATTTTGTTCTAGACTTTCAGCTTGTCAGTTTGGCATTGAGCTATGAATATTCTGGAGCTAAAATTTCCACAGTGTCAATATCCAAGTGTATCTGACCAAATCCAGGATTGAGTTTCTTCTTCTGATGGGCTTTAACCCTTAATCCTCTCCCCATATGTGAAGAGTATCATGTTGCTTGAAACCAGAACTCAAGTCCATACTTATAAATTTGCCTACTCACTAAAATGTCTTTGTAATGAATATTCATAGCATTTTTGCCATCATTCAAGGACATATACAAAGTGATAAAAAAAAATTGAGTCACTCATTTCTTCCTTTCCCAGATGAGGTCAAACAAAGTAACACTCTGCTTGCGTTTCAGCTCCCTTACAGTGATGACAAGAGGATAAAGACAGGAGGAGCGGCGCAGTGTGGTACCAGAAGCTCCAGCTGAATCCTAGCTGTGGCATCTGCTACTGGGGCAGCCTCAGGGAAGTCACTTAATGCTCTGAATCTCATTTTATCTTTTGTAAAATAAAAGAAATGGAATCTATCAAGACGAGTAGTTTTTAAAATTTAAGATTATAATCTTTGTGAGATAAATGTATAATTGTATTATATAATTACTCTTTATGATTGCATGTAATATCAAATTATTTAATGTAACATATATATAATTTTCCCTTAGGAGCAAAGGATTTGTATTTACTATTGGTGATCACTGTAACTTTATAAAAGCATAACCACCAAGATTAATGAGAATTAACTGTACATAGGCTGACTAAAGACAGTGTTTAACAGGAAGTACGGTGTCATCTCAAAGTAACAGAAACTAGAAAACCCAAGAAAAAACTAAAATCTATTATAAATGTTAAAATAATTTAAAGTGTTAAGATTAAAACCAGTACAAGAATCAATACCTTTCTCATATACCACTATGATGACCTAGAACCATTTTATCTATACAACAAGTATTAGACTTCAGGAAAATGACAGTAAGTCTCCAATTATTAGAGGTATATGGAGCTCAAACCTTTATTCCCAGGAAAACTGTCTAACAAGTCTGACAGATGTGGATGTGAAAGGGGCAAGGAGCCCTTTCTATTTGCAGACATTGTATTACTTACATGGACAGTAAAATCAAGAATAGTAAAGGTGATGTGTCACTACATCCCTTGTCCCAACAGCAGAACAGGGACAACACCAAGACGAAGGAGGCAGATGACAATGCAACACGAGTGGTGGGGCACCCTGCTGCTGAGGAGCTAAATATACACTGTAGCTAACGAGTGTCACAGTGTGCAGCTAGACCCAGAAGGAGAAGGCAAGCCAAAAATTCTCATACCTTATCAGAACCTGGGAGATGAAAACTATCTCAGAGGTGGTTTCTATGGGATAGACAGTAGGCGAGAAGTGGGCTCATACCAACTCCTCCTAAGACCCTCATGCTTTACATTCCAGGAGAATCACAGGGCATTCTGCGAGATCAGCTGTTTTTAAGCCTTCCCTATGTTGCCAGTGTGGAAGTGTGCAAGGTCATTGGGACACCAGCCTGGAAGAGTTCCTGTTACTGCGTTGTATTTAATAACAAAATTAGGACTTAGATCAAATTCTGACAGGTACAAATGGTTACTATCAAGTATTCAAAATTGATCAAATAACTAGTTCTTGTATCTCAAGGCAAGATATATTCTGACCAATATCTAGCTTAAAAGACTCAGTCTGAGGTGGACATAATGGCATTCCGATGGGCGGGCAAGTCAGTTGGGTCATCCCACGGTTTGATATGTGAAGTGGAGAAACACAAATTAAGTAAGACTCCCTATCTTAGGTGCTGCTACCAAGCTTTGGGAAACAGGGCTTGCTTTTCCTGGGATATTCAACCTCATTTTTGCTAAGGCAGTGGGGTTCCTTAAAAGCTTTTCAGCCTTATCACATAACTTAAACTCTATTAGCCTAATTATAATAGGTAACATATATTTCTGACATCTATCTTAATAGTCAGTAAATCTTCTCGTATATATTTCAATAACAGTATTTGAAGTGATCAAGTGATATTTTTGAGTATATATTTCTGATACACTAGCATCTTTAAAAACTAATTAACCAGCCCTATGGTAAGGGTTAAAATTAACTTATATCATGCGCGTGCGTGCACACACACACACACACTCACATACACACACACGTACACACAGATCCAGCATACATTAAGTATATATTACATTGTTTCTACTTCAACATCCTGAAGGGAAATCATTTAAAACCATGTAATAGAAACATCCAGATAGACCATGTAATGGAAGAAAATTCTCATTTACCAAAACAATTAAAAAATTAAATAAATGAACAGACTACCTATGAACTTACGTGCTGAATATATAAAGAAAAAATTCAGGCTGGGCGTGGTGGCTGATGCCTGTAATCCCAGCACTTTTGGAGGCCAAGGCAGGTGGATCACTTTAGGTCAGGGGTTCCAGACCAGCCTGGCCAACATGGTGAAACCTCGGCTCTACTAAAAATACATAAGTTAGTTGGGCGTTGTGGTGTGCGCCTGTAATCCCAGCTACTGGGGAGGCTGAGGCAGGAGAATGGCTTGAACCCAGGAGATGGAGGTTGCAGTGAGCCGAGATCGTGCCACTGCACTCCTGCCTGGGTGACAGAGCAAGACTCCATCTCAAAAAAAAAAAAAAAAGAAAAGAAAAGAAAAAGAGAAAAAAGAAAAAATTCAAATGTTGCTGAAGGATTTAAAAGGTGATTTGAAATAGAAAAAATATATCATGCTTTTGATTAGGAATGTTCAATATCATGAAGATGTCAGTTCTCCATAAATCAATCTATAAAATTAATATGATTTTGTAAAAACAACAATACCAATTGGACAGGATCTTTTAAAACTTTATATTTTAAAAAAAAGCAAAAACAATTTAAACCGCATAACTTTTTTAAAAAAGGTATAATGGGGGATAGTCCTATCAGATATTAAACTATATCTTCTAATTTAAACAATGAGGAGTTAGCACATTAAGAGTTCAATGGAAAGTCCCCAAAGTGCAGACATAGAAGATAAAATATATAGTGGAATTTTGTTTATAATAAAGTTTACATTTGAGATCATAGGTGAAAAAATAGAAGATTAATAAATTCGATTGGGACAACTGGTTAGCCAACTAAAAATATTATTTCTTTATAATTTACATGAAAATAAATTTCAGATGCATTAAAGACTTAGGCCAACTAAAAATATTCTTTCTTCACAATTTACATGAAAATAAATTTCAGATGCATGAAAGACTTAAGTATGAAAAATAAAACTTAGAAGAAAATTTGAAAAAAACTTTTATGTTGGAAAGTTCTTTTAAATTATGGAGTAAAACAAGTCATAAAAAATGAATTTGATTATATAACTCTAAATTATTCTACACAACAAATAAAAAATACACAAAAACATCAGAAACAAAATTTAAATTTTTAATTCATATAATATGAAATTGGTTAATTTTTCTATTATGCAAAAGTTTTCTATAAATTAATAAGAACACATAAAAGCAACCCAAGTTAAAAGGGGAAAAAAATTTAGATAAGTCAGAGAAATGCAAATAGAGATGGCCCTTAAGAACATGAAAAGAGGCCAGGCGCGGTGGCTCACGCCTGTAATCCCAGCACTTTGGGAGGCCCAGGCGGGCAGATCACGAGGTCAGGAGATGGAGACCATCCTGGCTAACTCAGCGAAACCCCGTCTCTACTGAAAATACAAAAAATTAGCCAGGTGCGGTGGCGGACTCCTGTAGTCCCAGCTACTCGGGAGGCTGAGGCAGGAGAATGCGTGAACCCGGGAAGCGGAGCTTGCAGTGAGCCGAGATCGTGCCACTGCACTCCAGCCTGGGCGATACAGTGAGACTCCGTCTCAAAAAAAAAAAAAAAAAGAACATGAAAAGATGCTGAAACTCAAACGCCTTCATAATAAGATAAATAAAAGTTAAAATTATGAAATAATTTTTATCAAGTAGCAAAAATTAAAATGCTTACAAACACATTGTGTTGGCGAGGGTATGGAAAACAGGCATTCATACTTTTTCTAGGAATACAAAATGGTACTATTTTATGGCAATAATTTGGCAACATCTATAGAAATTTGATGCTAAATATGTCCATATATTCATTGCAGCTTTATATTTGTAATAGCACAATATTTTTAAAAATTCTAAATAATAGGATTGGTTAAATACATTATGTAACATTTATATAATAGAAGAGTTTGCGTTACAAAGAAAATGAGGGACACCATTATGTATGGATATGTAACAAATACATACCGTCAAAACACACACTAAGTGACAAAAGCAAAGTACAGAAGAGTTTGTTGAGTGTTTGTCAAAAGAGAAAAAATAACATACATGTCCACCTGTCCACATACAGAGAATGTCTGCACAAAGGCACAAGAATTTGACTGGTGGCAGCTCCCGGAAAAGGAAACTCAGTTGCTGAGAGATCCAATTGAAAGAGAAACTTACTTTTTATTTTACACTTTCTTGTACCTTTTGCTATTATATCATGTGTATGTGATATGTATTCAAAGAAAAAGTAAGACTAATATTATCAAACATTTCAAAATAATGTGTAGTGATTTACGAGGTTATCTTTCATGGAAGCGTAGTGCTAAGGGAAAGAGCCATATTCGTACTCCGGAGAAACAAGGTATCTGACGAGGTAACTATCAATCAGGAGTGGAGCCAGAAAATTGAGCACAAAGGAAGTTTAAGAGCTAAATCAAGGAATACCAACTGTCTGCCCTTGCATCCGCCAACCTTATTTTAGGTAACATATATGGCTGTCTCCAGGGCGTGATTCAGCCTGTCTTGGCAATTTGAAAATCATTTTAATAATACCCTTAAACTTTAAAGGACTAAAATCAATAGTGTTTACTGTATCGATTTATCAATTTCCACTCGCCATCTACTGGCACAGATGTTCTTAAACTAATTTTAGCATCAGACTTTCTTAAAAAGTAAAATATTGTTCAGCATCTCAATATCTATATAAATGAAATGAAGCTGTTCTGTTTCTGCGAGGGAAGAGTGGTGGAGGCCCACCAGCCCATCTGCTGAAACTTCCTGTTCAGATACTCTTCTCAGCAGCCCACCCACCTTAGTTTCATTGAATGCAGCCCCAAAACCTTTGTTTCATGGGGGATAAAAGGAGTAAAGATAAAGAAAAACAGAGGTTTGGTGTGGGTAACATAAGAATTCTCCAGCAAGTAGCAAGACAGGCCACGGGTGGTAGTGGTTTTGCTGGCACTGTATTCTGCCTCTCGATATTGATAAAATATTTTATTTTGTGCTACAAATAAGATCTCTCTAAATACCTTTTCAGCCCTCCTCCAACCTATGTGTGTGTATACATACATATGTATGGGTGTTTATATATATATAATATATATATGTGTGTGTATATATATATATATTTAAAGCATATCTATATATATTATATATGTGTAGGGGAGAATAATATCTTTTCCAAACCTGTTACTGAGATCCCTAAAACAAAAGGCAGATTACCAAAAGAAGAGCATAATATTTTATTTAAAAAAGAGCTTTAGGTGACATGGGAACATTCAAAAATGAAGACCCAGAGACTCAGGGAAAACTGTATCTTTATGGACAGTCACACAAAAGTGTGTTTGGAGGACAAAGGGGTATAATTTAATAGCAGTAAACCAGGGGGAGCTTAGCAAGGCTTGTTTGTTCAGATTCTTCTTAGCGTCTGTGTGTGTCATTGTTTCCCTCCAGATATAGGACAGAACTACTGTCACATAAGCGTCTTCATGGGGGGGAGGAAAAGAGAATGACCTGCTTGCTTCTGCGGTTTTCGCAGTTTCTTTCAGCTTGAATTATTCATTATGCCAAAGTATAATGTTCTGAGCCCTGACACACACACACATATATGCATATTCTATACATATATATGTATTATATACAGTATATATCTATACTGTATTATATACAGTAATATACATCACACACATATATATGTATATTCTATATATACATATTCTATATATACATATATATGTGTGTGATGTATATTACTGTATATAATACAGATATTACATAAATAATCGTATATCTCTCACACACACAAATGGCTTTCTGCTTTTCAGTCTTCACATATAATAATTTATACTCATGAAGTATGTTTCCATTGCACTCCTGAGTTAGAGGTTCAGTCGCTATAATATGTCATGATTGGTTCGTTGAGTAGTGTAGGCTGAAAAATCTGACATTTGCCCAAACCATTCTCTGTTACACTGTGCAGAATTGAGCAAGTTACTTAAGCTTTGCCATCCAGTTTCAACATTGGGAGTGCAAGTGTATTTACTAGTAGTGTTTCTATCAATGTTAACATTAATTCATGTATGTGAAGAACCTGACATGGTAATTGCTTAATAAACTGTTTGTAATCCCAGCACCACTCTCCAACCTTCTTCTTTTCTTTGTCGACTAAAGGAAGAGTAACAATAATCAGGAGCATTAAAAATACTGTTTTTCAATAGAATGGAAATATATGTATCTTTATTCTAGCATTTAGCTAACACATACAATGGAAAAATATCACATATATAAAGATGATGGACATAAAATCTATGTTAGTATTTCACAAGAATCATACATACTTTTTCGTAAGTTTGCCCACAGGTTTATTATAGCACTAGTGTCAATAAATAACACTGTGCACATATTTACAAGAATATATTATATGCATGCCATTTCCTTGTCACAGCTGAAGCCTATCTCATGTAACATATGCACTAGGAAATCTTACAATCAAGGGGAATTTTTTTTAAACATCAATCCTTTTTGAGTCTTCCTTGGGTTGGACAAGAAATAGCATTTAAATGTCAGGTGTAATATATATCTGAATAGGATTTGTCATTATTAGTAAATTTGAAATATTCTGGAATGAGATGTTACCTGGGAATCACTTTCATGATACTTAGTTGAGCCTAGCATATCTCAGAATACCTCTCGTCTTCCCTCTGAGTTGGTCTTCCTGCTTTCGGTCTCTTCCTTGCTTAAAGAGTTATGTCTGTTAATACTTAAAATTAAGATTAAATAATTTAACTAGTTGTTCAAGACTAGTTACTCCCAATCAAACAGTAAGTACCCTCTCATCTGTGTGTGATAATGCTAGTTAAGCCAGGAGTTGAGTTCAGGTTCTCTGACACCATATTCACATTCCACATGGGCTGTCACTATGCTACTCTATTAGCCTGGTTGATGAATCTCTGCACTCCAGCCTGGATTTTCTGTGTTCATTCTTACCTCCGAGATTTTCATCACATTTTTGCCCTTACCTGGAATCACATCACTCCTTCTCCATCTCCACATATTCAACTCGTGATACCTAGTTCAAGTCTAGCTTTTTCTAAAGGATTACTTGTAGCAACTATACCTTCTCTGCATTTATAATTATAGTAGCTCATTAACTCATTTGATATATGACCATTAATATATTTCTCTAAGTCTAATAGTTTTATGATTATTAGTCATATCATGCAGGAATTGTGATTGTACTTTTTTTGAACCTCTTCAGCACAGTAAAGGAGTGAAGAGTGGCTAGTCTCTGTATTCATGCCTAATTTATTCGGGTTGAATTTGCCTAAATGATTGGTTCGTTCTTTTGTGTTTATTGTAACATTTATGTTTTAGAATTTGTTTTTCATTTTTCTGCTCAGATTCTTGCTACCATACATACTCTGCATACAGATAGTAATAAATTTTATGAGATTTAGTTTAGTGGTGTTCAAATTTTGGTGTACATATAGACTTTCCTGGGATCTTTTTCAAAATACACAAGCTGGTTTCTATTTCCCACAGTGTAGTGTAATAGACACTCTAACTGGCACTCTTGATTAAAACAAACTACGAATGTGGGAAAAGTACTAAAACAATAATTATAAATCCATTACTGAGCTGACATTTGCAGAAGCCAAAATGAAGTAAAAGCAAGGATTATTATGAAAGTGAGGACCAAAGCCAGCCTTCACTTTGTGATGCAGTGGTTCCATTTCAATGGTTGCACGAGAGGCAAGAGATTGGAAGCAACTATGATGGAAGTTTAGTAGAAGACTACTGCAAAAGCTGAAAGATGAAAAAGTAATAAATGGGCAAATACTAAGAAAACTAGTTTTTCTTGATCTTGATGAACTGAGAAGGGGAAGGAGGCTAGAATATTCCCTATATAGGTTTATGGTCTGGACACATGCTACCAATGTATTTCAAAAAAACTCAAGAAGATAACTTAATTGAAAGTGCTCACAGGCTGGTAGTGACCACAGATAACCAACAGAAGCAGAGAAAATTACTTTTGAAGGAACACAATTTTAATAAAAGTATCAAAGAATTTCCACAGAGAATTTTTGAGGAATGTTTGCTCAGAGTTAAAATGAACAAAACACAAAACAGAAGAAAACAAAGAAACATGAATAAAAGATCAGGGGATCATGGGGAATAGACTGTAGAATTAGATACAAAAGATATGTTTATTTAATGTATCTAATGGAGACTCTCACATTAGAAAACAGAATATGTATCAAGACATAAAAGAGATGCTTGAAGAAATAATCTACATATTAGTTTTGGTGAATATATATGACTGGGTATATTTGTCAAAAACTTAACTTATACACCTACAAAAGGTGACTATTACTGACTACAAATTGAACCTCAAAAATCTGACTTAATGAAAGAATAAACATCTTCAAAGGTCTTTTTAAAAAACAAATAAAATGTGGGACAGCACTAAAGTGATAATTACAGGGATATTTATAGCCTTAAATGTTTCTAGTTGTAAAGAAAAAAGGCTGAAAAGAGATCTGAAACATCAACTTTAGACAACAGGAAACAACAAAATATCTCTAAAGAGAATAGAAAGAAATAATAAAATAAATGCTTAAATTAATATAATAGGAAACAAATATTCAGTAACAAATGCCAACAAGCAGCTAAATGTTGTTTTTTGGGGCAAGAACTAATTTTTTAGTTGTATTAGTAACAAGTGACCACCAGAACGGGCTAGAAACCCATTTAGTCAAAGAATGACAGCTGTTTCACTAACCGCTTCTGAAAGACCGCCAACCACGAACAGACACACTCTGATAGCCGCACTTCTACAACTAAATATAACCAATCATTAACACCTGTGTCTGTGTTTGTGTAATTCTTGAACTCTGTGCTTGCCATAACCTTCTATAAATGTTCTCTGCTTGGCTCAGAGAGAATGTCATTAGTGTCACCTTTGCATACTCAGTTGTAGTTCTTTCAGTTGTTACTGCACACCTCTTGAAAGTTTTCAGCAGGTTCAAGTCTCTTTCTGCTTTTCTGTACAACTTGGTGCCCTTGCTCTAGAAGACTCTTGCTGTTCACCTGTAAACTTGTAGCCCAGACCTCTTCTCTTTCTTGATATATAACCAACTAATGATCGAACATCACCTGTATGCTCTGTAGACACTTCAGATAGATGTGTGTAAACCGAACTCACCTAGCCCTCCTCTTCCTCTATTTCTTATTTAGTACCAGCATCAACCCAGTCTCCTCAGCTAGAAACCTGGGTTTCATAGTTAACACCTGTGTCTCTTTACCTCCCCCCCCCCACCCCCCGCTCCCCAATCAATCAAGCACCAAAACCTGTTCATTGAGCCGCCTAAAAATGTCTTTAGTTCAAGAGTTCACAACCTTGACTGCCCATTGGAATCACCTGGACAACTTTAAAATGTACCAATGATTCAGTTTAAATTTTGATTTAAATGGTCGGGGGGTGGGTGCTGAATTTCAGGATGTTTAAAATCTTCTTAGTATTCTAATGTGAAGCGAAAGTAGAGAACCAAGCATGGCTCTGTCTCCTCACCTCCATTATCACATAACTTCAGGCCCCACAATTTCTTACATGAATTATTGAAGCCATTATTAAGATCAGTCAGGCTCCTGGTCTCTAGTGTTATTCACTTCAAATTCATCCTTCACACAAAATAATAGCATGTAGCTATAGAAATATGACAATTTATCTTCCTTTTAAAAATTTTTCCATGCCTGGCCATTAATAAAGTATAAAGTCTAAATTCTTTTAACAAGTCCTTCAGCCACTTCCATCACGTGCCCCCAATCTGATGATGCATGGCCTCATTTCTTGCCACTTGGCTTTTCAATATAATCTAGCATCACTGAGATGTTTATTTTCTCGTATGCATCCTGTTGTGCTTTTTCTTTTACATAGAATGACTATTCACCTACCAGCAATCTAGTTAGACTGATTCACTAGTTTATAAAATAGTCCAATACTTCCTTCTCCAAGAAGCCTCCTTTAACTCTCTGAGGCTGAGGCTGGATGTTGTTGCCCCTTGCTTTTTTTTTTTTTTTTTTTTTGGAGATGGAGTCTCACTCCGTCGCCCAGGCTGGAGTGCAATGGCAGATCTCGGCTCACAAACCTCCGCCTCCCAGGTTCAAGTGATTCTCCTGCCTCAGCCTCCTGAGTAGCTGGCATTACAGGCACATGCCATCACGCCCAGCTAATTTTTGTATTTTTAATAGAGATGGGTTTCATCATGTTGGTCAGGCTGGTCTCAAACTCCTGACCTCAAGTGATCCACTCACCTCAGCCTCCCAAAGTGCTGGGATTATAGGCATGAGCCACTGCGCCTGGCCAATGTTGCCCATTTTATGTTCCCATAATATTCAAAGCTTATCTTCCTTATTTCCCTTATCCTGCTTTATCATATCCTTATGTTTCTCCTTCCCTCAATAGGCTATAAGTTTCTTGAGTCCTCTCAGAATTTGATTTAACTCTTGATATGGTTTGGACTGATGGGAAATACAATGATCAATAACAATGGTATTTGTATTCCATTTGCTCATAATTTACATGCACAGGTAATTAAATTACTAATAGAGTTGGACAGATGAAACAGTATCTATATGAATACAGTCCAACAGGAACATAGAGGAAGATACAATTTACTGTACAGGGGCGTGGAAGTGAGGTGTTAGAAATGACTGATTAGGAGATTACACACCATCTAGAACTGAGCTCATTAAAACAAGTGCAGTTAAAATATACATAAGTTTCACCAGACCCATAAGAGTCTTAATGGTAGTTTCTTTACTCTGCATTAGAATGTCTTTGCTTTCCACAATGTTGGTTATAATCACTAGGTTTTCATTTTGCAGACAGAGGCGCTGATAGAAAGATTTCCAAGTGAAAATTTATGGTAATGATGTCTGGTTACAATGCTTTGCATATAGTGAAATCTTCCATAATGTAAGTACTTTCTCTGGTTTTTACTTATGGGATAGTCAGAGACCTATAAATATTGCTTGACCACGTGGACCACAATGTGAGCAGAGAGAAGGGAAAATGAGCTCTTTGCAGTTTTCATCCTACCGCCAGGTTACAATTATTAAACTTCCATTTCCATTATACATTTGTAATCTCTCATCAGCCTAGTTAATTGACTACTTGAACTTCCAAAACTCTGCTTAAAACAAGTAAGTTATAGAAATCAAGATATTCAGAGAATCAAAAGGTGAAAGTGGTTTATGCATGCTACATTCCTGTTTTTCCTTTGAATACTTCCTTTTGCTGAAATACTCATTTCGGAAGTGCTGCGTTAGACAAATTGTATCTCTATTCTAAGATAATGGAAATACAATTTCTAAAAGTAAATTCATTGTCACAAAATAATGATGCAACTAAACAATTTGGTTCCCTCTTAGGTTTCATAACAAAGTAATTCCACTTAAATTGTGTGAATAATGAAAGTAACTTTATTTGGGAGACTTGGTAGTTGCTGGTACTAAATAAAGAATACAGGTATATAGCTTTGCATTGTCAGAGAATATTTAATTAAAATCTTCTTACTGGGGAATAATATGTTAGAGTTAGCAACAACTCTTTCAGATCAGTGGGCAACATTTAGTGCACTTAACAGTTACTAATTTTCTTTCTTAAAGTGTTTCCTTACTGACTTACAATGTACTCAGGCATTCTGCTAAAACATTCATTAAAATATATATGAAAAATTTGTAATTTTTCTTCAGCATGAAAATGTCCCAATTTTCTAAAATTATTTTTTTCTTCTGGAGAAAACCTTTTTTCTGCCTCTAAACTTTTATTCTTTGGTGTAACAGAGCTCCAAAGGGGAAAAAAAAAAGTGTAAGCCACTTATTCTGGCCCATTAGATTCTATGAACATTGAGATTGCTCTGTGATCCAATTCAGCAACACAAGGTTAATGAAGAACAGGCACTTCTCTTTCCCATGATGCAGGGCAATGTCAGGAAAGATATACCTGTTTAGTTCTTGTTTGCAGATAGCTTGGGTTGGCACTGATTAAAACTGAAACTGATGAGAGAAATGACCCGAAACAAGAGTTTTCAAAAAGATAACTGCTTTGCTTGGTTATCGCTGTTCTTCAAGTCATGGGAGTTGACATGCCCATCCTGATAGAGGAATGGATGCTGGTGCATTTTCCGAGTCATGGAAAAAATGTGTTCCTTTTCTTCTCACCTGTCTAGCCTCTTTCAGTGCTTTAGTAGTAAGGCTGAATACACGGTATCTTTCTCAAATTCCTTCTATTTAGAGCAATGAATTTAGAGGAATCTCTACATCTCTGTTCCCCTTTGTCTTACATGACTGATGACAGTTGTGCGACTTGGGCCACTCTCATATATGTACCTAAAGTTATCTACAATTCCAGGATTTAGTTCTCCCTTTTTCAGTGGGAAGCCAGGGATTGAGCTAGATGATATAGGTATAACCGAATCTTCTCATTTCCATAAGAAGAGATAAAAAGGAAATAACTTGTGACTTTTGGTATTTTAGCTTTCATAAGGAAGACATTTGGTAACTCCTTGCAATTGATCATATCATATCAATGTCTCAGAACCCATTAGCTGAGAAGGGAAGATTTGATTGATAGAGTAGACATAAACTTTAGATGTCTCTGATCCAAAATTTGTGATACTTCATAAGGCCAATACATAGTCCTCAGATTGTTTAATGTAGTCTTTAATTATTCAGTGTTCTCAGAAGCATTTTCATCATGAAGAATTTCTTCATGAGTTTCCATCCTGTGATTTTTCAGCTGTAATCATTGTGCATTGAATGACTTGATTATCATAATTCACATATGATGTAGGGGCATTGTGAACTCTACATTTATTCATAAATTGATTTTACTTTTTCTCCCCAATTCCCTCTAATATTATATTAAATTGTATGTAAGGGTTTGTTAATTCAATCAGGTTAGTAACTAAAGCCCTTTGTTTTTAACCACAATTCAAATTTAAGCCCTTCTTGAGCCTTTAATCATGTAGTACATTTATTCAAAAGCAGTGACCTTCTTTAAAAGACATGGAACAATTCAGGCAGAAAGAAAAACATGAACAAGTTTTGGTCATCGAGTTTAAAAATGAACTGTGTTTGAAAGTCATGAAACTCCATTAGAAAAATCCAGTGTATTAGCACGGCTTTGAATTCAAAGCTTTCACAGGCTTGAATACTAGTCCTGTTATTTACCACTTGTGGAACTAGTTACTTAACTTCAGGCCTTAGTTTACTCATATGTGAAATTTTGATAGTGGTCTTCTTGCACAGAGTTCTTATAAAAAGTACAATAATATAAAGCCAATTTAACAGTATAAAATACACGTGAGTACAATTACATTATATATGTATATATACTTTATGTCTAATGTATTTAAATGTGGTAAAATCAATACTAGAATATTACAAAGGCTCCACTGGAGCTTGCATTTGGAGTGAGGAGACCTGGCTACCATTTTTGTATCTTTTATTCCTTATCGTATCACCTGAGGAACTCCCTGAACCTCTCTGGGCCTTCTTTCCCATAGCCAGCATTATAGTTTTGGTTGGATGCTTCCCTGCAAACATTACCCCGTTGGAAACCAGAGAAGAGAGAGGGCAGAGGCTGCTTATGGAGGTCAGGATTATTGTACCTAGAGAAACGATTTTAACAGAGACCGAAATGGTGCCAGGTGTACAGCCTAGTGTTCTGATCTCAGGCACGGATCTTGGCAGAACTCTAGTCATTATAGGTTATAATTTTCTCATAGGAATTGCAGAAAGCTATAATCTAGTGAACAACTTGAAGGTCCTCGAGTCATCCTAGGAACTATAGATACTTGACTAAAGCAAAAAAACTAGTTCCCAGTCTTGCATTCTGAAAATATTATGTTTCAGCTGTACTCTCTGTCTGGGTCAGGCAGAGGTACAGGTGAAAGATCTGCCTACTAACCCAAACCTTAGTACAGTGAACAGAGGTGGGGAGGACTCAAAATAACATCTACCCCAGAGTGTTGTTATAAGGTCCAGGGATAATAATTTATGAAGAGATGCTATGTCTAATATAAAATGGAAAATAGAATTTTGGCTTATATAATTAAACATTTTAATTGAGATTGCCTTTTCAACTACTTTAAAATAGATTATTGATTTATATAATATAATCTAACATACTGGCTAATTGACATTGATTTTCCCTTACTGGTGAATTTATGTTCTTTTCTAATGTTGTCCAAATATTATTTACCCAGGTAAGATATAGCAAAAACATAATTATTTATAGGAGATTCAACTCAGCTGGTGGAAAGAAAACACTGAAAGTATTTTGAGATTTAGAATAATATACTCTAATTGTGTTAACATTCTGTTGATAGCATTGTTACTTTTTTTCCATGGTGCCAAATCTTATTCACTTTCCTCAGGTATTGCTTTATTTTTTTTAATTGATTATTTTCAAGTCCCTGGTGGTGCTAAGGAGAACATAGAATTCTCCTTAGAGTACAAATAACTCCTAAACCACAATATATTAATTTGTGGCCATCTTGTTCCTAAGCCAACTATTTATCAGAGCTGGCAGAGGGAGGGGGAAAAAACAGAAAGTACAAATTTTGCTAAGACATTCCTTGTACCTAATGATATACTCCAAAAGAGAACAGAAAGTAGACGAAGAAAGGGAAGAAAAAAAAAACATGAACAATATATTCAATGAGAACGTAGGCACCAGTATTCAAAATGATGATCTATAAATGTGAATGCTCTAACAAGTATCATTTGTCACTCATAAGTGAATAGTTTTAGTAACACATTTTCCAAGGACAGGCAATACAGATATAATATCTTATGTGTAAGATTCAACAAATTTTTATAATTTAACGCATAGTTAAATTTCTTTCTTTTACTTTCTTTGAGCAAAAAAATCTCCCTCTTCTGCAGTTGATTTTCTTTAAATATATTTTGTGATATTTATTTTATGTTATGGAAATAAGAGGATTCAGATACATTTATGCCATCTAGCTCAATCTCTAGCTTTCTTATTGAGAAAGGGAGAACTAAATTCTGGAATTGTAGATAACCTTAGGTACATACATGAGAGTGGCCCAAGTCATGCAAGTGTCATCAGTCATGTAGAAAAAAGAGGAACAGAGGTGTAGAGATTCCTCTAAATAAAAGGGATTTGAGAAAGATACCCTGTATTCAGCCTTACTATTAAAGCACTGAAAGAGACTAGGCAGATGAGAAGAAAAGGAACCCTTTTTTTTCCCATGCCTTGGAAAATGCACCAGGATCCATTCCTATATCAGGATGGATATGTCAACTCCCATGGCTTCAAAAAGAGGGATAACAAAACACAACAGTTATCTATTAAAGAACTCTTGTTTCAGGTCATTTCTCTCATCAGTTTTAATCAGTGCCAACCCAATCTATCTGCAAACAACCAAACATGTATATCTTTCTTGACTTTGCCCTACTTCATGGGAAAGGGAAGTGCTTGTTCTTGATTAACCTTGTATTGCTGAATTTGATCACCAGACAATCTCAGTGTTCATAGACTTTAATTGGTCAGAATAAGGGTCTTAAGTTTTGATTTTTGGAGATTTATTGCATTAATGAAAAAATGAGGGTATAAGGAAAGCTTTCCATCAGCCAATCTAGATTCAGATATAACACACATATTGGAATTATTAGAGGGAATTTACAATAACTATGATTAATACTTAAGGCCTCTAGTGAAAAAGGCTTATAATACGTATGGAAAGTTGGGGAACTTAGCATCATGATAGAAACCCTAAGAAAAAAAATAAAATAGAAATACCAGAAATGAAGAACATCCACAATGTCAGACATGAAAAATGCTTTTCATGATCCATCAGTAGTCTTGATGGAGCTAAAGAAGAAATCAATGAACTTGAAGTTTTTTCAGTAAAAATTATCCAAAACTGAAACTCAGTGCACAAAAAAAAAAAAAAGAATGGGAGATGGAACAAATCAGAGCTGCCAAGAGCCATGAGACAATATAAAACCACCTATAATACCTGTAATTGGAATCCAACAAGAAGAACAGAGAGGAAAAAAAGGGCAGGATATACATATAAGGAGATAATGGCTGCAAGTTTTTCAAAACTTAAGACTTCAGCCACTGATATAAGAACTGAGAGCACTAAACAGAATAAAACCTAGAGAAATTTATACCAGGCACATAGTATTTAAATAAGTGAAAAACAAAGAAAACCCAAATCTTTAAGGTAGACAGAAAAAAAATAAGTATGAACTATGGATGCATTTTGTAATATAGATGAATCTCAAATGTGAAGAAAACCAGACCCAAATGGCTACCTATTGTGTGATTTCATTTATATGGCATTCTGAAATCTATGTAAAACTGTAAGTATGGAAAACATATCAGTGAATTCCAAGGGCTAGAATAGTGATTTTGACTTGAGAGAGATACTAAGAAATTTTTGTAGGTGATGAAACTTTTATATATTTATTATTAAATTAAAAAAATATATTTTTATTACATTAAAAATATATTTTTTCATTACATTAAAAATATATATTTTTAATTTTGTGGGTACATAGTAGGTATATATCTTTATGGGTTACATGGGATATTTTGATATAGGCATGCAATGCATAATAATCACATTAGGGCAAATGGGGTGTCCATCACCTCAAGCATTTATCCTTTGTGTTACAAACAATCCAATAATATTTCTTCAGGTATTTTAAAATGTACAATTATATTATTTTTGACTATAGTCACTCTGTTGTGCTAGTAAGTATTAAATCTTATTCATTCTTTCTATTTTTTTAACCCATTAACCATCCTCACTCCCATCCCCAACAACCCTCTCACTACCCTTCCCAGTCTCTGGTAAACATTCTTCTATTCCCTATCTCTATGAGTTCAATTATTTTATTAATAATTTTTAGCTCTCACAAATAAGTGAGAACATGTGATATTTCTTGTTCTGTGCCTGCCTTATTTCACTTAGTGTAATGACCATCGGTTTCATCGATGTTGATGCAAATGACAGGATCTCATTATTTTTTATGGCTGAATAGTACTCTATTGTGTATACATACCACATTTTTTTTTATCCATTCATCTGCTGATGAACACTCAGGTGCTCCCAAATCTTGGCTATTGTTTACATGGCTGCAACTAACATGGGAGTGGATACATCTCTTTGATATACTGATTTCCTTTCTGGGGGGTACATTCTCAGCAGTGGGATTGTTGGATTGTATGGTAGCTTTATTTGTCATTGCTTGAGAAACCTCCAAACTCTTCTCTATAGTGATTGTACTAACTTATATTCCCATCAATAATGTATGAGGGTTTTCTTTTCTCCACATTCTTGCCAGCATTTGTTGTTGCCTATCTTTTGGATAAAAGCCATTTTAACTGCAGTGAGATAATATCTCATTATAGTTTTGATTTGCATTTACTGATGATCAATGATGCTGAGCACCTTTTCATAAGTCTGTTTGCCTTTTGTGTGTTTTCTTTTGAGAAATGGCTATTCAGATATTTTGCCCACTTTTTAATTGAATCATCAGAATTTTTCCAGTAGAGTTTTTTGAGCTCCTTATATATTCTTGTTATTAATCCATTGTCACATGAGTAGTTTGCAAATATCTTCTTGCCTTCTGAAGGTTGTCTCTTCACTTTGTTGATTGCTTCCTTTGCTGTGCAGAAACTTTTTAACTTGACATTATTACATTTATCATTTTTGCTTTGGTTGCCTGTGCTTGTGGGGTATGACTCAATAAATCTTTGCCCAGACCAATGTCCTGGAGAGTTTTTCCAATGTTTTCTTTTAGTAATTAGTAGTTTGAGGTATTAGATTTAAGTATTTAACCCATTTTGATTTGAGTTTTTATACATGATGAGAGATAGGGGTCTAGTTTCATTCTTCTACAAATAAATATCACGTTTTTCCAGCATCATTTATTGAAGAGACTGTCCTTTCCTCAGTGTGTGTTCTTGGCAGCTTTGCAAAAATGAGTTCACTGTGGATGTATGCATTTGTTTCTTGGTTCTCTATTTTGTTCCAATGGTCTACATGTCTACTTCTATGCCAGTACCAAGCTGTTTTGGTTACTGTAGCTCCATAGTATAATTTAAATTCAGGTAATGTGATTCCTCCGTTTTGTTTTTACTTAGGGTAACTTTGGTTATTGTGGGTCTTTTGTGATTCCATATAAGTTTTACAATTGTTTTTTCTAATTCTGTGAAGAATGTCATTGGTATTTTGATAGGGATCACATTTAATCTGTAGATTGCTTTGGGAAGTATGCATATTTTAACAATATTGATTCTTCCCATCCATAAACATGGAATACCTTTTCATTGTTTTGTCTGCTCTTCAATTTATTTCATAAATGTTTTATAGTTTTCATTGTAGAAATATTTCACTAGTTTGCTTAGGTAAATTCCTAGGTGTTTAATTTGTGGCTATTGTAAATGGGATTACTTTATTTCTTTTTAAGATTGTCTTCTGTTGGCATATAGAAATGTCACTTATTTATGTATGTTGATTTTATATCCTGAAACTTTACTGAACTTCTCAGTTCTAATAGTTTTTTTTGTGGAATCTGTAGTGTTTTCCCAGTATAAGATCATATTATCTGCAAACAAAGATAATTTGACTTTTTCCTTCCTAATTTGGATGTCCTTTATTTCTTTCTATTATCTGATTGCTTTATCTAAGACTTCCAATACTATGCTGAATAACAGTGGTGAAAGTGGGCATCATTGTTACGTTTTAGATCTTAGGGAAAACCATTTCTGTTTTTCCCCATTCACTATGATACAAGCTGCAGGTCTGCCATATAGGGCTTTTATTATGTTGAGGTAGGATCCTCTATACACAGTTTTTCAGGGTGTTTATCATGAAGGGATGTTGAATTTTATCAAATAATTATCCAGTATCAATTGAATGATCATATGATTTTTGTCTTTCATTTTGTTGATATGATGTATGACATTTATTTGCATATATGGACCCACCTTTGCATCTCTAGGATAAATCCCACTAGGTCATGATGAATTATCTTTTTAATGTGTTGGTACATTCAGTTTGCTTCTATTTTATTGAAAAATTTTTGCATCAATATCCATCAGTCATATTGGCCTGTAGTTTTTGTTTTTTTTTGATGTGTCATTGTCTGATTTTGGTGTCGGAGAAATATAATACTGTCCTTGCAGAATGAGTTCGGAAGTATTCCATCCTCCTCTATTTTTCAGAATACTCTGAGTAGAATTGTGTTAGTTCTTCTTTAAATGTTTGCTAGACTCCAGCGGTGTCCTGGACTTTTCTTTACTGGCAGACTTTTTATGGCTACAATCTCATGACTTGTTATTGTTCTGTTAAGATTTTGGATTTCTTCATAGTTCAATCTTGGTAGGTTGTATGGGTCTAGGAATTTATTCATTTCTTCTAGATTTTCCAATTTATTGGTATATAGCTGCTCATAGGAGCCACAAATTCTCCTTTGAATTTCTGTGGTATCAGTTGTAATGTCTCCTTCATCTCTGATTTTATTTATTTGGATCTTCTCTCTTTTTTCTTTAGTTAGTCTGGCTAATGATGTGTCAATTTTGTTTCTATTTTTGAAAACCAACTTTTTGTTTCATTGATCTTTTGTAGTTTCCTTTGTTTCAATTTTGTTTATTTATTCTCTGATCTTCATTATTTATTTTCTTCTGCTAATTTTGGGTTTAGTTTGCTCTTGCTTTTCTAGTTCTTTAAGATGCCTTGTTAGGTTGTTATTTTGAAGTTTTTCTTCTTTTTTGATGTAGGTGTTTATAGCTATAAACTTCCTTACTCATATATATCTTAATTGTAGCAGTGGTTGCATGACAATATGTACGTGTCAAAACTTGCAAAATTGCTCAATAAAAAGGGGGGATATTATGATATATAAATTATATTTAAAAAATTATGGGTGCGTATAGAAATGCTGTAAGGAAAAATGGCTATTTAGAGGTATTAGAATTTGAATTCAATCTTTAAATCATGATATGATTTTCATGAAAGCTTAATTTTTAAAAATAAAAAACATGTACATCATGCCTGTAATCTCAGCACTTTGGGAGGCCAAGGCAGGTGGATCACTTGAGGTCAGGAATTCGAGACCAGCCTGGCCAACATGGTGAAACCTCATCTCTATTAAAAATACAAAAATTAGTTTGGTATAGTGGCACGTGCCTGTAATTCCAGCACTTGGGAGGCTGAGGCAAGAGAATCACTTGAACCCGGGAGGCAGAAGTTGCAGCGAGCCAAGATCAAGCCACTGCACTCCAGCCTGGGTGACAGAGCGAGACTCCATTTCAAAAAAAAAAAAAAAAAAAAAGAAAGAAAGTACACATGCTATAGAGGGGGGCTAAAGGGTAATCTCACCATAATTAAATCCCTTTATTTGTATTTATCCCTGACTGTGTGAATCTAGCCACAGTCAAGAAACTATAACAAGGAATCATAACAATTCAAATAATTTATTTTACAAATTAGGAAAGTGAGACCTGGAGAAGGGAAGTAAATTTCTTAATATACACTATGAGTTGGGAGCTGGAGTTGAGATTCTACGTTGAAATTTCTAACTCTACAGCATCATTAATAGCTAAATTTAGAACCAAAGACCTCTAAATCATGATTGGTTCAAATAGCCCTAGCACTTCTTTCTTGTCCTGTGTTTACCACCCACCACTTTAGAAATGCTACTTTTGCAATCCTAATGTTGAAGTGTCTAGGAAACCCTCATTGCAAGCAGCAATGCTCTTCATTTTTTATAGTAATGCTTCCAACAGTTTCCTGTAATTCGCAATATAAATGCAAATTTTGATACTGTAAGTAGAAAGTAGAGATTTTTCCCTTATAAAGCATGAAACATTCTTGCATAGTAAATCCCAAGTTATCCTTTTAATCAGGCATAGAAAAAAATAGTTGGCCATTTACATATGGAGACTTGAAAGGAGCAGGGAGACATCCTACGGCCATAAAAATGTCTTCTAAATAGTGGTCTAGACTCTGTACTCCTGAGAATAAGAGTTTTCTGTGAATAAGAAATTTCCTTTCAGTGTTGCTGATTACTTTCTTACTAAAAAATAATGTTATATACTTTCTGTTGTCTTATCTACTTTTGCATTCTCTCCCAAGTCTGTGTGTCCTAAGAATCAAAGCTGCCGGGCGCGGTGGCTCACGCCTGTATTCCTAGCACTTTGGGAAGCCGAGACGGGTGGATCACGAGGTCAGGAGATGGAGACCATCCTGGCTAACACTGTGAAACCGCGTCTGTACTAAAAATACAAAAAAATTAGCCAGGCGTGGTGGTGGGCCCCTGTAGTCCCAGCTACTGGGGAGGCTGAGGCAGGAGAATGGCGTGAACCGGGGAGACGGAGCTTGCAGTGAGCCGAGATCACGCCACGGCACTCCAGCCTAGGGGACAGAGCGAGATCTCTGGTTTTCATTTCGGTCTTTGTTTTCTCTTTGTTTGCCTTGTTTTTGTTTTGTGTTGTTTTTGGAGACAGAGTCTTGCTTTGTTACCTAGGCTGGAGTGCAATGGCACAATCACAGCTCACTGCAACCTCAACCTCCTGGGCTCAAGTGATCCTCATGCCTTAGCTTCCTGAGTTGCTGGCACCACAGGTATGCACCACCACACCCAGCTTTTTTTTAATTTTTATTTTTATTTTATTTTTATAGTTCATTTTGGTCTTTACTGTCAGCTTGTTGGGTCTGTCTGAGCCTGGTTTACTCCTTTTAATTTGTAAGGCAGGATGACCTTAAAGCAGTTAACTTTGGTTCAAATTGTGACATAGGTATTGTGACATTGGCTAAATTATTGAAATAGTGTAAAATGGGATAATAATATTTCACAAAGCCACTTTGAGGGTTCACTTAAACAAGAATGCTATCAGCTGAAATAGAGTATGCTCTCCAGATGTTATTTCTCTCTGGTCACTAGTCTTAGGTTTCTTTGCATATACACAGATTCATCTTTGTATTTCTAGTGCTGTGCTTCTGTGCTATCTGGGCTGAGCATCTCCTATCTGTTTCTCTAGAGTAGTCTACACTTCTACCACTCCACACTTCTCCAACCTGCTCTGGGTCTGATAATGAGGGCTTCATTGATGGGTTCCTTCACCCTTTCACTCCATGTTGGGGTTGTCCAATGGAAGGTAGTGGTAGGAGATTGGAGGTTGGGTTGAATGTGAGTTCAGAGTGTTTTTCCTCAGCTCCTTCCTTGACAGGCTAGAGTGAGTTGGCAATGTTTTTCTACCAAAAGTCACAACCCCTATCAGAGGCCCTTTTACGTACAGCTTCTATGTTTTAGTCCCATATTTTATTAACTGCCTGCTCTCGTTGCTCTTCAGACTTAGAAGTGGCCATTCTGTTAGGTGTAGCTTCGGGAAACTGCACTGTCTTGTTGTGGCTGCCATTTTAAATCTTGGCCATACTCTTGTAAATAGCACCTTTTAAAACTCTCCTCCAAATGCCTATCCTTATCTGATACAGATCCTGCATGATGCGCAGGCATCATGGGCTCCTGGACAACTCAAATGTGGTATCATCTAGATGTTCCAATTATCATTCATTCACACTGTCAGGACCAGGTTCAGAAACACCTCCAGGAACCTACAAAAGGAGATCACAGGAAACCAGGGAGGAGGCAGGGTGTGACTGACCGACTTTTTCACGTCTAATTAGGAATCAGCTCTCAATGGGGAAAATGACAGGAAAATAGATCCGAATAATTGGAAAGACATGTCTGATTTATAAAAAAAAAATTTAAACAGATTATTTTAAGTGGAAAAGTTTTTAAGAAAGGTCAAAGAGAGATAACCTTACCTCAGCACATTTTAAAGATAAAAGAAAGGGAGAGCTCACTTATTATGATGCAAGCCAAAGTCGTAGAAAATTAACATACTTATTTTAATAAATCTATTCTGTCATGATTCTCATAATAGATTTATTAATGAAAACTTTCCACCTGCTGGGAGGGAGGGTGATGATTGTATATTTCAGGGAAAAAAGTCTCCTTAAGTATAACTCTAAGAATAATATTTCTTAAAATAATATCTATAACAGCATGTGATATAACTTTCCAAAAGGAAATTCACCAGTAGACCAGGAAAACTTATTATACAAGTATTTCTTAATGGTAAGCCTTTGGTGATCACTGAAGAACTATTTCATTATTACCAGTGGAGAGTAAACAGTAACTAAAAATTTTCCAGCTAGGTGTATTTGAAGAGATGATGCCAAATTAGATGTATAATAGGATTAAAATAATTTTAAGTCACTTTCAATATTCTCAATCTCTTTCTGTGAGATTATTCTATGTCATTTTATCTTTACTGAATGTCTCACCTTGTAGGTGAGGTGGTGCCCACATACCAAATTAAAGTGGGAGAAATCGAAACTTACAGATAAATAATTTATATCTACCTAATATTTAACCTGAAAATGATGTAGATACAGTTATTTAGGAGAGCACCTCAATTTGCTTCTTTACTTCTCTTTGGCTAGCCCAGTGTAAATTTTGAAAAAAAAAAAACAATGTTTTCGTCTGCTTTCAAGTAGGATGGTTTCATTGGTTAGTTTAAAGCCTAATATGTGATAATAAGAGACTTAAAACCATTCACTGGCTTAAAAAATAGAGAAGTTGATTTCTTACTCATTTAACTGTCCACGGTATGTGTCTCAAATCGGGAGATATCTCTACTCACTAAGTCAACTGGGGACCCTGATGGAAGCTCTGGTGTCATCAATATATGGTTTGTGCAATACTGTGGCTGTTTGAAGAAGCAAATACCACTTGAGCGCTTAGGCCACAACTTACCCACAAAGACTCTGCAAACTCAAGAAAAGCAGTCTAACCATATGGCCAGGAAAAAAATGTAGCATGAACTTTTGTGGAAAGCTAACGTTTTAGTTATGATTGCTGATGAAACTTTAAGAGGTCCATGACCAGCCATCTATGTCAATTTCCTGCCCAGAAGTAAATGAAGACTTTGTGGAGTAAGCATGGGATTATTGAGAATTGCTGTTAACCAGCTGAATACCTGGGCCAGAAAAGATCTTCCCAGTGTTCTGATCAGAAACCCTTGAGATGTAAGAGATACATAATAATGTATAAAATGAACATATATCAATATTTTCATTTTACAATTTGTAAAAACTTCTTATTGAGGTATGACATATACATCCCTTATTCTTTCTGAATATCAGTATTTTTGTCACAAGAATCTGCAAACTATATCACTATCACCTACCAATACCAATCAGTTCTGTTTTAAAAATTAACTGAATTCCATATGTACAGAGATTGGCACCTAAGCTGATCAAAAAATGATGGTTTCCAGGTGGGCATGGTGGCTCATGCCTGTAATCCCCGCACTTTGCGAGGCCGAGCAGGCAGATCATGAGGTCATGAGTTCAAGACCAGCCTGAACAACATGGTCAAACCCCATCTCTACTAAAAATACAAAAATTAGCCAGGTGTGGTGGCACGCACCTGTAATCCCAGCTACTCAGGAGGCTGAGGCAGGAGAATCAGCTGAAACCAGGAGGCCAAGGTTGCAGTGAGCTGAGATTGTGCCAATGCACTCCAGCCTGGGTGACAGAGCGAGACTCTGTCTTTAAAAAAAAAAAAAAAAAAAAAAAAAGGATGGTTTTCTCTCTGACGTTTTTGGACCAAATATCTTGATGGGTTTTTGTTGTTGTTGTTTGGTTTCTGTCGCTCTCTTTTGCCTTTGCTCTTTTCTTCTCCTCATCCCACATTCTTAATATTTACCACAAATCTTCATTCTACCTATCATTCTAGGATAGCATCTCAAAGACCAACCCACGATTGAAGCCTTTCTGGATCCTTTTACCTGGTTTCCCCCTCCATTGTTTGCCAGTAACATTTTATTTGTAACACTGACAATGTTACCAACAATATCACCAACCAGCTTGAATTGGAGTTTGTTTTTCTAAAATACTTTTTATTTTTGAAAATATTAAACTTTGGAACTCTCACTTAGATGTTTCCTTGAAAATGTGGGACTTGAATTGATCCTTGAAAGATAAGAATTATTTAAATGGGTGATATAAATCTAGCAGAACAGAAGGAAGCAAGGTGAAATATTAAATTTTTTTTAAATGGTAAATGAGAGAGTGTATTAGTCAGGGTTCTCTAGTGGGACAGAACTAATAGGAATATATATATTCCTATATATATATATATATATATATATATATATATATATATGTTTATTAATAGGCCTCCTGCAAGCTGAGGAGCAAGGAGAGCCAGTTCGAGTCCCAAAACTGAAGAACTTGGAGTCCAATGTTTGAGGGCAGGAAGCATCCAGCACAGGAGAAAGACATAGGCTGGGGCTAGGCCAATCTCGTCTTTTCACATTTTTCTGCCTGCTCTATATTCTAGTCACAATGGGGCTGATTAGATGGTGACCACTTAGATTAAGAGTGGGCCTGCCTTTCCGAGACTACTGACTAAAATGTTCATCTCTTTGGCAACACTGTCACAGACACACCCACGATAAATACTTTGCATCCTTCAATCCAATCAAGTTGACACTCAGTATTAACCATCACAGAGAGTAATGCTGCTGATCCATTACCAATAATCAATCACCAGCAATCAGTGATCAACTGCTATCAGCTATGAACAAGGTACTTTTTTACAAATTAAGTGTATAAAATCGTGAAAGATGTCTACTCTGTTCTGAAGAGGATTATGTGAAATGAAGTTTCTTTTTTCTGGTAGAACAGGATTTGCGTTATCTATCCACGTTTGTTCACTTTCCTTCCCTAGTGATTGAGTCAACATGTTTGCATATCAACTGGTTAGGGTAAAGAATTCCATTTATGGCCATAGATTTTGTGGGGATTACTGAACCCTAGCTGAACAAAGGAGCAAACTCAAATTTCTGTCCTATTTTCAACAACCAAGAAGAGAACCTTAATTCTTGCTCCACACTCAGGTACATATACTCCTGGGGGACTATAATAAGTAATATGTCAATCCAAAGGACACACATAATTTATTTTCTAAAATGTTAAATATTCTAAAATATTGACTTTAAAATGAAAAAAACAAATAAAATACTATAGAATAAACAAATTCAGATACATGATGGAGTAGAATATTAAAACAGCATATATATCTTGAAACAAAACATCAGAGTACATAAAAATTGCACAATTTTAGTGGCTGTTTCATGCTTCTTCCCAAAAGTCTTAGGTTATACATCAGCTCCCTACTACTTTGAGGAATGCTTCATTGGAAGAATCTTAGACTTTCTATTTTCATTCATATGTCAGAAATGTGATCATGCCACTGCACTCCAGCCTAGGCAACAGAATGAGACCCTGTATCTAAAAACAAAAACACAATTTTTAAAAAAACACTAATATCAGATTATTAGGCCAAAGAGTTTTCAGTCTTTATTTGCTCCCTCCAGTCGTCTGAAGAACATGTTAAAATGTGGCTCCAGAGTCGGAGCAACGTGGAGCAATACATGTTCCTTGGTGGCAGGTCTAGGATCATGGATTAAGGGACTCTGTGGATTCCTCTGTGGGATTACAAACTCTGTGTGGAGATACCATAAGCTACTGCACATGTCAGGCTGGTCAAGTTGCATCAAGCCTGCTAACAATGACGTTTCTGACTAAAAGCCTAAGATATTTTTTTTTTTCTGGGGGGATGACTGTAAATTTCTCTTCTAAAACTTCCACACAAAACACACTGAAAGTGTTTTCAAGTGGCTCTCTCCTTCAGAAAATCAATGTCAGAAACTTAGACCTAGTTATCTTGTAATACCAGGTTGTACCATTTTGCTCACTTCAAAACTACTTTTATAAGGATTTGCTATTATTTTCTGGTAATGTTCCATTATGTAAATGTCTGGAAACAACTTTCTGTCAAACTCGAGATGCTAGATCAATAGAATAAGTGCATGATCTTATGTCTTGCCAGTTATCTTTCATTATTTGGAAGTTCTCTATTTTCAATTTTCAGAATTAAAAGAGGGCTTATTTTCTAAATACAACCTCGTTAATTCTGACTGTGCTTCTGTAGACGTTGCTGGGCCTTCCCCAATATTAGGATTCGGTGGGCTCTTCTAGAAACACTTGCCACAGACAGCAATTGGAAAATCAGCAGCAACTCTATTTGCTGCTGTATAATATTCCACTGCCCACACCTGAAAAGACAACCTTCATGAATAGCAGAGGGTAGCTGGAAGTTGTCCTGGTAATTACATAGTCATACCCCAGTCATGCTTTTGGGAATGAGCACTATAGCACAGTGGTTAAACATGTGGTCTTTAGTATCGAGCAGATCTAGGCAAATTTATGCTGTGCCACCAAGTTTAATTGTGGGCACATTACTGAAGTAAATCACCATTTCCTAATTTGCAAAATGGGTACTATGAGAATACCAATCTTACAAGTTTCTTGTGGTAATCAATTAAGACCATATTTGTATGATACTTGTTTATAGTCCTAGCACTGGTATTATGCTTATAGTATTCTGGTTTTAGACTTGTTTTGTTGTTGTTGTTATTGTTCCTTAATTTCTACCTATTTCTTTTTGGTAGGACTAAATTTTGAAATGGTCATCCTCAACATTTTTACTGTCAGGCTCTGAAACTTCCTGTGGTCCTGCCAAGCTAAAACTCCTTGTTACCTATTTTGACCAGCCTATTTGGCACTAGACTTTCCTATACCTTCAAGTATGGTTAGGTACTCTGGATTCTGATATCAACTTCATCCCATAACTTGCAGCCACACACATTTTTCTGCACATGAATTGTCCTTCATCTTGTTCCTTTGCTTGCTTACCACCCCAGCCATTACACTCATTGTTCAGCTTGGCCCCGGCCCCTCCTTGTTTACCTTGTTCTATAGCTGTACACCACCTAGTACAGTCTAGTGTATAGGCTAGTGCCAACCCCTAGACTATAAGATCATTCTCTTATATTACAGGAGCTCCTGGATTCTTTAAGTTCTATCATCTTTCTTGACAATATAATAAATAGAACACTGTATCTCAAGAGGAGAAAATAAAATGTGTATGACCTGAAGTCACTAGCTTTTCGACCTTAACTGACAATCTTTGGGACAAAGATTTTCATTTTTCTTGGCACATGCGCAATTGGTAATATTCTATATCCAGATAAGAAGCCATGAGTCTTTTTTTCTCCTCCAACTGGATTTATTCAATATTTGTGTGGTGGATGAGATTCAAGGCAGGAAATTAGGTTGTTTAATGCCAGATTTGCAAGCTGGTTGTTAAGAAGTCCCTATTCAGTGATTTCTTTAAAAGTTTGGGAGAAAACTCAGGGTAGATTTTAGATGAATGCATGCTGTATGAGGAGTGAGGTGATACTCCCCACTCACAATAAGAAGACAACACAACGATTTTATATTCTAGCCCTTGATCATTATCCAGGATAAGTATATATTAAATGCTTGTTACATTCAGAACTTTATGCCAGCTGTAGTGGCTCATGCTTATAATCCCAGGACTTTGGGAAGTTGAGGTGGGAGGATTGCTTGAGGCCAGGAGTTTGAGATAAGTCTGTGAAACATAGCAAGACCCCATCTCTACAAAAATAAAAATAAAAAATTTAGCCAGGCATAGAGGTGCACATCTGTGGTTTCAGCTACTCAGCTGAGGCAGGAAAAAGCTGATGAAACAAAGAGAGTAAACTGTTAATAGTGGAGTCTGGGTGATACATATTTAAATGTTCATGGTAAAATTCCCTCAGTTTTCAATATTATTGAGATGTCAATGTTAAAATGTTGAAAATAATGTTAATAAACAAATATACGTTTGTATCACCATCTCAGTGATTCACTGGTTTGGTAGAATTAACAGATTCATTGAGATGTTATTAATAGGAAAGGACTCATTAAAATACTTGAGACTGTTCTGACAATCAATAGACATAACGCTTTATGCACCAACAGATATATACACACATTCGTGTATACATATTTATATTTATATATCTTAAAGCTATTAGAAATTTGAAGAGAAATTGATACAGGCACAATTATCATTGAATACTTAGGCAAAACTCTCAGATCAGAAATATACATCTGAAGAACATTTTTATCCCAACCCATTCCTGATTTCAAAGTCTGTCCCCCTCTTCTGTCTTCATTTCATAATTATGATCCTGTAATTCATGAACGACCTAAATTAGAATCATTTGGAATATTAATTAAATCTGCAGATTGCAAGAACCACTGTATTAATCTCTAAAGGTTTGAGTCCAGAAATCTGCTCTCCTAGCAATTCTCATGTCTTGGAGCTTAGACCATTTATTGTGGTAAATAAGGAGATAAATTGTCCTATGCTTTTGCATAGTGTATATTAAATACTTGCTACATTCAGAACTGTATCTGACTTCAAATCGCAAGAAGACTCTTTCTTCTAACTCTTATCTAAAACATTCGCTCCACTTGATCATATACCTATTATTTATACTCAGATTCAATTGTTAAAATATATTTCTTCCAATAAAGGCTTTTCCCATTTTAGATTACATATAATACTGAAAGGGTTAGCATGATATTTATATTATTAGCAGGTCCTTCTGGCTCGCAAATGAATTGCTTTTGTAGTCTCCAATCCAACATCCAGTTGAAAGCACATAAAGACAGGAGGCAGGATGAGAAAAGCATGAGAGGATTGGGCATCTGTATGTGAGTGGAAAGGTGAGTAGAGCAAGAAAAAACATCTTTTTTATTTCTGCCAGATGAGTAAAACTTTAAGTCAGGATCCAGTCAGGAGAAAGAAACCACACAAGTAATTAATTTTAACTGAGAGGCCTTAATATAAAGGATTTTTAACTAGGTACAATATTAACTAAGAACCTGAAAAGGCAGTAAGAGGACATCAAGGTATCAATGAGGAAGCAGTTGCAGGAAACAGCTTCCACCACTAGGAGTAAGGTAACAAAGAGAAGATATGAGAATTATTAAAATGTAAACTCTTCGAGGAAGCTAAACTCAGACCACTGAGGAGGGGCTGCTTCTCAGTTGGGGCTGGTGTCTCTGATCTTGGAGGAGGGGGCCTCTTGGGGATGGGGTGCAGAACTCCAAAGGGAAGACACTACTTGGCTACTCAGCAGTAGCCAAGAATGGATAGATGGATAGGTAAGTGAATGAAAAAAAATGGTAAGAATGAAGCAGCTTTCATGATTCTGTGTGAATCGTAGGAAACGTGTTATGATTTCTCATTATAAGTTGAGAGATAGTGTGATAGATAATTTTATGTGTCGACTTGGCTGGGCCACAGTATACCCAAATATTTAGCCAAATACTGTTCTGGATGGTGTCTGTGTTTTGAAGAGGGGACCTTGGAGGAGGGGCCTCATTGGGCTGGGGTGCAGATCTCTGAGGAGGAGTTACTGGCCTCCTGGTGCTGGTTTCTCTCAGTGAGCACAAATAGCTGGTACTGCAAGTGCTGGAAAAACCTGCAAACTGAATTAATATGCTGCTAGGGAAGGAACTGCTGCTATTGGAATAAAGAAACATTGCTCAGCACAACTGACAAGGGCAGAAAGCAAAAAACCAAACCGGGAGGAGTCAGTCCCTCCTTCTGCCAGCCTTGAGCCTCCCTCTACCTCCCCCTCTTGGTAGAGCCTTACAAGAAGCCAGCTGTCACAGCAGAGGTGGTTGCAGAGTTCCAGATAACAGATGACAAGGGCAATTGCCAATTATAATTGAATCACAGGGATCAATTCCAGAGCATCCTCTTTTCCCACAGTTCAGCTGACCAGGACTTCACGCAGACATGTGTCAGGATGTAAAAATGATCTGATTCTAATTAAGGCATAGTTTTTTTTTTATATCATTAACGCTAGGTTTGTACACTCTCATTCATTTTCCAAAATAAAATACTATTATTCATAGGGTTTGAGATTCAAGGTGAACTCAAGAAGTACCCATCCATATGCACAAAAGATTAAGATTTGCATAATTTACAGAAAGTTCTGCAACATTAAAATTCCATTTATTAACTATGAGGCACAGTATAAATGTTTAAGGGAAAATACCTAGCAGAGCATATGTTGTATTAACACCCTGAAAATGTCTGTGATATGGAAGTCCAGGTTCATTTCAGAGGCATTCTGCACAGTAGATTTGTTGTTATGCATAGTGTTATATTGCATTTCATTGCCTTGTGCTACAAGCTGCCTTAGAGAGAGAATTAGAGAAGAAATGACTTTTTAGGCTTTCATCAAACCCAATGATTATTTTCTGTACCTATGGCAAACATAAGAAATTCTCTCAAATAATTTTTCCTTTTGGTTCCTGAAGTCACTGACAGATCCTTGAAAAGCCCATTTTATTTCTTCCTGTTTGTTTTTGAGACAATAAATCGAGGGGCCAAAAAAGTGCCTAAAAGTAAGAGATGATTAGTAAATCTTATTAACTGATATGTGAATGGATAGATGGATAGGTAAGTGAATGAAAAAAATGATAAGAATGAAGCAGCTTTCATGATTCTATGTGAATCATAGGAAACTTGTTATGATTTCTCATTATAAGTTGAGAGATAGTGTGATAGATAATTTTATGTGTCGACTTGACTGGGCCACAGTGTGAACAATATTTAGCCAAATATTGCTCCGGATGCTTCTGTGAGGGTGTTTTTGGATGGAATTAACTTTTAATTTGGCAGACTTAGTAAAGCAAATTGCTCTCCCTAATGTGGGTGGGCTTTGTTAAATCAGTTGGAGGCCTGAATAGAAAAAGAAGAAATGGGACTGACTTTCTTCTGAGTAAGAGAATTCTCCTGAATGCTTTCAAACTGAGCTATTGGCTTTTTCCTGTCTTTGGACTTGAACTGAAACACTGGCTCTCCTTGGGTCTTGAACCTGCCAGTCTTCTAGATAAGGACTACACCATCCATTCTCCTTCTCAGGTCTTTGGACTCAGAATGGAACTTCACCACTGACTCTTCTGTCTCCAAATTGCAGACTCATTCTGTAGGTCTTGGGACTTGTTAGCATCCACAATCATGTGAACGACTCTCTTATAACAAATCTCTCTCTCAATCTCTCTCTCTCTCTCTATATATATATATATAAAATGTATAAAATATATACAAAATATACATTTATAAAAAGATTTGTATTTATATTCATACACATACATCCTATTGGTTCTGTTTTCTGGAGAACTCTGACTAATACAGATAGTGACTCAAATAAATGAAACAAAGAGACAAAATGAAGAACCTCTTGGCTCTTCAAGTTGAACTTGCAATTTGTTTGATTCTTTTCTTCTGTGATGTTACTGTTACAATAATCACTACTATGACAAGCTGCCATTTATTATTCACTATCTGGCAACAATGTACTATCCATTTTACCCATTTTATCTCATTCATTACTTTTGAAACATTTTGAGGAAAAAAGTCCTAGAGCTGAGTGAATAATAACTTGCCTGTGTTACATGTTTAACACACCCTACATTTAAATCTATGCTCTTCTGATTTCAAACTTTAAATTCTTAACCAGTCATGGATCCAACATTAAACACATGGAATGCCTTTAGCCAAACACTTCTTTATTTTCCCTTTTTGGTTTCCTCACTCAGAAATGAGGCATTAAATACGATGTACTTTACTGCCCATTCCAGATCTTCACAGTCTTAAATTCCATGATTCTTAATCAGTAGTTAAAAAGAATGCAGCACTCCAGCTACTACTGGAGCCATGGCCATATGAGTGCAATGTCAAGTACAAGGTCAGCACTTGTTTAGAACCTCACAGTGCTGTGGGTGAGTTAGAAGATCCTCTTACAAAGCAATTTGGAGACCCTTTGACTACCCTCAAGGATTTTACCTATTATTCCTGTGTGATTGTTGCCTCTAGTAATTTTACACTATTAATCTAGCTAAGTAGATAAAATGTGGCCTTAGAATTTTTTTTTTCTTTTTTTTTTTTTCTTTGCACTCTTTCTTTCTTCTTTGAATATCTCATGGTTTGGTGATGTCTTTTTTATCCTCTGGGTCCTCCTTTCCCCACTGCACTCCCATCCCAAGGACCCTGACTCCTGGATCCTGCCCCATGTGCTTCACCTTTCCTGCTCTGGATGTCCTAAACACCAAGGCTTCAGCATCCACTCATTCTTTATCTCATTTATTATCCCCCTGGGATGCTGAAAACAAATCTGGCAGACTAAACAGGTTTTCCAATGAGTATGTTACACAGATTGTTAAAATTTATTGTTATCAAGAAAAAGAGGTTTTATTGCCAGGTAACTTTAGAAAAGATAAAATTAAACACAACTGTGCTAGTTTCCTTGCTGCAGAACTCCTCAGTGCCTTTAATGTGCAAATGTGTCCAACTAAACTTCAAGAGTAAGTTTATGTAATAGATCTCACATTTTATTTTATCCTGTAGCCCTCTTTGCTCAGTCCTGTAGGACTTTGCTTGGTCCTGTGGGACTAAAGTTCTGTGGAACACATTTTGGGAAATGGTAAAGTATACCCGACATATAAATGAGTAAGTGCATTCGCCTTTCTAGAACACATATTTAAAAAGAAATTAACTTTCTTTAGTTGATGGGGATAGTTACTGACAACTCTTCTTGCAAGAGAGCAGTCTGTGAGGTAATAACCAGTTAGAGAAAAGTCAAGAAGTTCTGAGTATCTTAATTATCACATGATTTCAAGAAACATTATGCTTCAGTACCCAGGTAAAAGTTTAAGATATTAAAGCAAATTATTCACTTACTAATTCTCAACAATACAAGGCATTTAATTTAGTCTTTGATAAACCATTTTTATAAAACTTAGTCACATCATGTAAATATCTCAGAGCCCAACTTCTAACCTGTGTCAAGTTTTTTGATATTATAGAAATGGTTACAATGAATAATCTGATTCAAATGTAATTTGTTACATATATATGCTATCTGTACCAGATAACATAAGACAAGGAAGTGTAGCTCAAAATCTATGCACATTTTTAATATTGATAGAGTGCTGAATTGTTTTCCCTTAGGTTGGACCAAGTCAATGTTATACATTTAAAACATCTTATTTTAAAAAATTAATTTTATTATGAGATTAAATATTTTATTTAATTTAATTTATTTAATTTATTTAATTTAATTTATTTAATTAATTTATTTAATTTATTTAATTTATTTATTTAATTTATTTAATTTAATTTAATTTATTATCTGGTATAAGCTATATAGACATATTCTTTATCTCCTTTTATGTTGTTTTAGGTTATTATTATTATTTTTATTCATTAAATACAAAGACTTACCTAGAACTTTTTTGGTTTTAGATGTGAGGTAATAATCTATTTTTTGGGACAGGGCATGGTGAGTCATGCCTGTAATCCCAGCACTTTGAGAGGCCAAGGGTGCGGATCACTTGAGGCCAGGAGTTCAAGACCAGTCTGGCCAATATGGTGAAACCCAATCTCTAATAAAAATACAAAAATTAGTCAGGAATGATGGGTGTGCCTGTAATCCCAGCTACTATGGAGGCTGAGCCATGAGAATTGCTTTAACCTATTAAGCAGAGGTTTTAGTGAGCTGAGATCATGCCACTGCCCTCCAGCCTGGGCAACAGAGCAAGATTCCCTCTTAAAAAAATTAAAAAGAAAAAAAATCTATTTCTTTTAACAGATGGTTGCCAAATTTTCTCAATATGATAATAAATTATCCATATTATCTCTACTAAAATCCAATATATTTGGGGACGTTATTTCTAGGTTTTCTAGTTTGTCTGTTTATGCACCGGTACTATATTGTCCTAATTATCTTAGCTCTGATTATATTTTATTATGTTAAATTTCTAAATTATGTTGCCTTATTTTCATATAAACTTTAGGATCACTTTCCAGTTATTAAAAAAAATTAGTATTTTTGTTTGGATTACATAAATTTTTAGAACAATTTAGAAATAATTCACATAGTTGGAGTGTTGAATATTTTTATCCAAGAACACAGCATGTCAAGTAATTAATTTTTGGACTTCCTAAACAGCAATTTATTAAAATGTAAGCGTTATTTGGATTCTGCATAAATCTTTCACTAATTCATATACTTCAGTTACAACAAGCCTGACTCATAAACAGTATAATACAAATATTTTATTAATTATTATCATAGGAGGAGTTATTACTTTTATCATAATTTCTTGGATTTGATAGGGTTTGTTGGTAACCCAGGTCTTGTTTGCAGATATTTTATATCTTAATGGCCAGCTATTCAACTGATATATTATTTTCAATGACTAGAACTTGTTCATAGAGAAAGACATATCTTCAGCAAAAGGGCTAATTCTGGAAAATTCATGTATACAGGGCAAATTAAAATCATTAGAAACAAAATACACAATTGAGAAATGGTTGATCATAATGGAAATTTGACTTGTAAAAATGTGAATCTTTAAAAAGCAGAACATGTTTGAGGATTTCTGTTGGATTTTAAAGCTTCGATTAATGCTATTTGATTATCAATGGCATAGAAAGGAAGCAGAGCCAATTCTAAATAAAATAATGATGTATATAATCTGCTTATCTATAATTAGAGCTAGGCACTAATATTTGGCAATGGTTTTAAATAGTTTCCTGATACTCTCCAGGGTTGATCTGTTAATTAGCTGATAGGTAAATTGGTTAGAAAATAAGTTGTTTGAAATACTTTTTCATCACTGGTCTCATATTGTATGGAGGGTGACGAAGAAAATTCCTGACAGCTGAGATGTGGGGAGATAAGACTAAAAAGCAAAGGGGGAAGATATGGTATCTGCGGACTTAGCTCTTGGCAAGACCTATTCCCTATGTTTAGCATATGGCACTGTCTTGCTCTGGGGCACAGGCCTTTATGCCCTCATAGTAATCTTTGACATTAGCTTTTTTAGTGGCTTGCATTGGACATCCACTGTTGGAGTTCAAAAATAACTTAGGTTCCTTTTTTCTCTTCCCTGTCTGGGTTCTGAACATGCTGAGACATGAAGAGTAGGAAAGCTAAGAGATTAAATATCAGCATCATTCTTCAGAAAGGCTAAGAAACAGTCACTTTGCTGTGGAAGCCAAATGGGCCACTTACTTGAATACCAGGAGCAGGCAGATATACCAAAGGAGACATGATCATCCAAAGCCCACATAAGAGCTGGTCCCTGGAGAAGCAGGCAAAAATATTCCCTTTCTGAGTTTGACTCACTTTCAAGGAGAAGGGCTTAGCTGAGTCAAGCATGCCCAGTTATACTCATTACATTTACCAAACAGCAATGTTCTCTATCTCGCCAATGAAAAAGCAAGGAAATGAGTACAGATACGTTTGGGAGAATCCTTATGAAACCTGGGAGGTTAAAAAGCTGCACTCCATGCAAGCATCCTGGTTTTTGTTTTGTTTTTTGTCTTTCGTGTTTTTTTTTTTTTTTTTTTTTTTTTTGGCCTACTTGGTCCCTAGGCCAAAGAGATGTAGGAGAAATGCCTCAGCAAGAAGAAACTAGATGCATTTTTACCCTACAATTTCTATGTTCTCTGATCATCTTAACTCATAGAATGAGATGCTCACTACAGATGCTCATTACGTTGAAAAGGCAGCAGGCAATTCTAGACTTTCCTTAAAACTTGAAATTTAACCAATAACAGACTTTTATCTAATATTTCTTGTTGTTAAGTAGTTAGAAAAGTAATTTTACTGTTTAGTTGATAAAATAGCCAGATGTTTTTCAAGTGACATTCTCCCAGTTAACATCTAGCTGACATAAACAAAGAAACTGTTAGTCATCAGAGTTAGGGCTATAGATGCAAATATTTGGTCCTTATCAGAGCACTAGTTTAGGAATAACATACACTTGAGTAGACTCTGAGGGCTGTTCTGATGCAAGATTTGTCTACAATTACATATAAGACAAACGACAGGAAGAGAACATTATATAAGGGTGGGGGGGGGCATCACTCAAAAGCCATTACACTCTGGAAAAACACACACACACATCTTTAGGTTAAGAATAATAAATGTCTGCTTGTTTAGCTATGTAAACAGCTATGGACTTTTTTGCTTTGAAAATCACATAGCAAGAGAAATAGTCACATGTTTTGAAGGAAAAGAATTGATAAAATGCTTACTTTGGCCTGGATTCCTTAGCAATCAGCCTCTGACCCAAGCAGGAAACACATGCAGAGTGAACACGCTATTGAAATAAAGGCCTGGGTATGAAATTATTCACACCCTTATGCCCAAAGGTACGTGTGTTCATAGCGTGTTCCTAGTTTTTCTTATTGATAATTTCTGAGGCTGCTGCTTCTTTCTTTTACCACTGATTGACTAAAAGTCCCTTCAAATTATTTATATTACATTCCCAGTGGACATATTATTAAATATCATACACTGAAAGACGAGATGTCAAGTCTCTCATCACTTTCATGGAGGTAGGAATTCTTGGTAAACTAAAATCTAGCGTGTGTTGTTTTTTTTTAAGACAGTTTTGTTCTCTTGCCCAAACTACATTGCAGTGGCAGGATCATAGCCCAATGCAGCCTTGATCTCCTGGGCTCAAGCGATCTTCCCCACTGTTTCCCAAGTACCTGGGACACAGGTGCATGCCACAGTGTCCTACTAACCTTTAAAAAAATTTTTTTAAAGGCAAGTTATTGCTTTGCTGCCCAGGCTGGTCTTGAACTCCTGGTTTCAAGCAATCCTCGCACCTCAGCTTCCCAAAGTGTTGGGATTACAGGCATGAGCTACCATGTCCAGCCTAGTGTGTATCATTATTGAGTGACTTGGTGCTCCTCAATCAACATAGTGGCAAAAACAGCCAAGTTGTAAGTGGCACATGCTTTATAGGTGGGAGAAAACCAACAAAGATGTATTATTCTGTTGATCTGTCTGTTAGAATGTGCCCAATAGTCAATATTCTTAGTCATAATATGAACATGTTTGCTTTGGAGCAAAACTATTGATTAAATATACACATAAACATATACACACACACTATATATATAGATAGATAGGTAGATAGATATAGACATATATAATTAGTGTTTAAATGACAAATACATGCCAACCATATATTTTTCTTCTAGAAAACCCATTAGAAATACGGACCAACCAATAGCTACACCTTTTGTTTTCATAACACATTCCCTCAAGGAATGGTTTCATAGTATAAAAATGCAATTATAACTCAAATTAATTTGTAAATTAAGTACAATTCTCAACTACATCCAGATGTCATAATTTTCAAACTCGATAAAATTACTACAAACTTTTCTGAAAATTGAAACAAACAAGAATAAACAAAAAATTTCAAAAAGGGAAATAATGTGAAATAAATTGCCTTCTCTAATGAATTTTCTAAAGGACCTTCAAATATAGTATTCACTCACAGTTGTTAAAAACAAAAATAGTTTGTTATCGAACAAGAATGCAACCCTAGAAGGAAACGTAACAAAATGTTAACAGTGGTTATCTCTGTATGATAGATTTGTAAGTCATTTTCTTTTTCTTTCCTTATTTTTTACATTTTTTCTAGATTAAAATGTTTTATTTAGTACAAATGGAAAAAATAAAAAATATACAGATGAATGAATGGAAATGAAAAATTCTAATAAAGTATCATTAAATTATAAACTTATGGCTGGGTGCCATGGCTCATGCCTGTAATCCAGCACTTTGAGTGGCCAAGATGGGTGGATCACCTGAGGTCAGGAGTTGGAGACCAGCCTGGCCAACATGGCAAAACCCTGTCTCTAGTAAAAATACAAAAATTAATCAGGTGTGGTGGTGGATACCTGTAAACCCAGCTACTAGGAGGCTGAGGCACGAGAATCGCTTCAACTCGGGAGGCGGAGGTTGCAGTGAGCAGAGATTGTGCCATTGCCCTCCAGCCTGGGCAACGGAGCAAGACCCTGTCTCAAAAAAAAAAAAAAAGAAAAAAAAATTTTAAACTTATTTGTAAATTAAGTCAACAAACACTTTTTAGGTGCCTACTATATTCTAGATAGTCACCTTCTAGTTTCTTATCCTTATATATAAAACCAATATTTCTGCAGTTTCTACATGCTCACTTCAGGTTTTAAACATCACTGGCTGAGACAGGCTTACAGTGTTCTGGGATGTAAATGCAACACTGGAGAGCACTCATTCCCTTGGCTTCACTTGTATGGCTCCACTTTAAATCAATCAGCAAAGGCAATATTCTCAGCTCAAGTTTCCTTAACACTATTCCATTCAATATTGTGATGCTTGTGGGTAATTGCCCAAGTGTGACATTAAGTTGGAGACTCGTTACTGCAAATAAGAGGAATGAGGTTAATCTGTCACAAATTCTCAGGTAACTTGGTTTTCTTTTGTGCCTCTCAAAGTCAAATTCTCAAAATAGACAAGCCAGCTTGTCTATTTTATCTGGAACAGCTGCGACAAAATTTCTCTTGTTTTCTTGTTTGAATGTTGAAAGTTGCATACAAGATTATACTGTGAAACTTGATATAGTGAAAGACCATGGCAAGAAGATGGTTGACTGCAGTGAGTACCAGCTCTCCTCAAGCTTTGCAATGGATACTGGGTCATATTTAAAGGTAAACTAAGGCATAATAAAAGTTAAAATTGTAAAGAATTTATTTGGGCAAACAGTACTTCATGAATCAGGCAATTCCAAACCCAAAGTGGTTGGGGTCTGTGCTAAGGAAATGCAAGGGGAAGGCTTTTATAGTGTAAACATGAAAGTGAAGCCACTATTTGATGCATAGTTACACATTTTCCTTATTTGGCTTATCCTGCTAGAAGGCCCGACTTAAGTTTCATTTTTCTTTAATGTAGGCATTTTCAAGAAAGAGTTTAAGTTTACTTCTGTTTGCAAATCTGTAGTAACAAGTTTAAGGTGACTTTTGAGGCCTAATTAGTTTTATCTGCTCCAGAATTCTTCAGTCCTGGACTCCATATTAATTTACTTTAGCAATAAGTTTGAAGCATTCACAGCACCTTTCTCCAAGGTTTTGTTCATTTTCTAGAATTCTTTTTTCCTTATTTTTGTCTGATGGGTTAATTTGAAGGACAGGTCATTGAGCTCTAAAATTTTTCCCTCAGCTTGGTCTAGTCTGTTATTAAGGCTTCCAACTGTATTTTGATATTTCTGTAGTAAAATTTTCAATTCCAGAAGTTCAGTTTGGTCCTTTCTTAAAATGAATATCTTGTCTTTCAAGTTTTGTATTATTTTATTAGCATCCTTGGATTGGGTTTCAACTTTCTCTTGAATCTCATTGAGCTTCTCTGATATCTAGATTCTGAATTCTGTGTCTTTCATTTCAGACATTTGAATCTGGTTAGGTTCCACTGCTGGGAAGCTAGTGAAATGCTTTGGAGGAGAGAAAACACTCACTTTCTGAATTGCCAGCATTCTGGTCCTGATTATTTATCATCTGAGAGGGCTGGTGTTTCTTTATCTTTTTGAAATTACTGTCTTTTGGATGGGGCTTTTTGGTTTATATTCCATTTTTTCCTTTGAAGATTTGACTGTGGTATATGTTGAGTATAGTTGATCAGCTTTATTTCTGGGTGCTTTTGGAGGGCCAAGGCTTTGTACTGGTTTCTTAGTTGTGGCTAGTTTCCTGACCTGAGTTTCATAGGTGATGTGTGTTGAAATAATTTATTTCTGTTTAGTGGTGTAATCAGGGTGCAATCCAGTAAATGGTATTCAAGAATAACGGCCAACAGATAGGCTCTTACTCAACTGCATGCCTCTTTTATATTTCAGTGTATTCACAGCAGTGCTTTGGGGAGGGGGAGATGGGGGACTGGGGGAGAGAGATTATCCCTTTGCCTTAAGTGAGACCCCTCCTTTCACTGCAACTGTGGCCATGTCTCCTCAGCCCCAAAATAGGCCCTGGAAGCCTGCAGACCCATCTCCCTTAGGGGAAGCCTGAGCCAAAGATATTTTCACCAGGAGATCTGCAATTCTCTGGAGACTTACTGGTCCTCTATGGTTGGCAGAATCAGAGCAGATTGTGGAGTATGTCTGTGAGTGGTCTGTTGATGCAGTGGGTCAAGGGCAGATGACTCCCTGTGCAGGGTGATGATGTCATGGGTGTGCAGCTGGTGACACCTGTGGCTCATGTTTTTTTGCCCAGCAGACAGATGTGGGGACCATCTAGCTTCTACTCCCCCAACTGAACCTCCCTCCAGTGTCTGCCCCTGGGGCAGGCCCCGCCAGCTAGATTTTTTTCCAAGACTTCTGCACCCAGATACCTGAGCTGTTAGGTGTTCTGAGCCACAGGGCTCTCTCAAGTGGCAGCTGCAGCCATCTGACAGGCTATGCCCTTACTGGACTAGTCTTGCAGTGGGAGGCATGCCCAGTTCTCGTACCAGCACAGAAACCTGTGCCTCACTCTTCTCAGTGTTCCGAGGGTGTCGGCTCCTCCCTGATTCATGTTCAGGTCACAGATCCCAGCTCAGTACTGCTGAATGTGTGCTCAAACCCTGGTGGATTGAGACTGGGCCTTCAGCTTTGTCCTCTGGTCCCTTGGGGTTGAGCAGAGGCTGTGCTGGAGGTGCGGAACTGCTCCCAGGGTGCAGGTGAAGCCCTTAGGCAGGGGAGTGGAGGCTGTTCCATGTGCATGCTCTTGTAGGAGTGGCCAGGCACAGGCTGTGGGATGGGCTGGAGGACAAGGGGCTGTGTTGATCAGTTGTGTTATGGTTCCATGGGAAAGTCAGTAATGCTTTCTCCAAGCTTAGCAGTCAGCAGGGGCTAGAGTCATTCAGAGCAAGATGGAGAGTCTTGGGGGATGGGCACCTATGGTTGCATTTTGTTGCAGCTGCCCTGAGTGTGAAACCTGGGCTCCATGAAGTTTCTAGCTCTGCCTCTGCCTGCTCTCTGGGCAGTACCTCCTGACAATTCAAATGTTTATGTGGGTTGTGAGATCTCTTGTAGCTCAGATCCCAGAGGTCCGTGGTGGTAGGGTGGTGCCTCAGAGTTCTTTCACTCACCCCTTCCTTAGGTCCTATTCTGAAGCAGAAGCTAGTCAGCCACTTGGTGACTCTGTACAGGCTTCCCAGCTTTCTCCCTCTTCAACCTCAGTGTCTGTGTTGCCTCTCTATTGACTTTCAATGTTTTCTCTCCAAAGATCTTTTCAAAGTGTGATGATTTACTTGATGTTTCATTTTATCTGTGTGGGATAGGCATTTCTTGGCTACATCTAGTCAGCCATCTTTATTTATCCATGATCTATTTTGTTTATATGTCTTCTTTTTCCTCCTACTTTCCCCCTGCCTCTTCTCCTCTTCCTCCACCTTTAATCACTAGATTTCTAAAAATGGGCAAGGAGGGTGAGTCTTTATCTCTGAGATATTTTTCTTATAATGCATTACAGATGTGAACACTGCAGCCATCAACATTGATGTCAGACCCTCCATCAATAACAAGATTATGACTCCTAAAGGCTTAGATGATTGCTAGCATTCTTCAGAGCAAAAATGCCAGAGCTTCAAAATTTAAAAAATTTCAGAGCTTGATAGCCATTCCTTCAAATCAAACCATCAGACAAAAGTAAAGAAAAAAATAATTTAAAAAAAATGAAGCAAACCTCCGAGAAATATGGGATGATGTAAAGATATACAGGCATGCCTCCAAGATATTGCAAGTCCAGTTCTAGACCACTGCAATAAAGTAACTATTACAATAAAGTGAGTTGCATGTATTTTTTTTTTTGGTTTCCCGGTGCATTTAAAAGTTATCATTAGCCAGGTGCAGTGGTCATGCTTATAATCCTGGGCCTTTAGGAGACTGAGGCAGGAGGATCATTTGAGGGCAAAAGTTCAAGACCAGCCAGGGCAACACAGCAAGACTCCATCTCTACAAAATTTTTAAAAATTAGCCAGACATGGTGGCACATGTCTATAATCCTAGCTACTCAGAAGGCTGAGGGAGGAGGATTGCTTGAGCCCAGGAGTTGAAGGTTACCATTAGCTATGCTTGTGCCACTGCTCTCCAGCCTGGAGAACAAAGTGAGACACTGTCTCTAAAAAAAAGAAAAATAAAAGTTATGTTTCACTGTATTATAGTCTATTGAGTATGTGATAGCATTATGTCTAACAAAAAAGACACACCTTACATAAAAAGCATTTTATTGCTTAAAAATGCTAGCAATTATCTAAGCCTTCAGGAGTCATAATCCTGTTGTTGTTGGAGGGTCTGACCTCAGTGTTGATGGTTGCTGATTAATTAGGGTGGTGGTTGCTGGAGGTTAGGGTGGCTGTGGCAATTTCTTGAAATAAGACAGTGATGAAATTTGCTGCATCGATTGATTCTTCTTTTCAAAAAAAAAAAATTATCTGTAGCAAGTGATGCTGTTTGATAGCATTTTTTCCAAAATAGAAATTCTTTCAAAGTTGAAATAAATCATCTCAACCTTTGCCACTGCTTTACCAACTCTGTTTATGTAATATAGTAAATCTACTCTTGTCATTTCACCTGTGTTCACAGCATCTTTACCAGGAGAGGACTCCATTTCAAGAGACTACTTTCTTTGCTTAATCATAAGAAGGAACTCCTCATCCATTCAAGTTTTATTATGAGATTGCAGTAATGTATTCACATCTTGAGACTCCACTTCGAATTCTAGTTTTCTTCCTATTTCTACCATATGTGCAGTTACTTCCTTCACTGAAGTCTTGAACCCCTCAGGGTAATAATCCACGAGAGTTGGAATCAACTTCTTGCAGACACTTGTTAATGTTGATATTTTGACCTTCTCCCATGAATCACAAATGTTCTTCATGGCATTTAGAATGGTAAATCCTTCCCAGATTTTCAGTTTTGCTCAGATCCATCAGAGGGATCACTATCTTTTGAAGTTATTGCCTTATGAAATGGATTTCTTAAATAATAGGACTTGAAAGTCAACATTACTCCTTGATCTGGGCTACAGAATGTATGCTATGTTAGCAGTCACGGAAACAACACTAATCTCCTTGTACATCTCCATGACAGACCTTGGGCAACAAAGTGCATGGCCAATGACATAATCTTCTGAAAGAATCTTTTTTATTTATTTATTTTTAAGCGGTAGGCCTAAACAATGGGCTTAAACTATTCAGCAAACCATGCTATAAACAGATGTGCTGTCACTCATGCTTTGTTGTTCCATTTATAGAGCATAAAGGCAGAGTAGATTTAGCATAATCTGAAGGGCCCTAGGATTTTCAAAATGGTAAATGAGGATTGGCTTTAATTTGAAATCAGCCAGCGGCATGAGCCCCTAACAAGAGAGTCAGCCTGTCCTTTGAAATATTGAAGCCAGACATTGACTTGTCTCTAGCTAGGAAGGTCCTAGATGACAGCTTTTCCAATACAGAGCTGTTTTGTCTACACTGAAAATCTGTTGTTTAGTGTAGCTACCGTTACCAATAATTTTAGTTAGATCTTCTGGATAACTTGCTGCAGTTTTTACATCAACCCTTCTGCTTCACCTTGCACTTTTATGTTATAAAGATGGTTTATTTCTGTAACCCTCATGAACCAACCTCTGCCAGCTTCAAACTTTTCTTTTGCAGCTTCCTCACCTCTCACAGCCTTCATAGAGTTGAAGTGAGTTAGGGCCTTGATCTGCATTAGACTTTAGCTCAACGCAATGTTTTGGCTTGTTCGATCTTCTATCCAGATCACTAAAATATTTTTCATATCAGCAATAAGGCTGTTTCTCTTCTTATCATTTGAGTGTTCACTGGAGTATCACTTCTAATTTCCTTCAAGAACTTTTCCTTTGCCATCACAACTGTGCTGCTTGGTGTGAGAGACCTAACTCTTGGCCTATCTCAACTTTCAATGTGCCTTCCTCACTAAGCTTAATCATTTATAGCTTTAGATTTAATGTGGGAGACATGAGATGACTCCTTTCACTTAAACATTTTGTGGAGGCCATTGTAGGGTTACTAATTGGCCTGTTTTCAATATTATTGTACCTCAGATAATAGGAAGGCCTGAGACAAGGTAGAGAGATGATGAAACAGCCAGTTGGTGGAATGGTCAGAAGATATATATCATTTATTAAATTTGCCATGTTATATAGGTGCAGTTTGTGGGGCCTTAAAACAATTACAATACCAACATCAAAGATCACTAGTCACTATAACAGATATAAAAACAATGAAAATGTATGAAATATTGAAAATTACCAAAATATGACACAGACAGTAATTGAGCATGTGCTGTTGTAAAAATGGCAATGATAGACTTACTTGATGTAAGGTTGCCACAAACCTTCAATTTGGAAAAAGTCCCTAATATTTGTGAAGTGCAATAAAGTGAAGTGCAATATAATAAGGTATTCCTGTACTCAGTGAAAGATTTACTATTTTGATAAGATATATTTATTTGCCAGAGTACCCTTGGGAAATGACAATTTTAGGCAGATTTACAACTTATTAGTAAAGGCTAACTTCTTTCAGATGGTGTTTAAAAAGACAGGAACTATGGTTGTACCATGACCCTTAATTTTGCTGATAATGTAGACATCAGAGAAAGCTCAGTATTCCTAATCCTAGCATGTGCCATATTTGACTCTCTGGCTAAAGCAAAGACCACTAACTAGAGGAGTCCCCTCCCTTTAAAGTCTAGCTCTACAAAGTGTTACATTACAAGGCTTCAAATTACCAGTATGGATACCAGAAGAGAGGGAATTAGGCCAGGAAGTCAGAGTTAATTTAAAAATGTCTGTCTCCATGTTGAGGATGTTGCATAATCATATACCTCAGTTGCTGCTTTGGCTTGCCTTGGAGAACTTTGGCATTGACTTTAATGAAAAAGATGCTTTCAACATCCACGAGGGCCTTTTTTTTTCCCTTCAGAGTGATCCCTATGCCCATTATAGTTGAGGAAATACTGGGTAAGTAGGTAGACCCACGGAGGTGAGACAGGACTCCAGCATTTCCCACACAGCCATCAGATGAAGTGATTTCATTTAAACTGTGGTAAACCAGCTCTGGTATTTCGGAGCCACCTTGCAGAATCCAGAGAATATGACATAAGAGATCAAAATATAGCATGTTTATTTCATGTGTTGTTTACAAGCATGATTGTAGAGACATATAAGGAAGAACCGGCATAAATACAAAGGAGCCTGAGCCTTGCCATGTACTGCTTCTATGCATGCCTGGGTGATGTTTCCCAGCTTTGTGTGTAAGGGGGAAGCAGAGTCTCCATGGCCCCCATTCTCAGGGGTGATTAATCCCTGAGTAAATTCACTGATTTAGACTCTGCCTGGATTAGCATGGAAGTCAGGGTTTGGCTAGTAAAACAGAAAAGACTCTGTTTCTGAGGTATTTAACTCAAGATTAGTACAGGTAATGAAAGAGCTAAGAAGTCATACTAAGATGGGGATAAAAGAGATTATAAACACTCAAGAAGGTGCCACAAATCCTACAGCAAGGAAGACAACAGTATTATCTAGCAAAAGCAGGGGCGGCTGATATCATCTGAGTACATAATGGGGGTATTCTTCAGAGGTGGAGGAGATGCAGCCAACACCAAGACACACCACAGGAAACAGAGAGAAAGGGAAATATATCTTGACTTCTCCCTGCGTCAAGTCCTTTAATTTTACACCATTGCTTCCCAATCTATAGTAAAACCTATCTAGAAGCTAGAATGGCAGAGGGGCTTGGAGGTATAGCTTTCTATGTTACAGAGCTGAGCAGAAGAGGAGGATAGATAGATGGGAGAGCATACTGGCACATTGCATAAAATAAGTGAGCAATTTTTTTGGTGAAAACTGAAAGGAAGTCACTGTGGTAAACAAAATAATTGTCTCCAAAGATATCCCTGTCTTAATCTCCAGAATTTGTGAATATGTCACCTTACATGGCAAAGTAAACTTTGCAGATATGATTAAGTGAAGGATTTGAGGATGGGAGATTTTTCTGAATCATCTGGGTGGGGGTTTAGTTTAACCGCAAGTGTCATTTTAAGAGGAAGTTAGAAGGTTAGAATCAAAGAGGAGATTTGACAATGGAAGCTGAGATTGGAGAGATGAGTTTAAGAGATACAGGAAAAGGCCCTAAGCCTAAGAATGTAGGCAGCCTCTAGGATCTGGAAAATATCCTCCAGATATGTAGCTCTGCTGACATGATTTTAGCCGTAAGACCCATTTAGGACTTCTGACCTCCAGAACTGTAAGATAATAAATTTGTGTTGTTTTAACCACACAGTTTTTGGTAATTTTTCATAACAGCAATAGGAAACTAGTATATTCAGTAACACCATGAAAATTGTTTTAAAAAAATCCAAGAAATCAAAAGCAAGGAAAAAGTATGTTTGAAATCTCAGGGAAAGATATCTATAAACCAAGCAAGTGTTTGTTCATTCTCTCCATTGTAGATATGCTCTTTTTAAGATCATCAATTATTTATTCTAGGGCCCAGTGTATATTCTTGAGTCTGAACACACCTCCATTCCCCTATTTTTCATCCTACAGTGGGTGTGAGCGGGGATGAAGAGGACACACACACAGCCCTGGTTGTTTTATAAAAGAATATTGAAGTCAAGTATTAATTGACTTTTTTTATTATTTTACCCTATAATTGAAGTGCCATGTATCCTTTCCCCCCATCAATATAACATAAAATAATTGCCCAATTAGCAAGAAATTATTTTAGGAACAACTAATTTGAGTATCTGTTAAGTTTGTACCTAACACTTCGCTCTGTCAGCTGGAATAAAAAAAAAATTAAATGTTAAGAAAAAGATGTGAGAATTACTTACCTTCGCAAGGTCAGCATTTCTGAAACAGGTTAAAGCAGGGAAAAAAACAGCATGCCTCTTTGTCAAGACTGGCGTGATAAATGGAAAGGGACAGGGGTGCAATGTGGACAACACAGGATGCGAGATGAACCAGAGGAGCATGACTGCCTTTCACTCCCGAGTACTACTGCTTTGCAACTGCATCTGCATCTGTGTGGTAGAGATGTGAAGCAGCTGCTGTCTCAGTCTCAGGTTTGGTCAATGTCGGGGTCTCAGTCCATGTTCTCCAGTTTGGTGACTGTGATCACAACTGACAGTACCTGGCACTTTTGCTGTCAGCCTAAACATCACGATTAGATATGGAAAGTAGAAATGCTGTGTGCTTATTTCCTGCTGGCTTGGGGAAGAGGGCAGTGCCTAGGTCTGTCTATAACCAAAAAAAAAAAAAAAAAAAAGTGGAATTGAGTTCCTTGGCTTGTTTATTGGTGTTGAAGAGAGCAGCAATTCCTATAAAACTTTAATTCTAAGAACAAAAGGCATCTCTGGCACTTTCTCTCTATCCCTGTATATTTCTATCCCATCCACAACCAGACCTCCCCATAAGAAATCCTCTCCTTTGCCGTGGGTTTCTGAGGGCTGATTCAGCCTTCTCCCTACATGAGGGCTTTAAGGTATTGGTTTCCAACCTCAGGTCATGGTTAATCCTCTCAACTTCAGTGTGAATGAGATTTAGCTTGCTTTTCTGGAGGTGTGATAAGGGTATCATGTTTGAAGATGGCTTAGTTGGGAACAATGTTATATATAAGGACAGGGCTCCCAGTCTTTAAATCTTGGGTCCACAATCAGCAATTTACTTCAGCACCAGGTTCCCCATCTATATATAATAATACAGCTGAAAATGTTTGCATTTAACACATAGGACTCTTCTGTGGAATAAATGCTTAATTGGATGAAAAGTGCTTCAAAGTGTGCCTGGCACATAATAAATGATTTTGGTTGTATTCAATATTCTTATTCTTAAAGGACAAAAACCAATCAGAATGGAAGACAAATCGGGGGCCAGGCATGTGTTGATTTTACAAATTGATGAAAAGTGAGTGTTTTATGTTATTTTGCCATAATCTCTGTTCTTTATTTTTTACTCTGATCAGCCATGGCTTGAAGTTCAGGGCTGCCTGTTTGCTTAACTTGGCTGTAATTCCTGGCAAAAGCCCTGATGGTGGGGGTTACTAGTGCTATTTTTGTACATTACTATTAATTTGCTATATTTCTTAGAATATTAATCTGCTATTGATAGATAGGACTAGCTGGATTTCCTAGGCCGACTAAGAATCCCTAAGCCTAGCTGGGAAGGTGACCTCATCCATCTTTAAACACAGGGCTTGCAATTTAGCTCACACCCAGCCAATCAGAGAGCTCACTAAAATGCTAATTAGGCAAAAACAGGAGGTAAAGAAATAGCGAATCATCTATTGCCTGAGAGCACAGCGGGAGGGACAAGGATCGGGATATAGACTCAGGCATTCTAGCCAGTAAGGCAATCCCCTTTGGGTCCCCTCCCTTTGTATGGGAGCTCTGTTTTCACTCTATTTCACTCTATTAAATCTTGCAACTGCACTCTTCTGGTCCGTGTTTGTTACCGCTCGAGCTGAGCTGTCGCTCAACATCCACCACTGCTGTTTGCCACCGTTGCAGACCCGCTGCTGACTCCCATCCCTCTGGATCCAGCAGGGTGTCCCCTGCGCTCCTGATCCAGCAAGGCATCCATTGCCGCTCCCGATCGGGCTAAAGGCTTGCCATTGTTCCTGCACACCTAAGTGCCCGGGTTCATCCTAATGGAGCTGAACACTAGTCACTGGGTTCCACGGTTCTCTTCCATGACCCACGGCTTCTAATAGAGCTATAACACTCACTGCATGGCCCAAGACTCCATTCCTTGGAATCCCTGAGGCCAAGAACACCAGGTCAGAGAACACAAGGCTTGCCGCCATCTTGGAAGCAGCCTGCCACCATCTTTGGAGCTCTGTGAGCAAGGACCCCCGGTAACACTACTATAACCAACTTATTAATTGATACTTATTATTATGATCTTTGTTTGCAGAAGACAACTAGTATCAATGCACATATGAGAAAATTAAGAACAAATCTGACTGCATAAATAAGGTCATAGCATGAAACATTTTCCAATATGTGTGTGTGCATTCAAGAACATTAGTTCCTCTATTTATTCAATAGTCAAAACACATAGGGAATGTTTCATAGCCTTTCTTGACTTAGAGGTATATAGTCACATGAAAATGGTTAAGACTGTGAGATCCCCTACAAAAATATTAAACTTCTTTAATGCAGTGTTTTCCTTGGTAGTAGACAGAATTTGCAATAGATGTATGAGACTAGAAGTCTAGTAACTACTTACTATCTGGGTACCTCAGGTTTCTTATTTATTAGAAAAATTCTAGCATTTTTTTTTAACTTCAGAAATCTAGTAAGTCTAGACAATTTAAATCTAGATGTGACTTTTTATTTAATTTTCAAGCAAATAGCTAAGGGTTTCATCTTATAACAGACATAACAGGCCACATTCTGTTAAATAATTGAATTGATTTTTTTCCCTCGAGTTGTCCAATGGTTTTATTGAATTGCAAACATTGACTGCTTATTTTGGATCATTTAAATGATCAATGCCAGTGATTCCTTCATCTCTTCCATAACTCCTCCAGGAAAATGTCCCTTAATATCAGTGTCATATGTTAGAAAAATACTAGTTCAATTATAATTAGAAAGACCTCTGTTTTGAATATGGTTTGCTTTTAAAAAAATGGCTTCATTTTGACCTTGTTTTGTTTTGTTTTGTTTTGTTATTTCTTCCTATTCCTCAGCTATGTCTACATACCAACAACATTATACAAATTCCCCCTTTGGTCCATAATCTCATTTACTCTGGGACCTTTAAAACTTTGTTCTCTTTGCTTAGCCCCAGCTGGCTTTCCTGATTTCCCTCCTGGATACTCATCCTTCCAGTTCCAGATTAGACCTTACTCCCTTACAAATTCATCATGGTTGCCCTTCCCTTATTTCCTGCTTCTCCCCAATTGGCCTTATTTCTCCGTTTCTGATGGGATCTGTTATCCAACACACGTCTGTCTGCTCTGTTTTACTGTCAGAGCAATTTCCCAAAAAGCTTTGAAATTTATTTATATTTAAAACTTTTATATTTATATTTACATATATTTATAAAAATATAAATTTTTATATTTATATTTATATTGAAAAATAAAGAAACTAGTGGGTAATTGAAAATCATTAGCAATTCTGGTCTTGATATTATAAACTATATGCTGGAGACCTAGGTCTATGGACAGAGAACTGAAATAAGAGCTTCTCAGAGGAGGTTCCAGTATTGTAAACAGAGTGTATTTTAAAAACAGAGTTGCAAAGTTTTCAAAGGAAACTATGCATTGTTAAGATCCTACCTTTTTAGGTTACCTGATTCTAGTTTTTCATTATCTTTAAGCTAGTTTACATTTCTGTGAATTGCAGCTGATAACAATACAAAAGAATTCTTGTCTATGAACATGCACATTCTGTCAACAGTCTTCCCTTTGCAATGTAGTAGAAACCATTCATGTATTCATTTTAGTATTCTAGATCTAAAATGCCTGTTGAACTAGTTGCAATATCTTACCAGTTGCCTTATTAATAGAGTTACATAAAGTCTTTAGCATATGTTAATTTTCCTATCTGTATGGAAATCATGATTTTACCACTTTTTAAAAATCATCTTTTAACAACAGCATGCCTTGTATGGTGTAGTTTGAGGAAGAAAAATGGTCTGAATTGCCTCCTGTATTTGAAATTGTCACATTACTGACTTCTGTAGTGCAAAGCCATCTATAATGTTGGCAAGATCTCTCTCTTATCAGCAGCTCTCCCATAAGCAGATGGGATGATACCTCCACAGGCTCTTTTCTTGCAACTTCTCTTGGGTTCTCTGCTGCAGTTTCAATTTTCCTTCAAAGTTTCCCCAAGCCTTGGTTCCTAGGGTTGCCCTCACAGAAATTCCTTGTAGCTTCCACTCCAAATATGTACGTGCTGTTGACCCCCCACAGGACTCAGTTCACTCCCCTCCTTGCCCATGAATACATTTGGAATAATATATAAATAGGATGGCTCCTTATTCTCAACTCATACAGCGTGGACGATCTATATCAATTATTTCAAAAATACCCTGCAATAGATAAATAATTATCAACTATTTCAGGCAATATTCTGCAAAAAGAACTAGTATAGGAGAGCTGAAAGGAAAATTAAAAATCATCTCCTTCAGAACCCTCATTGTACAGATGAGGGCACAACTATTTATTACATTCACCGGCAGTTCCATATTTGGGGAGCACTTGACTTATGAATAACTTGTTCTTTTGCGTTGAATTCCTACACCCTCAAAGGGGCAATCTTTTCTGTTCTTTTTTCTCTAGTTCTGATCACCTGGGGAGTGATTGACCTTAGAAGTGTCATTCTTTATGCAAATTAAAAGAAGCTTTCTCTTATTCTTATGCAGATAGGAAGTGAATAGGTCCCTGGATTCCTGTAGTTAATAACTTGCTCTCCTTACTCTGAGGAGAAGCCCTTGTTTGTCCTACTTTCCAGTGAAGTGCTAACATTTTTTAGGTACTCATGTTTTTAGTTATTAGGAATTTCCATTTAACATTTCTAATATATTTTCCTTAGCAAAGTTTTGTGGTGATTAGGTATAGCTAAAATAATACAGAAGTGTTAGATTATAGGCATTTCATGTTTGAGTAGAGCTTTTTGGACTGAATTGAAAATTATTGTAAACTAAATTTAAAATTGAAAACCCTTACCTGCTGAACAGACCTTCTCTTAGCCAAAGGGGACCCCAGAGAAACCATAAAAAGTGAGTTCCTGGACCTGAAGGAAAGCAGATGGAACACACCTCATTATGCCCCTTCCCTTTTGGAGTTTAGGCACAACTACTGACTAGTATTAATGTTAAAACAGTGATCATAAGGCTGACAAAAGAGACTCTTTGTGGCAATAAGATTACAAATTATACACAAGACCTAAGGCATGCAAGTCAAGAGTCAAGTTCCATCTGCAGGCCATCATCCTTGCCACATAACATCCTTATGTTAACTTAAAACAGTCCTTTCTGCTGACTCAAGTTTTAGACAGAGCTTTACTCCTTTATCCTATTGCAAATTAAAGAATCTCTCTATTCACCTATAACCTGAAAGCCCCACTTCAAGATAGCCCACCTTTTCAGGCCAAACCAATGTATACCTTCCATGTATTGGTTTATGTCTTTGCCTGTAATTAACTCCTGCCTCCCTGAAATATATAAAGCCAAAATGTAATTTGGCTGTGTCACTTGTTAATGGCTTCTTGGATTTGTGTTTCTCTGGGCTGTGGTCACTCATATAGACTCAGAATAAACTTCTTTAAAGTGTTTTACAGAGTTTGGTTTTTTGGTTAATATTATCATTAATAACATAGTTTTGTTGGTTTCTTTTTTTATTGAGAGAAGCCTCCTAAATACCAACTATTCTTCGTAAGAAACTTAGAGACAAGTGTTTCTATTCTTTTCCATTCTCTCTTTTTCAATTGTTTTCTTCATTTCTCTAAACTATTTAACTCATTTGTTTCCGATCTCCTCAACTAAATTTCAAGCTTCTTGAGGACAGGGCTGAAAAGTCATCTCAATGTGAGTCTATGCTGCCAGTGCTTAGGGCTGGTTCTTACAGACAGTATGTTTCATGTGCGTCCCTGTGAAGAGACCACCAAACAGGCTTTGTGTGAGCAATAAAGCTGTTTATTTCACCTGGGTGCAGGTGGGCTGAGTCCCAAAAGAGAGTCAGTGAAGGGAGATAGGGGTGGGGCTGTTTTATAGGATTTGGGAAGGTAATGGAAAATTACAGTCAAAGGGGGTTGTTCTCTGGTGGGCAGGGGCGGGGGTCACAAGGTGCTCAGTGGGGGAGCTTCTGAGCCAGGAGAAGGAAATTCACAGGGTTAATCACTCAGTTAAGGTGGGGCAGGAACCAATCACAGTGGTGGAATGTCATCAGTTAAGGCGGGGCAGGGCCTTTTCATTTCTTTTGGGATTCTTCAGTTACTTCAGGCCATCTGGGCGTATACGTGCAAGTCACAGGGGATACGATGGCTTGGCTTGGGCTCAGAGGCCTGACATTCCTGCCTTCTTATATTAATAAGAAAAATAAAACAAAATAGTGTTGAAGTGTTGGGGCAGCGAAAATTTTTGAGGGTGGTATGGAGAGAGAATGGGCGATGTTTCTCAGGGCTGCTTCAAGCGAGATTAGGGGCAGCGTGGGAACCTAGAGTGGGGGAGATTAAGCTGAAGGGAGATCTTGTGGTAAGGGGTGATATTGTGGGGATGTTAGAAGAAACATTTGTCGTATAGAATGATTGGTGATGGCCTGGATATGGTTTTGTATGAATTGAAAAACTAAATGGAATAAGGGAAGGAGAAAAACAGGTATAAAAGGACTAAGAATTGGGAGGACCTAGGACATCTGATTAGAGAGTGCCTAAGGAGATTCAGCATAGTCCTGCCAGCAAAGATTATTTATTTACTTCAAGAGTTTAGAGTGGCAGTTTGGGGATAGCACCAGGAGATATCAGCTGTGATGGCTTGGAGAAACAGTGTAAACCGGCAGTGTAAACAAGAGCAGGGCATGTATGAGTAGTTGAGAACGATGAATAGTAGTATGACTAACAGATGAGGATGAAATTTGGGCTTGACTGAAGTAATGGGGGCTGTCTGTGAAGCCTTGCGGCAGTACAGCCCAGGTAATTTGCTGAGCCTAATGGGTGTCAGGGTCAGTCTAAGTGAAGGCAAAGAGAGGTTGGGATGAAGGGTGCAAAGGAATAGTAAAGAAAGCATGTTTGAGATCTAGAACAGAATAATGGGTTGTAGAGGCAGGTATTGAGGATTGGACAGTATATGGGTTTGGCACCATGGGGTGGATAGGCAAAACAATTTGGTCGATAAGGCGCAGATTCTGAACTAACTTGTAAGGCTTGTCTGGTTTTAGGACAGGTAAAATGGGGGAATGGTAAGGAGAGCTTATACGCTTTAAAAGGCCATGCTGTAGCAGTTGAGTGATAACAGGCTTTAATCTTTTTAAAGCATGCTGCGGGATGGGATATTGGCGTTGAGTGGGGTAAGGGTGATTAGGTTTTAATGGGATGGTAATGGACATGTGATCGGTTGCCAGGGAAGGAGTAGAGAAGTCCCATATGTGTGGGTTAAGGTGGGGGGATATGAGAGGAAGACGCGAAGGAGGCTTTGGGTTGGGGAGAAGGGCGGCAATGAGATATAGCTGTAGTCCAGGAATAGTCAGGGAAGCAGATAATTTAGTTAAAGTGTCTCAGCCTAATAAGGGAACCGGGCAGGTGGGGATAATTAAAAGGAGTGCTTAAAAGAGTATTGTCTAAGTTGGCACCAGAGTTGGGGAGTTTTAAGAGGTTTAGAAGCCTGGCCGTCAATACCCACAACAGTTCTGGAGGCAAGGGAAACGGGCCCTTGAAAAGAAGGTAATGTGGAGTGGGTAGCCTCCGTATTAAGAAGGGGATGGGCTTACCTTCCACTGTGAGAGTCACCTGAAGCTCGGCGTCCGTGATGGTCTAGGGGGCTTCCGAGGCGATCAGGCAGCGTCAGTCTTCAGCCGCTAAGCCGAGAAGATCTGGGAAGGAGTCAGTCAGAGAGCCTTGGGCCAGAGTTCCAGGGGCTCTGGGAGTGGCTGCCAGATGAGTTGAACAGTCCGCTTTTCAGTGGGGTCCTACACAGATGGGACGTGGCTTAGGAGGAATCTCGGGCTGTGGGCATTCCTTGGCCCAGTGGCCAGATTTCCGGCACATGTAGCAAGCTCCTGGGGGAGGAGGTTCTGGAGGAACGCCTGGCTGCTGCGGTTCAGGCGTTTGGAAGTTCTTGTGTGCTGGAGATGTGGCTGGGGTTTATCTCACAGTGGAGGCAAGGAATTGCAACTTTTTTCTGTTATTGTACACATTGAAGGTGAGGTTAATTAAGTCCTGTTGTGGGGTTTAATGGCCAGATTCCAATTTTTGGAGTTTTATTTAATGTCGGGAGCAGATTGGGTAATAAAATGCATTTTGAGAATAAGACGGCCTTTAGACCTCTTAGGGTCTAGGGCTGTAAAGCGTCTCAGGGTTGCTGCCAAACAAATCATGAACTGGGCTGGATTTTTATATTTGATGAAAAAGAGCCTAAACGCTATCTGATTTGGGATAAAGAGAAAGGAGCATTAACCTTGACTATGCCTTTAGCTCCAGGCACCTTTTTAAGAGTAAATTGCTGGGCAGGTGGGGGAGGGCTAGTCACGGAACAAAACTGTAAGCCGGACCAGGTGTGGAGGGGAGGTGATAAAAAGATTACAGGGTGGAGGAGCAGAGGCTGAGGAAGAATTGGGACCTAGCTTGGCCTGGCGAGGAGGGGAGAGGTCAGATGGGTCTGTAGAAAAGGAAGATTAGAAAGACTCTGCGACGCTTGGGGTTGGGACTGAGGGGACAGGAGGGAGGGAAAGAAGGAAGATTTGGGACGAGTTGCACTGGGCACAGAGACTAGGAAGGGACTGATGTGTAAAAGAATGCCTGGACGTCAGGCACCTCAGACCATTTGCCCATTTTATGACAAGAATTATTTAGATCTTGTAGGATGGAAAAATTGAAAGTGCCATTTTCTGGCTATTTGGAACTACTGTCGAGTTTGTATTGGGGTCAAGCGGCATTGCAGAAGAAAATAAGACGCTTTGATTTTAGGTCAGGTGACAGTTGAAGAGGTTTTAAGTTCTTAAGAATACAGGCTAAGGGAGAAGAAGGAGGAATGGAAGGTGGAAGCTTGCCCATAGTGAAGGAGGCAAGCCCAGAGAAAAGAGTAGAGACACAGAGAAGGGGTGAGGGGTTCTTGCCCTCCAGAAAAGCAGAGAAAGGGTTGGGGCATGGAAATAAGGAATTGGGGCACAGAGATAAGAGGTCGGGGTGTGGAAATAAGGGATTGGGGCACAGAGATAAGAGGTTGGGGTGCAGAAATAAGTGATTGGGGGGTTCTTGCCCCCTAGGAAAGTGGGACTTGCCACTAAGGGTGAAGGAGAAGGGGTTGAGGGGTACTGGCCCCTGCCCCAGTAAAGCAGAGAAGGGGTAGAGACAAGGAGAGAAGGGGTTAGGGTACTTGCCCCTTCCCCAGAAAAGCAGAGAAGGGGTAGAGACAAGGAGAGAAGGGGTTGGGGTACTTGCCCCTTCCCCAGAAAAGCGGGACTTGCCACTAAGGGCGAAAGACCAAGGCAGGCATCCCTGCGTGGTCTGACACCTTTGAAACGTGGGTAAATAATCAGAGAGGTGTCCCTGCAATAATTAAACACCAAGGGAAGGCTGCCTTCCTGAGTCCGTGACCGGCACCAGAGTTTTGGGTCCACGGATAAAATGTGTCTCCTTTGTCTCTACCGGAAAATGAAGGGAATTGAAATTAAGAGAAGGGAGAGATTGAAGTGTGGCGCCAAGATTGAAAGGAGAAGGAGGTTGAGGGATAGTGAGGGAGGTTGGAGAAGAGAGTAAAAAGAGGCTGCTTACCGGATTTGAAATTGGTGAGATGTTTCTCGGGCTGGTCGGTCTGAGGACCTGAGGTCGTAGGTGGATCTTTCTCAGGGAGCAAAGAGCAGGAGGACGGGGGATTGATCTCCCAAGGGAGGTCCCCCGATTCGAGTCACGGCACCAAATTTCATGCACGTCCGTGTGAAGAGACCACCAAACAGGCTTTGTGCGAGCAATAAAGCTGTTTATTTCACCTGGGTACAGGTGGGCTGAGTCCAAAAAGAGAGTCAGCGAAGGGAGATGGGGTGGGCAGGGGCGGGGGTCACAAGGTGCTCAGTGCGGGAGCTTCGGAGCCAGGAGAAGGAAATTCACAGGGTTAATCACTCAGTTAAGGTGGGGCAGGAACAAATCACAATGGTGGAATGTCATCAGTTAAGGCGGGGCAGGGCTTTTTCACTTCTTTTGTGATTCTTCAGTTACTTCAGGCCATCTGGGCGTATACGTGCAAGTCACAGGGGATACGATGGCTTGGCTTGGGCTCAGAGGCCTGACAGTATGCAGCATGGTGAGTAGTATGTAGATAAAATATATGGTTGGTATCTAGGTGCAATAGCTGTTCTGGGTCATTAGTAGATTATATAGACGAGGATAAAGTATAGAGCTCATTTAGTAGAGTCAACTGGAGAAAAGTGCTCAACTTGAGTGTGAGAGGGCCAGGCCAAGGCAGGGCCGGGGTGAGGCAGAGGCACTGGTAGAGAGAGGTACAGTGGGTGGTTCCCCAGCAGGTAGAAGGCCCTAATGTTGACTGTAAGAGACAGAAAAGGTAAAGGAAAGTCTAAGAAGCAAAATGGGATTTGGAAGGCAGAAAAGGCAGGGTGCTACCTGCTTCAAATTGTATTAAAGAAATTCTCTAGTTTGTGAACATTTTGGGTGTTCACTGAGGGAAACCATATGCCTTTGAATACATGAAAAATATTTTCAGAGATGATGTAGAGCCATCATATAAAACTTTATGACCATCAAAGAATTTTCTTATGACTAAAGGAGAGGCTATAGGAATATCTCCACCAATTCTGAGTTATATATGAAGATTAGAGGGTAATCTTTCTTTAGGAATTAAATGTTTAAATCCTCTGACTTCTGAATTATTGCCAGTGTTTAAAGTGGTGCAATGGAGACTTTGGTGCTGTGACTATGGGGTTAACAGTACTTCCCTATTTCTGACAGTAGGAATTCCATTGGAAAGGAAATTGATTAGTATCTGCATGAAGTTCTGCTAGTCTGAGAGTTTATCTCCTTGCAAATAGTGTTTACATTTTTAAAATCTTTCTTAGATGTAGCCCTTACCAGAATGAATTGTACCAGAATGAATTGTTTCTATGGCTGCTCTTCGGGACCACTTCTTACATACACATCATAGAGCACACATAGCACACGTGCACTACACACACCATACACATACCTCATCCTCCACATACCACATACACACACCATACACCACATACACACACACACACACACACACACACACACACGGCTACCCATTTCAACCTATGAAACTGACATGTCCGTATTAGATAAGGGGAGTAATAGTTCTTTGGAACTCAGGGTTTATTTGAGCAACATTTACTAAGGAGTTCATTGCTGTAGATTAAAAAATTAGTTGTTGGCTGACCTAGAAGTACAATCTCAGTCTTCCTTTTCTTAGACCAAGACTATTAATAATAATAAAATAATTTATTATATGCAGTGTTCACAATAATTTACCACAAAATTCTAGCTACCTTTATTGAGCCCTTACTATATGACAGATTCATTTGAGGTATTTATAGATATGATATATACATTTCAGATATATTTGGAAAATATGTATATATGCATGTGTGTGTATATATATATATATACACACACTAATATATCTAGATCTCTCTCTCTCTCTCTATATATATATATATACACACACATACACACACACACACACACACACACACACACTAATTTGATCCTCATAGAACCTTTCTGAGCTAGGCACTAATACTATCCGCATTTTATTTATTTATTTATTTTTTATTTTTATTTTTTATTATTATACTTTAAGTTTTACGGTACGTGTGCACATTGTGCAGGTTAGTTACATATGTATACATGTGCCATGCTGGTGCGCTGCACCCACTAAATCGTCATCTAGCCTTAGGTATATCTCCCAATGCTATCCCTCCCCCCTCCCCCCACCCCACCACAGTCCCCAGAGTGTGATATTCCCCTTCCTGTGTCCATGTGATCTCATTGTTCAGTTCCCACCTATGAGTGAGAATATGCGGTGTTTGGTTTTTTGTTCTTGCGATAGTTTACTAAGAATGATGATTTCCAATTTCATCCATGTCCCTACGAAGGACATGAACTCATCATTTTACTATCCCCATTTTAAAGACGAAGTAATTGAGCACAGAGAACTAATTAACTTGCCCAGGGTTTTACTGAGAGCTAGGCACGGCTCATATCTTACTTAATTATTACAACAAGCTTATAAGAAAGGAATTTAAGCCCTCTTTGCAAAAGAGAAACCATAGATGCTCGTGATTAAATAAACTACTCAAGGTCACCCAATCAAGTCAGGGCTTGAATCCTGGTTGTCCTAGTTCCTAACCCAATGTATTTTCCCATATCTTAACAGACCAAAATGATTTGATCAAAGCTGGTAGAAAGTGCGTCAGCCATCCCTAGAATTGACTTCCTGTGGACGTGGGTAACATTCTGGAGTCAACATCAGAACAAACGGCCTGAAAAAATTCATATAAACTTTTGAGAAACTAAGCATCCTTCTGGCCTTCAGGATCTGTAGTTATCATATATTTGGTGAGCATTCCTTCACTGTGCTTATTTTGTAGAAGTCAGGTGCTTGGTTCACCATAAGGCCAAATGTTGCCTTTAATTAACAACTTAAAATAGATTTCACAGCCTCCTTCTGCTGACAGAGAGTTCCTCCCTTGTGAACTCCTACAATCTGGGCCCAGGAAAAATGGGGCTGTAGGGCATATACCTCTGTCTGAAGGGAACTATTTTGCAAGTAAGCACTCCATTATTTATTATAACATGGCCAGCCATGCCAATTGCAAATTAAGTGCTGAAGATATATTATTTCTGCAATGACTATGTCCATACCCTTTAGTTTAATGACAAAGTAAAGTACATTTGTCTTTTAGTTAAATTAGAGACAAAAATTAACTTAATTGTCATTAAACAAATAAAGACTTGAAGCCATCAGCCAGCTAAATGTGACCAAAAATTATTTTGACTTGAAATAACTTGATAATTGAGAACAGAAAAACGTTATTTGAAGAGTGCTTGAATGATCTAGGTAATAACTTCAATTCTTCATTCTTCTTTTCTCATGTAGACATGACTCCACTGTATAGGGTTTTTTTACTATAATAAATGAAATCCTATTTAATATTTTTTCTTCTCTTTTAGTAAAAAAAAAATAAGGCGAGGAATTTCCATTTTTATCTGACCCTTCAGTTTGCCTGCTCTCACAGCAAACAGAAGGGCATTAAGTCCTAGGGATTTAGTAATAAGATTAAAATAAGGAGAAATGAATGGAAGAATCATTTAGACCAAAGCCCTGTCTGCAGGCAGCTCCATGCATAAACCATGCCAGGAAATCAGGATTTCTATATTATTATTAATGACCTCTAAAGAAAGAGATTTTTCACCTTTTAAAGTGGCTTTTCACAGTATTAGGCTAAAAGGATATGTTTAAAGCTTCTTTTAGCTGCACAACTTGAAAACATATCTAGAAAGCCAGAGTTGACATGAAAGTGAGGGATCCTGAGCCCTGTTCTATCAATGTGCCTTTGACCATTGTGGTCATCCAAATACTTTCTGAGAGCCTGTAAGGAATGAAGAGCTGGCCTGAGATTCGCTATGCAACCAAGAAGGATTTAACTGTCTGGCAGAGTTTTGTTTCTTAAATTGAATGGTGGAAACATAGGCATTTCTTCTATTATTTTATAATAAATTTTGTATACTTTAAATATTGTATTTTTAAAAAGTCAACACCCTCTTTCACACACACCAAACATGGTGACCTCTAGCAAACTGTGCTATTGTGATCTCAAGTTCTAGCCACTCTTATTGTCCTTCTAGCATATCCCTAGCACTCTCTTAAGCTCAGCTCAAGTGTCATATTCTTCAGAAGATAAAAAGTCAAGATATTTGGGTGCCCTAATCTACTATTTAGGTGAGCTAACATATCTGAAACTCTTGCTGGAATGCTTGGCTCATAGCAGGATCTCAATAAATTTTTGTTTCTCTATTTCTTCCATTCTCTTTTCCTTGTGTCTCAGCAAAGCACCTCCTTTCTGTGTTCCCTAGATGTGTTTACTCTACCGTTGATATATTGATGGTAAGTTATGGCGTACATGTCTGCTGCTTCCCTTTCTCTTTCTTTTGCCTCCATCTACAAGCAGTGACTTTCTTGGGAGCAGGGACAGTACTTTTCATCTGTGCTAGTCCAGCACTGAGCACAGCACAAAGAGTAAAGTTGGTGGAATAAACCAACAACAAGAACAACGACAACACGTATGTGAGGACCAGATCTGAAGCAAACTGAAGGAGTTTTCTATTAGGAAAGAAACCTGAAGCAAGGAGAAAAGGAGCGATAGATGTTTCAATTTTTATTACACATTCAGTGAGGGCTAGGCAGTTTTCATATGTCATATCATTCACCTCCATGCCAGTCTAGTGAAGTAGACATTACAATTATTCCCATTTTTAGGATTGGAAAATGGAGATCAGGTAGGTTAATTATCTTGTGCAAAATCAGATGATTCATAATCAGTAAAACTAAAATGTTAACCCAAATTTGACTCATGCTTTCTTTTATAATGTACTATTTCCTGGTATATCAGAAAGACTCTTGATATATAGACTACAGACAAGCCCCTTCCTATGCTTGCGTTACTCCATTTTTCATTGCTATAAAAAAAATACCCGAGACTGGGTAATTAATAAAGAAAAGAGGTTTATTTGGCTTACAATTCTGCAGGCTGTACAAGTATGGCACCAGCATCTGCTTCTGGTCAGGCTACGGGAAGCTTACAATCATGGTGAAAGGCAAAGGCGGGAGCAGGCATATCACATAGTGAGAAAGGGTGCAAGACAGAGAGAAAGAGGTGCCAGGGTCCTTTGAATAACCAGCTTTCATGTGAACTAACCGAGCGAGAACTCACTCATTACCACAGGGAGGTCAGCAAACCATTCAGGAGGGCTCTGCCCCTGTGACCCAAATGCCTCTTGCAAGGCCTCACCTCCAGCATGGGGAATCACATTTCAACATGGGATGTGGAGAAGAAAAATATCCAAACTATGTCAGTGCCTTTCTTGAGACAGCTTCAAACCTCTCGGGCAGTAATAAGGGGCAGTTGAGACAACACATTACCCCAGCCACTACAAGTGTTATCTCTTAATCACACTACCTTCAAGAGAAAGCATCCTGCCACCACTCAGTTCAGCAGTGAGTCCCACAGATGAAGAAGGTGAAGCAATGTGAGCCTGATTTATTTTCACTGCAGAATCCCTGAGAATAGGAGAAATAACAGATATGCTTAGAACATAGAAGCCCTCATGCGTGCAGTCTCGAATATGTGAATTTATAGAATCAAACACCTTTCTTTTGTTTCCTGTCTTTATAACACTCATGCTCCTGCCATGCATCACACTAATTTTTCAGTCCGGTTTACCCTGGAGCTGTATTAATCTAGTTTATCTAATTCCCTTTCAGGATCTAAGGCAGGAGTTTACAAATTATGGCCTGAAAGCTAAGAATTAATTTTGTATTTTTAAATAGCTAAAAAAAAAAGAAAAATAATACTTCGTGGTACATGAAAATTATATGAAATTTAAATGTCAGTGTCCATGATTAGTTTCATTATAGCCACACCTTTTTGTGTCTGTAGTATATGTGGCTGCTTTTATGTTACGTTGGCAGAGATGGGTAGTTGCAACAGAGACTTTATGACCTACACAGCCTAAAATATTGACTATCTCACCCGATATAAGAGTTTGCTGACCCCTGCTATAAAGAACAGTTAGGGATTCATTTCTCCAGACAACTAAATTTGGTATTCTCTCACACCCTCTTTTGTCGTTATTCTAGTGGGAGTAGGTTTTCTTTCAAGTGTCTGTAACTGTATAATGCTTTTGTAATCATAACAATGTGAGAGCTATAGTCACTTTTGTTATATCATGTGAATGTCAATGTTGTTAAGGCAACTTATTTGTGCTTTTTGTGTTTATTCCCCCACTCTTTTGTACTTTTTTTTGCTTTTTGGCAGAAGCCTCTTCTCTGAGATTAGGTTTTCCTTTTTCTCCACCTATTTCTCAAGCACCATTAAGCCTAATTTTATTTTGTATTTGACTCTCTACCATGGATGGGATAGAAGAAGTCAACCGTCCCTGGAGTTCACCGTTCAAATCTTGGGCGTTCATTTAAGAGGACCAATGGCAAAGTAGAGATGACTCCGTGGAGCACATTCCCTGGAAACTGCACTGTAGGAAATACTTGGAGGAAAGTTCATCTCTTAGCCTGGGACATCTACTAGTTTCCCAGGGCTGCCATAATAAAGTTCCGCAGTCTTAGGGACTTTAAGTAATAAAAGTTTTTCTCACAGCTCTGGAGAAAAAGTTACAGAAGATTCCTATTTGAATAAAGCAGACTTTTCTAACAATAACAATGAGCTTTATTATCCCGATTGCAGGGTGATGAGCTCCAGACTGAGTAGGGATATGTCAAAAACACGGTAGAAGCTATTGCTATATCAAATTGGCCTCCTCTCAGCTTTAAATTCTTTTGTATCCTATTGCTCCCTTCTAGGCACAACTTAGCACAGATACATTTGAAAAAATATATCCCAAAAATTATTTCCTTCCTTCCTTCCTTTCCTCCCTCCCTTCCTTCTTTCCTTCTTTTATTTCTAGAACCAAAAATTGCATTTCTTTTGTGCAGAACTTTATTCATTACAATATTTGCACTCAGATGAAAGAAACATATTTGGTGATAGATGAAAAGGAAAGTAATTTATATTGTCTTTATTCCAATATCATTTAGCATGTTCAATTTACATGAATTATTTGGCTAGAACTCTCAATTTTTTTTTCTGAGTTAAGAATGATCATAGATTTAATCATATATAAGTACTTTATGAAATGAATTAATTTTGTTTTGATTCTGTTAATTTTAATACATTTAAATGGCCAACCTCAGGAGACAGAGGGGGACAAAGCATTAAGAATTAATTGGCAAGATGAGGTATGGCTGGCTTATGTATGTGGCTGGGGTCTGAAGCTCAGTAAAAGTTGTCCTTAAGTAATATATTTCATATCTACTGGATTCAATGTGTATAAACCAAAATGTGTCTGTGACATTGATGGCCCAGTGTGTGCCTATTCTAGGAAACAGTTTGGAAAAATGTTTCTGTAAAGAGCCATATAGTAAATACCTTAGGCCTTGAGAGTTACATATGTATAATATTTGTCATGGATTCTTTGTTTCTTTCTTACCCCTCCTCTTCTTCTGCTTCTACAACAACCCTTTACAATTTAAAATTTATTTTTACCTTAAAGACTTTACAAAATCTTGGTCTGTAGTTTGCTGACCGCTATTCTAGGCATTTCATTTTTCTTTCTTTCTTTTTTTGTCAAGACAGAGTCTTGCTCTGTCACCCAGGCTAGAGTGCAGTGGTATGATGTTGGCTCATTGCAAGCTTCACCTCCCAGGTTCAACCAATTCTCCTGCCTCAGCTTCCTGAGTAGCTGGGATTACAGGTGCCTGCCATCACACCCAGCTAATTTTTGTATTTTCAGTAGAGACTGTGGTCTCACCATGTTGGCCAGGCTGGTCTCGAACTCCTGACCTCGTGATTCGCCTGCCTCGGCCTCCCAAAGTGCCGGGATTATAGGTGTGAGCCACCGTGCCTGGGCCATTTCATTTTTTTAATGATTCTGTTCTTAACCTATTAGGCTAATGTCAGGGTAATTCAGCCTTTTGCATCTTTGTAGTAAGTATTATACTATGCTGTATGACAGAGAGGCTCTGCTAATACTGAAATGTAGCGTAAGATATTCACTCTTTGATCTAAGGCAACTGAAAATTCTTTCATGTAAATACCTTTTGGGGTGGAAGTGAAGAAAAGAGTAGTTCATTTATTAGCAATTATTATATTACCCACACAATGGGTGGGTTCATTGATTGACAACTTGGCAGGTGACATTCCAATGACCATATCCAAGGAGGATTTAAAACAGGAATTTATTACTTGCAACAAGAAGGAGGAAACCTGAGATAATCCCCCAAAGCAGTGCCTTCCTGAACAAAGGTGAAAACAGGGCTTTTATTAGGTGGATTACCTGAGTCACTGTATGTAGGGGTGAAATACTGGCAGTGCAAATGCAGTCATGCATCATGCTTCTAATACATCTCATGTATAAAAAATAGCTAGTAAGTTCCTTCCTGGGTGAGGATTTTAGTATGGTAATATAGAGAGTTTGCCAAAGTTCATTTCCAAGTCAGGCATCTCTGGATCTAACCAGTTTTTGTTTTGCTAGGGCTGGGCTTCTTCCTGGGACTTTTCTAAACAGCAGTAACTCAAGGCGAAACAGTTATAAGTGGGTGCTTTTTCACAGTGAATACCAGGAAACCAGGGATCCTCGGTTACCCTTATCTTAATATAAACAAGTCTTACTTTGGACAGGAAAGTAAAGGTGCTGAGGTTAAAAGGTGTAATTGCTGAATTGTAAAATTTAAAGGCTGAAAACAAATGTTGAGAATAAGGACAGATGTACGTTTGGGGTTTAAAGCTTATAGAATCACTGGGGACCATTTTTGGAAAAGGAAATCAAAATTTTGAATAAAAAATCAAGATGTGAATGTTCATTTAGAACAAAAAAGTAATAGCAACAAATAGCAAATTTACAAAAGCTAGCAATTGTCACAAATTTCACAAAATCTAGAAAACTGATTTAGCATTTTCATTAATAAACTCATGTTTATAATAAACATGTTTACAACACACGTTTAAATGTGCTTAAAACACACTTCAATAATACTGTTTTCTTTCCTATTGTGTTCGTGTTTGTACTCTTTAATTATCTTCACACTTAACAAATTTGCTAAACCATGCTCTATAGAGAACAGAATAACTTAGCCTTTCTTGTAGCCTTTCTTGTAGTATAATTGATTTAAATTTATTTTTTAGTATTGATAGACTAGAAAAGCTTTTTTCTATATCATAGTTCCTGCTTGGGAATACCACACCAATTTTTTAAATCATTAAAACATTTGAGAACAGTTCTGTCAAGTTTATTTGACATGCAAGTGGCAAAAGCTGTTCAGGTCTGAGATTTTGCTTTCCTTATAAACGAACAAGTTACCATTACTGTTTCACAGACTATGGGTCAGAGACAAAAGATAAAGAACTTTATTAGTCATATCAAAAACAGTAGCTAGAGATAAATGTAGGTTTGTACAGGTTTGGGCAGGTTCACCATACCCTCCACAGAGGTCACACAAAGATCTTATCATAGATTTATGCACATGCTGTGTGTTGTGTTATAGGAGAGGTATTATAAACTTCAGGGACTCACCACTTTTGTAGTAAATGGAAGCAAGCCTGCTATTTGTGCAAGGGAAAACGTTACCTCATCCCTCAAGTTTGCTCACTGCAAACAGAACTCTAAGAAATGCCCCATATAGAGTTGTCAGGGCCTTGCATTTTTGGTGTACCCAGTAAGAATATGCAGTGACGCTCAGGGATCATGGCAGATTTGCCTCTCCCGTGAAGAAACTAAAATTTCTGGGCATTTCAAATTTTCTTATGCAATGGTTCATCTTCAGCACTATTTGAATTGATAATGCTTGTTAACCGATAAGCCACCAGTGTCCTCATTGTGGTGGTTTATTCTTAGTCTTCCATTCTGTTCGTGTCCTGTGTTAAACAAATAAAAATTTTCTATTTTTTAATGTGTTTTCTAATGAAGAGATTAAATCCTCTTCATTAATTATATTACTAGAAATCCAACAGTCTGCTATCATTTCTATTACAAATATAACACTTCTTTAAGAAATACCGTTCTTGCTATAATCTGAAAAATATTGTTACAATTCAATTCTCTGTGTCAGAATAATTTCTGTTGGTTTTTTGGTCATCATGGCACTATGATGAAATATGCTTTACATTCTATTATATTTTTACCTGAAACTTTTTCACCTTTTTGAAAGAAAATAGACCTAAAGATGACAAAAGACACTTTGGGAGGCCGAGGCAGGTGGATCACAAGGTCAGAAGATTGAGACCATCCTGGCTAACATGGTGAAACCCCGTCTCTACTAAAAATATAAAAAAAATTAGCCGGGCGTGGTGGCGGGCACCTGTAATCCCAGCTACTTGGGAGGCTGAGGCAGGAGAATGGTGTGAACCCGGGAGGTGGAGCTTGCAGTGAGCCGAGATGGAGCCACTGCACTCCAGCCTGGGCGACAGAGTGAGACTCCGTCTCAAAAAAAAAAAAAGACAAAAGAGAGTACTCATCTCAGTTTGAGTTCTCTCAGAAGCAGACATGAAATCAAGATTTGAGTGTAAGTACTTTCATTTGGGAAATGATCCCTGGAAGTATCAGTTAATAGTGGGAAACTGCGACAGGGAGGTACAGACCGGCAGTGAGAGGGAAGATTATCAAGCAAGTAATCACTGTAGATGACTAAGCTTAAACTACTTTGGGAACTTGGGCAGACAGTGTAAATAGGTGTCTCAGAAATATACAGCCTGCATTATAAGGAATGTGAGAGCTGAAGAATTGATTTACCAACATCCTCAGTGATTTTTGAGCTTTTTCTTGGGTAAGAGGGTAAGTGTCGATATTCCCCTGGATACTAGTAAAAGATCCCAGGAAAAATGCAAATTGTGGTAGCGTGATATCAACTCTAGATTGTAAATATTAAGGCCTAGGGGGATATTGGTGAAATTCCGCAGTACCTGCTACAATATATTTAAAGGATTTCTAATCTCATCATCGTTTTGTTAAAACGTTTCAAAATGCTTTTCCATAGTATAGTAATATTCCCAATTCAGTTTTCCCTTAGCTATAACCTAAGGATGTCCATTCTACTCCCTTGTCACTTCTATAAGAGAGAAAGTAGAATGAAGGGTAAAACCATTGTGAAGGGATACTGGTCTTAGGCACATGTAAATACAAATTTTACTCAAAAAGTGACCATGTTGATACCTTGCTTGGAATCATTCAGTTCATCTTTGAAGGATTGATAATCCTTAAAATACTTCTGTAAGAAGAATGCTAAAGCACTTTCACATATGTAAACTGACTCTCTCCAAGTTGCCTTACCTCCTTTGATTACCCTTTTCCTTAACTTCAAGGTAAATAATTGCTTCTCCATGCCATGATTTCAGGAAGTTCAATTTCCCCTCTGGGCTCATCTCCTTCTCCCAGACTGCTCACATCTGCGATGTTACATGCTCCTGGGATTACTGCACAGCTGCTCTAGGCTAAACTGAGTTGGGTCATACTGACCCATGGTTTCTCCATGTTGCTGAGGTCTTTCTATAATCATTTGCCACGAAGGTGGTACTACTAATACAAACTTTTACTACCTACGTAGGTTTTGCTGAAGACTTGACAGCAATAGATGGATTTACTGACAGAGGAAGAATGAAAAAATAAATTAACTTAGAATTTAGTACCAGATAGAATTGCTTCTAGAGTTCATTAGTCAGAAATCTACCTTCACAGAAAATTCCTAAGGGTGAGTTTTTCTTCTAAGACCCTTCTGGCATGTTATCTGATCCTCTTTAGTCTCTGCTTTCATATCTTCTTCTACTTTAAGATTCAAAGCAGGAAAAAGAAAAATTTAAAAACCCTCTCTCCAGTTCCCTCTGGAGTAAGATAATTAATAGGTTACCCTTTCCCTAGTAGTGTTTTGAATTTTATGCTGTATTAATCAAGTCCTCTTTCTTTCAAACTATCTCTTCTGGTCTAGGCTCTAGGCCTCACCTCTGAATAGCCACATAATATCTTGATCCACAAATAAAATAATATTTATCCTGCTCCAAATTAAATTATTTATCCTGTTAGCAGAAGTGGACACCGATTGCTGTAAAATATATAAACAGTCATTTTTCAGATTTTTCAGATCCATCAAAGATTCTGGAATCTTGGAGCAGGTCTCCTGAGATCTTCCTGGCTCACATTTATATGTATATATATATCCTCAGGGACACTGCAGCCTAGAGCAGAAAGCAAGAGTCACCGTTTTACGTTACTGAATCTAAGCCAGTTACCTTGTGAACATTACGCCTGCAATTAAATTGGTCCCATCCAATCAACTGTGGGCAAGAGGTCAACATCACATGTTGCAAAGAACATGTCTGCACCTGTTCATAAGGAACCACCTCTAACTTCTGCAGAGGTAGAACAATTATTAAGTGCACTGGTTCCCTCAGATGGAAACTGTGGTGTATATGTTTATTATACCTGGAAAGTGTCTAATGCATTGGAAATCCAAGAGTGACATAAACCTCACATTATTCAGTTTCAAAAAAAAAAAAAAAAGGCTTCTAAGTAAGCCCTAGGTTACATCACATAAGGTGCCAAATGTTGATTTCTCAGGCCAGTGAAGAATAAACTCAAATAAATAAATGTTTCATGTGGCAAGAAGAAAGTGGTGGAAAAATCCGAATCCTGTAATTTCTAATATCTTTAAAATGGCACTGAGAATGTCAGCCCTCATTAGTGCTTTCAGTTTAATGGAGGTAATAAGCTAAGGGGTGTTGCAGAAGCTGAAGGAAAAGTTCAAAGACGTGAAGAAATCCATTCTCAGGAAAATACTAATTTATTTTCCATTTTCCTATAAAAATAAAACAAGGGAAAAAATTTCCTAAGGGTCTTTTCATCCTGGAAGAAAAAAGACCCAATTTTTGCTCTACTCCCTCATTAGGCATTGTGGTGGCTCTCTGATTTTGTTTGTCTTGAAATTTTATTTAAATCTTTTACTATTAAGTATTCTGTATGTTTAATACAAGCCTCCTCAACTTGATACAAGCAAACCAGGGCAAGGATCATCTTTAATGCTTCTAACAATTCATTTGTTATCTACATATTGTGAGCAACTGAATAGAAGGTAAAATATAGAATTAAATGATGAGGGAGATATACTTTTACATTATTCCAGGCCCTGGGGATACAGCAGTGAATGGAATAGATAAGATTCTTGCTCAGATGTTGGTTCCATTCTACTGTGATTAGGGAAAGAGAGCCAGACAATGGACAAAGAAACAAATAAATACTCAAAATAAAATTAGAGAATTATAGGTACCATGCAGGAATTGAAAAGAGATAATAGGCTATAGAGAGGGTATACATGTGTGGAGGGGTTATTTTAGATAAGTGGATCAGATAGGCTTCTCTCAGAAGGTGAGATCAAAGCTCAGAAATGAACAATGGAGGATAAGCCAGCTACATGAATATTTGGGCAAAGAACATTCCCAGCACAGTATTTCAGTAAGGATAAAAACACTATGGTTGGAATGATACTGACATTATCAAGGAAAATAAACAAGGCTGCTCTGTCAAGAGTGCATATGGGAGACTGGAGTTAGAAGCCAGGAGTGCATGGCCTCATGTAGAAGGAGTTAGTTATGCCTAAATCTTTCTTCCAAACTCAATTCTGCATCTTTAACTCTACCTGCCTGTCACACCAAACTTCCTTCACACTGAGAAATGAGGCAAAGAAATGGGAGAGAGAATAAACATGGTGATCAGATTGTAGGGTGCTGCTTACCTGCAGAAGGCTAATAAACAGAAGCATTTGCCTGTTTATTTTACATCCTTTTTGCTTAAGAGAATAGATAAGGGAAAATTTGTACTGAACTTATCATGCAGGTCTTCCAATGGCCAATCCAGTGATATTTCGACTGCACCTCTGGGAACAACACAATGTGTGTGTTTAACGTAATAAAATAGTAGAATCCAGAACCATCTGCGAGGACCTTGACATTGGTCCTGAAGGGGTGTCGTCTGAAAACGGCAGTCTTTCTGAAACAAAGCTGGTTCAATACCACCTAGAACCAGTTTTAACTGGACTCATGGAAGCATAGGAAAATAAACTCAGCAATAGCCCTAGCCTAACTCCAAAAAAAGATTGAGAAGTAAAAAGTTAATAACCCAACATCCCCCTCTTTTTCTTCCCGTGTGTTCACTTGGCACAAGCTGCTGTCCTCACATGGCCTTTGCAAACAGAGAATGGAGGGATTCTTTTGCCTGTTTGGCTTCATTTACATGTTTGAACTCTCTGCTAACACAATTTCAAATGTGTGGGAAAATGAAGTCGCATTTCATTAAGAATAATGAAAAGGGCATTTGGGTTCAGAATTTCTATTGTGGGTTGAGATAGCTGTGCAGCTTTTAATCATGGTGGCTCCTTTCATATCTGTGTATTCCTTGCAATGTGAAAAAATTAGAATCTGTTCTAAGTGTATTAGAATGTGGAAAAAAATTTTTACAAAACTTTTTTTAAGTGGTTTTTATATTATTACTATAATAAAAAAGAAAAAAAGAGAGAAGAGCATGCCCTCTTCTTATCAGATTCATGTTGTTACTATAGTCATACCGTTGCCAGTAGCCTTTCAAGGCACTTGCTTCTAATTCGATTTTTATTAATGCTTGGCAAAAATGAGAGTTGGAGCCTTATATCTTTTTGTTACAAATATCCTTCCATTTAGGATCTGCCTTGGGAACTTTGATGCTGCAGGTAGGAGATTGCTAAATAATCATCAAAATTGGATTCGACAAAGCCATTTAGTAGTGTTCAGTCTACCAGGGCTCAATGGTGCATTTTTCCCAGCAAGTTTTTTGCATGTCTGCTCTGCTTTCCTTGACGTGAGTAATTATGCTCCTGTAGCTAAGTTAAGGAGGTAATTTCAGCCAACAATTCATGACTGTATTTTTTGCAGTCCTGAATGTTGCTTTTCAGGACTAATTTGAAACACATGCTATAGGCCTCATGCAAACCACGTAAATGACTTAAAATTATATTTTGGACTCAAATTTCCATCAGTTTTAGAATTTCCTAGATGCGGTGAGCATGAAAGAGAATCCACAGGCAAATGGGCTAAGGGGAATTTACTATTCTCCACAAGGTTTACCACCAATTTCAGGCCTCTCACAGTGTTTATTGCAGCCAAAACCACACTGGTCCCCAAATATGCTCTTTTGGTTAAATAGTCTATCCAAGTATTTACACCAAGCCTGCTTATGGTTTTGTCTAACATCCAGAAAAGGCTAAGATTTCACTAAACACTGAAGAAAACCAGCAGAGAACAAAAAAGGAATAAAAAACGAAAACGCATGAACTATATTGTCATCTAGCTTACAACATAAAGAATTCTGAATTTACCTGGAAATGCTAGGACCCCACTCCATCTCCTGTTTGTGGGAATGTTTCTCTTAGTGTTTCATTTCCTTTCCAGCAGCTGCAGCCCTTTGAGGATTACCTTATATACCTACTCACCTCTTGGGAAAACACAGGTGTTAAAAGAAATGGATTTAACACAATTCCTGGCCACCTCCTCCCCCTCCTGCCTAGACCAGAAACAGTTCCTACACTTCTGGTACTCATCAAAATATGAAGGTACATTCTAGTCACTGATGTGATCTGTGTCTACTAATAAGGGAAAGGTCAACTACTGCTTCCTAATGTCTGGGGAAATGGGCTATTGTTGAAGCCTGTTTGATGAGGTTGGAGTAGAGACTGCAAGAATAATTGGGGAAGTGAGCCTGTGCACTTTTTCGGAAGACAGATGGATGCATATTCTATATAAGGAAAGTTAAAAAATCAAGTGTATGGTCCCGGAATATGCATGTGTATGGTGGGGTGGGAGGGTGGAGGTTGAGAATAAGATGCAAGGAATGAGGGTGTGAGATAAGTGAATCTAAAGGGAAAAGGAAAGGGAAAGCTCGGAAACCAAATGACACCAACACAGGCAGAGATGTAAGGTTGTGAAAGTTGCTGCGGAAACAGTTTAGACGAGTTGTTCTCAAACTTGAGGGTACATCGGAATCCCCAGGAAGGCCTGTGCAAACAGACTCTTGGTCTCCAGCACAGAATCTCTGATTCAGGGAGTCTGGAGTGGGGCCCAAGAATCTGCATGTCTAAGACGTTTCCAGATTTTGCTGGGGCTGTTGGTCAGGGGACCACACTTCGAGAATCATTGGTTTGGCCTCTGCTTCTATGCATAGTCTATATATAGTATCGGATCTCAGCAAGAATGTGATAAATGACATTTGTGTTCATTTCTTCCAGATGCCTTTTCCTATGCAACCCTTCCATGTCTTTCTCCCCCTACTGACAGGTATCCAGTTTTTCAGCTATAGGTATTATTATTATGCATGACCCTCCCTATTGCTTCAAGAATACTACCATTTGCTATTTACAGAGTCTCACTAGGCTGCTCCACATTCTTAACATGTATGCCAGTCACATGTTGCATCAAATGCTTTTGGGAAATTCTTCTAAGTGCATCGTTAAATGAGTTTAAAATGAAAGATATTCTTAAATGGAGTTGGGCTGTAGGTGTCACCTTAGACAGTTTAATAAAAGGCAAACATTGCAAGGAAAAGGTAAAGATCTCAGTGCAGGAGTTAGTTTGGGACAATGTCCTCCCTTTCTGAGGTTTCTCAAACCCTCCCAGGTATCTGACTGTGTCTTTTGCCATCATATAAGGCCAGTCCTATATGTGCAGATGGACAGAGAGCGGGGATTTTGGCGGTTAGTCCTGTTTGCATGTGCATGACCATTAAGACTTTTCTTATCACCCTCCTCTATCATTTATTTGTTGAGACAGAGCAGGCTTAGTGTCTCCACAGCACTGCCTAATGACCTTCCTGCCTCACTCTCTTCCTTCCCCTGAGGACCTATAATTAGGTGCAGCCTTTCTTGACGCTTTCTCTCGAACACAACAGTGGCAGCTATGGTGGTGTCTGCACAGATCCTCCTTCAAGAGAGAGCCTGCTATGAGTGGCTCTTCGCTGATAGCCTCCAGTGCTAAACCTCCCGGATGTCTCAGCATTCACACCGAGGGGGTGTGGCCGTGGCTGCTCCCAGCCAGTGGCTGAGGGACTTAAGCAGAGTCATTTATGCCTGTTGTGAGGATCCTCTAACAGGTGGCATTGCTCTGGGCCCAGCGCCTGCTTGGCTGACACTTTCTCAGGACTGCCCTGTGGTTTAAGCACTTCCTCTCCCATCCTCACCATGCCCTGTCCCATCTTAGGAGACCTGCCTCTGGTCTGAAGCTTTCCCTGCCTACTCCTGTTCTTTCAGCTCTACCTTCACAGGCATTTCCCCCAATGAATTTCTTGCTCTCTTTTTTCATTGTTTCAACCTTTCTCTCTATTTTTATATTTTTAATTTTAATCTTGTAGACTGGGGAGGCACAGCCTTCACTACAAGTGAGTGTGCTCTCCCTATTTCTTGGCTCTCTAATTCTTTCTTGGTATCTTGGACCCAAACTGACACCATGACCAAATGCTGTCATACTTTTTGGAATCAGATTCAAAGTCCTTATCCATGCCAGACTGACCTATCCAGAACTTCCTTTCTCCTCCTACTCCATTCACCTACCACAGTGTCAGCCCCTAACCATGCTCTTCATACATACACATACACAAATTTTTAGCTATGGACTAAGGCCTGAACTCTTCTAGCATGACAAAAATGGCGACTCTGTTCATACTACTACAGAAACGTAAGGAAGGCTCTCCAGTAAGCATAGGCAAAGCTATTATGAATCAGGAAATGCACGATGTACTCTCAGTTTTGAAACAGAGGTGGTATGTGTGTGCCTCTCTCTATACCTATCCTAACTGGAGGCACGTGAAAATGGGTGAAGGTATTTCTGGAGATCGCATTGATTGAGGAGTGGTAACATTGCTTAATGTGTGCAGCAAGAAACCCCAAATGCATTGTCCAGAGAAATCTCATATATCAAAGAATTGTCCTGCTCACAATGCCTGAGAAAGCCCACCTTGAGAGGCCATATAACTGGGAGATTATTTAGCATTTCTAGGTCTTGACATCTACAAAAATAGGAATGTTAAAAATACTTGCTCCTAAGACAAGGTGTAGCATACAGTAAATGCTCAATTAATACTACTTTCTATTTTTCCCCCTTCTTTTCCCTGCTGTATCTCATGGGTTGTTGTGAGGATCACATGTGATAATAAATGTGAAACTACTGTGTCATCAATAAAGCTCTACACATGTGTACTGTAGTTACAATGTGGATGGCAGACTACTTAGTATAATCTTATTTTAGAGAAAGTCAAACAAACACATAGTTCGGGTACATTTCTCAAATTCAAAACTGCACCTATGAAAGATCCTTTTTAAAATAGATTGTTTCACTTATGCACATGAGTGCAGGCTTTCCAACCATCACCTGAACCTATTTTTGCTGGATATCATAGTAGCTTTCCTCAGAGCCCAGTGCTGGAATCCAAGGGCATGCCAAGGCTGTTCTGATAAATGTATTGTATACAGAAAAGGTTAATGTATTCAGTTCCTATTTAATTGAAAATCCCCAAGGAACAAGTCGTCTTTTGTAGGAGGAGCAAAGGGAAACAGAGGAAGCAGCTGGGTAAGTTGAATTATTTCTCCTGTTTTCCCCTGCTTCTTCCCCTACCCTAACCAAGAACAGTCCTTACACTTCTTCTAATACCCATCAGATAAAAAATAACTTGCATACAGTTATCGAAAATAGAAAATACATGTATATACTCAGAAATCTGCTTTATGATTATTTTCTTTACCCAAATCACCTGCATGGGTTGTACCTTGTACGGACGTGCACTTCAGTCTGGATCCTCTTCTCTTTTCAGACTTGGTGGACTACTTACAGCATCAGAACTATAGTGCTTTTGCTGGTGAAAACAGGCTGTGTACTTGAACAGTGTTGTTAGGATAACACTTCCTGAAAGTTACTGGATGCTTAATAAATATGGGAAGAATATAATTGAAATTCGGTGATCTATGGGTAAATTTGACTTTCCAAATTTCTGCTTTCCCTTTGCCACTTCCCTGCCAGATGGCAGGAACTACATGTCTCAGAGAGAGAGAGAGACAGAGAGAGAAATAGAAAAGGAAGGACAGCGAGAAATATATTTTACACACTAAGGAAAGATTATATCTTTTTAAAGATATTACCACAGATATATTTTAATTGCTGATTATAGTTTTTGCCAATTTGCTCACTGCAGACAACACTATTGTCAAAATTTGTCTGATCATCTGTTACAATACCAGACACAGTTTTATTAATATGGACTTTATGATGACAATAAAAGGATTGCTTGAGAATAATTGAACACACCCCATAGAATAAGAATGATAAACTATATAATTAAATTGCTCGGGATTATATAATACAACAAACTACTAATCCAAACAGTGTTTGCCTTCTTTAGGGAATTGAGAAAAACTGTAACCACATGTAGTTAAAGAAAATACCGCTATTTTGGTCGTATTTGAATGTTCTTTCTTGTTCATTGTCACTAACTTACCTCTGTCTTATGGTCTTCTTTTTTCAGGCACAGGCACATGGGATGGTATGGTTACTGATACCACCTCACTTTAAGTAGAACATCTTAATCAGTGGCCAGGTGCATGTGCTCTGGAGCCTGGTTTCTCAGTTCAAAGACTGGTTTTGTCATTAACAAACTGTATGACCTTGGGCAAGTTACTTTAGCTATTTATGCCTCAGTCTTTTCTTCTGCAAAAATAGAGTGATAATAGGACCTATCTCATAGCGTTGTTGCAAATGTTAGAGTTAAAAATTATAATATTCAAACAGTGTTTGTCACAAACTGAATGCTCCATGTATTTGAGTTATTTTTCTTATGTATTATGTTTTGAGGTCTTGTCTAATGCGCCCGGCAGTAATACATTTTTAACTAAAGGCTGACCTTAGAAATATTTTCGTGGGCCGGGCGCGGTGGCTCACGCCTGTAATCCCAGCACTTTGGGAGGCCAAGGCGGGTGGATCACCTGAGGTTGGGAGTTTGAGACCAGCCTGGCCAACATGGTGAAACCCTGTCTCTACTAAAAATACAAAAATTAGCTGGGTGTGTTGGCACATGCCTTTAATCCCAGCTACTCAGGAAGCTTAGGCAGGAGAATCACTTGAGCCTGGGAGATGGAGGTTGCAGTGAGCAGAGATTGTGCTACTGCACTCCAGCCTGGCTGACAGAGTGAGATTCTGTCAAAAAAAAAAAAAAGTGATTATTTTAATCTTGACTCAAATATATAAACTCATTAATTTGTCTCAGTAATTTCAGCCTAGTAAATGTAATTGGATTTGTATTTATGATTCAAAACCTTGCAAGTCATCATTTAAAGTTAGATTCTTACTTTACCATCATCATCATTGTCACCATTATCATTATCATTACCAAAATAACATACACTTATTATGTACCAGGCTTGTTTCAATTATTTTACCAAATTAATCCTCACAACAGCCCTGTGGGGTAGGAACATTATTGTAATCCCCATTTTATGGTAGAAATGCTTGACTTACAACGGGGTTACATCTGATAAACTCATCATAAGTCAAAAATGCATTTAATACTCTGATAATCCCATTGTAGAGTTGAAAAATTATAGGTTAAACCATTGTAAGTCCAGATGCTCCTCAACTTACAATGGAGTTATATCCTACTAAACCCATTGTAAAGTTCGAAATACTCAAAGTCTAACCATTTGATATAGGAAACTGAGGCACAGACAAAGCACAAAACTTGCTTCAGGCACGCTGATAGCCTGTGGTAGAATCAGCATGCAAACTTAGGTTAATAGGCACCAAGTCTGAGCCCTAACTACTCTGTGATGCTGTCTCTCAGGACTGCTCAGTGTTGAAAAGAGTTGAGGAGGTTTTTTTTTGAGAAGGAGTTTTGCTCTTGTTGCCCAGGCTGGAGTGCGATGGTGTAAATTCAGCTCACCGCAATCTCTGCCTCCCGGGTTCAAGCAATTCTCCTGCCTCAGCCTCCCGAGTAGCTGGGATTACAGGCATGCGCCACCACGCCTGGCTAATTTTGTATTTTTAGTAGAGACAGGGTTTCTTCATGTTTGTCAGGCTGGTCTGGAACGCCCGACTTCAGGTGATCCGCCTGCCTAGGCATCTCAAAGTGCTGGGATTATAGGCATGAGCCACTGCACCCGGCCTTGTTTTGTTTTTGGTAACCATTAATATTAGATGGTTTTCTTGTGACTCACCTTTCTCTCTGAAAGGTCAAGAGTCACAAAATATTAAAGTCATTCTTTTGTATGATACAATGTATCATTAACATCATGGTTCTTTTACTCAGTATTAATCAACACTCTTTCTTTCTTCCGTGCCTAGAATTGTGCTTACTTTGACAAAGGAGATTAGTAAGCACTGGGGAATAATAGAATACCTGATAATGAAGATAATGATGATGATGATGACTATGGTGATTATGACAGCTGCTTTTCATTGACTATGTCCTTTTGTTACATTGTATGTTAAAACTTTCTACAATTTAGGGGGTAGATGCATCTTTTTATCCCAGTTATATATTGTGTGAGAATGTGCAATAAAGTAGTTTCACTGAGGTCAGATCTTGGAGAATTCAGAAAATCAAATTGAAGAAGTTAAATCTTTTTTTAAGTGTAGTAGGAAAAAAAAGGGAGTTACTATTTATGAAAAAGTCAATCTGTATATCACATTATGAAGTTAAATTTTGGACAAATTAGCAAACATTTAGTCCATCTAATCATCTACTGTTAGCTTCTTTTTAATTTAAAATCAAAATCAAAGCCAAAAACAAACAAATTTACTGCTGATACTATTTTAGCCTCCAGAGGCTTTTATGAGGGCTTTCTTGGGAGTACAGTTTATCAACTCTTTCTCCACTTTAGAAAGAGTACCCTAGCTCGGGGTTGGACATTTTACTCTGAATATTTGTGTGTTTGCATGCTCTGCTTGTGTTGGAAAGTTTTGGAATAATTCATAAACATTACTAACCCCATTATGTCTAGGAAATTCAAAAGCAGCAAGAAGGCAGATCATATGAAATGGCATATTAAATGGGTACACATCAGCTGAATGTGTTTTATGTACGCATGATTCAATGGATTGTCCTTACTGCTTTGTGAATCTTTATTTAAAATGGAGAACCCTCTGTGGGGGTTGCAAAGAAGACCTCAAGGCAGCTTTTGATTCATGTTACTCCTCTGATTATAAGAATTTATTATCAATAGTTAACAGTCAAATATGGTTTGATACAGTGTATAAATACACTGCACAATAAAGTCCAGTGAAAGTATTACATCTGATTTATCATGGTATTTCTATCATTTGACTCATACTAATTTTCAAAAGCTAGATATACTTTGATTCACATCAACTTGCCATTAATTTTTAACCATATGATTTTACATAGGCATGACTGACAATCCAAGTTATTTTAGTTCTGTATTTTATTTTTAATATTCAATTGTGTTACACCTGCTTGCAAAACCTTGAGTACAATCATAACAAAATATGTAGAATTACAAAATCAATACAAATTTTTAAAAAAATTCTATTTGGAGTTAAAATACAAAACTTGAAATGATAAAAACAAAAAAACACAACAAAAAATGAACAACACCTTCAGAGGGAGAAGTTAATAATGATATTGAAGCAGCTACATTGTCTGGAGTATATACCCTGGGGTTCGTAGTTGCCCGCCAGGAAAATTTAGGACACAGACACACACAAAGCGTTTGGGAGCAGAGATTTAATAGGCAGAAGAGAAAAGAAAGAGAGACAGCTCTCTCTCTGTAGAGGGAGGGGTCTCTGAATGGAAAGGACCAGCTGGGTGGTGGATGCTCTGAACTTTATAGTCAGGTTTGAGGAGGTGGTGTCTGATTTACATAGAGCTCACACACTGGTTTGATCAGGTATGACATTTACATAGTTCTTGGAGAAGGCTGGTCGCCCCATGCTAATCTTATTTTGCAGATGGGCTTTCCAGTTGATCAGCCATCTTGTCTACTTCTTCCTGTACACGTGGCTTGCAAAAAGAAGGAAAGATGGAGCTGCCATCTTGAAAATGTCTAGTCCTTAGTTCCTGCCAGCATTCACCATGCAAGTTCCCAGCTTGCTTGTCTATGTCTGCAGCTCGACTTTATAGGCTGCTCTTTGTTAGAAGATGATTTGAGGCTTCTTTTTATTAAAAAGAAAAGCCTTACCAAGGACTTCCCTACCCTCACTTTGCATAAGTGATTTCTTCTTAACTTCTGTATCAATATTAGGGGAACTGACCACATAGCTTATTTTGAGCTTCCAGGTGGTCAAAACAAACAGGCACTCTAGAAGAGTGACATCTATCATCTTTTTATGTTTGCTATCTGAACTTAGAACTTCACGTTTATTTCTGTTGAACTGTATCTTCTTGATTCAGTTCAGAATTCACGGATACCTGGATATATGATAAAATATTCTCTATTCCCAGCGGATTCTATCAAAATATAGAAAGATATTGCATATGAATATTACATCAAGCTAATTCTTGATCACCTTAGAAGGAAGAGGTCAAGGCCTTGACAGAAGGAGACACAGCACATGGGAGTTTAGTTTTAATACTGGGCAAAGTAAGGCAGTCTGGAAGGCTAAGTCCTAGGAGCAGGGAATGGGTGTTATACATCATATATTATTGATTATTCTTTTACTCAGTGTTGATCAGCACTCTTTCTTTCTCCAGTGCCTAGAATTGTGCTTACTTTGACAAAATAGATCAATAAGCACTGGAGAATAATAGGCAAAATAGATCAGTAAGCACTGGGGAATAAATGCCTGATCATGAAGATAGTGATGATGATGACTGTTGATTATGACAGCTGCTTTTCATTGACTATGTCCTCTTGTTACATTGTATCTTTAATGTATCTTGCTTGCACAGATAGCAGTGAAGACAGCTAAAAAGGCAGAGGGGAATGGCAGGTTATGTGGAACAAACTTTAATATTCAGATGGCTCATTGTTACACTCTAATTTTTCACTTGGTATAAATTGCTACTGAGAAAAAACAAAAGATGGGTTGAATCTATTGACTTGGATGGTTCATGAATATTTCCTCACCGAATCCACTTTGAGAGCTGAATTGCCTAATTCTATTAATGTTACGGAGAATCAGAACAAACACTATCTGATGTTTTATCTTTCAAGCTTCTGAGATATATTCTTAATCCTGCTATGTCACCACTAATTCCTAATGACCAGGCATTATGAAGGTGATGTAAATTTCATCTTGTAACTCATTCATTACCCTTATGGCTGGTGGTGACGGATGTCATTAGTTTAATGATTATGGTTATCCATTAATATCCATAGTTGTCCATGATGATCACCTACTGAGGTTGGATGTATCATTGCTTAATACATTAAATTAGACAAAAATGTCATGGCTGAGCACACAATATCACCCATTATTTTTGAAGATGAGTAAATCAAATGTTTCTCAATAAAACAGCAATGTAGGTCTTTTGGACTTTTAACTTTTTTAAGAAATCTTAAACAATGGCATAAAATGGGAATCTCCTAAGCTCAGCTGTTAGCCATTATGACCAAATGAAAGCTCCCCTGACATCCATCATGTTTTACCATGGAAGCAGTTTTACAAGCATGATGCATTATGTCTGTGGCTCCAGAGTATGGAATCATGTTTCCAGGTCCAGCTTAACTACTACCCACTTAAATTCCAAAACCTTTTCAAGAGGTGATCTTTATTTCTGTTGTCCTGCTAAAACTTTTCCCCAATTTTTTTGCATTTTGTCATATTTTTAAATTTATAAAGCCCTTAAAAAAACTGTATCATTCATTTCCCATAAAAAATCATAAGGTAGTTATCTTATTTCCTTCTGCAGCTTTCTTGGGAATTTGTCAGTCATTTCCTGATGTCATTTACCAGATGCTTGTTGGATGTTCCCTATGTGAAAAATAGCTCCTGATACTAGCAATTCCTGCCATGTGCATTTTACATCCCTATACAGCCTAGCACTAATTTCTCCCATTATATTTAAATGTTTCAATCTTTGGAATTACCGACTGATTTCTACTCCTCATGTGTTGATAAGAAGTTGAAATGAGACAGACTGTTTTGCTTGTTTGTTGAAAAGGGATGACTGCAAAGAATTTATTGGTACCATTTTGAAATATCTGCATAGACCCAGAGCTCAGGTTTGCTAAAATTAAATTAACTTTATTAGAATATTCACTATAATTCAATGTGCCTTTTAAATTGATTTATTAACTGATTTATTTAAACATTTGCTCATTTGTTCATTCACTACTCATTTAACAAGAATTTATTGAATTCCTACCATGTACCTGTAGAAGAAGTATGGAGTTAAATAAGATCAGTACATATTTTAAAAAGTTTTAGTTCCTCTGGGTTAATCACAGCCTATCAGAGGAAGCAGTTATATGAATTGAAAACTATAATATATTGTGACATGTACTGTCATAGAAATTAGTCAGTGACTGAGAATACACAGACCACAAGAAAATAATTAAGCATGAGAACTATGAAGAAAGATTTCAGAAAAGTGGTGTCATTTATTTTGAGTATTGATGAATAAGTGAGAGTTTCTTAGAGAGAAACAATTATGAAGAATATCATGTTCAGGAAAATAAATAAAAAATATAGAAGTTTAGCTAAATGACACATCTATGAGAGAGAAAAGACTCCAAGTACAGCTTGGAAAGGAGGCTGGAACCAGGTAAGTAAGGATCTTACAAGCTCTATGAGATCTTACAAGCTCTTAAAGAAGATTCCATAAACCCTTCATCTTTAGAGTACTTGACCTGAAAAATCTTTTGTTCCACACATGAGTTCATTGATTAATTAGGTACAAAGTATTGAGGTATTGTAGAGGTTTAAGAAGATATATTTGTGGAGAATAAATAGAATAGACACACATATATATAATATATAAATGTATATTACATAATATTATATGTAATATTAAATAAATATATAATAGTTATGTAATATGTCACATAAATATACAATATTCATAAATTATATGACTGGGCGCGGTGGCTCACGCCTGTAATCCCAGCATTTTGGGAGGCCAAGGCAGGCGGATCACAAGGTCAGGAGATTGAGACCATCCTGGCTAACAGAGTGAAACCGCCTCTCTACTAAAAAATAGAAAAAATTAGCCGGGCGTGGTGGCGGGCACCTGTAGTCCCAGCTACTCGGGAGGCTGAGGCAGGAGAATGGCGTGAACCCAGGAGGCGGAGCTTGCAGTGAGCCAAGATCACACCACTGCCCTCCAGCCTGGGCGACAGAGCGAGACTCCGTCTCAAAAAGAAAAAAAAATTATATATATTTATATATCATGTGATATATATTTATATATATATCACATGATATATAAATATATATTATATATAAACATATATAGACATATAAATATATTTATATATCATATTATATAATATAAATATATAATATATATTATAAATATATGTAATATATAAATATATAATATATATTATAAATATATGTAATATATAATATAATATACATAATATATAACATATATTATAAATATATAATGATAAATAATATATACTATATACTATATAATATAAATATATAAAATATAAATATACTTTTGCATAATTTTATATAATGTTTATATAACATTTTTATATATGTAAATATATTATAAAAGATATAATTTGTATATATTATATATTTGTACATAATATTAAACAATATAAATATTATATAATAAAATATGTTATAGGTATCAATATATATATTTATTTATATTTAATATTTATATATTATATTTATTTTCTATATAATATTTATATTTTTCTATATTTATATAATAAATAATATACAGATATATCTTTTTAAAGCATATATGTGTCATACTTTATCTTCATATAAATTATCATGTATGTATTTGTGTGTATATAGCACTATGTATATATATGCACACATGCACAATCACATATAAAATACCTGTGACAAGCATTTTCAACAGTTTTCTATCTAGCAAAATTTTTGAAAGAGAAAGCCAAAGTATGCCACTTCATAGTAAAGAAGATGCTTTAAATGTAAGAGAAAAATAACTTTTTCAACATGGAAAAGACAAAAATAATTGGAAATATTTATTGTTATTTGACTTTTGCCTCTAAAAACAATATAGATATATGAACTATACATTCTTCCAAAGTTGTCCTCACAAAGAATTTTGGAATATAATTTTCAATCTGTGTAAAAATAAAAGTTGTAAACTTTCAATTAGTTTTCAAGAATAACTTTGTATAATAATAAGGTAGATTTGCTTGTTGAGTTTGCTTATACACATCTTTGCATAATTAGTGGATAAGATTACAGAATACAGTTCATGACATGAACCAGTGACCCAATTTTTCATTTTGATTAATTTTTAATGAGAGGTACATTTTCAAATATATAGTTATTAAAATAAAGTATTACAATATATTGGACTTAGAAACATACCTTCAATTTAAAGTAATCTAAAGGGTTACATGAAAATTTTCTGGAATTAAATAACCATTGAATTATATTCTATTTTTTTGATTACTTCATTAAGATTTAATTCAAATACCATAAAACTCACCCACTTCAAGTGTGTAATTTAGTGGTTTTAGCATATTCAGAGTTGTACTACCATCACCACTATCTAATTTTGTTTCACTTATTTATTTTATTAATTTTAATTTTCTAAAATAATTTTTGGGGTACATAGTAGGCGTATATATTAATGGGTTACAAGAGAATTTTTGATATAGACATGCAATGTGAAATAAGCACATCATGGAGAATGGAGTATCTGTCACCTCAAACATTTATCTTTTGAGTTACAAGCAATCCAATTACACTCTTTAAGTTATTTTAAAATGTACAATTAAGTTATTGATTATAGTCACCCTATTGTGCTATCGAACAGTAGATCTTACTCATTCTTTGTAATTATTATTTTTTGTACCCATTAACCATTTCTACCTGCCCTCTCATCCCTCCACTACACTTCCCAGACTCTGGTAATCATCCTTTTACTCTCTGTCCATGAGTTCAATTGTTTTGATTTTTAAGTTTCCCGAATACATGAGAACATGTGATGTTTGTCTTTCTGTGCCTGGATTATTTCACTTAACACAATGATCTCCATTTCCATTCATGTTGTTGCAGATGACTGGATCTCACTCTTTTTTATGGCTGAATAGTATTCCATTGTGTATATACACCACATTTTCTTCATTCATTCATCGCTGATGAACACTCTGGTTGCTTTCAAATCTTAGCTATTGTAAACAGAGCTGCATGTAATGTAGAAGTTTAGGTATCTCTTCAATATACTGATTTCCTTTCATCTGGGTATATAACCAGCAGTGGGATTGTTGGATCACATGGTAGCTCAATTTTTAGTTTTTTGAGGAACCTTCAAACTGTCCTCCATAGTGGTTGTACTAATTTACATTTCCATCAACAGTGTATGAAGGTGCCCTTTTCTCCATATCCTCGCCAGCATATGTTACTGCCTGTCTTTTGGATATGTGCCATTTTAACTGGTGTGGGATGATATCTCATTATAGTTTCAATTTCCATTTCTCTGATAATCCGTGATATTGAGCACCTTTTCATATGCCTGTTTGTCATTTGTATGTCTTTTGAGAAATGTCTATTCAGATATTTGCCCGTTTCTTGATCGGATTGTTAGATTTTTTTTCCTGTAGAATTATTTGAACTCCTTATATATTCTGGATGTTAATTTCTTCTTAGATGGGTAGTTTGCAAATATTTTCTCCTATTGTGTGGGTTGTCTCTTCAATTTGTTGATTGAATCCTTTGCAGAAGCTTTTTAACTTGATAGATCTCTCATATAGTCTATTAAAAAGCTTTTTTAGTGTTAATAAGGAAATCATTTAAGATCTTTATCTTTTAGTTATTTTAAAATGTTGATTTTAAGGTAATATAGTGTTATAAATATATTACATGTGTTCAATGAGATAATCCTGTAACACAAATTATTTAAAATTTGTAAACCAATAGAAGTATACATTTTTGGTGTGCCTGGTAATGTTATTTCATAAACAAGCCTGTGTAATTAAAAACATTTGAATTCTGCTGCTCTGGTCAAGGTAAGTCACCTGCATTTTCTATAAGGGACTTGGTGCTGACTTAGATAAATCCTAATTTCTTTTTTTTTTTTTTTTTTTTTTTTTTTTTTTTGAGACGGAGTCTCGCTCTGTCGCCCAGGCTGGAGTGTAATGGCGTGATCTCGCTCTCGCTCACTGCAAGCTCCGCCTCTCGGGTTCACGCCATTCTCCTGCCTCAGCCTCCCGAGTAGCTGGGACTACAGGTGCCCGCCACCACACCCGGCTAATTTTTTCTATTTTTTAGTAGAGACGGGGTTTCACCATGTTAGCCAGGATGGTCTCATTCTCCTGACCTCGTGATTCCCCACCTTGGCCTTCCAAAGTGCCGGGATTACAGGCGTGAGCCACTGTGCCCAGCCAATAAATCCTAATTTTTTATACACGATATACTGTATCTTTTGGTCCACAAATGACCTCTCCTTTTTTTAAAAAAAAAAGCTTTTTAAGATATATAGTTAGATATTTTTAAAAAGTAAGAAATATCTATGGACCCACCATTCTAAACAAAAGCTAGGACCTTGACAGTAGCCTGCCTTGAATCCTATGCTTCCCATGGACATATTTCCTGCATCCCCATATCCATAGGGGTCACACATCCTGAATCCTATGTTTGTCCTTCTTGCTTTCCTTTTAAATGAGATTTTATTGTTTAAAGTTTCATTTTCTTCTAAAAATATTTTTAAATTTTATTTGTTTCACACTTTAGAGAGAGGGTATCATATTTACGGGCCACTTAGGGATTTTGCTTTCCCCCTTAATGTTGTCTTATGAAGGTCCATATCATTGCATGTTGCTGTAGTTCATTTGTTTTGACTCCTAGAACATATTGCATTGTTTGATACGCCACAACTTATTTGTCTACTCTCCCACTGACAGGCATTTGTGCAACTTCAAGTTTTCTGTATTTGATCAGTAGCTCTAAAGACATTAGCAGAGATGTCTCCTGATAAACTAAGTAAGCATTTCTCTTGCATAGATAATGCTGGGTCATAATGTAGGTAAAGAATTAATTTAAGGAGGTGTTTGCCCAAGTGTTTCTGTTGATCTATCAGGGTTTTTCCCATTTTATCTTGACATTCAAAGCATTTCTAAGAAAAATTTCCTGTTATCTTATGCAATAAGACCATTGTATCTAAAACTCCTAAACAAAAATTCTGGAGACAACATTATACTAAAGGAAAGCAAAACATATGATGGCAAATGACTTCATAATCTCTGTCTCTAGCTCGACACTTTCTCCCCAAGGCAAACATAACCACAGTCTTGTATGAAGATTCGTGCCATAATATTTAACTTTTCTCCAGTGACACACTTCCCTATGGGTGTTACATGGCAACATGTAGAAGAATTCTCAAAAATTCTCTTTACTGAAGATTTCTTTGTAATAATCTTGGAAAAGAACCGTGGCTCCCCTAACCCACATCCTACCGCTCCATGCCATTTCTTCCTTCTCTTTTGCTCTGGCCCAGAATGCTGGAGATATCTTTGGGCTCATATACAATTTATCTGCAAATTTGGTTGGTTCTTCCATCAAAGTATGTCTCAAATGGCACTTCACAGCCCTCCCTTGCTGTCACTCAGCTCCAAGTTGGTATCATCTCCTACTAGAGTAGTATGATAGAGGTATATCTTCTTCTATGCTTGTGTCCTACAGACTCTTCTCACATAGGAAAAGTAACCCTTTAAACACATGAATTTCATTACTTCTCTTCTGAAAATACCTCAGTAGGTTCTCAATGAGTTAGCATAAAATTCCAACCCCTTATCATGGGCTTACAAAGACCCTGCATGCTGCAGCCTTTAACTAACTCTGATTGCATTCCCTATCACTCCCTTCTGGCTTCCTCCTCTCCTGTCTCAGTGTCTTCTTTAGTTTAACTGAAATGAGTCAACAATGACTCTGCATCAGCACATATGAGTTGTTCTTTACTCTGAACATCCTTTCTCCAAAATTGACAGAGAGCATTTTTTTCCACATATTAACTTACCTGCCTCACTTTAAGAATGTTGCTGTTCAAATGTCATCTCTTGATGCCTTACCTTACCATCCTTTCAGAAATTAACCTCTTCATTATCACATTACCTCGTTTTAATTTTCATCAAAAAACCTATCACTCTCAGATAGATCTCATAAATACATTTGCTTATCTGTTAACTGTAATTCTCCCTGACTAGAGTATAAAATCCCTGGGGGACAGATTTGTTCTGTCTTGCTCACTACAGGCTCTCCAGCACCTATTAGAGTATAAACACATGGTACTACATTCAAAAAAGTCTTGAATGAATACATGAGTCTATCTATTTCATCTAGAGACTTCCAGAACTTTCAAAGTAATTTTCTCTATACTTCATGTTTTCTTTCTTAAGATTTTAACTAATAATTCAACAAAACAAGTTTTTATCAAGATATTCATTTTTGAAATCTGCTTTTCAATGTTGGGCTTCTGTGAAAAAGTTCTGTGCATAATTTCATTTTTATAAAGTATTCTGCTGAAAAAATTAAATATCACTGTTAGATATAATCATCTCAATAACACAGCTAGGATTGTACCATATACCTGTTTTATTGATGATTATATTAGACCTCAGAAGCTTTAAGTAATTTGTCCAAATCACATAGATCTTAAATGCTATGGCTCAAATGGGAGTCATTTTTGCTTCACTGTAAAGCTCGTGGTTTTCTCAATTATCCGCGTCTTTAGGTCCTCATTATAATGAAGGTGAGTGCATTGAATGTAAGATGTGATACAGGACCAGAGATAAATTAAGTATGTTGATATACAGAGATGATACCACTATTTTCAAATAATTTCTCAAAGAGCTATGTTTAAATTGTTGAAGTAGAGGGACATGGGAAATACATTGATGGATGTTGTATAAGAGGCTCTGTTTTATATTAACAGGAATCACATAATATAGTCTGAAAGGCAGAATGGTCATTGGATACATGGGTTTCTTTCCTGAAACTTTAGCACACTGGATATGTCAATCTATATGCCATGCCAAGAGCATTTCTCTGTAAATGATTAGGAGAATGGGCTATCCATGATCCTGCTGCCAGAGGTGACTCAGTAGCACCAGTTGATGCTGGCTGCTGTTCACACAACCTTATTGTATGAACAGAAACATGGGGGAAGGGAGAAGTGATACATGGCCATAGGAAGAGCTACATCTTCTTTGATTTGGTATTGCCATGTTTTTCCCTAAATAATGAATGTGGGAATATTTTCAACCAGTAAAAAGAACAAAAAATTAATAAATACCCATAAAACAAAATTCAAATCCCTTAATGTAAAAGAAGTGTATAAAATTAAACTGTAGACAACAGATAAAAGCCAACAATACCACTGTGAATTATCACAAAACTACTTAATTGCATGAAGATAAAAATCAGGGAGAATAAATTTGAGGAAGTGCAATTAAGACTAACTTTAAAGAAATTGAATTTTATTTCCTTGTTCTAATTAAAAACAAGCAAATAAAAAATAAACAGCTGTTGCAATTACTTGGCTTCAGTTAAAAATGTCTATATTTGGGCTTCTTTTCTTTCATTTTTACTTGACATATTTACCTTTTGAGGGAAGCTGACCAAATGTGGAGAGTCAGAACTGTTCTGTAGAGTGTCAGCAAAGTGCACTAGTAATTAAGACACCAAACACAAATTAGTAAACTTTGAAGCTCAGCCAAGATCTGACTGTGGAAAAATGCAATTATAAACAAAACCATGAAACTTTATTGGGAAATATAAATATTTTAACTGTCATTAAGGACCTTAAGAAATAAAGAAACCTCCAAAGAATTTGTTCTGACATTCTTTTTAGATTCTTAAAGTATTATTTTCTTTCTCAGATATGCATTTTTCGTTTGAATGTTCTTTTTATGTGGCATAATATAAAAGCTTTACACAACCTAAATCACAATAGTTTTCCCCATTTAATTCTGCAGGGATAGGTTGAGGCTAAGGTCTTGGTGTCCTCTGAGTCATGCCAGACTGGAAACATTTGGAAATCAAGATGAGATATACCCACATATGAATGATGATGTTAGTAGAAACATTCAATTATAAGTAGTTTACTTGTTTGTCTAAGAGCAATACCAGTAAGATGGCACAACTGGCATCTAAGAAGATAGAGATCACTGTCAAGCATGTATGATGGTGGGACTCTCAGCTTTGGCAGAGAATTGATAAGAGCAAGGTGAGAGATGGATGGAAGGAGGAAGGGAGGGAGAGAGAGAAAGACAGAAAGAAAAATGTGTCACAGAGAATCTTTTTCACAAAATCAAGGGCTCCTAAACTAACAAACAAGCTTTTTACATCACAGTTGACATAGTGAGCAATTATCTGGGCATCTGGGTTGTTTGAATCTAAACGTAGTGGTTGCCAAAGTTTGGTGTATATTGGAATATGAATTCTTTAAAAAATTCTAATGCTTGGCTTCTACTTCCAGGTATTCCGATGTAATTGGCATGGGATAAGGCATAGGCATTGGAGTTCTTAAAGCTGCCCAGAAGAGTCTAATATGCAGTAAAGTTTGAAGAAACATGGGCTGAAGGTCAGGATTCACTCCAGAGATTCAATGCAGGGTTGATAGGTAGAAGGTAGAGAAGTAGTTCTAACTATAGGGGGAAGCTATTTTGATCGAGGAAATTTACAAGTTCCCAGGATCAATTGTGAGTCAGAAATAAGAATGGGAGCAACCCCTATTAAGTATTACCCCTATTAAGGTAATATGTATGCAATAAAGCTTCAGTAGTTAACACTGGGTGGTATTAGTCATGAACGGATAAATATCAATAGAAAAAATAGAGTTCAATATAGATCCAGACGTATGGCAATTTAGTACTTATTCAAGAAAACAACACAAATCAATGGTGAAATGAAAGAAAATTCATGAAATTGTGTTGGGACTATCAGTTAGTCATCAGGAAGGGTCACAATCTCCCAGCCTCTAGAAGCCTATCTCCAGGAAATTTAGGAATATTTTAGGGCAATAGGTTTGATGATCATAGGCAATTTAGGCAAGGTGATAGCTCTGATAGTTAAGGTGAGGTGTAATCATTTTTCTTCTGTTTTATATTCAGCAACTCCTCTAAGATTATAGGGGGTATCTTGTTTACATTAGTGCATCCCCAGATGTAACCACAATTTAAGCCACTATATTTTTTTAATTTTTAATTTTTGTAGGTACAAAGTAGGTGTATATATTTATGAGCTACATGAGATACTTTAATATAGGCATATGATGCCTAATAATCACATCATGGAAATTGGGTATCCATCCCCTTAACCATTTATCTTTTGGGTTATAAACAATTCATTTATACTCTTTTAGTTGTTTTTAAATGTTCTATTAAATTATTTTTACTATAGCCACCTTGTTGTGTAATCAAATAATAGGCCTTATTCATTCATTATAACTATTTTTTGTGCCCATTAACCATCCTCACCTTCTACATACTCCACACTATTCTTCCCAGCCTCTGGAAACCATATCTCTACTCCCTATCTCTGTGAATTCAATTGTTTTGAATTTTAGACCCCACAAATAAGTGAGAACATGCAGTGTTTGCCTTTCTATGCCTGGTTTATTTCACTTAACATAGTGACCTCCAGTTCTATCCATGTTGCTGTAAATAATAAGATCTCATTCTTTTTTTATGGCTGAATAGTACTCCATTGTGTATATATACCACATTTTCTTTCTTTATCAAATCATCTGTTGCTAGACACTTAGGTTGCTTCCAACTCGTGGCTATTGTAAACAGTGCTGCAATAAGCATGGGAGTACGTATATCTCTTTGATATACTGATTTCCTTTCTTTGGGGTATATATCCAGCAGTGGACTTCCTGGATCATATGGTAGCTCTATTTTTAGTTTTTTGAAGAACTTCCAAGCTGTTCTTCATAGCGGATATACTAATTTACATTTCCACCAACAATGTACAAAGGTTCCCTTTTATTCACATCTTTGCCCCCATTTGTTATTGCTTGACTTTTATATAAAAGCTATTTTAACTGGGGTGACATGATATCTCATTGTAGTTTTGATTTGTGTTTCTCTGATGATCAATGATGTTGAGCACCTTTTCATAGGCTTGCTTGCCATTTTTATGTCTTCTTTTGAGAAATGCCTATTCATATCTTTTGACCATTTTTTTAATCAAATTATTAGGGTTTTTTCCTTATAAAGTTGTTTGAGCTCCCTGTACATTCTGGTTATTAATCTCTTGTCTGATGGGTAGTTTGCAAATATTTTCTACAATTCTGTGGGTTGTCTTTTCACTTTGTTGATTATTTCTTTTGCTGTGCAGAAGCTTTTTAACTTGATATGATCCCATCTGTCTTATGTTTGCTTTGGTTGCCTGTGGGGATATGACTCAAGAAAATTTTGACAAGACCATGTCTAGGAGTTTCCCCAATATTTTCTTTCAGTAACTGCATAGTTTGAGGCCTTAGATTTACGTCTTTAATCCATTTTGATTTAAATTTTTATAATGACTTTGGGTGAGAGATACGGGTCTAGTGTCATTCTTCTGCAAATGGATGTCCAGTTTTCCCAGTACCATTCATTGAAAACTATCTTTCTCCCAGTGTATGTTCTTGACACTATGGTCAAAAATGAGCCCACTATAGGTGTGTGCATTTGTTTCTGGGTTCTCTATTCTATTCGACTGGTCTATGAATATGTTTTTATGCCAGTAATGTGCTGTTTGGTTACTATAGCTCTTTTTGCTTAGAATGGCTTCAGCTATTCTGAGTCTTTTGTGATTCCATATAAATTTTGGGATTTTTTTTTATATTTCTGTGAAGAATATCACTGGTATTTTGATAGAGATTGCATTGAATCTGTAGATTGCTTTGGGGAGTGTGAAAATTTTAACAATATTAATTTTTTTCAATCCATAAACATAAAATATCTTTCCATTTTTTGGTGTCTTTAATTTTTTTCATCACTGTACCATAGTTTTCATTGTAGAGATCTTTCACTTCTTTGGTTAAGTTAATTCTTACATATTTAATTTTTATTTGTGGCTACTATAAATGGGATTACTTTCTTGATTCCTTTTTCATATTATTCACTGTTAGCATATAGAAATGTTACTATTTGTAGGTTGTGCAACTGTACTGAGTTTGTTTATATATGCTAATAGTTTTTTGGTGTAATCTTTAGGTTTTTCTAAATATAAGATCATATTATATGCAAACAAGAACAATTTGACTTCTTCCTTTCCAATTTGGGTAAATTTTATTTCTTTCTCTTGTCTAATTGCTCTGTGCAGGACTTCCAGAACCATGTTGAATAACAGTGTTGAAAGTGGACATGCTTGTCATGTTCCAGATCTTACAGGACAGGTTTTTAGTTTTTCCTCATTCAGCGTGATACTAGCTATGGGTCTATCATATATGGCTTTTAGTATGTCGATGTATGTTTCTTGCATACCCAGTTTTTCCTGGGCCTTTTATCATGAATGAATGTTGAATTTTATCAGATGCTTTTTCAGCATCAATTGAAATGATCATGTGGTTTTTGTCCTTCATTGTGTTCATATGATGTATCACATTTGTTGATTTACATATGTTGAACTATCCTTGCATCCCAGTGATAAATTCCACTTGGTATGATGAATGATCTTTCTAATGTATTGTTGAATTTGGTTTGCTAGCAGTTTGTGAAAGATTTTCACACCAATATTCATCAGAGATACTGGCTTGTAGTTTTCTTTTATTGATGTGTCTTTGTCTGGTTTTGGTATCACAGTAATATAATACTGGCCTCATAGAATGAATGTGGAGGTGTTTCCTCCTTCTCTGTGTTTCAGAATACGTTGAATAGGATTGGTATTCATTCTTCTTTAAATATTTGGTGGGATTCAGCAGTGAAGCCATCAGGCCCCAGGCTTTTCTTTACTGGGAGAGTTTGAATTACAGCTTCTTTCTTGTTACTTATTATTTGTCTTGTCTAGGTTTTGGATTTCTTCATGGTTAAATATTGATAGATGGCATTTGTCTAGGAATGTGTCCATTTCAGCTATATTTTCCAATTTATTGGCATATAGTTGCTCATAGTAGCCACTGATGATCCTTTGAATTTCTGTAGTATCAGTTGTAATGTCTCCTTTTTCATCTCCTATTTTACTTAGATTATTCTCCTTTTTTTTCTTTGTTAGTCTTGTTAAAGTTTGGTCGATTTTTTTTATTGTTTCAGAAAACCAGCTTTTCAATTGATCTTTACTATTGTTTTCCTCATTTCAAATTCACTAACTTCTGCCCAGGCGTGGAGGCTCATGCCTGTAATCCCAGCACTTTGGGAGGCCAAGGTGGGTTGATCACCTGAGGTCAGGAGTTCAAGACCAGCCTGGCCAACATGGTGAAACCCCATCTCTTCTAAAAATACGAAAATCAGCCAGGCATGGTGGCAGGAAACTGTAACCCCAGCTACTCGGGAGGCTGAGGAAGAAGAATTGCTTGAACTGGGGAGGTGGAGGTTCAGTGAGCCAAGATTATGCCACTGCACTCCAGCCTAGGTGACAGAGCAAGACTCTGTCTCAAAAAGCAAAACGAAACAAAACAAATTCACTTATTTCTGCTCCAACCTTTATTATTTGTTTTCTTCTACTAATTTGGGGTTCAGTTTGTTCTTGCTTTTTTAATTTTGTAAGATACATCATTGGTTTATTTTAATTTTTTCTTCTTTTTTGATGTAGGCACTTATAGCTATAAACTTCCCTCTTAGTACTGCTTTTGCTGTATTTCATAGGTTTTACTATGTTGTCTTTCCATTATAATTTGTTTCAAGAAATTATTCAATCTCCTTCTTACTTTCTTCATTGATGGACTTATTATTTAGGAGCATATTGTTTAATTTCTGTGTATTTGTATAGTTTTCACAATTTTTATTTTTGTTGACTTATAGGTTTATTCTATTGTGGTCAGAGAAGATGCTTGATATTATTTCAATTTTTTTGAATGTTTAAAAACTTGTTTTTGGGAACCAATATAGGGTCTATCCTTAAGAATGATCCATGTGCTGAGAAGAAAAATTTGTATTCTGTACTGTTTGGATGAACTGTTCTATATATATCTATTATGTCCATTTGGTCCATAATGCAAATTATGGGAGATCTTCACTCTGGGAGATATTTCCAGTGCTGAAAGTAGTGTGTTGACATCTCCAGCTATTATTATATTGGATCCTATCTCTTTCTTTAGCTCTGATAATATTGGCTTTATATGTTTAGGTGCTTCAGTATTGGGTGCATATATATTTACAATCATTATATCCTGTTGCTGGATTGACTCTTTTATCATTACATGATAACCTTCTTTGTCTCTTTTTATAGATTTGTCTTGAAATCTATTTTGTCTGATGTAAGTCAAGCTACTCCTTTTCTTTTCTAGTTTCCATTTGCAGGAAATATTTTTTTCCATCCTTTTATTTTCAGTCTGCATGTATTTTTATAGATGAAGTGTGTTGCTTATAGGCAACAGACCACTGAGTCTTGTTATCCATCCAGATTCTGTTTGTCTTTTGATTGTAGAGTTTTCATCTAATTTACATTCAATTTTATCATTGATAAGTAAGGACTTATTCCTGCCATTTTGTTATCTGTTTTCTAGCTGTTTTGAGGTCTTCTCTTCTTTCTTTCCTTCCTTTCTGTCTTCCTTTTAGTAAAGGTAATCTTCTCTGGTGGTATGTTTTAATTTCTTGCTTTTAATTTTTTTGTATCCATTGTATTTTTTTATTTGAGGTTACTATGAGGTTTGCAAATAGTTTTCTACAACCCACTACTTTAAACAGATGACAACTTAACACTGACTGCATAAACAAACATGCAAAAATAAACTCATAAAAATGCTACACTTTAAGTTCATCCTCCCACTTTTTAACTTTTTGTTGTTTCTCTTTATTTCTTATTGTACTATGTCTTGAAAATTTTTCAGTTATTGTTTTTGATTGGTTCATTATTTAGTGTTTCTAATTAAGAATAGTTTATACAACATAATTACAGTGTTATAATATTCTTTGTTTTTCTGTGTGCTTACTATTACCACTGAGTTTTGTACCATGAGATGACTTCTTTCTGCTCATTAAAATTATTTTCTTTCAGATGGAGGTACTCCCTTTAGCATTTCTTGTAGGACAGGTCTGATGTTAATGAAATCCCTTAGCTTTTGTTTGTCTCCAAAGGTGTTTATTTCTCTTCCACGCTTGAAGGATGTTTTGGTCAGATATAATATTCTAGGGTAAAAGTTTTTTATCTGTAGGTAATTTAAATATGTCATGTCCTGGCCTCTAAGTTTTCCACTGAAAAGTCTGCTGCCAAACATATTGGAGCTTCATTGTATGTTATTTATTTCTTTTCTCTGGCTGCTTTTGGGATTCTTTATTGTTAGCCTTTGGGAGTTTGATTACTAGATGCCTTGAGATAGTATTTGGGTTAATCTGCTTGGTGTTCTATAAACTTCTTGTACTTGAATGTTGATATCTTTCTTTAGGTTTGAGAAGTTCTGTGAATGTTGTGGGAAGTCAGGGACCTGGAACAGAGGTACTGGCTGAAGCCATGGCAGAAGAACATGGATTGTGAAGATTTCATGGACATTTCTTAGTTCCCCAAATTAATACTTTTATAATTTCTTACACCTGTCTTTACTGCAATCTCTGAAGATAAATTGTGAAGATTTCATGGACACTTATCACTTCCCCAATCAATACCCTTGTGATTTCCTATGCCTGTCTTTACTTTAATCTCTTAATCCTGTCAGCTGAGGAGGATGTATGTCACTTCAGGACCCTGTGATGGTTGCGTTAACTGCACAAATTGTTTGTAGAGCATGTGTGTTTGAACAATATGAAATCTGGGCACCTTGAAAAAAGAACAGGATAACAGCAATGTTCAGGGAATAAGAGAGATAACCTTAAACTCTGACTGCCAGTGAGCCAGGAGGAACAGAGCCATATTTCTCTTCTTTCGAAAGCAAATGGGAGAAATATCATTGAATTTCTTTTCTCTGCAAGGAACATCCCTGAGAAAGAGAATGGGCCCCTGAGGGTGGGCCTCTAAAATGGCCCCCTTGGGTGTGGCTGTCTTCTGTGGTCGAGACTGTAGGGATGAAATAAACCCCAGTCTCCCATAGTGCTCCCAGGCTTATTAGGATGAGGAAATTCCGGCTAATAAATTTTGGTCAGACTGGTTGCTCTCAAACCCTGTCTCCTGATAAGATGTTATCAATGACAATGGTGCCTGAAACTTCATTTGCAATTTTAATTTCGCCCCGGTCCTGTGGTCCTATGATCTTGCTCTGCCTCCATTTGCCTTGTGATATTCTATTACCTTGTGAAGCATGTGATCTCTGTGACCCACACCCTATTTGAACACTCCCTCCCCTTCTGAAAATCACTAATAAAAACTTGCTGGCTTTATGGCTCAGGGGGCATCACGGAACCTACCGACATGTGATGTCTCTCCCGGACACCCAGCTTTAACATTTCTCTCTTTTGTACTCTGTGCTTTTATTTCTCAACCCGGCCGACGCTTAGGGAAAATAGTAAAGAACCTACGTGACTATCGGGGGCAAGTTCCCCGATATGTGAACATTTCTTTGAATAAGCTTTCTAGCCCTATCTCTTTCTCTGTCTTCTCTTTAAGGATAGTAATGCTTAGATTTGCCCTTTTGAGGCTATTCTCTAGGTCCTGTAGGCATGCTGCATTATTTTTTATTCTTTTTTCTTTTGTCTCCTCTGATGGCATATTTTCATATATCCTGTTATTAAGCTCACTGATTCTTGCTTCTGCTTGATCAGTTCTGCTATTAAGAGACTGATGCATTCTTCTGCATGTCAATTGCATTTCTCAACTCTAGAATTTCTACTTGTTTTTAATTATGGTAATATTTGTTAAAATATCTGATACAGTTTTGAATTTATTATCTGTTTTATTTTGAATTTTTTGAGTTTTCTTAATACAACTATTTTGAATTCTCTGTCTGAAAGGTCATGTATTTCTGTTTCCCCAGGATTGGTAGCTGGTGACTTATTTAGTTCATTTGTTGAGGTCATGTTTTTCTGATGATTTTGCTGCTTGTAGATGTTCATCAGTTTCTGGGCTTTGAAGAGTCAGGTATTTATTGTAGTCCTCATAGTCTGGGCTTCTTTGTGCCTGTCCTTCTTGAAAAGGTTTTCCAGGTATTAAAGGGGACTTGGGCCCCAAGCCCAAGAAGATTATTTTTGCAGACTTGTAGAGTTACTGCTTTGTAGTCTTCAATAGGATCCAGATAAATTCTCTGGATTATCAGGCAGAGACTCTTGATCTTTCCCTTTACTTTCTCCCAAACAGCATCTCTTTCTCTGAGCTGAGCCACATGGAACTGGGCATGCGGTGATGCAAGCAACCATTTGGCCACCACAGCTGGGACTACTCTGGGTTTAACCTGAAGCTGGCACACCACTGGATCTTGCCCAAGGCCAGCTGTAACCACTACCAGGCTACCACCTTTGTTTACTCAAGACCCCAGGGCTCTATAAACAGCAAGTCATAAAACTAGTCAGGTTTGTGTCCTTCCCCCAAGGCAGGTCTAAAGATACTGTCTGCAAGCCAGTGATTGGAATTAAAAAAAAAAACCTAGAAATTTATTTCTTCCTCTCTCACTCTCTTCCTCTCTGTTTTTTGTATATACTTTTGTGGGGTGACAAGGTCTCTACTCAGCTCATATTTAGAAGATTCTTTTTTTTCTCCAGAGAATCTCTCATCATTGTCATCAGTGTTAGGGGCCTCCTCCATTAAAATGGTTGAATTAGCTCCCTGACTGTGCCACAAATATACCGTAGGTAATTTTACTTATAACTTGGAGATCTATATCTGTTTTGATGACAGAGGCATATGCAGTAACATCAACAGTAAAGACATTTTGTAAGGTTTTATTGTGCCATCTGCTTTTAGGAGTGTGGATCTTGGCATGCCACCTAGTAACAGCTCCTCTTCTGCTCAAAGTGAACCCACATATTTTATAGGGTATCAGTCTTTCCCCTGATGACTCTATAGAATGGAAGCCAGTGCCCGGTTAGGACACAACCAAGAGTCACAGGATGAGAGTCATTCTTCTCAGCATAAAGTTCTGCCACGGTGTATGTTGAAATTGAGACACACAATAGGTCCAGGCTGAGGCTGAGACACACAAGCCAAGGCCACTATAAGAGGGGGCCTCAATTTCATATGACTCATAACAAAGACTGGGTAGAGCTCAGCAAATGCAGCACTGTGCAGCACAGCTGAAGGCACAAACTTGCCTGAAGGCAGCAACACAGCTCAAAGAGCTTGCTAGCCAGCAAGCAGCTGATCAAAAGGATTGCTCCACTGGCAGGCAGCAGAGCCAGTCATCAAGCCAAAGCAAGAGAAGAAAGACCCCTGCTAGTGGTGGATATCATCTACACATCCTGCTCATAGCACCACTGTTTCAGATATTCCACAAAAAGAAGACAGCCTCTCTCAACACTCAAAGTTTGAAAAGCTTGCTACTCACATAAGGGACTTCCAGGGAGAGTGAGGTGGCACAAACAGACATAGATTGGCTTGAGGGATGCAAAGTGAGTGGATCAGGCCTTATAGCGGATAGAAGTTTTCATGAGCTGGAATTTTGTGAGGTTTGAATTTCCGGCAGCCACCAAAGGAGGAGAAATGTGCAGGATTTCTTAGCTTATCTATTTAATAGATGTCAGACCAAAGGATTAGAAGAGGGAGAGGCTTAAAAGAAGTCAGCAGTCATACATCCAAAATATGGAGTCAGGCCTCTTATTACAGTTTTTAATAATTTTTAAATTTTGAATCTTGAGAAAATATTACACGTTCAAAAACTAAATAAACCCTCACCCTCATTCCCTCCAAAAATTGAAAGCAACGAGGAATCACTATAGGTGATTGAAACTATTATTTTCTATTCATAATTCCTTCCTATCTAAATTATTTCTCTATGCATTATTTTCTCAGGAGTCTCTTTTCTTGTTAAAAATAGGATCCAAGAGAAACATAAACAATTATTCATAACAGGAAGAAAACTTAGAAATTCTTTCATCTAATACCTTTCTGAAACAGGTTTTGAAACTAATTCTAGAGATTTAGTCTAAATGCCCAAAGTGGGGTTTAGAATTAGTCTTATCATAAATAATTGTTTTTGTTTCTTAGTTTGTTTTGGGAGTATCTGAAAGTAACCGTTAACATCTGCATTTCCATAAAGGTATGAGTTTCTCATAACCCCTGTCTTGATTTCTCCACATGAGCTTCTGTCTTTAAAAAAAGTTTTTTTCTTCTGGGAAAGGAACTGAATTTCAATTCATTTGGATAGAGTTTTGATCCTCATCAAAGGCTTGATAATAAAACACAAGCTTATCCTCTGTCTCCACGATGGTATTCATGACTAGAAACTGCTCCAAAGATTACACCAACTCTGTCCCACAGCACACCTCAGTGATGGCTGTCTGAAGATTTCTGTTGCCTAGACCTGTGTTGGCTTAGACAAGTTGAATTTTGCTGTATCGCTTTGAGGCCAGTTCTGTCTCTCACATGAAGTTCTGCTTTTCTCATTGGCTTTATCTGAATTGTCAACAGTCCTCAGAGCCAAAGCTTATCAGTGTTATAACTTCTTCTAATACCTTATTTTCTTCATGTTCCATTCTTTAGTGGGACAGGAAATTCAGATTTGGAGACATTTCTGAGCACATGAGAATATGATCCCCCTGCTTCCACATCTCCTGTTCTCTATCTCTGCTTGTATAGCTAAATAATACTCAACACAAATTATTCTGCATTTTCACAAAAAGCTCCTTTTTCTCCAACTAACTCAATCTAGTGTAATTTTGAGTACTTATTATACACAAAGGTTTAAGTGTAGAGACTGTCTTTTAACTTTCTTTTCCTATCACTCCCTACAATGCCTGAAAGAGCAGTCAATAATACTGGCTTTATAGAGGTCATATGGTACAGTTGTTTAGAATTTCTGAGTTATTCGTATACATATTATACACTCAAAATTTTGTTTAGATACTGCCAAATTTCCATTCTAGAAGTTGTACTGATTTGTAATACTTTTAACAATAAATATAGATGTCCATTTCTTTCTCTTCTTTGGGTTCACAGTATATAAATCTATAAAATACATTTTCTTAAATTTGCATTGTTGATTACTAAATAAGGTAAGCATCTTTTCACAAGTTAATTGGATCATAATTCTTTGCACATTTCTTTATAGGTTTGTCTTCTCAGTGATTTGGGAGACCTATTTACTGATATGAATTTTAATTGCTTGTCTTATTTCTAAGCTGCACAGATTTTAGAAGTGTTTTCCTTAATTTTTAATGACTTAAATTTTCAGTTAATTGTAGATTTACATGCAGTTTTAAGAAACAACACAGAGTGATTCTGTGGACTCTTTACCCAGTTTTCCTCAAAAGTAATATTTTGCAAAACTGTAGTACAATATCACAACCAGGATATTGACATTTGGGATATTGACAGTCAAGATACAGAACGTTTCTATCACCACAAGGATACCTTATGTTGCCCTTTAATAGGCAAATCTACTTTTCTCCCTCCCCTACTCACTCTGTAACCCTTAGCAACCACTCATCTGTCCTCCATCTCTATTATTTTGTAATTTCAAGAATGTTAAGTAAATGATATCATGCAGTATGTAATCTTTAGGGATTGGCTTTTTTCATACAATGTAATTACTGAGATTCATCTATGTTGTTGTACTAATAATCCATTTCTTTTTATTTCTGAGTAGTATTCCAGAGTGTGGATATCCCACAGTTTTTTAACCATTTATACACTGATGGGCATCTTGGTTGCTTACCAAGATGTCTGGGGCTGTTATGAATAAAACTGATATAAAATTAATGTGTAGGTTTTTGTGCGAACATAGCTTTTACTTCTATTTTCTTTGAAATTTTAAAATAACAATTTATAGAACTGGTGCTATTTAAACATTTGGTAGAATTCTAATCTTCCGGGCCCAAGATTACTTTTGGGGGAAGGTTTTAAAATTACAAATTCAATTTCTTTAATGGTTTTAGGACTATTCATGTGATCTTTTTTGTCTTGGCTAACTTTGCATTCTTAAGCTAGCTTATAGTTGGTTTTTAGTGATTGTTAAATTTTTTAGTTGAATTATCCTACTGATTATATGGATTTATCCCCCTGGTAAGATGGTTGTCCTGTCTTCTTTCTCCTTAGGGGCAGTCTTTCTCCCAGATGTAGGATTAATTGATTGACTTGCAACCTTAGTTTTGTAATAGATTCCAAAAAAGTCACTAATTTGCAATTTGTCTAGTTTTTTTCTTACAGTAAATGTAGAAGTATTGCCTTTGCCACTTTCTGTATTATTAAGCTATGGTCCTAAAATAGCTTCATTTGATATTAGCATTTTCTTTTATAAGTATATACTCTTCTGGCTTTGAGCAATAATAATAAAATGCAATACCTATATAGAAAATTTATAGTTTAAAAGTTCTTCCACATGTAGCCTTATTTTTACACTTCCTGTCATATTTGGAAAAAAAGTGGTGAAATCATTTACCCAAATTAATCCAGTTAGCGACACAGAAGGAAAGGAAATTAGAACTTCTAAATCCAAGCGTGTTGCTCTTTCCTGTGAATGGCCTGTCCTTTGTTCACCATCTCTTCTTCCCTGGTACCCTCTTTCTCCAAAATCTGTTACCTCCAAGGAGATCTTGGAACACATGGCATAATCTCAGTGTCATGGTGGACAATCTGAAACACAGAAGAAATATGAAGTAGTGTGTGAATTGGGCCCCAAACTATACATAGAAGAAATATGAAGTAGTGGGTTGAATTGGGCCCCAATCAAAAACTATCTGCCTATATTTCACACTTTGTATGCTTTAAAACAGTGGTTCTCAAATTGCATAAAGTGCATGAAGAATCACTTGGAGAGCTTGACAAAAACATAGGCTCAGGGATTCTCCTTCAGTAGGTGGTGGTAGGACCAATGCATTTACATTTCTAACGAGCTCACAGCTGATCCTGATGCTGCTAATTCTCAGGACCACTGAGTGAATAGCACTGTCTTAGACCTGTATTTCTTTAATGTGTTCATGGCTCACTCACATCCAAATCACCTAAAGTGCCCACTCCTGACCTACTGAATCAAATTAAGTGGAGGAGGGAGCCATGAAGCTAAACATAGCATGTCATGATTTCTATCTACACTATTGTTTGTGAAACTACACTGATGCAGGATTTTTTGCTCCTTAGCTCCACTAATCTAGGTTCTTGTCTAATGACCAGGAAGAATTAGGCATGCAGACACATTGAAGGGTGAAGAGAGCAGAATTTATTAAGCGAAAAGAAAACTCTCACCAAAGAGAGAGCATCCTGCAAGCAGGTTTTCATCTCCCAAATTGAAAACCAGGGCCACAACCAATGAGCTGAAGAGGCCAGGCTATACCCCTGCATAAGGCATGAATTCCTGGTGGCTCCACCCGATTTCCCCAGTGCATGTGGGCTTCTGTCTGCTGTGGGCATGCCCAGGCAAGCCCCCTGTGCAGGTTCCCTCATCTGTACAAAATATCTGGCATAAACACTTGTGGGGTGGGTCGGAGATTCTCCGGGGACCCTTCCCTATCTGCATAGGCCTTTGTCTGCCTCCTGCCTCTATCAACACCATGATTCTCAAACTTTGCTATGTATTGTATTTCCCTGGCAATATATTTCTAATGCTTTTATCTCATCTCTACACATTCTAATTTAATTGGCATGGGGAGCAAGCAGGGCATCAGGAATTATAAAAGCTCCCCAGGTGATAATAATATGCAGTGAAACCATGGGTCTGAGACATAAAATTGGAGCTGTTCTAGAGAATGTTAGTTATAACCACTGAGCAAGTTGAGAGATTCTTCAGTGTTTTTTGTAATTCAGGGTTAGAATTAGTTAAATCTGTTTTGTACCTAAAATTACCATGTTTATTCAGTAATAAAAAGAATTCTCTTCATGAAGTCCAAAGGCCTTGTTCTTAAAAGAAACACATATTTAATTCTGGAATTTAATGAAGTCAGCCATTTATACAGGATTTTATTACACAGTGTTTTAATTGGAATTTTAGTTGATCTTTTGCCGTTTGACACAAATCTAAAAGTCACAGGGAACAATTAAAACAATGTCATCATAGCCCCAAGATTTTACATTAATCTCCTAAACTTACTGATAGGGACATTCAAATATTCCAATAATTGAGAACATGCAGAAAGGGTAAAATGCTGGTTGACATATTTTTTTAAAAAAATGTGAGTGTGTATTTGTGTGTATGTTTCTGGGTGCATTTTTGAATAGCATGCAAAAATAATAGTTAGATCTCATGAGAAATGGCCTGTTTCCAAATAAATGTTATGAAACATTTGAAAAAAGATATACCAAATCTCCTATCAGTGTAGTTTCTTTTAAATGATTTCACTACATTTAATTTTTTTAAAAAGGAGGGATTGGTATGTTTTCTATTTGATGGCAGTCCAATGGACAAAAAACCTTTTGGTTAAAAAAATTTATATTTGTGTAGACTCTACTTTCTCTCCCTTTTGTATATTTAGAAACTATTTATCTGTTCCCACATTCACCTAAGCAGTTACAGTGACTTTTAGAGGTGCTTCTTCTCTCCAATTTTCAGTGATTCTTCACACTTCAGAGTTCAGGATTTTTTTCCCGGTGTAGATATAGGCAAATAGAAATAGATTCTCTCTCTCTCTCTCTCTCTCTCTCTCTCTCTCTCTTTCTCTCTCTCTCTGTCTCTGTGTGTGTGTGTTTGTGTGTGTGTGTCTTTCTCTCTCCCCACATCATCTTTAATTATCTTTAATTACTTGATTAAAGGAATATAAGCAAATTCTAAAGGTTGGTGTGGATATAGACAAATAGAGATATAGACATTCTCTCTCTCTGTCTCCCCCCTCTCTCTCTCTTTCTGTATGTGTGTGTGTGTGTGTGTGTGTGTCTTTCCATCTCCCCACATTGTCTTTAGTTATCTTAAATTACTTGATTAAAGAGATATAAGCTAATTCTAATGGTTGGCATTAGCTGTATCTAGTATCTTACAGAAAAAAACCACAAAATTCCTGGACTAAAATCAGACAAATCAAGAGGTATAATGTGTAGCATTAAAATAGCTAAGGAAATACAGACTTTCATTATAATTAGCTTCTGATGGTGGGTTTTCTACAAAATCTTCCACTTTTCTAATAAGATAACCTTAAAGACCCAGGACAAAAGACCAGTTTTTAAAACTAAAAAGAATAAAAGACTGACAGAAAAATATTACTATCTATGAGACATTTTTTTCTAAGATAAGAATGAATTTGGATTAAGAAAAATCTACCTTGTTCAAAAACTAAGACCAGTTTTCAATGTGGCAAAAACATAAGGAAGCCTTTTGCAAATATCTAATTTAGTGGTCTTATGTGGATTTCACATGTTATTGTATCTAGCAAAAGGGAGAAATCTAAGAGTGGAAAATATTGCCTGAAGACGAAATTCATAATTATTGAATAAAAAACCCAATTAAAAGAAAATTGAAAGCTAAATAAAAAAGCAAAACAAAAATCACATTACTAGTTTGAATAAACCTCCCAGAACCGAGAGAAAAAATAAGAAAGAGATTAATATGAAGTACAAAAGCTTATGTGCTAAGAATGATATCAGCTAAAATAGTAAAGTAGGTAACTCCAAGCACAAGCAAAAACTGCCACAATCCACTTTGTCAGAACTCAGGAAAATAGGAAAAGATCTAAAATAACCAACTGAACACTGAATCAAGAAAAAGATAATTTAAAAATAGTAGAAATATTTCATGGTCTTTTTTACTTACCCTTGTCCTATCCCCTTCCCGCCTTGGTGGTTGTCTTCAAGATTGCCGCTTACATTCTCATTGTGGAACTCAGGTTCCCTATTTCTAAGGAAGCAGAAAAGATCTTACTTTTAAAGAATTGTTTTAGTCTGTTCTAACCTTTCTAAGGCCTGCCTGAAAGACTGAGGCAACATGTACTACCTTTGTTTAGCAAATTATGGAAATTACTCCTGGCAGAAAAGTGGAAGGCATTTCTTGACAACATTGTAAGGCAAACACCCAACCCACAACTACCTGGGGAAAAAGATTACAACTGAGACAAACAATAGAAAGCCTAAAACTTAAAAGGAAATACTAGGAATATACTCTTTGAGAAATCAGAGCATTCAGAAGGGCTCATGTATACCAGGGAATTTAGAAACTGACATGCATGCCCAAGGCAGAATTCATGCTTAGAAAAGTCCCAAGAAGACCTCAAGCTTGCATCTCTGGGTGATCCTGATTCCAAGCCTCAGTGTAAGCAGGACGGACAGTCTAAGAGTCATACATGGCTGAGTTGAAGGAGTGCTTTACCACAATGGCAATGTGTGAAGAATTGGAAGGTTACTTCCCTCCCCTTCCTTCTCCTTCTCTTCTTCCTCCCTCCCTCCCTCTCTCGCAATCCCTCTGTAAAATATGAGCAGAGCATAAGCTAAAGAAAAAGAAGGATGGGCACGGTGGCTCACGCCTATAATTCCAGCACTTTGGGGAGCCGAGGTGGGCAGATTGCCTGGGCTCAGTAGTTCACGATCAGCCTGGGCAACATGGTGAAACCCCGTCTCTACTAAAATACAAAAAATTAGCCAGGCGTGGCCATGTGCGCCTGTAGTCCCAGCTACTTGAGAGGCTGAGGCAGGATAATTGCTTGAATCTGGGAGGCGGAGGTTGCAGTGAGCCAAGATCGTGCCACTGCACTCCAGCCTGGGTGACAAGGTGAGACTCCATCTAAAAAAAAAAGAAAAAAAAAAAAGAGACTGCAGATACCACACTTGACAACGAAAAGAGACTTCACAAAAATAATTTGGAACTCTCACTAAATAACAAAGTTATAGTCCACAGCAAACAATAAAAACAAACCTTGAAGAGGGAGAAGAATCTGATTTCCATAGTTACTACATTATATGTAAAAAATGTCCAGTTTTCAGCAAAAATTGCAAAGCGTACAAATAAAAAACTATGACACAAAGAAGAAATTATCAGAAACCGAGGAAGCCCTGACATTGGATTTACTAGAAAAAATTAAGTATCTCAAAGAGTTAAAGAAAACTAAGAGAATAATATCTGAACAAATAGAGAATATCAATAAAGAGATTAAAATTGTGAAAAAGAACCAATCAAAATCTGGAGCTTAACAATACAATAACAGAAGTGGCAAACTCACTAGAAGGTTCCAGTGGCAGATTTGAGTGGGCTGAAGAAAGAATCAGTGAACTTGAATACAAGTCAATTAAAGTTATCTAATCTGAGGAGTAGAGAGACATAAAAATGAAGAAAAATGAAACTTGTATGACACCATTAGCATACCAATATATACATCATAGAAATCCAAGAAGAAATATAGAGAGATAAAGGGGCAGAAAGAATATTTAAAGAAAGAATGCCTGAAAACTGTGAATTTGATAAAAGACATGAATCTATACCTTTAAGAAGTACATTCAACTCCAAGAAGGAAGAACTCAAAGAGATCCACAAGGAAACATATTATAATAAAATTGTTGGAAGGAAAAGCAAAAGAGTGAATTTTGAAAACAAAAAATAAGTGACTCATAATATAAAATGGATCTTCAATAATATTAGCAGCAATATTCTCATTAGAAACCTGGAGGCTAGAAGGGAGTGGGATGGTGTATAGTTCATTTTTACACTGCTATAAGGAACTACCTGAGATTGGGTAATTTATGAAGAAAAGAAGATCAATTTACTCAGTTCTGCAGGTGAAGCATGACTGGGAGGCTTCAAGAAACTTACATTCATGGTGGAAGTTGAAGGGGAAACGAGGACCTTCGCATGGTGGCAGGAGAGAGAGATCAAGAGGGGAATTGCCACACACATTTAAACCATCAGATCTCATGAGATCTCACTATCATGAGAACAGCAAGGGGGAAATCCACCCCCCATGATCCAGTAACCTTCTACCAGGCCCCTCCTCCAATTCAACATGACATTTAGGTAGGGACACAAATCCATACCATATTGGATGGCATTTTTAAAGTGCTAAGTGAAAAAAAAGCGTCAACCAAGAATTCTTTATTCAACAAAACTAAGCTTGTTTCAAAAATGAATGAGAACATAAGACATTCCCAGATAAACAAAATGTTGTTGCTAATAGAACTATCCTACAAGAAATAATAATGATGGTCTTTCAAGCTGAAATAAGATGTCACTTGACAGTAATTGGAAGGCATATAAAAAAACTAAACAACCCTCATAAACATAACAATGTAGGTAAATGTAAATGCCAGTGCTATTGTATTTTTGGTCTGTAACTCCTCTTTCTATTGTCTATATAATAAAAGATAAATTTATAAAATGATAATTCTGTCTACGTCAATGGGTATATAGTATAAAGTTGTAATTTATGACAATAACAAGGTAAAGGAAAGTGACAGAGCTGTAGGTTAGCAAAGTTTTTGTATGCTATTGAAGCTTAGTTGGTATAAATTCAAACTAGAGTTTTATAAATTTAGAATGTTAATTGTAGTCATCCTGATAATCACTAAGAATATGGCTAATATATATGTGTATATATATGTATATATGTATACGTATTATATATGTATAATATGTATATATGTATATATTATGTATATGTTATATATGTAATATATGTATGTATATATTATATATCATATATAATATATAATGTGTATATATGTATATATGTATGTATACATGTATATACTATGTATATATTGTATATATTATATATGTATATATACATATACATATATAATATATACATATATTATATACAATATATACATGTATATTATATACGATATATACATATATATTATATACAATATATACATAGTATATAAATGTATACATACATACATATATACATATTATATATGTATATATGTATACATAAATGTATATATAATATATATACATATATAAATGTATACATACGTACATATACGTATATGTATATGCATATATGTATATATGTGCATACATATATATGTATATACATATATGTACATATGTACATATACGTATATATGTACATATGTACATATACGTATATATGTACATATGTACATATACGTATATATGTACATATGTACATATACGTATATATGTACATATGTACATATATACATATATATGCATATACATATATATGCACATATATACATATATGTGCATATGTACACACATATATGCACACATACACATATATGTACACACATGCATGCACACATACACATATATGTACACACATGCATGCACACATACGTATATATGTACATACATGTATGTGCACATACGTATATATGTACATACATGTATGTGCACATACGTATATATGTACATACATGTATGTGCACATACGTATATATGTACATGCATGTATGTGCATATACGTATATATGTATATGCATGTATGTGCACACGTATCTACATATATGTACATATATACGTATATATGTATCTACATATATGTACATATATACGTATATATGTATCTACATATATGTACATATATACGTATATATGTATCTACATATATGTACATATATACGTATATATGTATCTACATATATGTACATATATACGTATATATGTATCTGCATATATGTACATATATACGTATATATGTATCTGCATATATGTACATATATACGTATATATGTATCTGCATATATGTACATATATACGTATATATTAGCCATATTCTTAGTGTTTATCAGGATGACTACAATTAACATTCTAAATTTATAAAAATCTACTTTTAATTTATACCAACTAAGCTTCAATAGCATACAAAAATTTTGCTAACCTACAGCTCTGTCACTTTCCTTTACCTTGTTATTGTCATAAATTACAACTTTATACTATATACCCATTAACGTATATAACATATATATATTATATATACATACAAAGGATGACATTATATGTTAATAAAAAAGTCAATTCATCAAGAAGATATAACAATTTTAAATACATAAGCAACAAACAACAGAGTCCTAAGATATATGAAGCAAACATTGTCAACATTCAAGGGAGGAATAGATAATTGTATAGTAATAGTTGGAGACTTCAATGTCTTATTTTTCATAATGAGAAAAAAATCTAGACAGAAGTTTAAGAAGAAAACATAAGATTTGAACAACTCTATATAACAACTAGACCTAACAAATATATAGAATACTCCACCCCACAATAGCAGGAGATATGTTATTTGCAAGTCACATGAAACATTTTCCAGGACAGATCATATTTTGTGCCACAAAAAGTCTCAACGAATTTAAAAAGATTGAAATAATAAAAAGTATCTCCGCGCCACTGCACTCCAGCCTGGGCGACAGAGCAAGACTCCATCTCAAAAAAAAAAAAAAAAAAGATCTTATCTGGCTACAATGGAATAAAACTAGAAATCAATAGCAGAAAGAAAAATGTAAAATGTACCAATACATGGCAAGGAAACAACAAATTCTTAACTAGCCAATGAGCCAAAGAAGAAATCACATGTGGAATTTGAAATACTTTGAGACAAATAAAAATAAAAACAACATAGAAGAACTATAGAATGCAGAGAAGGCAGTGCTGAAAGCAAATGTATAGCTATAAATACTTACATTATAAAAGAAGAAAGATCTGAAATCAAAAACCAAACTTTATACTTAAGGATCAAGAAAAATAAAGGAAAACTAAGCCCAAAGCTAACAAAAGGAAGGAAATAATAAAAATTAGACCGGAAGTTAATTAAATATGAAAACAATAGAGAAAATTAATAAACCCAATGTTTTACTCCTTAAAAAAAGACAAAATTGACAAATCTTTAGCTATAATGACTAAGAAAAAAACAGAGAAGACACAAGTAACTAAAATCAGAAATAATAGTGAAGACATTACTGTTGATCTTATAGAATTAAAAGAGATTATAAGATAATGTTCTGAATGATTGTATGCCAACAAATTAGATAAATGATGAAATAAACTGCAGGGAGTATTCAAATTGCATAAAATGATCCTAGAAGATCTTAGACCTATATTAAGTAAATAATTGAACCAGTAATCAAAAACTTCCAACAGAGGAAAGTTGAGGACCAGAGAGTTTGATTGGTGAATTGTAACAAACATTTAAAAAGTAATTAACACCAAATTTTCTCAATCATTTCCAAAATATAGGAGTTGAAAGCACTTTCCAATCATTTTATGAGGCCTGTATTACCGATACCAAAGCTAGGCAAAGACTATTCATTATAAATATAGATTTATCCTAGGAATGCAAGAGTAGTTCAAAATAAGAAAATAATCAATTATAAGACCTCATATTTATAAAATGAAGGAAAAATCCACATGATGATCTCTATTGGCGAAAGAAAAGCATTTGACAAAATTCAGCACGCTTTCATGATTAACACACTGAGAGAACAAGAATAAAACACATCTTCTTTAATGTGAAAAAAGGTATTGATGAAAAACCTGCAGCTACCATGATAACCAATGGTGAAAGACCGAAAGCTATACTGCTAAATTGAGGAACAGGGTAAATACGCACATTTTTATGAGTGCTGTTCAATATTGTCCTGGAAATTCTAGCCAGAACAATTAACTAAAAAAAAGAAATAAAGAATTGAAAAGTAAGAAGTAAAACTCTCTCTATTTGAAGATGACATGATTGTATATATACAACATTTCTGACTTTCCACAAAAAGCTACTATAGATAATAAACATTCAGTATGTTGTAGTGTACAAGATCTATATGCAAAAACCAGTTGTTTCTATATACCAGCAACGAACAATGCTGTAAGAAAATTATGAATAGAATTCCATTTACAATAGCATTCAAAGAATAAAACAACTAGAAACAAAAAAGCACAGGAAAGTGAAAGACTTGTTCACTGAAAACTACAAAATAGTGCGGAAAGAAATTAAAGAAAAGCTAAGTAAATGCAAAGACATCTCATGTTCATGCATTGGAGGAGTTAATATTGTTAAGATGCCATTACTAACCAAAGTGATCTACAGATACAATTCAACTCATATCAAAATTCCAATGACCCTTTTTGCAGAAATGAAAAAGCATATCCTCAAGTTCATGTGGAAATACAAAGGCCCCTAAATATGTAAAACAATGTTTTAAAAGAATTACAAACTCATGCTTCCTGATTTCAAAACTTACTACAATGCTACAGTAACCAAAATAGTGCAGTAGTGGCATAGAGTAGACATATAAACTAATGGAATGGAATTAAGAGTCGACACGCAAAACCATACGAATATGGTCAATTGATTTTGAACAAGAAGGCCAAGACGATTCAGTAAGAGTGCCAAGACTCTTTAACAACTGGCACTGGGACAATTGCATATTTACCTGCAAAAGAATACGGTTTTACTTTTACCTTACAACAAATACAAATATGAAATAAAAATAGGTCCATGACTTAAAGAGCTAAAACCACAGATCCCCTAAAAGAAAATGTAAGAGTAAATCTCAATACACTCGAATTTGGAAATGGACTTTTGGTATAATGCCAAAAGTATGAGCAAAAAAATATTATATGTATATATTATATATATATTATATATATACATGCACAAGCACACGTATACATATATATGTATGTGTATGTGTGTATATATATATGACTTCATCAAAATTAAAATTTTGTGCATTAGGGAAACCATCAAGACAGTAAAAAGAGTATGCACAGAATGGGGAAAAATATTTGAAGGTTGTGTTTCTGACAATGGTCTGCCATCCAGAATATATAAAAAATACCTACAAGTCAACAACAAAAAGACAAGCAGCCCAATTTTAAAAATGGGTAAAAAACTTGAATACACATTTCTCTAAAAATATACAAATGGCCAGTGGCACATGAAAAGATGGTCAACATTATTTGTCACTAAGGAAAAGCAAATCAAAACCACCATGCAATGCCTCTTCTCATTCCCAAGGATTGCTACAGTAATAATATAGATTTTATAAAAAAAGGGGGAATAACAAGTACAATTGGTTCTCCAAATCTATGAGCACCAGAGGACTGGATTCAATTAACTTCACATCAAAAATATTTGGAAAAAAAATTCTACAAAATTCTGAAAAGCAAAACTTTCATTTGCTCTGCATCAAGCACTATGTTGAGTCCACGCAATTAAAGTGCTGTGTAGGCATTCTATTCAGTGCTATAAATAATCTAGGGATGATATAAATATATGAGAAAATGTGCATAGTTTACATGTAAATGTGGTGCCATTTTATATAAAAGACTAGTGGATCCCCAGAGTTTGGTATCTGGGCATGGGGTCGTGGGGGAAAGAGAATGGGGGTAGGTCCTGGAACCAATCCTTCACAGATATCAAGAAATTATTTTATTACCAAGGATGTAGAGAACCATTAACATTGCTCATGGGAACGAAAAATGGTGCTGCCACTGAGGAAAATATTTTGGGGGTTCCTCAAAAAGTTAAACATAGAATTATCATATGACCCAGCATTTCTACTTTTAGGTATATGCCCCCTGAAATTAAAAACAGGCACTCAAATACTTACTTGTACCTGAATATTCTTGGCAGCACTATTCATAATAACCAAAAGATGAAAGTAACCCAAATGGCCATTAAGAGATGAGTGGAGAGAAAATTTATGTTATATACATATGATAAAATATTCTTCAGCTGCAAAAAGGGAATAACGTTATTGATACATGCTACAACTTAGAGGAACCAAAAAAAAAAAATCCAAGTGAAAAGAAAACAGAGACAAAAGGGGATATGTTCTATGATTCCATTTGTATAAAATATTCAGGATATATAAATCCATCGATACAGAATGCGGATTCATAGTGTCAGAGGCTGGGGGAATGAGGGAATGATGAGTAGCTGCGTAAAGGGTTTGAGATTTCTTTTGGGGGTGACAAAACTATTTTGGGATGAGACGAACATGGCAGTTGCACAGCATTTTAAATATACTAAATGCCATTGACTTTTCACTCTAAAATGTTTAATATTATATTATAAGTAATTCACCTTAACGATGTGGTAGACAAACTAATGTAACTTAACATATGTATGTGTGTGTGTGTGTATATATATTTTTTAAAGAAAAAAGAAGGACAATATAGTTATTAAACTAAATATACATATATATACACATTTCAAAAGGAAAGGAGAAAAGGGAATCAAACTAATAATAAAAATTAATATTCCCTTCACTAATAGGCCCACTCATGCCAACATTAACTTATGCATATTCTTTTTAAATTCTGAAATACGAAGTGAAAGAGTGAAATTATAAAGGCACTCAAGAATTTCAGGTCTAATTAAGTAACATTCATTTGTGAATGCAAAATAATTTATTTCTTTTCTTCTTGTTTTCTTTCTGTGTTTTCCTTCCTTCCTTTTTCCCATGCCTTCCGTATCCTTTCCCTTCCCTTCTTGCTTGCTTTCTTCCTTTTCCTTCCTTCTTTCCTTCCTTCCTTCCTTCCTGTCTCTCTGTCTCTGTCTCTCTCTCTCTCTCTCTGTTACCACTTATATTTAAGGGCAAACTAATATCTCTCTTCCTTGCTCTCTCTCTCTCTCTAAGGTATTATTTATATGTGGAAGCAAATATTTCTTTTTTTCTTTCTCTTTTTGAGAATATATCCACCTGCTTCCTGGGGGGCGATAGGTAGGGAAGAGGATCCTTTCTTACCACAGACCTCCTTCTGCTGCAATAGCTGGTTCCCCAAATAACAACCCTTCCTTTCACTCCTCATTACCCTTCTTTTTTTTCAAGTACAATGACTTATATTAATACCTTTGTGAATGAGCTTCTCTTGTCTGGAAAGTTCTATCCTTGTTTTTATGTGCCCTTCCTCTGTTTTATCCAAGTCTTTGCCCACATTTCTTATCCAGGAAGTTTGACCATTCTGTATAAAATAGTACTCTTTTTTTTTTCTGTATTTCCTTACCTTGTTAAATTTTTCTTCTTAGCACTTATTACCATCTGATACATGAGGTTATTTTTAATTGTCTCTCCCTACTGAATGTACCTTTGTTAGGAGGGATTTTGTTTGGTTTGCTATTGTATTCTTCTGCTTAACTTATAAAACATGGTAAATATGTATTTTATTGAACCAATGAATTTATTGAACACAGGAGTAAACCAACAAGTGTCTCTTGAGTAACTCTTATTTTCAAGACACTCAACCACACATAGTTGAAATTATTTCAGGAAAAGGAATTCTAAGCAAAGAAAGGAAATGATAATGTAGTTTTGGAATCAATGAGTTTTACCTGGCTAGAGAAAAATACTCATTCTGGTACGTCTTGTGAAATGAAGCATTAAATAATTTGTAGGAGCCAAATCATAAAACATTTAATGTTAGACTAAGAAATGCCTGGTATCTCGTTGGCAGTAGGGAGAAGGAAGAAAATTGAACGACACAGGAGGGATTCTAACATTAAGGGTTAGGATTCCCTGGAAATGTATGTGCTAAAATTTAGCAGTAGGATACAAGATTCACAGGCCTGGTCAGCAATAAAGGCTGAAAATATGATGGATGAGAACTTAGATACCCGGTCAGAAAGGAGGCTGACTGTTGGTAGAACACTTTGGATATGATTATAACTGAAATGATGGTGCTCTTCAGTTCAGAGATTGTGGGAACTGGGAGAAGAGTTGCATTAGAGAATCAAGCTGTTATAAGCTAGAAGTCAAGGCAGAGAAAACAGCGCAGTCAGCAGTAGATAAGCAAGTATGTGGCAACACAACCAAAGTATCCTGAGATTGAACTATTGAGTATCACAGAAAACCTGATACCATCAGTGTAATCATGTTACGGCAATGAAAGAAAACATAAGTTAAAGAAGAAATGGGGAAATAAAGCCCTAAAAATATAAGACCAGATAGACTGAAAAATGCCCTGATTAGGGAGCACTTGAGGTGCCATTAGCTGTGGACTTTTAGAGCCAGCTAGAGAATATTGCGTGCTAGAATCTGACATAAATTCTGTTCAAAGAGCCTGTTGTATGGGATTTAAGGGAGACTTTTTCTTGATTACGTATGGAAATTGAAGTATGGAGTCACTGTATACCTTGTATGAGTGTTAATTTTTTTTTTTATTGTAACAGTCCTAAATGCCCATGAAAACCTGAATTTAAGAAGTGGTCGGTAATACATCAGGAAAATTGATAATGTCTAAATAGGAAAAATAAGACCAAACTCAAGTATGGAATTTTTACACTTTTGTCTTTAAACTTGTAGAAAAAAAAGAATTTACTGTGGATATTTAGCTTTCTAGAAGGTGTGTATATAAAATGCGCCTTAAAAGGAGGATATCAAAAGTCGTCCTGACACCTAAATATTGCCCCAAATGTTTGTACATTTATCAAGAAGAGTAACCCTTGGTTCAGACTAGCCCTCTAAGAAGGTTGCAATTAAAATGCACTCATTATCATTCTGAGTTCAGTTTTAATAGGAAATATTGAAAAATGCATCAATTCTTTATCTCTTTGGATTGTGAAATTTGGGAAGAACATATTTTTCCATGATTGTTAAGATCATTATGGAACTAGACTACAGAAGAGAATAATCAAAAATAAAAAGAAATGGTTGGAAAAATATAACTAAGAAAAACAAATTTACATACAAACATGTCCTCATGTGGTCACTATTACATCACTCTGCTTTGATTCTCTGTATAATACTAATTACTAGCTTATATATATGTTTATAGATCTATTTTTTATTTGTTCTTTGTGTACCCCACTAGATAACTTCTTTGTTTTTTATTGTATATATAAGTTTATATGATCTTGGAGAATTTAGGAAGCATAATGTTTAAAAATTAGAACGTAGACTGGGCTCGGTGGCACGTGGCTGTAGTCTCAGCTACTCAGAAGGCTGAGGTAGGAGAATTGCTTGAGCCCAGAAGTTCAAGTTCAGCCAGGGCAACATAATAACATAATGGAACATTGAATATATTTAACAATATGGCCTAATGTTTCAAGAAATTTCTCATTCCTCTTTAAGGCTAGAGTCTCTGACCATGGCCCTGGTTTATTGAAATCAAGTAGCTTAGGGAATCAATAGTCCCTTAGAATATGATTTTCTCCCTCTCAATATTTTATTATTTCCCCTTTCTGCCTAACCCATCTTTTTTGGAATAGTCTTCTCTCCCTCATGCTAGAAAAATCATTCATTCATTTGTTCTATCTGTCTGTTGATATTCACACATTGATTTATTTTTCTGTGTATGTGATTTCCTCAGTCAAGAACTAAAATCAGTTATAATCTCCTCAGTCAAGAATTAAAATCAGTTATAATCCTTGGCTCATGACACATTATCATTATGGACATTTTATATATATTCAGGTACTCAGTTATTATTAATTATTAGAACCCACTACCCCAAACAAAAGCTTGAAATTGTATAATACTCTATATTTATTTCATTATGTAATAATCCTTTAGTAACTTGTCCTCCAGGATCCACCTCCATCTAAGGGAATGATCACCCAAATCCCATGTTCATCTTGCCATTATGTTTCTTTGTATGTGTTTCTTATTGCATAACAAGTGCCCTTAAAAATTTTTTTTGTAATTTAGTTTTTTAACTTTGCAAAAAACAGGTAATATGTAATCTTTTGAGACTTATCTTTTTGTATTATGTAGCTAATATTTATCCATATTGTCATGTGTGCCTATAGTTTATTTTAAATGTTATATACTAATTTCATTGTGTGAATACAGCAGAGCTCATTCATTCACTTCACCTTTTGTTGATGAGTATTTTATTATTTATATCTTTAAAAATTATTATTATAAACTGTACTGTTATGAACATTCTTGTGCATATCACATATCGTATCTGACATTTAGTTATTCATGTTATGCATATTTGTTGGGTACCTACTAAGAATAGGCATCATACAATATGCTGGAGGAAGAATGGAGATGAGAAGAAAGTAAATTGTCATGAAATTTGCAATAAAGAGAGTGTTCTCTCTGACCATAAATGTTAGGTGACACAATAAGCTTGTTCTCTTAAGAAAATTTGATTAAAACATTCTTCTTGTGTTACATGAAAATAAAAGAAAAGATAGAAAGAGAAAGAGAGGAAGGAAGAAAGGAGGAAAGGAAGGAAGGATGGACTGAGGGTGGCGGCAACATTGAACTTAAAGAACCGAGCTAAAATGAATTGTCCTTAGCAATTACTTTCCATTTTTCTTTAGTTGTAGAAATTTTTGTGAGTGGGTTTTCTTATTAATCTCATAACATATTATATAAGCAGTCAGACTATGACCTTGTAAAGCTCATCAATCTTCTTTAAGACTGAAAAAGATTTAGTGCAGGTATTTTTTTTTCAAGCCATGTTGTAGATTTAAAAATTTTTATTACAAGCTGTTAGCAAATCAGTGGACAGTTAGGCACACTGATCCAAACTGATAAACTAGAAGGAGTGCTGCTGTCCCTATGGAATTTCTTTCAAGTAATAGGAAAAACTTGCTGAGAACACTTAAATCATCAAAGACAGATTAGGTAGATGAATATGTGACTTATACTTTTTTCCAATATATAAGAAGACCATTTCCTGATAAACTTATCATTTCAAATGCTGCCAACCGAAACCTTAACTGTTCTTTGTTCTTCTGTTGGAGAGAAATGGAAAGAGAACTGAGTGGAATGAGGGTATGTGTAGGAAGCTGCAGTAAGTCTTTTAAGGATCCTCCTAGGAAGACCCATAGCTTGCCCAAGGAATGAGTCTGACTCTCTCTGAATGCTTGTGTAATTTATCCAGGCAGAGCAGATCAGTGATTCTTCTCTAATCCTGTAAGGCTTGTAATAGCCTTCTCTCCCTCATATTACAAAACCCATTCATACTTTTGTTCTGTCTGTCCATTATTATTCATACACTGATTTATTTTTCTGTATGACATTGTCCATCTAGCTATATCTACATCTATCAATGTCTATTTATATCATCTATCTGTATATCATATCACGTCATATATATCACATATCTTGCATTCTCATGTGTTAGTGATCCTGGCTGGACTAAGAGTTTCTCAAGAGCAAAACTCATGACTTGACCATATTTTTATTTATTTCACTACTTTACACTATTCAAATGCCTACTTTATGTCTGACATTGGCCTACATTTTAGTATATAAAGCTTGTATGTTTGGCTTTGTTGTAGTTAGAATTCCATTTCCTACATTTTTAATCACATATTTCCTCCTCTTGTAGTTGGGCCCTCACTGCCTCATCTGATCAAAACTTGCTTGATGACAGCCCTACTCAGACCAAAGTTAAGGAAAAACATTACTGGGAGGCATAAAGTCTTATTTTGCCAATATAAGATGATTTAAACCTTGATAGAGCTGGTGATTTCAGAGAATGAAGACTGCAAATCACTGACTAAAACCTCTCAAACAAATATTTCAGAGAACATGTTTGGGAAGAATGCTCTAAGGGAAAAAAGAAAAATAAATTCACTTCTAACACTCATGGAACACTTTCATGTTTACAAAGCATTTGTTGAGTCCCATGTTATATATAGATGCTCTTTGACTTATGGTGGGGTTATGTCCCAATAAACTCATCAAAAGTTGAAAATATCATAAGCTAAAAATGCATTTAATACATCTTACCTACAGAACATCATAGCCAAGCCTACCGTAAATGTGCTTAGAAAACTTACCTTAGCCTGTTACAGTTGGGCAACCATCTGGCAATGCAGTACACGGTAGCACACAGGTTGTTTACAGTAGTGATCACATGCTGACTGGGAGCTGTGGCTAGCAGCCTCTGTCCAGCATCACTAGAGAGTATGGTACAGTAAATCACAAGCCCAGGAAAAAATCAAAATTCAAAATGTGAATTATGGTTTGTACTAAATGTGTATTGCTTTCACACCATCGTAAAATCAAAAAAATCTTAAATCAGTGTAAGTCAGGACAATCTGTAGTTCTTTGAGGCAAGAGGAGGGAAACATTCCCATTCTAGAAAGGAAAAATTTAGTTTTATATTTGGCAAAATGCTATCTTGGCTAGAATGTAAGTCTACCCGTTTGAATTCCAAGACAGCTTCTAAGGCACAACTTTGTACTTAGTGTCGATTGTGTTGAACTTTTCCCTTCCCCAGGAGAATTATCTCCTTAAGCGTAAGTTCAGCATGCTGGGATAATCACAGAGTGAGACAGATGCAGAAAGAACTGTGTTCTGTTTTGTACAATCTACTTCTTATCTATGTGAAAGAGAGTTTGGATTTAAGAATCATACAAAATGCTGAGCAGATAAAACACGTTGGGACATCTGAGGAAAGACTCTGGACAGGTGAATTCAAGTTATTCTGTGGCTCTTATAATAGCAATTTATTATGAACTATTATAGTACCAAGAAAGTATTTGATTGCAAAAGCTATATTTTAAAACAACTGAGGGTAGAACGAGCCGAAGAACATCAAAACAGAGTTAGCTCAAGAGAGTCAAGAAACATTTTACTCATTTTTTTTCCCCAGAAGATAGGCTTTGAACCTAGTTCCGCCTGTGCTTTTTTCAAGATTATGGTCAGACACAACTGAAAGGGATTGGGGAGAACCTTAAGGCCAAACCCACTGATTCAAAAAGTAAGACACTAGGGCCAAGGGAGGATAGCTTGATATTTACAGTAACTTAGCATTGTTGTCTTAAAGGCCTTTTGTGAATGTTTAACTACCACACACAGGCACACGCACAAACATGTGGAAAACAACACATAGGGATCGGTCACATGTGGTATCCTACAGTGTCAAAATGCATTTATGCAGACTTCTAAGGATAGATTCCCTCTCATACTATACTGACTTGGCTGATTCTAAACATTCTACGATTAGGTCATTTTGATGCTTCCAGGTTCTCATCAGATATAACAATAGAATGTTGTGTTATTTTAGATTGGAAGAGTCTTCATCCAAATTGGAAAAATGATAAAAGGATGCTTTCTACAAAACATTACCAAAAGAAAGAAAAAACAGCCAACTGTGCAATACTAAAGATATTACTCTGCCCTGGAGTCTATTGGCCCTGACATTCCTCAGAAAAGCATAAGGATCTCTTGGGTACAATCCTGTTCTCTATTCTTTTAATATGAAACAAAGAGATGTATTTGTTATAAGGCAGTGTTTTAAATTTCTATTTATTGTTTACATATTTTTCAATCAGCAGAAACTTTTTATCAAACAGTTTTTGCTTCAATGAAAGCCCAATATGTATGACAGAAAAAAGTACAGCTCGTTGGGTTGAAGCTGAGAGAGGGCAAGCATCAAACCCCACCTTCTTGTCCCCTTATCCATTCATGACAGTCTCAAGAGTGGATCTTTTACTGCGATGGTACTCAAAGTGCAATTCCCAGATGAGCCGCATTACTGTCATCTGGACACTTCTTGGAAAAGCTAGACCTGCTAATCAGAAACTCTTGGGGTTAGATCCAACGCTCTGGGTTTGTATAAGCCCTCCAGATAATTCTGATGCATATTTGGGTTTGAGAAACTCTGTTTGATGATTCAAAACTTGGTTACCACTGGTGTAGCAAGTATAATCGAATCCTGGACTAAGAGGCAGAGGATATAAAATATAATTATGGATCAATTAATCTATAATATGAACTTGAGAAAGTCATTGAATCTCTTTAGGCCTCTGTTTTTGTGTACTATTAAGTTGGTGCTAGCTTTCATATCTTCCTAATGGATAGTGTGAGAATAGTAAAAACTTTGAAAATTTAAAAGTATTTTACATGCAAGAAATGTCAAATACATCAATGTTGTAGAAGAGAGCAACTAGAAATAGACTCATCTTTATATAGGAATTGCATATCATTAGTGTGATTTATTCAAATTGATGTATTGGGGCATGCATTTAAAGGTAAAATTCATAATTTTAAATACATAATTCAAAAAATGAACACAATAAAAATTCTAGGGTTCTTAAATATTTAACCATTAAGAATACTTAGTTTTACTCAGTGTACTTCAAATATTTATTGAGTAAATTCAATGTACCAAGACAGAACAAAGTTAATATTTATTGATTATTTGTATGCCTAAATGCATACATTATTTGTTTAATCCTCACTACCAATCTATTTGTTAATTGTAATTATTATTTATGTTAGACAGATATGGAAATTGAGGCTTACATAGGTTTTATAATGTGCCCAAAGATATGTAACTATTGAGTGGTGAACACCAGGTTAAAATAAGTCTAATTTTATGCAAGTTTTTTTTTTATAACTGCTCTGTTTATAAAATTATAGAGCCTAATTTGAGGAAAAAGACCTTTTAAGATTTTCTTTTTTTTTTTTTTTTTTTTTTTTTTTTGAGACGGAGTCTCGCTCTGTCGCCCAGGCTGGAGTGCAGTGGCGGGATCTCGGCTCACTGCAAGCTCCGCCTCCCGGGTTCACGCCATTCTCCTGCCTCAGCCTCCCAAGTAGCTGGGACTACAGGCGCCCGCCACTACGCCCGGCTAATTTTTTTTGTATTTTTAGTAGAGACGGGGTTTCACCGTTTTAGCCGGGATGGTCTCGATCTCCTGACCTCGTGATCCGCCCGCCTCGGCCTCCCAAAGTGCTGGGATTACAGGCGTGAGCCACCGCGCCCGGCCGACCTTTTAAGATTTTCAAATTTCTAATTATTGAACTGATTGACCTTGAACTTGGCAAATTTAAAAATATGAGAAAACTACTAAAAATTGTTTTTATATAATTACAGTAGAGAGAAGGTCTTTATAAATAAAAACCAAAACCCAAACACCAAGAAAAGACACATTGGTAATGTAAACATTCCAATTTTAATACACTGAATGATATCTTAAGCAAAGAAGAGACTGCAAGGAAAAAAGTCTATTTGTAAGTATTTCACATATAGGAAGGACTAAGATTTATAACACATAGGAACTTCTGTAAATGAATAAGAAAAAATGTTGAACAACTTAATAGTAACATTAGCAAACTTACAGAAAGGAAATTAACAGTAGAAATGTAAATCTTTAATAACTATATAAAATGAGGTTTGTTCTCATGATCTAAGGGATTCCTATGAAAACAATAATGCTAAAAATTAACAAAAATTAGACATTACATATATTCAATATTGTTTAGGGCATTAGAAAACAGATCCTTTCATATATTATTTCTAAGAATGTAAATTTGAATAGATGTTTCGGATAGAAAATGAAAGTAGACATTTGTCAGTAACTGTGAAACTATAAGTTAACATATTATTTGAGCCATAAATTGCCTTTTGTAGACATATTCTAATGGAAGTGTTGCATAGGCCTTCACAGACGTATTTTCAAGGAGTTTATTTGTAGCCATGATTGTAGAAGCAACATCTAGGAAAAAATTCCCTTAGTTACTAAATTATTAAAATATTATTTTATCTCACATTATTAAAAATTATATAGTCATCACAACAGGTTGATATGAATCTAACATAGAAAGATACCCATATTAAACCAGAACCACTAAATCAAGTCAAAAACATTGGCAAATGATATGAGTTTATTGACCTCATTCAAAACATTTTTACATACTTACATGCACATGAAATTCATATACATTCAAAGAAAGAGAAATATAAATCATGTTGTATGTGCATTTGTTTTTGACATCAGGCGAATAAATTTTAATACTGTCCATTCTTCTTTCAGATAAAACTAGAAGGAGGGATACCTGTGTAAGATTTTGATTATGTTTCAGAAAATACATCATGTTGAACTAGCTGTGAATAATTAAAGCTTCTAAGGTGGAGGTATGGTATGAGTTGTTCTCTGTTTGGTAAAGCACCTAATGAATTATATTTATCCTCTCATCATGCACAAAAGCAGCTCTTGTCAAGGCCAGTGATAATTTTCCACTGAAAAAAATGGTGGATGGATTTTTGGAGTTATCCTATTTATTAGTAAATTTTAAGTGGTTGCTTGCACTGTAGGTTTTTCTCTATTATGGTAAAGCTTCAGTGAAAGTCTTATTCATAAAACTCCCTTGTATCAGTAGCACTTAGAAAAGTGTAGAGTGGTTCACACCCTGTAATCCCAGCTACTTGGGAGGCTGAGGCGGGAGGACCACTTGAGTCCAGACTGAGGCTGCAGTGAGCCATGGTCACACCACTGCACTCCAGCATAGGCAACAGAGTGAGACCATATTTCAAAAGAAAAAAAAGAAGAAAATAAATAAAAAGCATGGTACTAGTACAAGAACAGACTCATAGACTAATGGAACAGAATAGAGAGCCCAGAAATAAGACCACACACCTACAGCTATCTGATCTTTGACAAACCTGACAAAAACAAGCAATGGGGAAAGGATACCCCATTCAGTAAATTGTTCTGGGATAACTTGCTAGCAATATGCAGAAAATTGAAACTGTACCCCGTCTTTACACCGTATACAACAACCAACTCAAGATGGATTAAAGACTTAAATGTATAACCCCAAACTATAAAAACCTTAGAAGACAACCAAGGCAATATCATTCAGGACATAGGCATGGGCAAAGATTTTACAACAAAGACACCAAAAGCAATTGCAACCAAAACAAAAATTGACAAATGAGATCTAATTAAACTAAACGGCTTCTGCCCAGGAAAAGAAACTATCAACAGAGTAAACAGACAACCTGCAGAATGGGAAAACATTTTTTCAAACTATGCATCTGACAAAGGTCTAGTATCCAGCGTCTATAAGGAATTTAAAGAAATATACAAGAAAAAAAGCAAACAACCCCATTAAAAAGTGGGCAAAGGACATGACAGATGCTTTTCAAAAGGAGACATACATGGGGCCAAAAAGCATATAAAAATCTCAACATTACTAATCATTAGAAAAATGTAAATGAAAACCACAGTGAGATACCATCTCACAGCGGTCAGAATGGCTATTACTAAAAAGTTAAAAAGTAACAGACGCTGGCGAGGTTATGGAGAAAAAGGAATGCTTTTACATTGTTTCTCGGAGTGTAAATTAGTTCAACCATTGTGGAAGACAGTGTGGCAATTCATCAAAGACCTAAAGTCAGAAATACCATTTGACCCAGCAATCCCATTACGGGGTATGTACCCAAAGGTTCTATTATAAAGACACATGCATGCATATGTTCACTGAAGCACTACTCACAATGGCAAAAACATGGAATCAATCCAAATGTCCATCAATAATAGACTGGTTAAAGAAAATCTGGTATGTATGCACTATGGAATACTATGGGGCCATAAAAAATAATGAGATCATGTCTTTTGTGGGGATGTGAATGGACTGGAGGCCATTATCCTTAGCAAAGTAACTTTGGAGCAGAAAACCAAATACTGCATGTTCTCACTTATACATGGGAGCTAAATGTGAGAACACATGCACAGTTAGAGGGGAACAACACATACTGGGGCCTACTGGAGGGTGGATCATGGGAGGAGGAAAAGAATCGGGAAAAATAGCCAATGGATACTACGCTTAATACCTGGGTGATGAAATAATTTGTACAACAAACGACCATGACACATGTTTACCTGTGTAACAAACTTGCACATCCTGCACATGTACCCCTGAATTTAAAATAAAAGTTAAAAAAAGAAAGAAGACTGAAAAGACTTTTTTTATGATATTGATAACAGTACTATTTATAATACCAATAAATTAAAATTATTTAAATTCCTAGCAAAAATGTAATATTATTATACCTCTAGTTGAATAAATATTTATACCAAAAAATAGAAAAAGGAAATAAATAAAAATCAAGTCTGTAATGGAAAAATCACCCCAGAAAAGGAGCAATAATCAGTTAGGCAATACTACACAATTCTAAGTTGTGCTGTTTATTTACAACTTGATATGTGCTGGAGAAAGAAATTCATTCCTAAGATGGAGAATTCATTAGAAGAAGAAAACTGGAGCAAGAGGTAACTAGAAGAAATGTAAAGACTTTATAATTCTCAGACGTATTTGGGAAAATCTTTACATGCATTTCACACTGAGCCTATTTTACCTCAACAATTAAAATCATAAAAATTAAAAACAGGATTATGAATATAAGTATAAAATATTACTCAAAATTCCCTATTGTTCTGCACTCTTGTGCCCCTGCTGGTATATCATTAATGAATGTTCTCACATAACGTACCTAATCAGCCCTGCTTTGTTGCTCGGGACAGAGAAGGGCCCTGGCCCTGGTTAATATATGAACTGTTCTCTCTACAACACTCTTAATACCTTGATTCCCTTTGGGGTTATCCACAAAATTGCAGCTCTGTGCCAGCAACCCCACCACTTCTCTGGTCCTTCACTGAGTATCCAAGTACTTCTGGGGGAAAGCATCAAACCAAGCAGATCTGTGTCATTAGAAATTCATAATCCTTGAAGTAGGTTCAAAAGTCCCCTATCCAACTTTTCCATATCTCACTCTCAGATGACCATGATGCCTACTGTATGGGCAAGAGAAGAGTTTTTTATAAATGATCTAACCAATTTTCAGTAGTTCCACCTATTAACTCCTTCTGTCTCTTTTCCTTTTTTTTCAATGTAATAAAAATATCTCCACGCTGTGCCTAGAACCCCATTTTATTTACTTCTGTTTTTTTTTAAATTTATACAGTCCAAGTATTTGAACACCTCTTTATATTTCTTTTCAATCCTATTCCCTCTCCTTTATTCTCAAAGTCAACAACTACGTGTTTGAACCTATAAAGTCTACATTAATTCCTTTTAAAATGAATATCATTCTCTTTTGCGTGTTAAGGCTGTAACTTTTGTATTGTTCCCCTCTCTTTTGTATCTCTTGCCACCCCTTGCCCCTGGTTATTTCCATTAGCATATAACATCCATCTTAAGAAGAATTCAAAATTCATATTTCCTGCAGCTACTTCCACAATTTTCTATTCCCATTTATAATACTCTGTGAAAGAACAGAAAGAAAACTGCTATGTGCACTTCTTTTTGTGCCTTTCTCAATCTGTTTCCCTACCCCTCTACAGAAATTGGTGTTGTCCAAGACACCAATCAGGTGCACAATGTCAAATTAAGCATTCATTGTCTGTACTTCATAATACTTGACCTACTAGCATTAGATTTTGCTGCTCATTCTCTTCTTGAAACAGTTTATATGGATTCTGGAACACCACACATTTCTAGTTTGATGTATATTACATTGAATTTTCTATGTAGATAGATGATTGTGGTGCCTGAAAATAATCACCATTTTATCTTTTCCCTCCTAAACCTCATACCTCATCTTTTCTCTTGAATTATTATTTTTTATTTTTTTTATTTTTTTGAGATGGAGTCTCGCTCTGTCACCTAGGCTGGGGTGCAGTGGTGTGATCTCAGCTCACTGAAAGCTCTGTCTCCTGGGTTCACGCCATTCTCCTGTCTCAGCCGCCCAAGTAGCTGGGACTACAGGTGCCCACCACCACACCTGGCTAATTTTTTGTATTTTTAGTAGAGACAGGGTTTCACCATGTTAGCGAGGATGGTCTCGATCTCCTGACCTTGTGATCCACCTGCCTTGGCCTCCCAAAGTGCTGGGATTACAGGTATGAGCCACCGTGCTCACCCCCTTGAATTATTGTAATATAAAGGAAATATGAAATCCGATGGTGATAACAAAAATCCCAAGCCTTGTTTCTGACATACAGCACATGTACCACTTCTCATTAATTTTTTTGTCATGGGGTATGTGGCATTTATCAAGTTAAGGAACTTTGGTTACATTTGTGGTTTTGGGAAGTTTGAAAATATAAAGAAAAGATGAACTTCAGAAAATAAATTTCATGAATCTGTTAAGACCATGATAACATTTATTTCTTTATTTTTTTTTTCTGAAACAACTTGTATAAGATTGAGATTATATGTATTGCTTGAGCATTTGCTAGAATCCACCCATAAAATTACTAGGCCTAGGGTAGATAATGCATTCCGACATTATTTTCTTTACTGCTTATTGTTTTTTTCTTGAGTCACTTTCTGTTCTCTTTAGAGAAAAAATTCCTTATGTAAGTGTCCCACCATGACCCAAAGGCAGAGACAAAGAAGTCTTTTGTCACGGTATTTTTGTTGCATTTTGTTTCTGTTCTCCTCATTCAGACTTTCACTGAAATTATAGCCTTCTGAGAGTTCCAATTTGATGCAGGTTTCTTAATTTGCCCCCCATCCTTTCTTGTTTTTGGCTCTAGGACTTGTCACCTGCCTCCTGTGGTGACCATTCTAGGTCTGCACTGCTGTTAGTAGGACAGTAGTTCTGGCTTTAGTTACGCTAACCACTCTGGATTCCAGTCCCAGCTTCATTTTTCATCTCCATGGATTCTTTTTGACTTGCCTTCCAGCTCAGCCATGCAAGTGAAATTATGTTGCTATATATGAATTTCTGATTTGTCCAAGAGCTAATCTGTCAGATTATACAATGCAGAAGTTCTGTTTACTATTACTTTTCTAAAAATACTTTTTATAATAATTTCAAGTATGTAGCTAAGAAAGCAGTGACATCCTTCCAGCATCCTATTTATTTTTGTTTAAAATTTTTTCTTTAAATAGTAAAATATATTGTAAAGAGTATATGAAATATGTAACTACATTTTAAAGAAAAACCAATAAAGAGAATACCTGTGTAGCCATCACCTAGACTAATAAACATGTATCACTTTCACCCCAGAAGTCCCTCTGTGCCTGTCAACAATCATAGCCTCATCCAAACCCCTCCATCAGATGGTCACTCTTCTGGCTCTTAAGTTAATAATTCCCTGAAGTTTCATTATAGTTTTACCACTTGTTTGTGTATCCCTAAACAATATATGTTAATTTTGCCTGGCTTTTAAATTTATGCAAGTGTTATTTAGCTGTACTTCTTCTTTATTTATTTTGTTGAACACTATCAAGATGTTTAATCTCATACCAATATGTGCAAGTGTGATTCATATATTGTATATTTCATTTTATCGGTTATTTATTGAAAATTATAAGGATTGTTTATATATACAAACATTTATATATTGTATATATAAATACATATAATGCAATAAAAACACTAATATAAACTATCTAAACTTATCTTCTGGTACAAGACTTGTCTGAGGTAATGAGATTTTTTTTTTTAACCTTTAATTTTACATTCAGTAATACATGTGCAGATTTGTTATATAGGTACAGTGCATGCAACAGAATTGATAGACAAATTATTCCATCGCCCAGAAAATCATCATAGTACCCTATAGGTAGTTTTTGGATGCTCTCCCTCCTCCCACCCTCCACTTTCAGATAGGCTCTGGTGTCTGCTGCTCCCTTTTTGTGCCCATATGTACTCAACATTTATCGCCCACTGAAAAATAGAACATGTGATATTTGGTTTTATGTTCCTGTATTAGTAGTTTTCTTAGGGTAATGTCCTCCAGCTTCAACCATGTTGCTGTGAAGGACATTATCTCATTCCTTTTTACGGTTGTATAGTATTCCATGGTGTATATTTACTATATTTTCATTATCCAGACCACCGCTGTTGGGTATTTATGTGGCTTCCATGTCTTTGTTATTGTGAATAGTGCTGTGATGAATATACATGTGCATGTGTCTTTATGGTACAACAATTATATTCCTTTGGGTATATACCTAATAATTGGATTATTGAGTCAAATGGCAATTCTGTTTTAAGTTCTTTGAGAAACCACCAAACTGCTTTCCACAATGGCTGAAATAATTTACATTCCCAACAGCAGTGTATGTGTTCCTTTTCTCCACAACCTCATCAGCATCTGTTATTTTTTGACTTTTTAGTAATAGCCGTTCAGACTGGGATGAGACGGTATCTCATTGTGATTTTGATTTTCATTTCTCTAATGATTAGTGATGTTGAGCATTTTTTCATATTCTTGTTCAAAACTCAAATCTAATTCCAAATTGTTTCTCTCTTAAATTAGAGATTTCTTATTTATTCTATGAGTCGGTGGTCTTACTATTCACATGGTCACCTAAAAGAGGCCACGTATGTGTCCTCTTTTGAAAAGTGTTTGTTTGTGTCCTTTGTCCTTTTCAGTGCAATAGCTGAATCATAGAGTGTGTACATGTTTAACTTTGCTAAAAAGCATCAAAATATTTCTAAAAGGGTTTCACCAACTTTTACTCCTAAGAGTAAATAAGATATTTTAATTGGCTAACTATTCATGGCGATATTTAATTTTATCATTTTTTTTGTCAATCTGGTGTATGTGAAATACTATATTATTTTGGATTTATTTTTGTATTTCCTTACATGCTAATTACATGTGAATCCTTTCATATATTTATCTGCCATTCATCTTTTCTCTTCTGTAATTGCATGCTCACATTTTCCCCCTAGTTTTTCCCTTTTGAGTCATTAAGCTTTTGTTGTTGTTGATAATTTTATATATACCATATATTAAATGCTTATTTACTGAATGTGCCTCAGATATCTTTTCCCAGAGTGTCACCTGTCTTTTCACTTTCATTATGGTCTCCCTGAATAAAAAAAAAATCTTAAATTTAATATTTTTGAATTTATTTTGCATTATGTTCTGTGTTTTTTAGAGATCTGGTCATTTCACTGTTTAAACATAGATTAAAACTATAATGCCATGGTAAGGCACTAACTGTCACATTAATTACAGTTTTTTACTTCCTCTGTAAATGAAACTCTTTGCAAATTTGTTATCTTTGTTTATTTCTTTTTTATAAACGTGTGACTGCCTTTGCTTCAGTGACAACTTCTTGGTTTTCCTTTGTCTTCTAAGTGAGATAGTATTCTACCGCACACCATTTAAAAGTTATTTTGGTCCATTGTCTGTCTTTACTCTATTGTTCTCACTCTCTAGATTATTTCTCAGGTAACTTCTCACACTCTCATGATTTCACTTACTACCTCTCAACAAGCCATCTCCTGCGGGTCCTTGGACTCATATATCGAACTTCAGCTAGACATGTACACTTAGATATCACACAGAAAACTCAAATCTAATTCCAAATTGTTTCTTTCTTAAATTAGAGCTTTCTTATTTATTCTATGAGTTGGTGGTCTTACTATTCACATGGTCACCTAAACTAACAACTTAAGTGCCATCCTTACTACCTTCTTTTCCATACTGCAACATCTTATTTACTGAGCCCTATTTTTCTTCTTTAAGCATTCCTCAACTCTACCTTTTTCTTTTTATGCACATTGTCAAACTTCTTGTTCCTCCTCACCTCATGTAGAAGTAATTAATGTTTTTTGACAGACCTTGTAATTCTGAAACTGACCTTAAGCACAACTACCAGTGAACCATCCAAAATGAAAGGTATTAGAGTTTTATGACATCAATAAACACTATCTTTTTTCTTCCCTCCCTGAACAAATCAATTAGAGATCAAAATGTTACATTTATTATAGAAAAGCAGACAGTAGAAAGTGTCTTCAAATCTAGAGTAAGAGACAGGTCAACACTCCGTTAAATTTGACAGACAGCTGCAATCAGTCAGGAGCACAGCTGATCAATCAGGTCTCCCGCATAGTGTCATAGGTTGCCACTCTAAGCCATCCACTCAGTGAAGGAGCAGACCAGAAGGCACTCTCAGAAGGAAGGCATACCCAAGAGATAGCCTATAAGAGGGTGATCATTTTCCTTCTAACTCCTCAATTAGATAATTCCATTTATACTCAGTGGGAAGCAGGGAGTAGGAGGTGGGGAAAGAGGCAGGGGATGTTTATTTAAGGGAAATCCTAGATCAAAGGAAATCACTTATCCTATAATAAAATCTCCCAAACATTTTAATTGCCATCCATCTCTTACAGGCTATTATCTAAGCTTCTCAACATGGCATAATAGAGAACATCTTTTTTCCTTTACCCACATCCTCTATCCTCCACCATCTTGCCATATTCTCCCTTGCACTTCTATATCTAGCAGCACTTACTTGTTCATTGTTTCCAATATTACTTGTTCTGTGTCTTGATTTTATACTTTGGGGCATCTTAACTCTCTCTCCTAGAGTGTTTCTGAGTTTATCATCAGATATCAGTTATCTATTTCACTCCTATGTATTCTTTAAGTATAAGCTTGAGCTTCATTTTTTTTTTCAGAGAACCTTTTGTATCTTCCATTCCAACTGCTTTAACTGACACTCCCTTTTGCGTCTATAATACTGTGTTCCATTTTCTATGATAAAAAAGTTTTTGTGTTATAGTGATCTATTTATGTGTGTCTCCAACACTAGGATGTGAGCTTTTCAGTGTGGATATCCTCAGACACTAAACACATTGCATGGATTCAAAATGTTTGATAAGTGAATCTTACTTTCCCTTAAACTTTTGACCTGCTTGTCTAATCTTAGTTATGTTTTCCCCTTGGATTTGACAACATGTTTGGCTTCTTAGCTTTGATTTCTTTCATTTTTTTAGACATGAGTTCATTCTTAACCTTTCTTGGTCTCAGCCAACTCCCACTAGATCAACCTTGTCCTTCAGGGCCCCATCAGAAGTCCACCTGCATTTAGCCTGCATTGCACAGATGAGATATGAAACCTTTTTTTTGTCTTCCCTTGTCTCATCTCCTCCAGAGATTTCAGCTTAGAACTCTATATAGGATATAAAAAATGAAAACTGTCTTCAAATTTCTGTGCTAAGGGGGAAAAAAGGCATATATTTTTCAGCAAACATTTATTAAATGTTACAGTCAATGTTCTTTTTATTTTTTACAGTGTAATCATGTGATCATGACAGCCTAGCATCAGAAAACTGAATGTAGGGAGCCAAATTTAGAATTATAATCAAATAAAAATTTTCAAAATTAATCTGGCACATAGTTATATTACACACAACAGTTATGCATATGAAAATATGATACTAATAGTAAATAGTTATCACAAATAACTGTCAGCAATATTACTTCCTCATAGTGAAGACAATTATTAGTATTTCTCTTTGTTCATTCTCTGGTATCTAGAAGCAGCAGCAAATGTTTATAGCTTTCCCTGATAGCAGGTGTAGTTTAATCCTCATCCCTTACACATACTTATGCTGAGTTTTACTGAAATCTTGGATCTACTTAATTTTCTTCTAAATACCTAGGATTCTTTTACATTTTTTATTATACTTTAAGTTCTGGGATACATGTGCAGAACGTGCAGGTTTGTTACATAGGTATACATGTGCTATGATGGTTTGCTGCACCTATCAACCCATCATCTAGGTTTTAAGCCCTGCATGCATTAGGTGTTTGTCTTAATGCTATCCCTCCGCTTGCCCACCACCCCCTGACAGGTCCTGGTGTGTGATGTTCCCCTCCCTGTGTCCATGTTTTCTCATTGTTCAACTCCAACTTATGAGTGAGAACATCTGGTGTTTGGTTTTCTGTTCCTGTGTTAGTTTGCTGAGAATGACGGTTTCCAGCTTCATCCATGTCCCCGCAAAGGACATGAACTCATTCTTTTTTATGGCTGCATAGTATTCCATGGTGTATATTTGCCACATTTTCTTTATCCAGTCTATCATTTATGAGCATTTAAGTTGGTTCCAAGTCTTTGCTATTGCAAATAGTGCTGCAATAAACATACTTGTGCATGTGTCTTTTTAGTAGAATGATTTATAACCCTTTGGGTATATACCCAGCAATGGGATTGCTGGGTCAAATGGTATTTCTGGTTCTAGATCCTTGAGGAATCACCACTCTGTCTTCCACAATGGATGAACTAATTTACACTCCCACCAGCAGTGTAAAAGCATTCCTATTCCTCCACATCCTCTCCAGCATCTGTTGTTTCCTGACCTTTAACAGTTTGAAGTCAGGTATCATAATGCCTCCAGCTTTGCTCTTTTTGCTTGGGATTGTCTTGGCTATACTGGCTCTTTTTTGGTTCCATATGAAATTTAAGGTAGTTTTTTTCTAATTCTGTGAAGAAAGTCTATGGCAGCTTGATGGGAATAGTATTGAATCTATAAATTACTTTGGACAGTGTGGCCATTTTCATATTAATTCTCCCTATCCATGAGCATGGAATGTTTTTCCATTTGTTTGTGTCCTCTCTTATTTCCTTGAGCAGTGGTTTGTAGTTCTCCTTGAAGAGGTCCTTCACGTACATTGTAAGTTGGATTCTAAATACCTATGATTCTATGCTTCTAATGCTGATCATGACCTCCTACATGATAATTCTGTAGTGGAATTGGTAACTTCTCATTTGCTGTTCAGGTCCCTCAGTACAAGAGCCTATGGATAGCTAATACACCAGATGGCCAACTAGGCAACATCAGATGAGAGTGAGAAAAACCTCTTTAGCTCATAGCGGTGCACAAGGTGATTGTGTCAATTAAGATTCATTGATAGCATCACATACTAACTTCATTCAAGGCTCAGTGTCTATGAACTTACTCACATCTGGGAATTCGGTGAGTGTTGTAACCAAAGTAGTTTTAGATGAGTAAATTCAGTAAAACCTTTATGAATTGTTTGTACTCTTCTTTAGTACTCTGTGATATGTTAACTACAGTTAGAGAGCTCAGATCAATTTACTTCCTAGAATACGATTATGTCATCATATCTGTTTAACTGTATTTAAACACCACAGTTAAAACTTGTCATCAGCTATGACTATAATGCTGATAAGATCCATATTTCTTCTAGGAGTTAGTTGCTTCTATATCCACTTCACAATCTTAAAATTTCCGGTTTTACTGAGAAGAGGTATCCAGTTTTAACTATAAACATTCTTACCAACACTTTCGATCAGCAGAAAACATATATAAATTGTTTTAAAAAATATTTTATTGTTTTTCACATCAATGTATTCCTGATGATAAGGAAATTAAGTCATCTGAACACTGTCAAATAATATAGTGAAGGAGAACATAGGAAAACAGGAAGTATTTAAATACTTTTTCAAATATTTAAACATCTTTCCCTACATTATGTCAGTTTTTCTTTGGCCTTACAAGTCATTTATGTTGGTTAGCCATAAACTAAGGTTTCATTAACCAATCTAATTAACTGTTGAAAATGAAGACAAATGCCTCAACAACCTTATTTAATGCAGGATTTCCTATAAGTGCACATATAACAATAAATTGAGTCTAATCCAAGTTAAGATCTTACTTTCTTGAGTAAGCATTCACTAAATTGATCCTCCATTATTTTTGAACAATATAAGTTAGTGAATTACTATATTTCTTTCTGGACTTAACTTTGATTCTGCTTTTTACTCTGTAGACAATTTTGAATGTAAATTCTTATCTCCGAGTGAACAGTAATGAAAGGAGGGTCACGACTCTTTCAAACAAGGCAGCTCTTTTAAAAAGCATTTCAAAAGTCCTCTGGGTCCTCTAAGAAACACTGATTACAATTATTAGGTTATAACTTTATTTAAAAAGTCAGGATCTTAACTTTCATATAAGAGATCTGACAATGTTGTACATTCAACTGGAGTTGTAATTTATTAACCCACAAAGTGACTCTGTGACCTTGGTTTTCAGGAGTGTCAGCCTGAAGTTTTAAGGGACCAGAAATTATTACAGCAATGTCATATACTTTCTCAGATTCAGTTCCTGGCTTAAGACAAGAAGTTGGAGGTTAAAGTTTGTTTCCTCCTGCCCTATTATCTAATGGTATTATAGAAACAACCATCTTGTTTTGTTTTGTTTTTGTTTTTTAATTTCTCATTTCCTTTAAATTGTTGGAATGGGAATACCTATCTGATCTCTGCCAAATTCATCCCTAATGATGACCTTTTCTTAGGTTCATACAAGTCAGAACAATTCATCATGGACAATCATTTTGCCATTCTCAGTATATAAACAGGATTTTATTTACATTTCACCTATTTTTAGATTCTAATCTATAGAGAATATCTCATGTTGTTTCTGGGGATTCATTGACTGTAATCATTTGTTTAGTACCAATTTTTAAGTCAGACATAATTCTTCAGTTGAAAGCAGTTGATATAGGTTCTTACTAAGTTTTAGGGGAAAATGGGGACAGATATTAGAAAAATATTGGGGTATTTCAAATAAATGAAAGCAAAGTTGACTATGAAAATATTGGTAAGAATTTGGACAAGGACATTTCTGAGGATATTGATTTCAGAATTGATAGGTTGTTGTTCTAAGGACTCTTATCAGACTATCAGATGATTCAACTTGATTGACTATCTATTTCCACAATGACTTAAAGTAGGTCCTTTATTCATCACTTAATAGGTAAAATTGTATATGAAGGAAGGACTGAAAAGAATAGCCTCTACAGTGAAAAATAAAATAATATGAATAAAGTTTACATTTTAGCATCTGGAACTAATGACCCAGAACAGAGCGAGATAAATAAAAAATATTTCTAGGTATATTCAGTCTTAATGAATAGACCATTATCCAAGTTGAAGCATCTAACAAGTGGTTTAAAAATTGGATATTAGAGCATATCAGAAATGGAGGTAAATATTTGGAAATTATTTTATACACATGATTTTTAAAAATTTGCTTAAGTTCCTTGTAGATGCTAGATATCAGAACTTTGTCAGATGCATAGTTTGCAAAAATCTTCTTCCATTCTGTAGGTTGTCTGTTTTTTTCTGTTGATAGTTTATTTTACTCTTCAGAAGCTCCTTAGTTTAATTAGATATAATTTGTCAATTTTGCGTTTGTTGCGATTGCTTTTGGCATCTTTGTCATTAATTATTTGCCTGTTCTTATGTCCAGAATGGTATTGCCTAGGTTGTCTTTCAGGCTTTTTGTAGTTAGGGGTTTTACATTCAATTTGTTAATGGACCTTAAGTTGATTTTTGTATATAATGTAAGGAATGGGTCCAGTTTTAATCTGTATATGGCTAGCCAGTTATCCCAGCACCATTTATTAAATAGGGAGTCCTTTTCCCATTGCTTATTTTTGTTAGCCTTGTTGAAGATCAGACAGTTCTAGGTGTGTGGCCTTATTTTGGGGCCCTCTATTCTGTTCCATTGGTCTATGTGTCTGTTTTTGTACCAGGATCATGCTATTTTGGTTACTGTAACCCTGCAGTATAGTTTGAAGTGAGGTAGCGTGATGTCTCCAGCTTTGTTTTTTTTTTTTGTTTGTTTGCTTGTTTGTTTTTGTTTTGTTTTGTTTGTGTGTGTGTGTGTGTGTGTGTGTGTGTATGAGTGTGTGTGTAGGATTGCCTTGTCTATTCAGGCTCTTTTTTGTTTCCATATACATTTTAAAACAGCTTTTTCCAGTTCTAGTTATTTCACCACCTTAGCTCTATTCCTAATTATTTTATTCTTTTTGTGGAAACTGAATGGGATTGTGTTCCTGATTTTGTTCTTGGCTTGACTGCAGTGGGTGTATAGGAATGCTAGAGATTTTTCTACATTGGTTTTGTGTCCTGAGATTTTGCTGAAGTTGTTTATCAGCCTACAGAGCTGTTGTGCCTAGACTATGGGGTTTTCTAGATATAGAATCTAGAAATAGAAACTAGAATATAGAATCTGGAAATGCTGTCTGCAAATAGTGATAGTTTGACTTCCTCTTTTCCTATTTGAATGTCTTTATATCTTTTTCTTGCCTGATTGCTAGTTTATTGAGAGATTTTAATATGAAGGATGTTGAATTTTACTGAAAGCCTTTTCTGCATCTACTGAGATAAACATGCGGTTTTTGTCTTTAGTTCTATACATGTGATGAATCACATTTATTGATTTCAGTATGTTGAGCCAACCTTGCATCCCAGGGATAAAACCTACTTGATTGTGGAGAATAGGCTTTCTGATGTGCTGCTGGATTCAGTTTGCCACTATTTTGTTGAGGATATTTGAATCCATGTTCATCAAGGATATTGGCTTGAAGTTTTTTTTTTTTGTATCTCTGCCAGGTTTTGGTGTCAGGATGATGCTGACCTCATGGAATGAGTTAGAGAGAAGTTCCTCTTCCTCAATTTTTTGGAATAGTTTTGGTAGGAATGGTACCAGCTCCTCTTTGTACATCTGGTAGAATTTGGCTGTGAATCCATTTGGTCCTGGCCTTTTTTAGTTGGTAGGTTATTCATTACTGATTTAATTTCAGAGCTTATTATGATCTGTTCAGGGATTCAATTTCTTCCTGATGGGGTCTTGGGAGGGTGTATGCATTCAGGAATTTATCAATTTCTTTTGAATTTTCTAGTTTATGTGCAAACAGCTGTTCATAATACTTTCTGTAGGCTATATGTATTTCTGTGGGGTCAGTGATAATATCCCCTTTGTCATTTTTAATTGTGTTTCTTTGAATCTTCTCTCTTTTCTTCTTTATTTGTCTAGCTAGTGGTCTATTTTATTGAATATTTCAAAAAACCAACTCCTGGATTCATTGATCTGAATGGTTTTTTGTGTCTAAATCTCCTTCAGTTGACCTATGATTTTGGTTATTTTTTGTCTTTTGCTAGCTTTGGGGTTGGTTTGCTCTTGGTTCTCTAGTTCTTTTAGTTGTGATGTTAGACTGTTAAATGGACATCTTTCTAACTTTTTGATGTGGGCAGTTGGAGCTATAAATTGCCCTCCTAACACTGCTTTAGCTTTGTCCCAGAGATTCTGGAATGTTGTATCTTTGTTCTCATTAGTTTTAAAGAACTTCTTAATTTCTGCCTTAATTTCATTATTTACCCAAAAGTCATTCAGAGGCAGGTTATTTAATTTCCCTGCAATTGTATGGTTTTGAGTGATTTCATTAGTCTTGATTTCTAATTTGTTTTGTGCTGTGGTCTGAGAGAGTCTTTGGTATAATATCAGTTCTTTTGTGTTTGCTGAGGATTGTTTTGTGTCCAATTGTGTGGTCAATTTTAGAGTCTGTGCCCTGTGGCAATGAGAATATTATATACTCTATTATTCTTCGCTGGAAACTTCTGTCGATGACTATCAGGCCCATTTGATTCAGTGCTGAATTTGGGTCCTGAATATCTTTGTAAATTTTCTACCTTGATGATCTGTCTATTACTGTCATAATACTATTATGGTGTGGGAGTCTAAGTCTCTTTGAAGGTCTTTAAAAACTTGCTTCATTAATCTGGATGCTCCTGTGTTGTGTGCATATATATTTAGATAGCTAGGTCTTCTTGTTGAATTTAACCCTTTACATCATTATGTAATATCTTTCTTTGTCTGTTTTGGTCTTTGTTGGTTTAAAGTCTATTTTGTCTGAAATTATGATTATAATCTCTGATTTTTTCTGTTTTCCATTTGTTTGGTAGATTTTTCTCCATCCCTTTATTTTGACCCTGTGGGTGTCATTGCCTGTGAGATGGATCTCTTAAAGACCACATACGATTAGATCTTGGTTCTTTGTCCAAGTTGCCACTCTATGTCTTTAAATTGGTGCATTTAGCCCACTTACATTCAAAGATAGGATATATGTGGATTTGATCCTGTCATCATGATGTTGGCTGTATATTCTGCAGACTTGTTTGGTTCTATACACATTTTAAAACAGCTTTTTCCAGTTCTAGTTATTTCACCACCCTAGTTAGCTCTATTCCTAATTATTTTATTTAATTAATTAGGAATTAAATTAATTCCTAATTTAATTAGGAATTAAATTAGGAATTTAATTTAATGTGTGACTGCTTTATAGTGTTCCTGGTCTGAGTACTTCAATGCATTTTTGTAGTTACTGATAACAGTCATTTCCATATTTAGTGCTTCCTTCAGAAGCTCTTGGAAGACAGGTCTCATGGTAACAGATTTCCTCAGCAATTGCTTGTCTGAAAAGGATCTTATTTCTCCTTTGTTTATGAAGCTTACTTTGGTCAGATATGAAATTTTTGGTTGGAATGTCTTTTCTTTAAGGATGTTGAATATTGGCCAGGTGCAGTGTCTCATGCCTATAATTCCAGCACTTTGGGAGGCTGAGGTGGGCAGATCACTTGAGCTCAGAGGTTTAAGACCAGCTCGGACAACAAAGCAAACCTATTCTCTACCAAAAATACAATAAATTAGCCCTGTGTGGTGGCATGTGCCTGTGGTCCCAGCTACTTAGGAGGATAAGGTGGGAGAATCACTTGAGCCTGTGAGGTGGAGGTTGCAGTGAGCCGGGATTGTACCACTGTATTCCAGCCTAGGGAACAGAATGAGACCCCATCTCAAAAAAAAAATGTTGAATATTGGCCCCCGATCTTTTTTGGCTTGCAGTATTTCTGCTGAGAAGTCTGTCATTAGTCTGACTGGCTTCATTATGTAGGTGACCTGACCTTTCTCTCCAGCTTTCTTCAACATTTTTTCTTTCATTTTAACCTGGAAGAATCTGATGATTATGTGTCTTAGGGATGATATTCTTGTGAAGTATGTTAGTGGGGTTCTCTGCATTTCCTAAATTTGAATGTTGGCCTCTGTAGCTAGGCTGGGGAAGTTTTCATGGATGATATCCTGAAATACGTTTTCTAAGTTGCTTCCATTCTCCCCATCTCCTTCAGGGACACCAATGAGTCATAGATGGGGTCTCTTTACATAATCCCATAGTTATCTAGTTACCAGGGGTTTTGTTTGTTCATTTTCATTCTTTATTCTCTATTCTTGTGTGATTGTCTTATTTCAGAAAGCCAGTCTTCAGGCACTGAGATTTTTCCTCAGCTTGGTCTTTTCTGCTGTTAATACTTTTTATTGCATTATGCAGTTCCTGTAGTGTGTTTTCCACTTCTATCAGGTTGGTTGCACTTTTTTCTCTACTGGCTATATTGTCTGTCAGCTCCTGTATCATTTTATTGTAATTCTTAGCTTTCTTGGATTGGGTTTCAATGTACTCGTTCATCTTGATGATCTTTGTTTGTATCCAATTCTGATTTCTATTTCTGTCATTGCATCCATTTCATCCCAGTTGAGAACCCTTACTGGAGAGCTAGTGCAATTATTTGGAGGAAGGAAGGCACTCTGGCTTTTTAAATTGTCAGAGTTCTTGCAGTGCATCTTTCTCATCTTTGCAGGCTGCTGGTACTTCAGTCTTTAAAGTTGCTGCCCTTTGGATGGGTGTTTTTCTTTTATCTTATTTATTTGATGATCTTGAGGGTTTGTGGTATAAGGCAGGTTCAGTCAACTGGCTTCATTTCTGAAAGATTTTAGGCAGCGAAGGCTCAGCTCACATATCCTGGACTGTGTGCTCTAACTCTGAGGGACTGATATTGGCCCTGACATTTTAGTCTGGCCGCTCTAGTTTTGAAACTCATTGTGCTGGGGTGGTTGAGGTGCTCTTGGACTTCTGGTCACAGCACTTCAATAGGTAGCACCAGCCAAAGCGTCTTTTAGGGAGGTGGCAGTGGGATCTGTCCTCATTTTCATGTGCCGGTAGCAGCAGCAGCAGCAGCATGGTGGGATGCATGCTCATCAGCTGTAGCAGTTGCTAGCAGGTGCCAAGGTGCCAGCCTCCACGTAGGCATTCACAGCACTGAAGGAAGCAGCGTGGCTCAGGGTGTGGGGCAGAGGATCCCCACTGGTGACTGTGTTTGCAGTCACGGTGTTGGTGGTAGTGGGGTGCTGTCAGGTGCAGGATTGTATACATCCTCTTTGTGTGCTCATGTAGGCAGAGGTGGCCCCTAAAGGGCAGAGGAGGGCCAGCTGTTCTACACGCCTAGTTTCACTCTGGCAGCAGGTACCCTGAGAATCCCACTTGCAGCTGGCATCTGAAGTCCAGTCTTATCAGGGATCTTGACCACCAACTTGTGGGATCTGAAGCTAACTGAAGATAGTGACAAAATCAAATTGAGTTGTACGATACCCTTCTGGTGTTACAGAATTGATTTCCTAACCCATATACCAACTAAAATGTTTAGATGATATTATGAAGACATTGCAAATAGTTAAGTTCTTCAGCGTGCCTTTATAAGAAATAAGTAGGACCTTTAAATGAAAACTATATAACTCCCCTAAGCCATTTAAGTAAAGGCTTGAAAAACAATCCCATGAACCTTCCTGAAAGCCTTAACATTGACATATCTCCAAATTAATATGCTCATAGCAATTAATATGCTGAAAGCAATTTTGAATTAATATCAGTGAAAATGTTGGTGAATATGACAGAATAATTCCATATTGTTTGAAAGTTAAATACAACTTCGTGTTTGCTCTCAAGATTCTACCAAGTAGAATATAGAAAAAGATAAAAGCACTGAATTATAATAAAATGTGATTTAGACATAAATAAAGATCTTCAAGGAAAAAGGGGAGAGATAAACTATCAACTTTTTAAATGATAATACAGAATACTTTACAATAAAATTATTATTTGGCCTATTTTTTTCCAGGGTGAGAATAATTTCTCTAGAGGAATAAAGCAGAGAGGAAATTCTAAATAGAAAATATATTTGAACAAATAAATGCACACATACAAAAGAATATCTATGTTATATCAGTATATTTTATTCACCAATATAATCAGCCCTCCAGAAAATGTAGCTTCCTACACAGATTCTAGCATATAATCCTCACTGCTTACTTGATGTGCCTGTATTCCCAGAGCAGACAGGTGGCCAGTGTGGAAGAATGGAACTGTACCTATTAATAAAATGGGATTCAAGTAATAATAATGCTGTGCCACAGTATGATTATGAACTTTACATGGACTAAAATATGCATCTTGGTTTGTATTTCTCCAAAAAGGAAAGACCTGTGTACAGATAATTTAATGGAGATGATATCCTAGATATTATACGTGATGAGGTAGGAGAAGTGAGATAGGGAAAAAGAAAAGTCAGCGAAGAGTGTGTTCATGAGTGGATTACAGCTAAGAATAATTGAGTTTCAGTCTTTTTTGGATTCTTTGAAAAATCATATACAACTAGAATCTTCCTCCTAGATGAGAGGGAGGCTGGGGCATTTATCCAGAGATGTCCATCCCCGTTGATTGCCTGTTGCCGTCTGGAGTATGAACTCGTTTACTTTTTTAAGTTGTGGTTGATTGCAGTACAGAGACATCCTATAATGACGGAAATAGCCTTTAAGCAGAGAATAAGGAAGATGCAGTGATATAAGATTGTATGCTATCAGCCTCCTAAAAACTCTACTGCAACTGTTGATAACAATCTGGATAAATGTATATGGATCAGGGCCTTAAAACCTGCTAGCATATGTGTTTATTCCCTGAAGATTATCTGAAAAAATTAGCTAATCAGCTTGGTTTTCTATACCTTTGTGGTTGTACTCAACATTATAAGGAGGTTTACCTTGCATCCTCTTTTTATATACAGAAAGATATGCTCCCATACTCACCAAGGAGGGTATCATTAGTAGTGACCATAATATAAGCAGCGAGACGGTGAATGTGACATGTATCCAGTAGAAGATGGCAGAGAACTGGCCACCCATTGTCTTAGATCTTTTTACTCTGTGCTCCTACTGACTTGAAATTATATAGAAAGGACCAAAAAAAGTCTGCCTCAAAAGATCGTATGAAATTTATTGACATTATGATGCCAAATAACATCGTGGGAAAACCTTTCACATTGAATAATGTTTGATAATAACTTCCCAGTTCAGCTTTTCCTCCACTCTCTCCCTAATGATACACGTTCCAATAAAAAATGGCAACACAGAGAATGAGGAAATAAATTCCTCAATCTGCCCCTTACCAGCACTTTAAAGAAAAATGTTTTCAGAGAGATTCTTTAAAATATTTAACTTTTCTCCCCCAAGATGGTGGATTCGAGGCTTTTAGCATGCCTCCACCACTTGGAAATAGCAAAATAGTACATAAAGATCAACTCTGTGAGGTTTAATTCAAGAAGGAAAATGAGAGTTCACCAGAATTGTGAAGAACATCTCAGATCCCAGGGAGGAAAACATGGGCATATAGCCTCCTGACAGCATCTGACTGATAAAAGTGGGTGAAGCCTCTATACATCACATAGGTAAGAGAGCCTCCCTCTGTGACCCACCTTTCCACGTGGGATCTGAGCAACTCCAACTGAAGGAGAGCACATCACTTTTCCCTAGCCCTGGAGCTAATTTGGGGAGAGGCTTGGAAACACTGAGAAGAAAATACAACAGGAAAAGTTGCAGACGTTTTCCCAAACATAAGACGAAAAGCAGGACACCATTTTTAATGTGGGTACATACAAAATCATTCTTTGGTGACCTAGCAGTCACTTTAGTCTTGGGTCATAGATTGGAGTGCTTGCTCTTGAGTAGAGTAGGGGTATCCACAGCCAGAATTGTGAAAAGTGCCTCAGCAGTAGATGGTAAAATAGTGCTCTCTCCCATCACTGGCCTGAGGATGGAGGAGAGCTGCTACAGCTACAGTTTCTCTGGGGTGATGAGACTTACAGCCAGGGCCAGCTTAGTGACCTAGAATCATCAGCCTACATCTGTCATTGCTGGGTGCCCCAACCTTCTTCCCTGAGATCATGAGGCAGTGGGGCCCCCTCCACTCCACCCCAGGCAGATCTCCAGGCATCTGGAGCACCCACTGTCATGGACTAGCAGCCTGCGTTAGTCCATTTTGCATTGCTCTAAGAGAATAGCTGAGACTGGATAATTTATAAATGAAAGAGATTTGTTTGTCTCATGCCTCTGCAGGCTGTACAAGCATGGCACCCATATCTACTTGGCTGCTCATACGGCCTCAGAAAGCTTAAAATCATGATGGAAAGTGAAGGGGGAGCAGGCACATCATACCGTGAAATAGGGGTCAAGATAGAGGAAGAAGTTCCAGACTCTTTTAAACAACCAGCTCTCACATGGACAAAGAGAGTGAGAACCAAGTCATCACTGAGTCATTCATGAGGAATCCTCCTCTGTGACCCAAACACCGCCCCCCAGATCTCATCTCCAGTGTTAGGGATGACATTTCAATATGAAATTTGGAGGGGGCAAATATCCAAACCGTATCACCAAGCCTGAATTGCCTCACCCATCCTGTGCAGAGATCCTGATGCAGAGGCCCTTCTCTGCTTTATACCCAGGCAGATCTGCAGGCATTCTGAGCACTCGCTCACCTGGATCAGCAGCCTGACCCACTCCACCTTCTTGTGCAGAGATCCTGGTGCAGAGGGGCCCTCCCTGTTTCATCCCCAGGGAGATCTCCCGGCATTTGGAGCACCCACTCACCTGGTTCAACCTAAGGCACCCCACCCTTCCTCGGCTTAGATTGTGGTGCAGTGGGGCACTCTCCACTCCACAGTCAGGCAGATTTCCAGGCTTTCAGAAGACTTGCTCACCTGTATTAGCAGCTTGACCTGCTGCACCTTCCTGTGCAAAAATTCTAGTTCAGTGAGGGCCATCTCCACTCCATGCCCAGGCAGACCTCCAGGCATTCAGAGCACCTGTTTGTCTAATTTAGCAATCTGAGCTGCCACACCCTTCCTCTTCAGAGATTGTGATGCAGTGAGACCCTCTACATTCCAAGCCAAGGCCAATCTCCAGGCATCTGGAGCACCCACTCTTCTGGATTAGGAGTTGAGGCTGCCCCAGCTGCCCATACAGAGAACATGAGGCCAAAGAGGTTTCCCAGATTTACGACTGGGCATATACTTCTGGGTGCTTGGTGGTGCCACCCACTGGAGCACCCTTGGCACTGTGCTTGTGCCTGCCATCCATAGAGGTTCCGTAGGTATGCTGGCCAGGTCCATCCACATGCAACTTGCTACCTGCCTCCCACCCAACCAAGTGGCTGAGCAAGGCGCTCAGATCACTGTACACTTCATGGATCAGCCCCACTGTATAAGGCAACAGAGACCTTCCCCTGTAAACAAGGATTAAGTATACACCCGACCACTTTGGCCATAACAGATCTTACTCATAAGTGCCGTCTACTGGCTTATCTATTGAACTGCACAGCAAAAGTGCTCAGGGCTATAGGAGTAAAGCCAATAGGCCCTACCCAACATTGTCTACATTCACACCACCTAGGGAAGGGGAAGAAGGGAAAGAGAAAACAAAAATATTTGAGAGAAAGAAAGAAAAGAAAAAAAAACTGATCCAAATGAAAATAATTGCAAAAATTAGAAGTGCTGGCATCTCTAAATGAGAAGTAACTAGCCCAAGAATTCTGGCACCATGAAAAATGTGAATGTAGTGACACCACCAACGGATTATACCAGCTCTACAGCAATGTTGCCTAAACAAAATGGAAACTCAGAAGTGACAGATAAAGAATTAAAAGTATGGACTACAAGAAAGCTCAGAAAGATCCAAGAGAAGGTTGACAATCACCACAAAGAGACTTCTAAAAAACCCAGGAAGTGAAGGAAGATAAATATATTTAATAGAAATCAGTTAGAGCTTCTGGAATTGGAAAACTTACTTAAGAAATTTCAAGATATAATTGAAAGCCTTATTAATAGACTAGATCAAGCAGAAGAAAGAATTTCAGAGCTTGATGGCCGTCTTAGCAAAACAAAAATAAAGAAAAAAGAATTTAAAAAAGTGAACAAAGTTTCTGAGAAAAATGAGATTATGTAATGTGACCAAACCCACAAATTATTGTTATTCTTAAGAGAGAAGGAGAAAAAAATAAACAACCTAGAAAACATTTGAGAGAATAATTTAAGAAAATTTTTCTAATTTTGCAAAAGAGGTAGACATTGGGTTATAAGAAATCCAGAGAATGCCTGCAAGGTACTATACAAAATCAGTATCACCAAGGCATATAGTCACCAGATTGTGCAAGGTCAGTGCTAAAGAAAAAATCTAAAAGGCAGCTAGAGAAAAAGGTCAGATCATCTACAAAGGGAAACCCATCAGGCTAATGGCAGACTTCTCAGGAGAACTCTTACAAGCCAGGAGAGATTAGGGGCCTATTTTCAGCATTCTTAAAGAAAATAAGTTCCAACCAAGAATTTTATATTCCACAAAACTAAGCTTCATAACTGAAGAAGAAATAAAATATTTTCCAGACAAGCAAGCACTAAGGGAATTTGGTACCACTAAACCAGCTTAACAGGAAATACTTAAGGTAGTTCTAACATGGAAATAAAATAGTAATACCTCCTACCACAAAAACAGAATTAAGTATATAGCCCACAGACTCTATAAAGCAACCACACAATAGAATCTACAAAGTAATCAGCTACCAACTTCATGACAGAATCAAAATCTCACATATCAATATTAACTTTGAATGTAAACAGTCTAAATACTTTACTTGACACAGAGTGGCAAGTTGGATTAAAAAAAAAAAGACCTAACCCTCTGCTGTCTTCAATGTCACATGTAACAACACCTATAGACTCAGAGTAAAGGGTTGGAGTCACATGTCACATGTCTCCATGTCACATGTAACAACACCTATAGACTTAAAGGGTTGGAGAAACCCTATCATGCAATTGGGAAAAAAAGAAAAAAGAGCAGGAGTCATGATTCTTACATGAGATAAAACAGACTTTAAACCAATAGCAGTAAAAAAAAAGGACAAAGAAGGGAGTTACATAATGATAAAGGGTTCAATCCAACAAGAGAACGTGTATATCATAAATATATATGCACTCAATATTGGAACACCGAGATTCATAAAATAAGAACTTCTAGACTACAAAAAGATGAGCTAGCAACAAAATAATAGTGAGAAATTTTACCACCCCACTGACAGTGTGACACTGAGGCTGAAAACTAGCACAAAATTCTGGACTTAAATTGGACACTTGACAAATTGGACCTAATAGACATCTATGGAATCCTCTGCTTATCAACCAAAAAATATACATCCTTCTCATCTGCACACAGAACACATGTTTGGTTATGAAGCACATCTCAATGCATACAAAAAAAACTGAAATCATACTAAGCATACTCTCAGACTACAGTGAAATAAAAATAGAAATTAATAACAAGCAGATATTGCAAAACCACACAAGCACATGGAAAATAAACAACTTGCTCCTGAATTACTTTTGGGAAAAACACTGAAATTGAAGCAGAAATCAAAATACTCTTTGTAACTAGTAAAAACAGAGACATATACCAAAATATCAAGTATACAGCAAATGCAATGTTAAGATGGATGTTTATAACACCAAACACCTACACCTACATCAAAAAGTTAGAAAGATCTCAAAGTAGCCATCTAACATTGCACATAGAGGAACTAGAAATACAAGAAAAAACGAACTCCAAAGCTAGCAGAAGAAAAGAAATAACTAACATCAGAACTGAAAAAAATTGAGACCCAAATATCCAAAGAATCAACAAAACCAACAATTAATTCTTTGAAAGAATAAACAAGATTAATATATCTTTATCTAGATTAACAAATAAATAAAGGGAGAAGATCCAAATAAACAACTCAGAAATGACAAAGGTAACATTACAACCAATCACACAGAAATACAAAAGATCTTTAGAGACTACTATGAACATGTCCATGCACACAAAATAGAAAATCTAGTAGAAATGAATAAATTCCTTCAGATACACAAACCTACCAGGATTGAAACAGAAAGAAATTTGACACACTTTGCAGACCAATATTGAGTTCCAAAATTGAATCAGTAATAAGAAACCTACCAATAAAAAAATATTTGACTAGATGGATTCATAGCCAAATATCACCAGAGGTACAAAGAAGAGCTGGTACCAATTGTACTGAATCTCTTTAAAGTAATTGAGGAGGAGGGACTCCTTCCTAATTTATTCTACAAAGCCAGCATCACTCATTGCAAATCCTGGCAAAGGCACAAGGAAAAAACAAAACTATAGGCCAATATCCCTGATGAACATAGGCACAAAATTTCTCAACAAAATACTAGGAAACTGAATCCAGCACTTCATCTAAAACTTAATTCACCACAATCAAGTAGGTTTCATTCCTGGGATGCAAGATTGGTTCAACAAATGCAAATCAATAAATGTGATTCACCACATAAATAGAATTAAAAACCAAAACCATATGATCCTCTCAATAGATGTGGAAAAAGCTTTCAATAAAATCCAATATCCCTTCATTATAAAAACCCTCAACAGACTAGGCACTGAAGGAACATACCTCCAAATTATAAAAGCCATCTGTGAAAAACCCACAGCCAACATCGTACTGAATGGGCAAAAGCTGGAAGAACTCCCCATAAGGAACAAGACAAGAAGGTCCACCCTCACCATTTCTATTCACCATAGTACTGGAAGTCCTAGCTAGAACAATCAGGCAAGAGAAAGAAATAAAAGGCATCCAGTAGGAATAGAAAAAGTCAAACTATGTCTCTTCACTAACAATATGATTCTATACCTGGAATATCCTAAAAACTTTGTCAAAAGTCTCCTAGAACTGATAAATGATTTCAGTAAAGTTTCAGGATACAAAATTAATGCATAAAAATCAGTAGCATTTCTATACAACAATAACATTCAAGATGAGAGCCAAATCAAGAACAAATTCTATTTATAATAGCCACACAAAAAAATAAAGTATCTAGTAATATGTCTAACCAAGGAGGTAAGAAGTTTTTACAAGTAGAACTACAAAACACTACTGAAAGGAATCACATGTAACACAAACAAATGGAAAAACATTTTATGCTCATTGATTGGAAGAATCAGTATTGTTAAAATGGCCGTACTGCCTAAAGCAATAAAAGATTCAATCCTATTGTTATCAAAATACCAACATCATTTTTCACAGAATTAGAAAAATACTCTTCTAAAATTCATTTGGAACCAAAAAAAGAGCAAAATAGTAAGGCAATTCTAAGCAAAAAGAACAAAGCTGAAGTCATCACATTATCTGACTTCAACTATACTACAAACCTACAATAACCCAAACAGCATGGTCCTGGTATAAAGACAGACACACAGACAAGTGGAAAAGAGTAGAGAATCCAGAAATAAAGCCACACACCTACAGCCATCTGATCTTCAATAAAGTCAACAAATATGTGCAATGAGGAAAGGATTTTGTATTCAATAAATGGTGCTATGATAGCTCACTAACGATATGCAGAAGAATAAAATTTAACCCCAACCTTTCCCCATATATAAAATTAATTAAAGATGAATTAAATATTTAAACATAAGTCATCAATATATAAGAATCCTGGAAGAAAACCTAGGAATCGTCATCTGGATTTTGGCCTTTGAAAAGAATTTATGACTAAGTCCTCAAAAGCAATTGCAACAGAAACAAAAATTGAAAAGTGGGACCTAATTATACTACAGAGCTTCTGCACAGCAAAAGAAACTGTTAACAGAGTAAACGGCTATCTGACAAATGGAAGAAAATATTCACAAACTGTGCATCCAACAAAGTTCTAATATCCAGAATCTATAGGAACTTAAACAATTCAACAAGCAGAAAACAAATAACCCCACTAAAAAGTGGGCCAAGGACATGAGCAGGCTCAAAAGAAGACATATACACAGTGGCTCATGCCTGTAATCCCAGCACTTTGGGAGGCCGAGATGGGTGGATCAACTGAGGTCGGGAGTTTGAGACTAGCCTGGCCAACATGGAGAAACTTCGTCTCCACTAAAAATACAAAAATTAACCAGGCCTGGGGGTGCATGCCTGTAATCCCAGCTACTTAGGAGGCTGAAGCAGGAGAATCGCTTGAACCCAGGAGGCAGAGGTTGCAGTGAGCTTAGATTGTGCCATTGCACTCCAGCCCGGGCAACAAGAGCTAAACTCCATCTCAAAAAAATAAATTAATTAATTAAAAAAAAAGATACACAAACATTGAAAAAAGCTCCACATCATTAATCGTCAGAGAAATGCAAATTAAAACCGCAGTGAAATACCTCTCACACCGTCAGAATGGCTATCTATAAAAAGTCAAAAATTAACAGATCTTGCTGAGGTTATACAGAAAAGGGAACACCTATACACAACTGGTAGGAATGCGAAATTAGCATTACCGGGTATCTACCCAAAGAAAAGAAATTATTCTGCGAAACACACACACACACACACACACACACACACACACACGCTCCTGTGTTCATCTATACACTATTCACAATATAAAAAAGATAGAATCAACCTAGACGCCCATTAATGGTAGATTGGATAAAGAAAATGTGGTGCATGTACAGTATGGAATACTCTGCAGCCATAAAAATGAATAAAATCATGTTCTTTGTGGCAAAATGAATGCAACTGGAGGCAATTGTCCTAAGCAAATCAATGCAGGAACAGGAAGCCAAATACCACACATTCTTATTTATAAGTAGGAGATAAACACTGAGTACACATAGACATAAACACGGCAAGAATAGACATTGGTAACTACCAGAGGAGGGGTAAGAGGAAGTAGGATAAGGGTTGAAAACTGATTATGGATACTAGGCTCACTACCTGCGTGATGGGTCAACCTTACTCCAAACTACCACTAAATGAAATCTACCCATGTAACAGACCTGCACATGTACCCTTTGAATCTAAAATAAAAATCAAAGTTTTTTTTTTTAAGTTTTTGTAGATTTTTGGTATGTTTTGCTCTATAGTGTCAGGCCAACAACATGAAGACTTTCTAAATGGACCAAATTTCTGTCATCACAGTTACCACAGCATCGCTTGGATTAAACCTCAAGTCTAATAAGTCAGATAAACATCAAAAGGCAGCAAGCTTCCACGGAAATTGTGAAAAATGTAACCTAACGATGTTCTAAGGCAAGAGAAAAGTAGGTTTTCACCAGATTGCTCCAGTTTTAACTGGTAATATCACAGTCCATACTCATAAGAGGAAATAGCCATCCTGCATACCATGGTCTTCCAGGAGCTGGCCCTCTGACCTTCTGTCATACCATCTCCTTTTCAGCCCTAATCATCATGCTCCAGTTGACCTGGCCATTACAAAAGTTTTTTGGGCCGGGCGCGGTGGCTCACGCCTGTAATCCCAGCACTTTGGGAGGTGAATCACTTTAAGTCAGGAGTTCGAGACCAGCCTGGAGAAACCCTGTCTCTACTGAAAGTACAAAAATTAGCCAGATGTGGTGGTGGGCACCTGTAATCCCAGTTACTTGGGAGGCTGAGGTAGGAGAATCACTTGAACCCGGGAGGCAGAGGTTTCAGTGAGCCGAGATTGTGCCACTGCACTCCAGCCTAGATGACAGAGCAAGACTCTGTCTCAAATAAGAAAAAAAAAAAAAAAAAGAAAAACAAATGTTTTGTTGTTGTTTGTTTGTTTGTTTTAAATATACCAAGCTCATTTTCCTCACAGAGCTGCTTTATCTGCCTATTCTTCTTTTCCTCCAAGTTATCACATGACTTATAACTCTGGTGACAGCTCAAATGGGACCTCTTCAAAGATAACTTCCATCCCCACTCTAATGTTGTTCTCGATACAATCTGAACTAAAATATATTAACCTATTTTATTTACCTTATATTTTATCTCTGTAAAATTGCATCAACCATGTATTAATTGTATCCCTTCACTCCCCAGTATAAATTCCACATGAGCACAAAACTTGGCCATTTCATTCAATCCCTAATGTCCCAAATTTTGTCTATCTATGGGTAAGTCCCCAAGATCTTAGATATGATAAGAATGTATCATGAATTCATTTTTACTGATCAGGTTTCAGATCCCTGATATACCAATGTGGCAAGAAGTTTAATGTTACTGTAATGAGACCAAAAACTCTGAGTTGAAAATGAGAGGTAGATTTTTTTTTCTAGACTCATCATCTTTATTCAGCAATCCCAGTATCTTTTCCCCAAATTTCTTTTTTTCTTTTCTTCTTTCTTCCTTCCTTTCTTTCCTTCTCCTTCCCTCCCTCCTTCCTTCCTTCCTCCCTCCCTCCCTTTCTTCCTTCTTATTCTTTCTTCCTTTCCTTTCCTTTCCTTTCCTTTCCTAACCTTCCTTCTCTCTCTCTTTCCTTTTTCTTCTCTTTCTTTTTTTTTCTTTTTGAGACAGAGTCTCACTCTGTCACCCAGGCTGGAGTGCAGTGGCATCATCTCAGCTCATTGCAACCCCTGCCTTCCCAGTTCAAGTGATTCTCATGCCTCAGCCTCCCGAGTAGCTGGGACTAAAGGCATGCACCACCACGCCCAGCTAATTTTTGTATTATTGGTAGAGATGGGGTTTTGCCTTGTTGTCCAGGCTGGTCTCAAACTCGCCTCATGTGATCTGCACACATGAGCCACCACGCCCGGCCCCAAATTTCTTTTAGATGTTCTTTGATACAAATGATAGCCAGCTACTCTTTTAATTACCATCAAGTGAAAGGGGAGGATTACAGATGGAAAAGAAAGCATGAGATAGAGACAGTGTTTATGCCCAAAGCAGCTAATCCTGAATGGATTTTGATGGAAGAGAAGTCACTTTGACCAAATTTAATCCAAGGAATAAAAGTTTTAGCTGTATTCTGAAATTGTCCTCTCCTCCGGCTTATATAGCCACTAGAAATATATTACCTCCCCAAGGAGTGTTTCTTTCCTGGTGATATCAGTATCTAATGTGTGTGATAAGTAAACAAATTGGCAGGATTAACTGGAGGTGCCACAAATGAGAAGGTGTAAGCTGCATTTGTGTGCGGATGTGTTAAGGAGAATGAGAAGTGACATTGTTCTAATCTAAAATTAAAATTAAAATTAAAAAAAGGAGAAGTAGGGGAGAAGGAAGAGGGGTGCAAATGAAATCGAACCAGCACTTTCAGCTGCTTTGAAGTGTTTTTCTCTAACAGAGCTGTGAATCAGCAGGTACACCACACACCTCCTTGACATTTGTGCCAGAAAAAATGTCATATACAGAAAAATGTATCATACACACACACACATACACACACACACACACACACACACACACATATATAAATAGCTGTTGGGCTAACTTTGCCTCTTCATAAATTGAGAAAGAATTAACTTAAATAGATGCTTTAGAGTGGCAGAAGTAGAGGTGTCTTGAGATTAGTAGCCTTGACCTTAAGTAACATTACAATAACTTTGAGACCACATTTGCAAAGTCTCACTATCCTCACAAAGAAAGCCTGACTCTCATACATCATTGCTGGCAGTATAAATGAATAAAACCATTTGAAATGCCATTTGACATAGTTACCAAGTTAAAAATGTATCATGTCTTTGACCAACTGAGTATTTTTTTGTTGGGAATTTAATCTGTGGATTATACTAACATAAATACCAGTATGAACATGGTTCTTGCAACATTGCCAGTGTTCACAAAGATCTAAAAACAACTGAAATGACATTAATTAGTAATTGGTTAATGATTTATGATACTTTTGTAAAATGTCAATATTATTCAGCCATTGAGAACAGAGAAGTATTATGTATTCATGTGCTGATGTGAGAAGATAACAGAGATATTTGAAGTGAGAAAAGAAAGTTACAATACGCTGAATATAATGTGATCCCAAATTTGTTATGCAAACACGGGCAGGACTTTTAATTTCTAAACCAGCTAAAATGCATGCAATTAGTTAACAGAATTTAAAACTCATCAAAATGAATAAATCTCCATTGTTACTCATTCTGGAGCAAAATAGAGTTGCTCATATAAGCAGTAGCTGTTTTTCTTCATAGAATCCTCCCTTTTGACTTCTAGTTTGAAACTCATATTTAAATCACTGTTCATCTCCTTTGCCTACGACGTACTAATTTGTGTGACATAGCTGTCCATTTGGCATTCTTACCGGTTTCTTAGTATATAAACTTCAGCTTCTAATAAGGATATTTGCCTTTTTGAGATACCTCTCAGTGTCCCCAAGTTGAACTTCACATACTTCACGGAGTCCATATTTTAAGTCAGATAAGTCCATATTTTAAGATATCTGAAATGTGTTTTACACATTTTGTTCATATATGTGAATATTTATTCAACATTCATCTAGTTGCCTTTGTGAGAGATCATAACGGAAAATTAGAAAAGTTGTTTTGTTTATATTAATTAATTGAACAACCCTCCTCATATCTTATTAGCATCAAAGTCCAGAATTTCCATCTGGAGTGCTTTCACTTCTCTTTACTCCTCCCCAACTTGAAGTCCTAAGAATGCTTGGGCTAATTTGGTCTAAAGTGTTGCTTGAGTATCCATTTTTAAGAAGAAGTGAAAACATGATTTTTTTTTTTTAACTTCACTAGTATCACACTTTACTCCTGGACAAGCGCAGTTCAACAGGCAAAGCTTGTCTATAACAACTATACACACATGCTTATTTGAATACTTCCTGTGGCCTCAGGAGTTCAGGGAAGCCAATTTTTCTTCCTCAACAGTGATAAATTGGGCTTCCCCAAGTTGCAGTTATTATTATCGGGCTGGTTTCTTTTAAATTTATCACAAGTTCCCTAGGTATAAGCTGAACTTCAGAAAGGTACAAGTTTCAGAGATTGCCTCTCATAGACCTAGGAAGCCAGTCTTGTTCCATGACTGCTAAAGTGGTGGGGTAGCTTTTCAAAGGATAAGAAGTCATATTATGCCCCATTTCCTTGGACAATCAGACTATTCATTCTATATCCGTCTACCTCTGCTTGTAATTATAAGGTGATTATCTGTTTATGCCAATATGGTGAAATAGCTGATATTTATTTTGCCAAATAAGAATAAAAATAAATTTAAATTCTGGCAGGCATTTTTTTTCTGGTAATGCACAGTGATATGTGTAAAGGAAAGATTTATAAACATGTGTATATGGATATGTAAATATATGTGCTTGTTTTTGCAAAGAAAGTTACAAGAGGGATATACAAGAAACAGTTTCTAGTGGTACTGCTGGGAGGTGGGAATGAGGAGGTTGGAGTGCTTCTACTTTCCATTTTTAGTTCCTGTACTGTTTTATTTTTAATGTCATTATGTTATATAATTTTATCATTATAATTTAAAATAGAGGATTTTGTTTGCTTTTTTTGCTTAAGTAAAAAGAGGAGGACAAAAAGAAAGAAGAGAACTTTCCTTACAGAAATTCCCAGGCATTTGCACTTAATTACTAGCAGGGTTGACTCCGGGCTTCCTGCTAGCAAATCAGCTTGCTCAGAGTTCTGAGGAAGTTCCTTTGGATTTGATTTTATATAAAAACCAATCATAGTAAACCTTTCATTTATATGGAAATTGTAGTTTTATAAAATATGTTCAATGATGTAACACACACACTCACACATGCCCTAATGCCCTAGCAGGACATTCATTATTGACTCACTTTTCGGATAAGGCAATGAATCTAGAGAACTTCACCTGTACTCTAGGTGGACTTTGAACATCTGTTCCTCATGAGGATGAAGTGGGGGGTGAATATATCAGGCAATGAGAATAATAATTTAACAAATTGGTATCACCTGAGGCCATACACGTTCCAGGAGGATTTGCTAAGACTGAAAATGTCTGGAGAGCTGCCTTTAAGGAAATCACATTCAGAGCCTGAGACACTTTCATAATATACTAAACGGAATTAAATCTCCATCTTCAGGAGTAGACTTGCTATTTAGCAATAGCAAAATCATTCCCACCATGCCTATGGATAAATTAGCCAATTATGGTAAAACAAAAAATAATTTGACAATAAAGTTTATATATGCACGAATGACCTCTACTCTTTTATAAATCAGTCACAGTGATTCCAAAGTCCATGTGAGGAATTAAATGTTTCTCACTTTAAGCTTCAGGTGTGATGTGACTCCAGGAGCATTCTAAGTCAAGCTGAAATGCTTCTATTTAAGGATTGCTAGTCAAGTATCCCTTTCTTTATTCGGGCACATATTAATGTGTGATTCTCATTGAGGAGAGCTCTCTGCTTTGATCCATAAATCAGGAAACTGTAAGAAATTCGCATTGCCAGAAACTTTCCAACTTGAAGTCAGAACTTTCGTATCATTAAATTGATCCACTGATACTTGTTTTGATTAAAGCACCAGCTAACTTGTAACAGCATCTGCACTCAGTGATATGACTCAAACAAGCATAATGAATGCCTATCTTTTAATTTTTTATGAAAAGGCTTCATAATATATAATTAAGATGTTTTTTACATGTTCTACTGATGAGCCATCTGCAGGTATGACATTTAGCATCTGTACTTAAAAGTAGCCACCTGTTACGGTCTGGTTATCCTGACTGTGAATCATTTCGGATAAATGGAAGTTGGTATCATTTAGATTCAGAGTTCCTCATGAATCCCTCATCTTTTTGACATTTATTATTTTATTACAGGCTATCTTTCAGGGATTTTTTAAAGTTGTACCCATTGAAAAGTCTTAATTGCATTTGTTTTCAAACAAGGAAACTCTTGGTAAATGCATAGCTAGACAGAATATTTTTTAAGGTCGTAAGTTTGCTCTTCTTTCTTTTCCTCCTTCAGCAAAGTCAGATCATATCTACCTCCAAGTACTCACACCTCTTCACCTTTTGATTGTGTCATCAATTTCAAAACCATCTCTCAAATTCTTACTTCACTTTGAAGTGTAAAAACTTATGACATTCAAGGTGATTCATATCAGATCAGTAAAGAGATCACAATTTTATGCTAAAGGGAAAAGTTCCTAATGTTAGAGGATTTTTGAGAATGAACTGAGGTGACAGTTGTAGAGGTAGCTGGGTCCCTTTGGGGGTATAAGAATCATTCCAGAATTTATAAATTGCAGGGCATAAGCAGTCAGATATTCTGTCTGCGCCTGAGCATAACATCTGTTCTCAACTGACGGGGCAAATGTGAGTCTTGCAGAGTCTAACCACCTCACACATAAGTGGCAATAAAGTAGCACAGAGAATAATAATAAATACAGCAATAAGAAGATCTACCTGATAGTGTTTATTTGATATTTGCAAAGAACAGCACAGGACACACGTGAGCCTCTTACCTATTTTAAGTAGAATACAGGTTAAAAAGTAGAACAAATTTATTTAACATATAAATTGCAAATTTTACATGAAACATCAACTAACTCCTAAGCTTATGTGCTAGACTTCTCCATAGGGCCTTTGCTGGCCAGTACAGCGATATCAACTCTCCTTATTTTCTGAAGTTCAGTAGGTCACAGTCAACATTTTCCCATTATTGACCATACAAACATTTATTATTATTATTTAAATGTTTTATGTACCAATGTCTTGCAACTAAATATAAAGTTCTGGGAATTCGGGAATTCCCTTGTGAGGAATACATATCCCACACACACATATTGAAGCATCTTACTTGAGAGTAAATTTCTAAAATAATAATGAAGAGAGACAATAACAAAGAGATAAAATTAACCTTGAAAGAAATGCTTTGATTACTAGTTGAGGAAGCTGCTTTATGTCTAGGGGCCATGTTTTATATGAAAATTATCAAATGATATTCAGCAGGGTGAGATGATCACTCTATAAAAGGCCTTGGGGAACAGAGAACAACTTAAGGAAGAGCTGATTCATGTCTTCATCTCCCATAAGCTCTGAGGCAAATCTTATTGAATACCAAGATGTGTAAATGCACCTGTGTTTAAATCTCTTTCTCTCTCTCTCAGATTGTTATGTAGAATTTAAATGACTGTGTGATACAGATCCACTATATTCATACATGTGTATACAGACATGTGTCTCTTAACAATGGGATATAATCTGAGAAATGCATCATTAGGTAATTTTGTCATTGCGTGAACATCATAGAATGTACTTACACAAACCTAGATGGTAGAGCCTACTGCACACCTTGGTTATATGGTATAGTCTATTGCTGCTAGGCTACAAATCTGTACAGCAGGTTACTGTACTGAACACTGTAGGCAATTGTAACACAGTGGCAAGTATTTATATATCTAATCATATGTAAACATACAAAAGGTACAGTAAAAATAAGTTATAAAATATAAAAAATAGTACATGTGTATAGAGAACTTAATATGAATTAAGCTTGCAGGACTGAAAAATTGCTCTGGGTGAGTCAGTGAGTGAATATGAAGACTTGGGACATTAGCATACACTACTGCAGACTTTATAAACACTATACACTTAGGCTACGCTAAATTTACAAAAACAGAATTTCTTCAGCAATAAATTAACCTTAGTTTACTGTAACATACTTCATTTATAACATTTTTAATTTTTTATATTTTTGACTCTTGTAACAGTTTCAATCGCAAACACATTGCACAGTCGTGCAAATATTTTCCTTCATTTCCTTATTTTATAAATTATTTTCAACTTAAACCATTTTATTTCTATTCTTGCGTGTTTTAAACTTTTGTTAAAAATGAAAACACAAATTCACACATTAGATTATGCCTACACAGGGTGAAGATAGTTAATATTGCTGTCTTCTACTTCCATATATTTCCCCACTGGAAGATTGTCAACTCCCATGATAACTATGCCTTCTTCTAGAATGTCTTCTGAGAGACCTGCTCGAGGAAGATTGATGATTAACTTTCTTTTAAAAATAGAGTATACTCCAAAAGAACAATAAAATGTATTCTACAGTGAAGATGTAAACTAGTGACAGTTGTTTATTGTCATTATTAACAACTGTTAATAATGTCATTACTTAAGACAACTACAAATAGTTGAATAGATGTGATTAAGGTGTATATATAGTCATGCACCACATTGTAATATTTAGTACAGCAGCAGACAGAACACATGAAATTGGTCCCATAAGATTATAGTAGAACTAAAAAGAATTTCCAGTGTCTAGTGACATTATGTACATAATCATATGTTCTATACTTTTATATAACTGACAACACAATAGGTTTGTTTATGCCAGCATTGCCCAAACTTGTAATTTGTTGCAACAGCTATAATGTCACTTTACAACAGCTACAATGTCACCAGACACTAGAAATTTTTTTAGCTCTGTTATAATCTTATGGGACCACCTTCCTGTGTGCAGTCTCCTGCTGTACTAAATGTTACTATGTGGTGCATGACTATATACACACCTTCATCACACCTATTCAGCTATTTGTAATTGTATTCATATTTTCAGATGACATAGCATACTGCATGGCACCTTGTAGATACTAAAAACTATTTTATTAGATCATTTACATAATTTGTCAAATTATTTAGCTCATCAAAAATAAAACTCATTGAGAAAGGGAAACTGATATGGAGGGTTGACATGTAGTATGCATTGAAAAAAATCTACATATGAATGGACTTATGCAGGTCAAACTTCTGTTGTTCAAGGGTCAAATGTATAGATATATATGTGTGTATATATATAACATATATAGAATATATAACATATATAGAATATATATCATATCTATATTTAACATACATAGAATATCATATAATTAAACATATAGCTATGTATGTTATAGTTAACAGACTAATTGTAGGTTACAGTTATACATGTAGTAGGTTGTAGTTTTATATTAATATATATTGTTTTATATACATTATTTAATTCAGTTTTGGTCATGCATGCACACACACACATGTTTTAGTTGTGAAGGGATCCAGAAAGTCACTCACTCATTTAGTGATATGATAGAAGGACACATATTACTCAGCTTATAGTTATACTCATGGCTAAGACATATTTCAGTGAAAGGAAACATAGCAATATCAGCAAGGGAAAAAGACACAGATGGAACCTGGAGAAATCCATGAATAGCATTCTGATTTTCTCTCCCTCCAGTGTTGGAGCATATTGAGTATATCACTTTCTCCAGCAGTAAAAAAAAAATAAATAAATACAGTTATAATACAGTTATATGTGTGCAATATTTTTGCTAAGGGAAGCTTATCAGAAACTCAGTACCCAAAATCTATTGGAAGTCATTTAGGCACTTCAGCCAAGCACGTAACAAAATTTCAGACTCTCAGAAGTAAAACAAATGTTACCACGTTGTTTGTACAAATAATCTAGGTAATCTAGATATATGGAGCTACTCCTACTCTTTTCAGTTAGGGAATAAGTTAAGTATCAGGTTCCTAGATGCCAGCAATGGCAACTTTGTAAGGCCTTTTAAAAATAGAAGACTTGGGCCCACTTCATTAATTCTTTTCTGCAATCTATCTCCTTGGCCCTTGGCCAAGGTGTCTTTATAGTAAAATTATTATCAGTGAGATCTCATAAATCAAGGTGAAACCTCCCTGAGGTACTGGCCTCAGTCATGCCATGTGGTTCCTGAATTTAGCCAATTTAAAAGGTCCTATTAACAATAAAGATGTAAGAAATCTAGGTGTCTTTTTCCTTAAGTTTCTGTATTAACCTTTTTACTTGGCTTGAGACATCAATTCAGGCACCTCTCAACTCTGGCAGTAAGTTAAAGCTGCCCTTAAACATTCCAGGGCTGAGACAATGTCACGATATTTAGGGTAAATACAAGAGGTACAGTCCCAAAGGGCATACATTGTACCACCAGGATAAAAGCTTACATCAAGCAAAATATACATTAGTCAGGCCATAGAGATTAATAGAGTCATCAGTGTGGCTTCCCACCCAGGAGCTTCCTGCCCTCATGTTCCCAGTTTAGTAGGAATAATTTAGTTCAGTCTTTGGTTTCAGAGTAATCATCTGAAGGTGGTCAGCTCAAAACATTTATGCTTATCTACGACATCGGTTCAACTCCATCATGAGTGTGGGTGAGATCCAGAGCTGTTCCACCTGGTGTTCTCTTGTACAAATTGTAAGAGTTGGTACTACATTCTCTTGTTTTGTGGTCAGGGCTGTCAGGCATAAAAAACTCAGCAATTCAATTAAATTCAAAGTACTCAAGACAGTTTGGAAAACAGTTTAGAAAACAGCACAGGGAGTTTTATTTTACAAAGAAGGGGAATCTCCAGTAGTTGGTCAAAATTAATCCTGGATAGACCCAATTATCTTTTATTCTTGGTTAAATACTTTAAACAAAGTATCGGCTGGGCGCAGTGGCTCAAGCCTGCAATCCCAGTACTTTGGGAGGCCGAGGTGGGTGGATCACGATGCCAAGAGATCGAGACCATCCTAACACGCTGAAACCCCATCTCTACTAAAAATACAAAAAAATTAGCCAGGCATGGTGGTGGGTGCCTGTAGTCCCAGCTACTCGGGAGGCTGAGGCAGGAGAATGGCGTGAACCCGGGAAGCGGAGCTTGCAGTGAGCCAAGATCGCACCACTGCACTCCAGCCTGGGCGACAGAGTGAGACTCCGTTTAAAAAAAAAAAATAAACTTAAAAAAAAAAGAAGTATCTAAAACTTAGTGGCTTGAACAGTGTAAATTTATTATCTTATACTTCTCAAGGTTGGGAGTCTGATGTGGATCTCTCGCTGGTCTAAAATCAAGCTGTTGGCACGGTTGTATCCTTTCCAGATACTCTAAAAGAAAATGTATTTCCTTGCCTTTTCTAGCTTCTAGAAGTTGCCTACATTCCACGTCTTATGGACCTGTAATTGCTGGATGGGTTCTTCTTGCCCACTGTGCAGATAGAGCTGATTGATTGAGGCAGTGATATTGCAATAGAGAAAGAGTTTAATAAACACAGAGCCATCTAAGTGGAAGACTGGAGTTCATTACTAAAATCAGTCTGTCTGAGAACTCAGAGGCTAGGGATTTTATGGATAACCTGGTGGGCAGGGGGCTAGGGAATAGGTGCTGCTGATTGGTTGGGGATGACATTACAGGGCTGTGGAAAACAGTCGTCATGTGCTGAGTCTGCCTCTGAGGTGAGGCCATAGGACTTGTTGACACATTAGTCCTGGATCCAGGTGGAATTGGTTTGTTGCTAGAATGCAAAAGTCCAAAAAACATCTCAAAAGACAAATCTTAGGTTCTACAATAGTGATGTTATCTACAGGAGAAATTGAGGAAGTCACAAATCTTGTGACCTCTGGCCACATGACTCCTAAGCGGCAAGGGATTAGAGAAAGGCAAGCTGGGGGACAATGCATGGTTACCATTTAGCTACAATTTTAACAGAATTCAAGCTCCTCCCATAATCCTAATGTTGTAGCCCTCCATTAGTCTTACAAAGGCAGTTTCAGACCCTGAGTAAGGAAGGAGTTTAATTTAGGAAAATATTATCATCCTTGCTTCAAAGTTAAACTATAAACTAAATACCTGTCATGGTTAGTATGGTCTACAGCCAAGAATGAGCAAGAACAGCCAGCCAGTGAGGCTAGAGGCAAGATGCAGTTGGCTATGCTAGACTTCTCTGACTGTCACAATCTTTGCAAAGATGGTTTCAGGCCCTTCCTTTATTTTCAAAGACAGAAACATTGTATTTCTCTGACCCTTCTTATGAGAAATCTCTCTTTTTCTCTGATTAACTAGAGAAGACTGCTTTTGAAGACTCATATTATTAGACTGGGCCACCTTGATAACCCTGGATCGTATTTGCAAAGTCCTTTTGCCATGTCAGATAGCATATTTGCTGGTTCCAAGATAGGATGTGTGCATCTTTGAGGGAAACTTTATTTAGCTACATCTACATCTTAGCAGAATTCAGGCCCCTCCCATAATGTTAACAGGCCCTATTTAAATAATATGTTGATTTCAATGCGCTACCTTCATAACTTTGCTGCCATAGATTCTAGTCCTTGCAGAGTGTCTTCCTCAGTTTTTGCACTACAGGCATAGAAGACATCTCATTTTTGGTTCTGAATACTTCTGCTACTGCCATAGCTCTGCTAGTCATTTTAGTTCTGCCAAAAAAGAAGAGATAACTTCTTAATTTCCATGCAAATTGATTTCTATTAGAGCCATAACATCAGGTTTTCTGAAATGTCCTGACATGTTTAAATTTCAGTAGGGGTAGTTTTGCTCACATTGAATTCTTATGACAGTTAAAAGGTCATTTACTGTGAAGTTGACTCTTAGTCAAGTATCTGTAAGTATCTGTTATAGGAATACATTAAGACTGAAACGAAATCATCTTGAGGGCCTAGAAACCATAGTAGGTCTTTGAGCAGAAATGCTAAATTGTTGAAGCTTCAAGCATCCAGCATATTTTTTAGCATGAACTACATATAAATCTCACAACTTTTTTGTTGGAGCCAACCACATTTGCCAGTGGAGGCAGTGACCTGCTTTGTAGTATGGTTTGAAATGAACTAGATCAGGCTTCTATCAAACTACTAGGCATGTGGACCAAGAATGTATATTTTGAAAAAGCACCCAATTACTTCTGATATGCACTCCTGTTTAACAACAAATTGATTAGGTGCTAAGATTCATTCACAGAGTAGCACCCTGAGGAATTAACTCAAAGATTGGTGAAGATGGAAAAAATTACACATTACCCTTAGTCTAAAACGTGGGCACTTTGAGAGAGGTAAGTTCTGAGTAAGTATTAAAGAAGAGGAATCTATGTAGGTCAGGAGCTCTGTGCCCACTGAGTACCTAATACTCAACTTTTTTCTGTGGTTTTATGAAACAAGTATAGTCTGGGAGCAGAAGCCCTGCTGTCTAATTTTTTGTGTCCTTGGTCAAGTTAATTTACCTACCTGGGCCTCCTTATTAAAACAAGATACCTGAGCCATATGACCACTGTGATGGTTACTTTTATATATCCAATTGACAGGGCCATGGGATGCCCAGAAATGTGATTAAATATTATTTCTGGGTGTTTCTGAATTAGGCGTCTCTCACATGAGTTCCACAACCATTCTCTATACTTTGTTATATAAATTTAGTATCAAGTACATTCCAGGAAGAGAGTGAACATTTATCCAAAATTTATTTTATAAAAACGAATGTTGACTGCCCTCCAGCCACCATGTTGCCTGCCTATCTGGGCCTCACTCCCTGGTGCCAGCCATCATGGTAGCCAGAATTTTCCTTCCTAGAGGGAGGTAGAGCAAAATGGCCAAATAAAAGTCTCCGGTGATTGTGCCTCTACCGGAACACCAAATTGAACAACTATTCACATGGAGAAGTACCTTAATAAGAACCCCAAATCAGGGAATTCTCCCTGACATTACCCAAGACTACCAAGACAGTACCTCTGAGTCTGCAAGAGCCACAGTGTTACTAAACTTGGGGTGCCCCCTATTGTAGTTATGGCTGCAGTGACCAAAGACTTAGATAATAACACTGAAATTCCTTTGAATATGTGGAAAGCCTTCCAAAGAAAAATGCACACAACAAGTCCAAACTGAGAAGACTAAAATAAATAACTCCTCAATGCCCAGACAGTGACAAACATCCATAAGAATCAAGGCCATCTTGGAAAAATTGTCTCATCAAATGAACTAAATAAAGCACCAGTGACCAATCCCAGGGAGACAGAGATATGTGACCTTTTATATGGATAATTCAAGATCATTGTTATGGAGAAGCTTAACGAAATTTAAGATAACACAGAGAAGAAAGAATCATATCAGATAAATTTAACAAAGAGATTATAAAGAATTAAACAATTAAAAAGAATTAAATAATTAAACCATTAAATTGTTAATTAAAAAATTAAAAAGAATCAAGCAGAAATTCCAGAGCTGAAAAATGCAATTGACGTGCTGAAGAATTCATCAGAGTTTTAACAGCAGAATTGATCAAACAGAAGAAAGAATGAGTGAGCTCAAAGGCAGTCTATTTGAAAATACACAGAGGAGACAAAAGAGAAAGGAGACAAAAGAGAAAGGAGACAAAAACGAATAAAGCGTGCCTACAAATTTTAGAAAATAGGCTCAAAGGACAAACCTAAGGGTTATTGGCTTTAAAGAGGAGGTAGAGAGATCAGGGTAGAGAGTTTATTCAAAAGGATAATAACAGTGAAATTCCCAAACCTAGAGAAAGATTATCAATATTCAAGTACAAGAAGGTTATAGAACACCAAGCATATTTAACCTAAAGAAGACTACCTCAAAGCATCTAATAATTGAACTTTCAAAGGTCAAGGATAAAGCAAGGATCCTAAGAGCAACAGGAGAAAAGAAACAAATAACATACAAAAGAGCTCTAATGTCTGTCAGCAGACTCTTCAGTAGAAATTTTAGAGGCCAGGAGAGAGTGGCATGATCTATTTAAAGTGTTGAAGAAAAGAAAATGTTTACCCTAGAATAGTATACCAAGCAAACATATCCTTCAAACATGAAGGAAAATAAAGAAAAATAAAGTATTATTAGAGCTAAAGAGAGAGACCTCAATACAATAATAGCTGAAGACTTCAACACCCCACTTGCAGCACTGGACAGGTCTTCCAGATAGAAAGTCAACATAGAAACATCATAATTAATCTGCACTATAAACCAAATGAACCTAACAGATATTTATAGGACATTTCACCCAAGATCTACAGAATACAGAATACATATTCTTCTCCTCAGCACATGGATCATTCTCAACAATAGACCATATTTTAGGCCAAAAGATAAGTCCTAAGACATTTTAGAAAATTGAAATCATATGTATCATCTTCTCTGACCATAACAGAATAAAACTAGAGATCAATAACAAGAACAATTTTGGAAACTATAGAAAAACATAAAAATTAAACAACATACTCTTGGGTGGCCAGTGGGACAATGAAGAAATTAAGCAGAAAATTAAAAAATTTCTTGAAACAAATGAAAATAAAGCAAAACAGGTCAAAAATCTATGGGATACAGTAAAAGCAACACAAGAGGAAAGTTTATAGCAATAAGCACTTACATCAAAAAAGTAGAGAACATTGAAATAACCAACCTAATGATACATGTTAAAGACCAAGAAATGCAAGAGCAAACCAAACCCAAAATTAGTTGAAGAAAATTAATGAAGATCAAAGCAGAAATAAATAAAATTGAAATAAAAAATAAACAAAATGAAGTTAGTTTTTTGAAAAGACAAAACAAAATTAACAAGCCTTTAGGCAAACTACTTAATTAAAAAAAGACTCAAATAAAATCAGAGATGAAAAAGAAACATTACAACCAATACCAGGGAAATTCATAGGATCCAGAGGCTGCTGCGTGTAACTGTATGCCAATAAATGGGAAAACATAGAAGAAATTGATAAATTCCTAGACATATACAACCTACCAAGATTAAACCATGAAGAAATAAAAAACCTGAACAAACTAATAAAATGTAATGAGATTAAAGCCAAAATAAAAAATCCTCCAGCAAGAAAATCCCAGGGCCTAATGGCTTTACTGCTGTATTTTACCAAACATTTATAGAAGAACTAATAACTACTCACTTCTCAAACTATTCTGAAAAAGAGAGAAGGAGACAATATTTCACAACTCATTCTAAAAGGCCAGTATTAGGCTGATACCAAAACTAGACAAAAACAGCAAAAAGCAAAACAAAAAATAAACAAAAACTACAGGCCAATATCCATGATCAACACTAATAAAAAAATTATCAATGAAATACCACAAATTCAACAACACACTAAAACAGCCATTCGTTATAACCAAGTGGGGTTTATCTGAAGAATTCAAGGATGATTCAACATACCCAAATCAATCAGTGTAATACATCATATCAACAGAATGAAGGAAAGAAACCATAAGATCATTTTGATTGATGCTAAAAAAGCATTTGATAAAATTCAACATTCCTTCATGATAACCCTCAAACAACTGGATATAGAAGGAACATACCTCAGCACAATAAAAGCCACATGTGACAGACCCACAACCAGTATTGTACTAAATGGAGAAAAAGTGAAAGCTTTCCTCTAAGATCTGCAACATGACAAGGATGCCAACTTTCAGTACTGTTGCTCAACATATTACTGGAAGTCCTAGCTGAGAGAAATCAAGCAAGAAAAAGAAATAAAGGTCATCAAATTGGAAGAAATAAGTATAAATATTCTTGTTTGAAGATGATATTATCTTATATTTGAAAAAACCTAATGATTCCACAAAAAAAACCTATTAGAACAGAGAAACAGAACAAACTCAGCAAACAAAAATCAGTAACATTTCTATATGCTAACAGTGAGCAATCTAAAAAAGAAATAAGAAAATAATCCCATTTACAATATCCATAAATAAAATTAAATACCTTATTAACCAAAGGTAGTGAAATTAGCCAAAGAAGTGAAAGTTCTCTACCATGAAAACTATAAAACATGAATACAAAAAATTGACAGGGACACCAAACAATGGAAAAAGTCTATGTTCATGGATCAGAAGAATCAATGTTGTTAAAACGTCCATATTACCCAATGCATTATACAGATTCAGTGCAATTTCTATCAAAATTACAATGATATTCTTCACAGAAATAGAAAAATCTATCCTAAAATGTATATGGAACCACAGAAGACCCAGAATAGCCAAAGCTATCCTGAGAAAAATAACAAAACTGGACGAATCACATTACCTGTATTTAAATTATACTACAGAGCCATAGTGACCAAAACAGCTTGGCATTAAAAAAGATATGTAGATCAATGCAACAGAGTGAAAAAAAAAAACAGAAATAAATACATCTACAGTGAACTCATTTTCAACAAAGGTGCCAAGAACATATATTGAGGAAACAGCAGTCTCTTCAGTAAATGGTGCTGAATAAACTGTATATCCATATGCAGAATAATGACATTAGATTCCTATCTCTCACTATAAACTGTATATCCATATGCAGAAAAATGAAATTAGATTCCTATCTCTCACTATATACAAAAATCAAATCAAAATAAAGACTTAAACCGAGGGCCTCAAACTATGAAGCTGCTAAAAGAAAACAATAGAAAAACTTTCCAGGACATCAGACTCGGCAAATATTTCTGAAATAATGTCCCAAAAGCACAGGAAACCAAAGCAAAAATGGACAAATGAAATCACATCAAATTAAAAAGCTTCTGCCCAGCAAATGAAACAATCAAGTGAAGAGACAACCTGCAGAATAGAAAAAAAAAATTTGCAAACTATCTGACAAGAGATTAATAACCAAAATATATTAGGATCTCAAACAACTCTATAAAATATCTAATAATCTGATTAAAAATGGGGAAAAGATCTGAATAGTACGTATTTCTCAAAAGAAAACATACAGATGGCAAACTGGGACATAAAAAGGTGCTCAAAATCATATCATTAGAGAAATGCAAATCAAAACTACAATAAGGTATCATTTCACTCCAGTTAAAATGGCTTTTATTCAAAAGATAGGCATTAACAAATGCTTGTGATGATGTGAAAAAAAGGGGAGCTCTTGTACACAATGGGTTGGAGTGGACATTAGTACAATCACTATAGAGAACAGTGTGGAGGTTCCTCAAAAAACTAAAAATAGAACTACCATACAATCTAGCAATCTCACTTCTAGGTTTATACCCCCCAAAAAGAAAATCTATATATCAAAGAGATATCTGTGTTCCTATGTTTACTGCAGCAGCATTCGCAATAGCCAAAACTTGTAAGCAACTTAAGTGTCCACTGACAGATGAATAGATAAAGGAAATGTAGTATACATACACAGTGGAGTACTATTGAGCTGTAAAAAAGAATGAGATCTTGTCATTAACCACAGTATGGATGGAACTGGAGGTCATTATGTTAAGTGAAATAAGCAGGCACAGAAAGACAAACTTTGTATATTCTCAGTTAATTGTGGGAGCTAAAAATTAAGACAATTGAACTCATGGAGATAAAATTCAATGGAAAACCACAAGAGTGACGGTTGCCAGAGGCTGAGAAGGATAGTGGTGGAGTGGAGAGAGTGGGGATGGTGAATGGGTGGGAAAATATAGTTAGAATGAATCGGCTGTAGTATTTGATAGCATAACAGGGTGACTACAGCCAACAATAATTTATCATACATTTTAAAATAACTAAAAAACTAGAATTCAATTCTTTGTAACAGAACGAAGGGTGTAGCAGATACCCCATTTACCCTGATGTGGTTATTACACATTGTATGTCTGTATCAAAATATCTGTATTGTATGCCTGTATCAAAATTGTATTTCTGTATCAAAATATTTGATGTCTGTCATTGTATGTCTGTATCAAAATATCTCATGTACCCCATAAATATATACACCTACTATGTACCCACAAAAAAGAGGGGCATTTCATAAAGTCAAAACAATCAATTGAAAAGGAAGTTATGACAATCTTAAATTTATATACATCAAGTAAAATGATTTAAAAGGAAGAAATAAAACTGTTATTGCAGATGTCAAAATAATAATAAATAAATGTTACTGAAAATGTTTTAACAGTGTAATAAATTTCTCCTTCTAACCAAACAGAATGTCAAATATTCTTCAATAAAAAACATACTTATACTTTCTTGTCACTTCATTTGCACCTGGCATTTCACCATTTGAAGAAGCAGCCAGAAAACATAACTGTAGCTTTTTGGTTTTCTGGTGTGTGCATGCGTGTGTGTGTGTGAGTGTATGTGTGTGTGTGGTGGGGGGCAAATTAATGTCAAAGCATATCATAGATGAGGAAATTAAGTAGAAGTGGATATTTACTACAAGTTATTTTTGCAAAATTTATTCTTTTTATTTGGCAGAACGTTTGTCTTCTTTCTTTCTGTTATTATACTGTTCCCTAGGGTAATTCTAGCTCCAGTGCATGCATAGAAACACACAGTGAATAGGCATTTTACAAATATACTTCCCAGGGTACCCACTTTCCAGATCTTTGATTTTCTTGTGAAATCCTAGAGGAACATAAGCTATACAGATTTTACTGTGCTACAAATTGATACAGTGTATGCCATGATAGATATTATAAAATAGTGAGAGAAATAAGATTATCTCCAAAGAGGAAATAATGTTTACTTTGTAAAAAAAAATTTTCTGCAAATATATCATTACTATCATCTCTGACATGAAGAAACCAGAGACGCAATTGCTAAAGAGAAGGTCTGGTAAAGGATAACAAAACTTTTAGTGCTGAAAGTAGGTAAGTCCCCAGGAAACCACAACTAGTTAGTTATTTTAGGATTAGTTACTTCGAAAGCTTCTTGCCCAAAATTGTATTTGAAGATTGTATTGGGGAAGAGATCAGAGCTGAGAAAGTTAACTCTAAGCACAACTATCAGACAAGAATGAAAAACATAACATGAAATGAGCTTCATGGCCCAAGTAAAACCAGTCTGGGCACCAGAAAACCAAGAAAGAACACCAGAAGTTTTTAGGGACTTCGGCTTAATTTTTTTTAATTACACAACTGATATATGAGTAGATTATCATTATACGGAAGTTTGCAGACTGTAACGTTCAGACTGTTCTTTTACAACCCCTTCACTCCTTCTCCTTTGTCTACAGCTAACTGGTGATCACAGTTTGGTGAATGACTTCACATATTTTTTTCCACATACATGTCATATTACATATTTGTTTTTGTTACTTGCTGTTTTCACTTACCTGTTTTTCGAGGCTATTTTCCAGTCAGTGCCTAGAGATCAAACTCTCTTTTCAAAAACGAGTGTCACATTTTATGAAATTTTCCATAGATACGTGGTGACTTAGTTAACTATTGACCTATTATTGATGGCAACTTTGTTAACATTTCTCAAACAGTAAACAATGATTTCAGAGGAGCTTACACATGCATCTTTTTTTTTTTTTTTTTCAGACAGAATCTCAGTCTGTTGCCCAGGCTGGAGTGCAGTGGTGTGATCTTGGCTCACTGCAACCTTTGCCACCTAGGTTCAAGCAATTCTCCTGCCTCATCCTCCTGAGTAGCTGGGATTACAGGCGCCTGCCACCGCACCCAGCCAATTTTTGTATTTTTAGTAAAGACAGGGTTTCACCATCTTGGCCAGGCTGGTCTTGAACTCCCGACATTGTGATCCACCCGCCTCGGCCTCCCAAAGTGCTGGGATTGCAGGCGTGAACCACTGCGCCCAGCCACACGTACATCTTTATGCACAGAATGAAGTATTACTGTAAAATATTCACAATAATAATGGTAATTAACATGTATTTGGAGTTTAACCATGTGTCAAACTCTATGTTAAGCATTTTGCATCACATTTAATCTTCATAATTCTGAATAAGTTGCTATGATATCCCCATTTTACAGATAAAGAGGCTGAAGTTCAGAGAAGTTAAGTTTAAGATAGTTATGTTAGGTATGAACAAGGCCAAAGAGGATGCAAGCCCAGGCAGCAGTTCTCCAGAGCTGGGTCAGAGGTTGCATAGATGGATGCAGTTTGTATCTAGAAATCATTAAGTTACTGAAAACCTATATGCTTTAAATTGTGTTTGTAGGAATTTTTCTGTTCTAAGTAAACAAGATGTTGGCCAATACTCATTCAAAAGCTTAGAGTCTCTATTGTCACCTCATATGCACCGTATATTTTCCCTCTAGACAAATCATCCAGGAAACACAGATACAATTTTTACTTGACTTAATAATGCCAAATTTCCTTTAAAGAGTGTTTCATTAGACAGAAATTACAAATTCTGATGCCTCTGGGGTATGACAGCTAAAATCTCAGTTCAGGTCTTTAAGCATATTTCTAAGGGTTTTTATTAACAAATTATTTTTAAGTCAAAATGAATGAGACTAATTACTTTAAAAATATTTTTGATAATATAAAATGGGTACAGTGACATGTGTCTGTATTCCCACATTCATGGGAGGCTAAGGTAGGAGAATCACTTGAGGCCAGGGGTTCAAGACCAGCCTGGTCAAAATGGCAAGACCCTATCTCTCAAAGAAAATTAATAATATGAGATAATATCTTTTTTAAAAAAGTTGCTTTATACTGAGGGAAAACTGATATTACTTCATTTTTTAACTCGTATTTCCTTAACCATTATCTTATGTCATTCACATTTTTTCATTGTAAAATTTCTATTTTTATCCTTTATTCAATTTCTGTATTGGTTTGACTTTTTTATTTATGGAAACTTTTTACATATTCTGTATAACAGTCTTGTGGTATATCTTTCAAATATTTTATATAATTATTATAATTTATTTAGTGGAGACATAGAAATACAAGTGTTGCCATTAGTTCCAATTAATAACAGATTTTCTATAATTGGTCACTGTACTGGAGGTGGATAAATAAAAGCTCCTAATTGTGATTGTTGTAGATTCAAAGATTCCTCTGTCATGTATATCTATAATATACATGTATATATTTGTGCAGTAACTTTAAGAATATAGCTGAGAATCCACTGAATATGATGCAGCAAAATGTACATACTTGAAACTGAATGATGATAACATCGGGAGTTCTCAGCAGGCCTACTTGTCCAACACATAGTAACGGTTAAATGATGGTTAGCAGTGATTATCAGGTCTATTGGGAACTATTTTATTTTATTTTATTTAGATGGAGTCTTGCTCTGTCGCCCAGGCTGGAGTGCAGTGGCGTGATCTCGGTTTGCTGCAATCTCCACCTCCCAGGTTTAAGCGATCCTCCTGCCTCAGCCTCCCGAGTAGCTGGGATTACAGGCACCCACCACCATGCTTGACTCATTTTTGTATTTTTCAGTAGAGATGGGTTTCACCATCTTGGCCAGGCTGGTCTTGAACTCCTGACCTTGTGATCCACCTGCCTTGGCCTCCCAAAGTGCTGGGATTACAGGTGTGAGCCAACGCGCCCAGCCCACTTTTTTTTTTTTTTCGTGGTGATAGCTATGTACCGGTTTTCTCTTTTTTTGAAATTGTGGCACATATAAACCTGTTTATGAGGAAAGCCACTAGTTCATTTTTTTGTGACTTCAATGTAAAACCATGAACAATTATCTCAGGTACTCACGATAAAAGGGAGAAATCTTAATACTAGAATCACTTTTCAAAATGGAATTTAGGTAATTTTATGAAAATTGAATTTAAATTTTATTAAAAAATAGATTATGCTCATTTAAAATAATTCAAATAATGCAAAAAGTTATAGAGTGAAAGTGAGAATCTGCCTCTACTCCTTTCTACCTCACGTCCTAAAATTAAGCTCAGTTCCTATATTCTTAAACATCTTTGTCAGAGATTAGTTTTCTTTGCTATGTTTTTCTGTATTTTTATTGGTTTCAAGGGAATTTTCATTTGCTTGTTAAAGCACCTCTATGAAGCCTACTTTCAAATTATTTTCAGATGATTCTAGTATCTGATTCATCTTGATATTGCCATTAGTTGATTTTCTTTTCTTGTTATGATGAGTTACTTTTACCTGTATTGTAGACATTTTGATGATTATATTAGGAGACTCTAGGTTCTATTTAAATCTTTTATTTTAGGCCAGGCATGGTAGCTCACACCTGTAATCCCAGCACTTTGGGAGGCCAACGTGGGTGGATCACTTGAGGCCAGAAGTTCAAGACCAGCCTGGCCAACATGGTGAAACCCCATCTCTACTAAAAATACAAAAAAAAAAAAAAAATTAGCCAGGCATGGTATGGTGGCAGGTGCCTGTAATCCCAGCTACTTGGGAGGCTGAGGCAGAAGAATCACTTGAACCTGGGAGGCGGAGGTTTCAGTGAGCCAAGATTGCACCACTGCACTCCAGCCTGGGTGACAGAGTAAGACTGTCTCAAAAAAAAGAAGAAAAGAAAGCAAAAAACAATAACAAAAACAACAAAAATAAATAAATCTTATATTTTTATAAGCAGTTACATGCTTAGGTTTAGCACACAGCTCCAGGCTTATTTTGTGGGCTATGGTTCTAGCAACAATCCAATTTTTAAAAATTGTGTGCTTCAATGGTTTTTAGTATAATCACTGATATATGCAACCATCACTACAGTCAATTTTAGAGCACTGTCCTTATACCAAGAGAATCCCTTATACTTCTCTGTGTAACTCATTATACCAAGAGAATCCATTATCCTTTTATAATTCATTATACAAAGAGAAGGTGATTTCAGAAACACCTCCCTATCTTCCAGCCAGCTCTAAGCAACTATGATTCTACTTTTTATGTCTTTATAAAAATTCCAGTTCAACATTCCACATAAATCGATTCATAGAATGCATGATCTTTTGTGCCTGGCTTATTTTGCTTAGCATAATGTTTTCCAGCTTCATCCATGTTGTAGCCTGTATGAGGACTTTATTCCCTTTCATAACTGAATAATTTTCCATTTTATGGAAATACCATATTTTGTTTATCCATTCATCAATTGATAGATATATGGACTGTTTCCACAGTTTGGCTATTGTGAATAGAGCTGCTATGAATATTTGTGTATAACATTTTTGTTCGAACACCTTTGATTCTTTGGGTTATATACCTAGGAGTGGAATTGCTGGGTCATGCAATGATTTTATGTTTAATTTTTGAAGAACCACCAAAATGGATACCACAGTGGCTGTACCATTTTGCATTCTTGCCAGCAATATATGGGCTCCAATTTCTCCACATTGTCACCAACATTTGTGACTTCCTATTTTTTGTGTTTTTTGGTTTGTTTTTAAACAATTTTGCCTTTATAGTCTTTACACTGCTATTTTTGTCTGCTTAGTTTATTTGATGGCACTAGGCTCTTGCTAGACCCTGCTAGCGCTTCCTGAGAGGAGGAAGGAGTCTCCGAAAACTGGGCTGCCTGGTTCCTCTAGGTGGAGAAAGGAGTCTCCCTCTTCCCAGGGGATAGAGTGCTTCTGGGGTAGATTCTTATTGCAGCTGGACCCCCTTTGCCAGTGCCACCCACTCACCCAGCCTCTTGATGAGTGAGGAGAGTCTCATATCTACAGGAACAAAGAAGCTTCCCCAGCTATACGGCTAGTTTGCTTGCTGTGGCTCCCCATTGCTGGTGCTTCCTGACTGCTCAGCGTTTCTTTGTGGGAAAGCAGAATCTCAGGCTTTATGCAGAAGGGGCTCACATTTCTTGGTTGCTTATTTTTAGCATGGGTCTTGGTCACTCCCCATTGCATATGTTTCCTTGCTTCCCTGATATTGCTGACAGAATTCCTATTTGATTCAGGGGAGGAATGAACTACTTGGGCTGCCCTTCAATGCTATAGTGGAAATTTGGCACATTTGGGCTGGGTAGCCACTTTCTGTTGGGTAGAGGCTTGTAAAGGCCATGGGATACTATGTTTATCTTCCTGTTTTGTGATTACAAACTAGTTAACCTTTCACTTTCCACTTTGCGGAGTTCTCCTGCAGTTGCTTCTTGTATTACCAGGTTTATAGTTCTGAATAGTTGGGAGGAATGGAAAGAAATGAATCTATACCCTCTTATCCAAACTGGAAATCTAATTATGTCTTAATGTGTACGCCTGTACAACTAAGCTCTGATTACTTAAGCATTGGGATCAGGTCTTACTTGATGTCTTCAGAGGTTAATTTAGTTTCTTTTTTAAAAAAAATTCTTAATTTTTGTGGGTACATAGTAGTTGTGCATATTTATGGGGTACATGGGAAGAAGTTTTGATAGAGGCATGCAAGATGTAATAATCACATTATAAAAATGGGGTATCTATCTTCTCAAGCATGTATCCTTTCTTTGTGTTAAAAACAATTCAATTATACACTTAGTTATTTTAAAACATACAGCTAAATTATTGTTGACTATAGTCACCCTATTGTGCTATCAAATACTAGGCCTTATTCATTCTTTCTAACTATTTTTTGTACACAATAACCATCCACACCTCCCTCTCAACCTCCCACTACCCATCCCAGCCTGTGGTAACCATCCTTCTACTCTCTCTATCTCCATGTGTTCAATTGATTTGATTTTTAGATTTGACAAATAAGTGACAACATGTGAAGTTTGTCTTTCTGTGCCTGGCTGATTTCACTTAACATAACGACCTCCAGTTCATCCATGTTGTTGCAAATGACAGGATCTCATTTTTTATGGCTGAATAGTACTCCATAGTGTAAATGTACCATATTTTTAAAAATCTATTCATCTGTTAATGAAAACTTGAGTTGCTTCCAAATCTTGGCTATTGTTAACAGAGCTGCAAATAACATGAGAGTGCATATATCTCTTTCCTATGCTGTTTTCCTTTCTTCTGGGTATATTCTCAGCAGTGGGGTTTTTGGATTGTATGATAGCTTTATTTTTTAGTTTCTTGAAGAAGCTCTAAACTGTTCTCCATAGTGGTTGTACTAATTTACATTCCAGCCAATAGTATTTGAGGGTTCCCATGTCTCCACATTCTTGTCAGCATTTGTTGATGCCTATCTTTTGGATAAAATCCATTTTAACTGAGGTAAGAAAACTGTCTCATTATAATTTCGATTTGCATTTACTGATGATCAATGATGTTAAGCACCTCTTCATGTCATTTTGCCATTTGTGTGTCTTCTTTTGAGAAATGTCTATTTAAATTTTTGCTCACTTTTTAATAGAATCGTTAGAATTTTTTCCTGTAGAGTTGTTTGAGCTCCTTGTATATTCTGGTTATTAATCCTTTGTAAGATAGATAGTTTGCAAATATCTTCTCTCATTTTGTGGGTTGTCTCTTTACTTTTTTGAGTGTTTCCTTTGCTGTGCAGAAAGTTTTTAACTTGACGTGGTCCCATTTCTCCACTTTTCCTTTGGTTGCCTGTGCTTATGGAATATTACTCAAGAAATCTTTGCCCAAATTGATGTCTTTTAAGAGTTTCCAAAATGTTTTCTTGTAATAGTTTCATAGTTTGAGTTTTCATTCATTTGATTTTTCTGTATGGCAAGAAATAGGGGTCTAGTCCCATTCTTCTGCATATGGATATCCAGTTTACCCAGCACCATTTATTGAAGAGACCGTCCTTTCCTCAGTGTATGTTCTTGGCACTTTTGTCAAAAATGAGTTCACTGTAGATGTAGGGATTTGATTTGATTCTCGGTTCTCCATTCTATTTCAATGGTCTACATGTCTATTTTTATTCCAAAACCATGCTGCTTTGGTTACTGTGACTCTGTATTATAATTTAAATTCAGGTAATGTGATTCCTCCAGTTTTGTTTTTTTGCTCAGGGTAGTTTTGGCTGCCCTGGGTTTTTTGTGGTTCCATATTTTAGAATTGTTTTTTTCTATTTATGTGAAGAATGTCATTGATATTTTGATAGGGAATACATTAAATCTTCAGATGGTTTTGAATAGTATGAACATTTTAACAATAATGATTCTTGGAATCCACAAACATGGAATATTCTTTCATTGTTTTGTGTGTCCTCTTTAATTTATTTCATCAGTGTGTTATAGTTTTCATTGCAGAGCTCCTTCTTTGGTTAGTTCCTGGGTATTTAATTTTGTTTCTGGCTGTTGTACACAGAATTAAAAAAAATTGTTTCAAGAAATTTTTTACTTTTCTTAATTTCTTCATTGACTCACTGGCCATTTGAGAGCATTTTGTTTAACTTCCATGTGTTTGCATAATTTCTAAAATTCCTCTTATTTGCTTCTAGTTTTATTTCATTGTGGTCAGAGAGGAAGTTTGATATTATTTCAATTTTGTGAATGTTTTAAGACTTTTTGTGATGTAACATATGGTCTATCCTTGAGAATGATCTCTGTGCTAAGGAAAAGGATGTGTATTCTGCAGCCATTAAATGAATTGTCTTGTAAATATCTATTAGATCCATTTGGTCTATAGTGTATATTAAGTCCAGTGTTCCTTTATTGACTTACTGTCTTGAAGATCTGTCCAATGTCGAAAGTGAAGTGTGGTATTGAAGTCTCTAGTTATTAATGTATTAAAGTCTATCTCTCTCATTGGCTCTATTAATATTTGTTTTATATATCTGGGTGCTCCAGCATTGTGTGCATATATATTTAAAATTGTTGTTTCTTCTTGCTGAGTTGACTCCTTTATCATTATGTAGTGACCTTCTTTTCTTGATATTTTGTTGAAAATATATATTCTTGAAATATATTGTTGAAATATTTTGAAATTGAAATATATTGAAATTGAAACAATTGAAAATATATTGTTGAATATATATATATTCAACAATATATATATATTGTTGAAAAACTATATTCTTATAGTTTTTGTGTTGAAATCTACTTTTTCTTATACAAGTGTCGTCACTCCTGTTCTTTGGTTTCCATTGGCAGGGAATATATTTTTCCATCTCTTTATCTTGAGGCTATGTGTGTCTTTAAAGATGAAGTATGTTTCTTGTAGGCAACAGATCAAAGGGTCTTGTTTTATTAATCCATTCAGCCACTCTATGTCTTTTGATTGAAGAGTTTATTCTGTTAATATTCAATGTTATCATTGATAAAGGCTTACTCCTGCCATTTTGTTACTTGTTTTCTGGTTGTTTTGTGTTCTTCTCTTCCTTCTTTCTTTTCTTCCTGTCTTCATTTTAGTGAAGGTGATTTTCTCTGGTGATATCGTTTAGTTTCTTACTTTTTATTTTTTGTGTCTCCACTGGGTACATTTTGCTGGGAGGTTACCATGAAGTTTGCAAATACTATCTTATAACCCATTATTTTCAGTTGATAAAAACTTAGCACTGTTTGCATAAACAAACAAATAAACAAAATGAAAACTAATATAGACTGTATGTCTTAATTTTATCTTCCCAATTTTTAACTTTTTTGTTACTATTTATATCTTATTGTACTGTCTACATCTTGAAAACTTATTGTAGTTATTATTTTTGACTGGTTTATTGTTTAGTCTTTCTACTTAAGAGTAATTTACACACCACAGTTACAGTGTTATAATATTCTGTTTTTCTGTGTACTTAGTATTACCAGTGAGTTTTGTACCTTCAGATGATTTCTTATTGCTAATTAACATCCTTTTCTTTCTGATTGAGTACTCCCTTTAGCATTTCTTGAAGTACAGTTCCAGTATTGTTAAATACCGTAAGCTTTTGTTTGCCTGAAAAAGTATTTTTCCTTTATGTTTGAAGGACAATTTTATGGTTATTATAGGGTAAAAGTTTTTATTCATCAGTACTTTAAATATGTCATGCCACTGTCTTTTGGCCTGTAAGGTTTCCACTGAAAACTCTGCTGCCAGGTATATTGGAGCTCCACTGCATGTTATTGTTTCTTTTTTGTTGCTGCTTTTAGGATCCTTTCTTTATCATTGACTTTTGGGAGTTTGATTTTTAGATGCCTTGAGATAATCTTCTTTTGATTAAATCTGCTTGGTTTTCTATAACCTTCTTGTACTTGAATATTGATATTTTTCTCTAGGTTTGGGAAGTTCTCTGTTATTATCCCTTTGAATAAATTTTCTACCCCTATCTCTTTCTCTATCTTCTCTTTAAGGACAGTAACTCTTAGGTTTGCCCTTGTGAGGCTATCTTCTAGATCTTATAGGTATGTTTTATTGTTTTTTTAATTTTTTTTCTTTTGTATCCTCTGACTATGTATTTTCAAATAGCCTGTCTTCAAGCTCACTAATTCTATCTACTGCTTGATCAATTCTGCTATTAAAAGATTCTGATGCATTCTTCAGTATGCCAATTGCATTTTTCAACTTCAGAATTTCTGCTGGTCTTTTTAATTATTTCAAACTCTTTGTTAAATTTGTCTGATAGAATTCTGAATTTCTTCTCTTCAATTTCTTTGAGTTTCCTCAAAACAGCCATTTCAAATTTGCTGTTTGAAAGGTCACATATCTCTGTTGATCCAAGATTGGTCCCCTGTGTCTAATTTAGTTCATTTGGTGACGTCATATTTTCTTGCATGGTGTTGATGATAGAGGATGTTTTATTGTGTCTGCGCATTAAAGAGTTAGGCATTTATTGTAGCACTCTGGGCTTACTTGTACCTATTCTTCTTGGAAAGGCTTTTCAGACATTCAAAAGACTTGGTTATTGTGATCTAAGCTGCTTCTGCTTTAGAGTAGACTCTAAGCCCAGTAATGCTTTCATTCTTGCTGACTTGTGGAGATTCTGCCTTAATGGTCTTGGAGAAGATCTGGAAGAATTATCTGGATAACCAGGCAAAGACTGTTGTGCTTTTCCTTTACTTTTCTCAAAGAAACAGAGTCTGTCTTTCTCTGTTCTGAGTCACCTAGTGATGACGGTGGAGTGACAAAGGGACCCCTGTGGCCACCACTGTTATGACTGTGCCATGTTAGAACTGAAGCCAGCACAGCACTGAGTCTCACATGAGGCTTTTTGCAGTAACTTCTTCGCTACTACTTGTGTTTGCTCAAAGCCCTGGAGCTACAAAATCAGCAGGTAGCAAAGAGAGCCAGGCCTATATCTTTTTCTTCAAGGCAATGAGTTCTTCCAGCCCATGGGTGGGTCCAGAGGTGCCCTCAGGAAGCCAGGGACTAGTGTCAAAAACCTTAGAAGTCTCCCTGGTATTCTATTGTACTGTGGCTGATCAGGTACTCAAACCATAAGACACAGTGCTTCCCACTCTTCTCTATCCTTTTCAAAGACAGAGGAGCCTCATCCCATGGACACCATCACCTCAGGTCCATGTGACACACTGTTAGACTATCACTGATCTTCCCTTAAGTTTCAAGCGCTCTTTAATCAGTTTCTGGTGATTGTGGCCTGGCCTGAGACTCAACAGTCAGGGCAGTGGGCTCTTCTGGCCCAAGCCAGGTCCAGCAATTTTGTCCAAGAGCCAAGTCCTAGAAATGGGGACCTCAAGAGCCTGCTCGGTGCTTTACTCCCACATGGGCAAGCTGACACTTAAAGTGGAAAACAAAGTCCCCTTTACTTTTCCCTCCACTCTTGTCAAGCAGAAGGGGTCTTGCCCCATAGACATCACAGCTGGAAATGTGGTAAGTCTCACCTGAAGTCAGCAAGTCTCTTAGTCTCACTCAAGGCCCTTCACATAGTACCTAGGTATTGCTGCTGGTTATTCAGGACCCAAGGGCTCTTCAGTTAGCAGGTAATAAATTCTGCTAGGACTGGTTCCTTCCCTTCGAAGCAGCAGGTTCTCTTTTGGCTCTGGATGTGTCTAACAATGTCCAGGAGCTGGGGCCTTAAAAGGGAGCCTCATGACACTGACTGATGCCTTATGCTGCTGTGGTTGAGCTGGTATCCAAGATGCAAAACAAAGTCCTCCCTACTCTTCCCTCTCCTTTCCTGGAGTGGAAGGAAGTGGTTTATTTAGGAGCTGAGAGTTAAGGAAAGGCTGATGCCCACACTCCCTCACTCCCTTATCCACCCCAGCTGGTATCTCAGTGTGTGGTGTGTCTTCCCCAACATCCACTGTCTCTAGACCCAGTTCAGCACTAGGACTTGCCCAGGTGTTGTAGTCTTTGTGGCCTAGACTGGTTTTCTAGTTTACTTGTGGCCTCAGAGCACTTTAGCCCGTGGTGGTGAGGTTTCCAAGAAGTCAAGTTCCAACCTCTGGGATTAGCAATTCCCCTTGGTTAGGGCTAGTTTAAATGTTCCCGCTGTGGGTAGGCATCAGCTGAGTTTGATCTAGTTTTGCTTTCTGCTATAACAAGAGCAGCACTGAGTTCAATGCCTCACAATTGCTGGCTCTCCTTCTTCCTAGGTCACACTAACTCTCTGTGCCATGCAGCTGCTGCCAGGAGGTGGGGTAGGGGTGGCACTGGTGATTCAAGACTCTTTTTTCTACCACTTCAGTGCCTCTTTCAGCAATATGAAGTTAAAAAGAGGCACTGTGAGTGCTCATCTGATTTTTGGTTCTTATGGAGGTTGTTTTTTAAATTGGTGTCTTTGCGGGGTAGGGAGGGATAATTGATGGAGCCTTCTATTCTCCCACCTTGCTCCCAATAGTACCTCCCTATTGGGAACTCTTAATGTTATTATCATTCAGTGTTTTACATGATTTTAAAACAGAACTTTTTTTGCAGTATTAAGTGCACAACATTGAATAACTAGAATGCTTTCCGTAGTTTGAAGAACCCTGTGCTCATCTTTTAATATGATTGAATCCTGCAGCAAGTTAACAGAATTAAAACAGGTGGTCTTTGTTTTGTTTTGTTTTAAGTCAATTTACAAATCGTCAACCACAAAAGAATAAATGCAAGGGCTACGAGTTCATATCCCCAAATTCCCAATGCTCTTAGAATATGTGATTTCCATAACAAAATGTAAACACAATGGTTACAGGACACTAAGGTCTCCAATACTTAGAAAATTATCTCACTATTATTTTAATTATGATGTTTAATGAATCCTTAGTTATTGTATAATACTTCCAGAAGTCTGAAAATATATTAATGGTAATTTCTTGAAATGAGAGCTTATAGAGTCCCTGGGGTTGAAAAGCATAACACAGTCGTCTCTGAAACAATAGAACAATAAATAAAACATTAACATAAATGATAGCTAGCCTTGTAAAATTAATTGGTATTTGTGAACAAGAGGAAATTAAGAAAGAATAAGAGACCATCTGCTTACTCCTATGAAGGTGGAACTTCTATGATACTTCCTCTTCCTCTACCAACAAGTAAATAACTGATTACTGACTGAGGGCATTGAAAGTATTCTCTTATAAAGCATAACATTATAGATAAAGTGGCATGATTATTATTTAAAGGTAGACTATGAGAAGTTAAAGATGCATAACATAAGCCACATGGTGATCACTAAATTAAAATACATATTTAATAGGCCAATAATAAGTAAAATGCAATCCAAAGAAATACAAAATTGTTCCCCAAAAAAGTCAGGATAAAAGGGAGAATGGAACAAATGACATATTCCATAAAACAAAAATAACATGATTATTTAAAATTATCATTTAAAATCAATCTTTAACAACAAACAATATTGATAATTACATTAAATATAACTGGCCCAGATACTCTGAATTTAAGGAAGGGTTTCTCACACTAGTTAAAAAGTAAATTCAACTTTATTCTGTCTAAAATATGAAGGCAAAGAATGATTAAAAGTAAAAGAATGGAAAAAATATACGTTGTTCAAATACTAAACATAAGAAAGCTATGATGGTTATATTAATTTTGATAAAGTGGTGGCAGAAAAAAAGGAATATTACTAGGGATGAAAGGGCAATCCAGCATGATAAAAGATCAATTCAGCAAGAGGACATAACAGTTCTGACTGTCTGAGTGCAACTCACAAATCTTCAAAATGCATGCAACAAAAACTGACAGAATTTAAAATAAAGATAGAAAAGTCTCCAACTATTGTTGGTATTTTGACACTATTCTCTGAGTAATTGGTACATAAAGAAGATATAAAATCAGTAAAGATATACAACATTGAAACAAAACTATCAAGTTACTTGACCTAAAGATGTTTATAAAACAATCCACCCACTCAATAACAGAATACAAATTGTTTTAAATAAATTTTTAAGGATTCAAATCATTGATAGTATGTCTATTAATATAGAAGTAGAATGTATGATAGTCTATTCTTTAACCAAAGCAAATTATACTCAAACTTAACCAATATGAGAATATTTAGAAAAAATTCCTCATATGTTTGGAATTTTAAAAACACACTTTTTAATAACCCATCTGTAAAAAAGCTGTGAGGTGCAGCTATAGCATTCTTAGAGGGAAATTTATAGCTTTAAATTTTAATATTAGGAAAAACCTAAAGAAACAAGAGCAAGTATGACCTGAAGAAAGTAGAATAAATAAAACAGTAAAAATGAGAATGGAATTCAATGGAATAGAAAACAAACAATAAAATTCAATACAATAAAAGTTGGTTCTTTCAAAACAGCAATACAATTGATGAATCTTTTTAGCTGGATTCTTCAAAATTAATTAAAATCAACAAAATAGTAGTACAGGAAATCAAAGAACAAACATCACATTCAATCCCACAAACTGAGTTTTTTTAACCTCAGCTTTATTATTATTTTGAACTACATAGTTTTTTTTTTCATGGCAGGCTATTTTGTACATTTGAAGATGTTTAGCATCTCTAGCCTCTACCCACTAGATGCCAGTAGTAACCCATAGTTCTGACAATCAAAAATGTCTCCGAATATTACCAATATCTCCTGGGAGCAAAACCACGTTCAGTTGAAAACCACTGCTGTAATAGACAATAAGGTAATATTTTAAATAATATTTTGATAATAAATCAAGACAAAATGAAAGAATTCCTTGAAAAACAAACTATCAAAAGTGATTTTTTTAAAAAGAAAACCAGTATAGTCCTTTATCAATTAAAAACTTTGCAATTAATCTAAAAATGCCCTCCATAGTGATACATAGATACATATTCCTAATAAGTCAATACTTCCAAAAATAATTTTTACAAACTCTGGATATGCCTTAGGAATCTAGAAACTAAAGAAAAGCAGACAATTTTAGTGGAAGAGTTAGTTAAACCTGGAGCAAGCAAGAAGTGTGGAGTAAGTTTCCTTTTCTGCAACTTTACCAAAAAAGCAGCCATAATCTCAACAACTTCAGTGTCAGGCAGGTAGAATCTCATAGAAATACCAGCCATCTTTCTGGTTGAAAAAAAAAAAAAAACATGCAAGAAAGAGCCCAGCTACAGGTGTGTGTTTGGAAAACACCAGCAAGGAGAGTGCAGGAGAAGAGTTAATCCTATTTCTGTGTATAAAACCAGTCCAAATTTCAGCTTCATTTATGAACCATGATTACATAAGGCAAAATAAAGCCCCTTGGAGACAGAATTAAGAAACTGAACTGAGATTTTATCTATCATACACCAGAAGCATGGAAGTTCCTAATTTCTGCCTAAGCAAATTAAGTTCCTGTTATAAAACCATCAACACTTTTCAGAGCAATATAACAGAATATGGAGTGCAAACAACATAACGACATGATGTCAAAGTTTCAAATATGTATCACGTTTTTAAAAGCCAGAAAAATGTGACTCATTCTTAAGGAAACAGACCGTCAAAATATGACAACTCAAGATGACCCAGCTGGAATTCAAAATGAACAAATAAATAAATAAATTCAAGTATTATAAATATGCTCATTGAAGCAATGTAAAATATTATCGTAGTGAGTAAAACTATATGAAATTTTAGAATAGAAATACAAAATACAAAAAAGAATAAAAAGTGTTATAACTAAAGAATACAGTATTTAAAATAAAAATTATTGGATGGTCTTGGGAACAGAAAGATTAATGAAAAAAAGAAAGTACATTTAAAAATAGAAAAATAAGAATATCTAAAAAAGAGAGAAAAAAAGAATAAAAATAATTAAGAATATGTAAAGCCCAGACACTAAATAAGAGAAATTTGTTTAAAATATTATCTATATATGACAAGACATTTAAATTCTGAATATTTAAAATATTCAATTTTAAAAACAAATATTTGGTGGGAAGAAGATTAAAACATACACTCTACAAAAGAAGACATACACAAGGACAATAAGCACAAAAAAAAAGTTCAACATTATCGATCATCAAAGAGATGTTAAGTTACAACTCTGAGGAGTTACCACTACACATTCATTAGAAGTACTAAAATTAAATTAAAATTACTAAAATTAATAATTATAGATTATAATTTGGGAAAATGGAACATTGATACATAGTGAGAGGAATATAAAATCGCACAAGTACTTTTGTCAACATTTGGTAGGTTCTTGTAAATTTAAACATACACATACGTACAGAACAATTCAACTCCTAAGCAAGAAATGAAGACATTTATCTTCATGGCGACTTATATGTAAATATTTATAGTGGTCTTATTCACATTAGCCATAAAACGAAATTAAGCCAAATGTCATTAATGGGTGAATGAATAAAAAAAACATGGTATACTTTTACCATGAAATACTATGCAGAAATAAGAATAAGTAAATTGACAGTATGTGCAACAGTATGGGTGAGTTTCAAACTCATTATATTGAGAGGAAAAACAACCCAGCAAAGCATATATGCCATATGATTTCATTTATATGAAATGTAAGCTAACATATAGTAACAAAAATCAGGTTAGTGGTTGCCAGAGACCAAGGGTAAAAGGAAGTAGGGCTTGTGAAGGGGTATGAACAATCTGTTGGGAATATGGTGGTATTTTATAATTTGATTGTGGTTGCAGTTTTAAGGTTGTATACAGTTGCCAGAACATATCCTATTGTACAGTTTAAATAAAATAGGTTTACCATTCCTTCAAATGGCACATAAGAAATAATTAAACAAGCAAAAAAAAAACACACAAAAAAATCTCCCTATAAAGCAAACGTTAGGCCTAGTTGGCTTCACTGGTTAATTTTTTCAAATATATACATATATATATTTTTTTTAATTTTAAATTTTGAATTTTTATGGGTACATAGTAGGTGTATATATTTATGGGGTACATAAGACATTTTGATACAGGCATGCAACATGAAATAATCACATTATGGAAAATGGGTATCCATCCTCTTAAGCATTTATCCTTTGCATTAAAATTCAATTATACTCTTGGCCGGGCACGGTGGCTCACACCTGTAATCTCAGCACTTTGTGAGGCCAAGGTGGGCAAAATGTTTGAACTCAGGAGTTCAAGACCAGCCTGGGCAACATGGCATAAATCTGTTTCTACAAAAATTAGCTGGGCCTGGTGACTTGCGCCTGTATTCTTGGCTACTCGAGAGGCAGAGGTAAGAGGATGGTTTGAGCCTGAGAGGCGGAAATTGTAGTGAGCCATGATCGCACAACTGGACTCCAGCCTGGTTAAAAGAGTGAGACCCTGTCTCAAAAACAAAGCAAAATTCAATTATACTGTTTTAGATATTTTAAAATGTATAATTAAATTAATTTCCTCAACTATTGAATGAAGGAACATCAAGACTTTTGTTTAGATATTCAAGATGGATGTTAAAGTTCCGAGAATGTGTGCAACTGAAAAAAACACACAATAAAAACAGCTTCATGATGTTTGTCCCAATATTTCCAAAACTAATTTAATTAGAGTTTTTTTTTTTGCAATTTGATACTCATAAACATCACTAAGAATTATGGATAAGAGGAAGACCTCTCAGGGAATGACTTTGTGACTAAGTAAACTCTATGATATCAAGAAAATATTCATAAGTAACATGCTAGAAATTCTTCATGAAATGTTACAAAATAAGAAAATATTGGCATATTCAGACTTTATCATACAATGAGATAAACTAAAGAATCAGAAAGAAATATAAATGCTTATTCAAAAAGACATGATTAGAATGACCAATGCTTATACCATTCTTGTTACATGGAAGTGGCTGATTAAACAATGGTGAATGGATATAAAGAAGAAAGAACCTAAAATAATTTATCTTTCTTTTTTATCTTTCAAAACAAATGTAGATTTTTAAATTCACATATATGGTGCTCAAATATAATGCAGATATTTTTGAACAAAAACAACAACAAAATTCTGTCTTCAGTCAACATATCTTCATCTCTCTTTTATAGATTGCTACTTTCTAAATATTCCTAATAATCATATGTTTATTTGAGTAGCTAATTTTAGCTACTCAAATATGTTTATTTGAGTAGCTAATTTTAGCTTACACACCTGGAAGTTCTGTAGAATGCAACTTTCTTGATGCCTAAACTGGAGAAGCAAATGAAAAGCTCTTTGCAAATGGCTATTGTGAGAATATTTGCAGTGAAAATATGATTCTCAATTTGAACATATGTTAGCAAGAATTCTAATTAATTAGTTTAAAGGGCATATCAAAGAAGTAAGTCTATACGCTGCTAATCATGTTGTGATACAGTGCCATTTATGATAGATTTTTGGATGCTTTGCATATTTCTCAGATATGTTGTGTTGTTTGCTTAAAGGAATGCATTTTTTATTATTACTATTATACTTTAAGTTCTCGGGTACATGTGCAGAACATCCAGGTCTGTTACATAGGTATATAGGTGCCATGGTGGTTTGCTGCACCCATCAACCCATCATCTATGTTAGGTATTTCTCCTAATGCTATCCCTCCCCTATCCCCACCACCCCCCAACAGGCCCTGGTGTGTGATGTTCCCCCTCCCTGTGTCAATGTGTTCTCATTGTTCAACTCCCACTTTTGAGTGACAACATGTGATGTTTGGTTTTCTGTTCTTGCGTTAGTTTGCTGAGAATGATGGTTTCCAGCTTCATCCATGTCCCTGCAAAGGACATGAACTCATCCTTTTTTATGGCTGCATAGTATTCCATGGTGTATATGTGCCACATTTTTTTTATCCAGTCTATAATTGATGGGCATTTGAGTTGGTTCCAAGTCTTTGCTGTTGTGAATAGTGCCACAATAAAAATGCATTTTAAAGTATGTGCTAGTTCTAATTCATTCCCTGGGAATGAAAAGTAGAAGTAATGTGTAAGTTTACCAAAGTAGTCTAAAGAAACACCAAATAATTGGGTTTCTAATGCTCTTTTCAAGCTCCATGATGTAGGCAAATTGTAGTCTTTTAAAATAATAATATTTATTGTATTTTTATGTTTAAAGTAATGTAGATAAATTAAATTAAATAGATAATTTGAATAATAAAAATCATACTGAATAATCAAAAAAAATCCACAATGTTATCCCCTGGATTGAATCATTGTGAACATACTGTTTTTACTTTCTAGCCTACAAAAACATTGATATTAAAAATAAAAGAACTTTTTACTCCACTTTTTACCTTGGCTCCACAGTTCCAGCTTTTGACTGTATGGCTGTATAGCCTATGGATATGTGATTTTTAATGGTTGCATAAGTATAGAATAATAGTACAATAATTAAATTATAATTGTAATGTGATAATTATATTACTACATTTGATGATTATACCAAAATAATAGACTAATTTCTCTATAGTTAAGGAGGTACATTCTTTTGGATTGGTTTTTCTATTTTTGGAGATTATACAAAATAAATATCATTCTACTTGGTGCTAAGGGAATAAAAGTATTTGTAAAATATAGCAATGATATTTATTTAAGGGTCTATATCACAGAAACTTTACACCAGTCATTTCATTTAACCTAAAACAACATATGAAATAAGTAGTGATAACATTACTATCAATGTTTAGGAGAAAGATATCTGAATGCCTTCTTCATGGAAATCTCACTTATGTCTTATATAAAGTGACATCTTCTCATTTATGAGACCTCTCCAGCAAATCACATAAATGTTTCCATAAATTCCCCTAGCACCACTGATTCCTACTTCCAGTTGGGCCTAGCCAATACTTGCTTAAAATGCTCCTGTCTCTGCATTATTTATGCCTCTCTTTTGTGACCTTGATTTAAGCCTTTGAAGTAGTTCCCACTATCTCGAACATCATAAACATCAATCATTCTTGAGCAGAATTGATGAGGACATGTTTATATCTCACAGCACACCTTCCTAAATGGTAAATACGCAGCTGTCATTCAATTAATAGTTCTTGATTAATCTCAGGCGTATTTTCACCTTGTGTCTGTTTTAATTAGAAATATATTTCTTTTTGGTATTTCCAAATTCTGCAAGTATTTTTGGTTTTGCAGATCATCATCTGTGAATTCTAGCTCTCATTAGCATGATCTCCAATCCAAAATCTTCAGTATGACATTTACATCAATTTGTTACCTGAGGTCAGCTTAATTCCTCCCCTGACACACTCTCACTATCGCCTCTTATCTACCCACCTCCTCTATTTGATGTCTGTTTCCTCAGTGTATTCAACTCTAATGGTATTTCTTTTTTCTGAAAGCTCATATTTTGCTTCTCTTTTACCTAACACAATCTTTTATGTAGCTGCTATTTGCTTAAACTAAGTTCCTAGAGAACAGTGACCTCATTTATCCTATTTTGTATCTTCCAAAAACTCTTCATTCACAGGCATTTGATTCATGTTTACCTAATAAAATAAATGAAGGTTGAATAATGGGCTATAACATTTGTGCTTCTCTTTCTGGCTTCTCAATCATATCGGAACGCCTGCATAGTTGTGAACTCCATAGCTTCATTTTCTGTGCCTATACGATGTGCCAATTCTTAAAAACATAAATATATTAATTGCTGTATGACATACATGCAGGAAAAATTTTAAAAACACAAATCTTAAATATATAGCTCAATGAACTCTGTCAAATGTAGTACACTGATATATTGTCTATCCAAGATAAGAAATAGAAAGTTAGCAAGATCTCATATGCCTTGGAGAATCTTGTGTCTTATTCTAATCAAAAATCCTACCCAAAATCCCTTCATTCTCCCCAAAGTCAGCCATTTCCAGACTTACCACCATAGACTAGATTTCCCCATTTTTAACCTTCATATACATCAGACATTACTGATTACATGTTTTATGTTCAGGCTTATTTTACTCAGAATTGGGTTTGTGAGATTCATCTGTTTTTGCATGCAAGAGTTGTGAATTCAATTCCATTTCTGTGTAATATACCATGCTATAAATACACCTCAGTTTGTGTATACATTCATATGTTGATAACCATTTATTTTATTCCATATTAGGCCACTAAGAAAGTTTATCTATTAAATATACTTGTACAAGTGTGTTGGCACACATCTGTATACTTTTCGCATGAATATATATACCTAAAAGTGTAATTACTGCATTATTGGGTTATGTGCCCATTAAAATTTGTATGTACCGCCAAGTCACCAAAGTAGTTTGCAACTTATGTTTTTACCAGCAGTGTGTGATAGTGCCAGTTGCTTCACATATGCACCAAAATGCAGTATTGTTAGTCATTTTCATTACTGTCAATCTGGGGAATATGTAGCATTATCTCAGCTGAGTTTTAATTTGCATTTTCCACATAAATAATAATATTGGACATTTCAATTTTTGTTTTGCTATTTGTCATTTACTTATTGATATATGGAAATTCTAGATATGTATCAATTTCAGAGATTTCACAAATATCGTCTTGCACTCTGTAGTTTTTCTTTTTTCTCCTAATGTTTTTGATATGGAAAATTTTCTAATATTAAAATAGTCTAAAGTATAAGTTTTTTTATTTTATGGCCAGTGATTTATGTGCAACATTGAAGACAATTTTACTTATCCCATGAATATGACTATTTTCTTTCATGTTATCTCATACAAACCTTATTGTTTCCATTTTGACATTTAAGTTTACAATCAAACTTGATTTATTTTTATGGTCTGAGGTATAGGTAAATATCAATTAAAGCAACACTATTGAAAAGACTGTCGTTGCCCTACTCTTCTACATGGCTTTATTAATTGGCAAAAGGTCATCCGTTTCCTTCCAAGATATAAATCCAGGACTGATTTACTCTATAGCATAAAACAATAACAGAAAAAAAAGGAAAAAGTAAAGACACTAAACATTAGGTAATAAAAAGACACTAGACATTAGGTAATGAAAGACAGTAATTCCTGAAGTATGGGAAACAAACAACGGAAACTATTCAGTTGCTCCGGATTAGTACCTTGAGAATTTGCAGACGGTGAAACAGGGAATGGGCACTCAAGTAAAGCTTAGTGGACTTCCTGAGTTGAGGAGTTAAATTGAGACTTCAGGGAGTACAAGTAGTTCACTTAAGGACTAATCTGTGCACACGTATAAAGACATAGCTTGAAAATGGGGAAAGAACCATCCAAACTTATTAAAGAGAACATGAATCAATATGCAGAATAAACAGAAACATTGCCTGTTCCTACGAGATGGGCAGAACATGAAAATCAGTGGATCATTGTGTAGAGTGGTCATAAGGGTCTTGTCTCAATAACGGGGAATAACTAAAGCTAGGTTAAATGCTGCTCTGTTCTCACCTAACAAATCTTAAAATAATCACCAAAAGGATGAAGTAGATTTCAGATAATGGTACCCAGAACAAAGCTTAAGCATATTTCTAGAAATACAAAACTATCGATACCCAACAACATAAAATTTATATTTATTATCCAATAAAAAATGTACAAGGTACATAAAGAAACAGGAAAATATGACTAAATGGTAGAAAAAAATTGATCAACTGGAAAAATGGTAGAATTTGTACAGATGTTAGAACTGGCAGATGAGGAAAATAAAGCAATTATTATAACTGCATCCTACATGTTCAAAACTTAAGTCTAGACATAGAAGATATAAAAAGATCATTTTAAATTTCTGAAGATGAAAACTACAATGTCTAGGATAATAAATAAAATTATTGAAATTAATAGCAGATGAGATATTACAGAAGAAAAGTTGGTAAACTTGAATACATGGCAATAAAGCTATCCAGACAAAAAGCTAAATATTTTTTAAGTAAAAATAACATTAATAAGTTGTGTGAAAAATTCAAGCATACTAACCTATGTATGATTCAAGTCCCTGAAGGAGAGGGGTGTTTCAAATATTATTCAAGGAAATAAAAGCTAAAAACATCCCAAATTACATTATAAAAAAACAAAAATAACACCACAGATCCAAGAACCTTAATAAAACTGAAGCACAAGAAACAGGAAGAAAATGACAACAAGGCACATCATAATCCAATTGCTCACATTCTGTAACAAATAAAAAAACCTTAAAAAATCAAAAGAAAAAAGGTACAATGTGCAAACAAATAATAATAAGGATTAAGGCACATTTCTCATAAATAATGCATATGAAAATAAAGTGGAGCAATATCTTTAAAGTATTGAATGAAAAAATGTCAATCTAAAATCCTATACCAAATGAAAATGTTGAAAGAATTTATCACTAAAGTATCTGCACTCAAGAAATGTTAAAGAAAATTCTTGAGATAGAGGAAAAACTATACCATAAATAATTATGGACCTACATAAAGAAATTATGTGTGCAAGGAATAGAAACATGTGGGTAAATATGTAAAATATTTTTCTTACATTTAAAATCTCTTAAAGGATAATTGACTGTTAAATAAAAATACTGGTAATCCACTGTGGAGTTTATAAGATACATATAAGCAAAATATACAAAAATAATAGCACAAAGAGCAGGAGGAAAATAATTAAAGTATAATATTGTAAAGGTAAACTTATAATATATGTATAAGTTAAAGATGTATAATCTAAACCTTAAAGCAAATGCTCACATAATAAAATGAAGAATTATAGCAATCAAACCTACAAAGAAAATATACTATAATCATAGAAAGTATGCAATATGAAAGAAGGAAGGGAAATTAGAAAAGGAGAAAACAGATGGAATGAATAGGAAACAAATAAGAAATTGACAGATTTAAACCTAACCATGTCAATAATCATATTCAATGTAAATTGTCTAAGCACTCCAATGAAAAAGTAGAGACTGTCAGAATGGATTAAAAAAAAAAGGCGCACCAGAAATTTCCAACACTTGGAAACTAAACAACTCACTTTTCAATAATCTGTGGGTTAAAGTGAAAGTCTCTAGGAACATTATACTGAGCTGAATACAAATCAAATTACAATATATTAAAATTTGTGGAAAGCTATGAACTAAGTTTATAGCACTAAATGCCTACACTAAGAAAAAAAAATAGTCTTCATTCAAATACCTAAGCTCTGGCTTTAAGAAGAGTAACATAAACCCAAATCAAGTAAAAACTATGAAATGATAAAGATATAAGCAGAATACAATAAAATTAAAAATGAAAACAATACAGAAAGTCAATGAAACAAAAAGTTGGCTATTTTAAGCTTCACGTATAGCTATAATAATCAAGACTGTGTCAGTTGACACACAGATCAATTGAATAAAATAGATAATCCAAAAATAGCCCCTTGCAAGTATTGCTTTTGTTTGTTTGTTTTTTGGAACCAAAGTGGAAAAACAATTCAAAAGGGGAAAGATAGTCTTTTCAATAATGGGGCTGGAGTAGTTAAATATCCATACCCTCCCACCACAGAAAAGGAAGGAAGAAAGAAAAAGTTGAAAAAAAAAAATTAAACTCAAGTGTGTGCAAGAATGGAACTAATAAAGACCAGAATGGAAATCAATGAAGTAAAAGAAAAAAAAAATTGGGTCCTGTGGTAGGTGTAAGTTTAACTTAATAAGAATATTCCAAACACTTGGTTGGCTTGTATTACCACTGTTTTGCATTTTGATTATGTATTTTCTTTTTAATGGCCTGGCTAGTTTTTGTTAAGTGCTGTTTTGTAGTTTTCCTTGTAGAGATATTTCACTCCCTTGGTTAGGTTTATTGGTTAACTGCTGGACATTTTCTTTGAAAATTTTTGACTAACTGCTGGATAATTTTATCTTTCCCTAATAATTAAATTTTGCTTTTGGTGGGCAGTTTTTCTAGGGCAGATGATCTCTATCTCTCAAGAATTGAGATTATACAAAGACGTGCTCATAATTGGCAGGGTTGTTTATTTTGTTTTGACCTTTGTCCTACAAAGTAGTGATAGTAACAGGAGACAGACAAATTTGTAGGCAGACAGAGGTGGGTCCCCAGCAGGGCTCAACCTTCACCCTAAGGACTGAACTGCCAGTTCCAGATAGAGTCCACACCTTGGGCGAGAGCTTCTATTCCCATCTTACCCACTCCTTCTTGATTGGTTCCTTCTGGTTGATACCTTTTAACCAATTGAATGGTGCTTTTTCCATGCCCACCCATCAACCAATCAGCACGTACTCCCCCATTCTAAGCCCATTAACCACCCCGGATTCAGCCTCATAGATGGCTACCCACTTCAGGTCCCTTCTAGCTGTTGTAAGCTTTTTTGTCACTCAATTAAATTCTACTCTGCCTTGCTCAGTCTACAGTGTCCATGTACCTTATTCCTCTTGGTCATGGGACAAGAACCCAGAACCCACTAAATGGCAGGAGTGAAAAGAGCTGTAACACTCTCTCCCACTTGCCAAACTACAGGAGTGAAAAAAGCCACTGGGTGCCACTCCCTTCTGCCTAGCGAGCTGCTAGTGGCAGGAATGAAAGGGTTTGGAACGTCCTCTCCTGCTTACCAAACTGTGGGAACAAAAAAGCTATGACAGAAGCATTTCTGGGTCTTACTGAAAAGTTAAGGTATTTACCCAGGGTCTCTTGTTAACTGCAATTTAGTTTTCTAGTTCCAAGATAATTGACAATTAATTTAACATCTTAGCTTCTGAGTCAACACTTTTGTTGCCATAATTGCTAATTACCAAGCATAAAAAGGACCACAAATTCCCACATCTAGCTTGATTTCTCTGTTCTTCCAGATCTTGGTCTTGCACATTCCTACTACCTTGATGACTCATTAGTGACATCAGACATTTATTTTTTTCTTGTTAAGCTTTTCTGATTTTTCTTTACCTAAGGAATATTTTTGGTCTTGCATTCCACAAGTGAAACTTGTTTGATGGATTTTGTAACTTTTTTTGGGTTTAGAAAATTAAAAATAGCTAGCTTAACATTAAGAAAAAATGCAACAGTTAATATTTGGATTCTTCTTTCTCTGCTTACATGTTTTCCTCCTATTTCATAACTAGATATTTCCTTTTATCCCTTTATTTTATTCCACTTCTTTTCACTCTAGCCACTTTTCTTTTCTCCTTTCTCTCTCTGCTTACTATTCCTTCTCTATCCAATATCTTCAATTTTTCTTCCTTTAATTACTTACTAAAATCTGTGCTTGGGGACAATATGATAAACTTATTTTTACTGAACTAAAAATATTAATTACTCAAAGTTTCTTCTTGACATGGAATATTCAATGCCAAAGCTGGTTTTAAGGTACCTTGAACATAAATTTTTATAGGGATAGGGATTTCTTTCCAAAATTTTGTGATATCAGAAAAATGTAAAGTGATATTCTAGAATCTTTAAGTAAGATTAGTTTCTTGCAGCTGAAATGAAACAGTGAAGCAAAATGTAGCAACACATATGCATTTATATTGGTGAGGTCTCACTATACAATAAAATGATTTTTTCTTGCAGGCAATTCTTTTCTTCTTCTCTTCTTTATGTTGAGAAAGATCATTTCATAGCCAAAACTACTGGAAAAATACTAGCAGAAAAAAACTAACAGAAGTAGAAAGTGTATTATTTGTTTATGATACTAAGCAGCTAATATACCCCGACACTGTGTTCTTGAACTTCTGCTTCTGGGGAATGGGAAAATAATAAATACTGGCAAAAGAATTATAATATATTCATGAAGATGAATACTGGGATGAGATGCCATCCACTTATTTTTTAATATGCAAAGACTGAATGAATTAGAGTATCAGACTGATGTGGAAATTCTAGGAGAGCTATAGGAGGAGGGTTGATTACATTTGATCATGAAACAGTAGTCGGAGTTACAAATGGGAGAGAGGTGGTATGAATTCCATTCTATGAAGAGGAATCAATCTGAGCAAAGATTTGGAAGTTGGGGCACACAGAGTATGGAAAGGAAGTAGTGACAAATCTGACATGACTGAAGAAGAGTAATGTAGAGTGTATGGCAGGCAAGAAACATTGGCAGGCAAATTTGTATATAAGCTGTAGCTGACAACAAAAATAGTTTTGCCTTTTTGTAACAGTAGGGAGCTGTTGAAAAATTTTGACCAACAAATTGGATATCAAATAGATGCTTAACACACCAAGCAGTTAAGACCTTGAAGGCAGAGTCACCACATGAGAATTCCTCTACTTCTCCCCTGTGTTGCAAACAAAACAAAAATTTAAGTTTCCTTTGAAAGAGTGATATTGTAATGGAAATTTCATTAACCAATTCTAAAATATGATGCCCATGAATTCCTATGAATGCACATCAATTTTTATTCTTTTTTTAATTAAATTTTTTTCAATAGTTTTGGGGGAACAGGTGGTTTTAGTTACATAGATAAGTCTTTAACAGTGTTTTCGGTGCACCTGTCACCCAAGCAGTGTATACTGTACTCAATAGGTAGTCTTTTGTCCCTCACCCCCTTGAAGCCTTCATCCCCAATTCCTCAAAGTCCATTATATCATTGTTATACCTTGCATCCTCATAGCTTAACTCCCACTTATAAGTGAGAACAAATGATTCTTGGTTTTACATTCGTGAGTTATTTCGCTTAGAATGATGGCATCCAGCTCCATCCAAGACATTATTTAATTTCTTTTTATGCTGAGTAGTATTCCATGGTGCATATATACCACATTTTTTATCTACTTGTTGATTGATGGGCATTTACATTGGTTTCATATTTTTCCAATAACAAATTGTACTGCTATAAACATGCGTGTGCATGTGTTTTTTCCATAAAATGACTTTTGTTTCTGTAGATATCCAGTAATTAACTTGCTGGATCAAATGGTAGTTCTATTTTTAGTTCTTTAAGGAAACTTCATGCTGTTTTCTATAGTGGTTATATTAGTTTCCCACCAGCAGTGTAAAAGTGTTCCTTTTTTACCACATCCAAACAAACATCTACTATTTATTGACTTTTTAATTATGGCCATTCTTGCAGGAGTAAGTTGGTGTCTTATTGTAGTTTTAATTTGTATTTCCCTGATAATTAGTGATATTGAACATTTTTTCATATGTTTGTTGGCTGTTTGTATATGCTCTTTTGAGCAATGCCCATTCATGTCATTTGCCCATTTTGATGAGATTATTTTGTTTTCTTGCCAATCTGTTTGAATTCCTTGCAGATTCTGGATATTAGTCTTTTGTCAAATGCATAGTTTGTGAATATTTTCTCTCACTCTGTGTGTTGTTTGTTTACTCTGCTGATTAATTTCTTTTGCTATGAAAAAGAAATTTTAGTTTTTAGCTTTTTAGTTTAATTATGTCCCATTTATTTATTTTTGGTTTTGCTGCATTTGTTTTTGGGGTCTTAGTCATGAAATCTTTTCCTAGCCCAATGTCTCAAAGAGTTTTTTTATGTTATCTTCTTATAGTTTCAGGTCTTAGATTTAAGTTTTTGATCCAACTTGAGTTGAATTTTGTATAAGGTGAGAAATGAGGATCCAGTTTTATTCTTCTACATGTGGCTTGTCTGTTATCCAAGCACCATTTGTTTATTGAATAGGGTATCCTTTTCCCAATTTTTGTATGCTTTGTCAAAAATCAGTTGGCTGTAAATATCTGGCTTTATTTCTTGATTCTCTATCCTGCTCTACTGGTCTATGTGACTATTTTTATACCAATACTATGCCTTTTTGGTGGCTATGGCCTTACAGTATACTTTGAAGTCAGGTAATGTGATGCCTCCAGATTTGTTGTTTTTACTGAGTATTGCTTTGGCTATGTGGGCTCTTTTTTGGTTCTATATGAATTTTAGGATTCTTTTTTCTAGTTTTGTGAAGAATGATGATGGTATTTTGATAGAAATTGCATTGACTGTGTTGATTGCTTTGGGCAGTACAGTCAATTTCACAATATTGATTCTACCCATCCATAAGCACTGAATGTGTTTCCATTTACTCAAGTCATCTATGATTTCTTTCAGCAATGTTTTGTAGTTTTCCTTGTAGAGATCTTTCACCTCACTGGTTAGGTACCTTCCTAGGTATTTTATTTATTTGCAGCTGTTGTAAAAAGGATTGAGTTCTTGATTCTATTCTCAGCTTGGTCATTGTTGGTGTATAGCTGTGGTACTTATTTGTGTACATTGAATTCGTATCCTAAGAGTTTATTGAATTTGTATATCAGAACTAGGAGCTTTTTGGAGGAGTCTTAAGGGTTTTCTAGGTAAACGATCATGTCATTGGCAAACAGCAATAGTTTGACTTCCTCTTTTCCAATTCGAATGCTTTTTATTTCTTTCTGTTGTCTGATTGCTCTGGCCAGGACTTCTAGTACTAAGTTGAATAGAAGTGGTGAAAGTGGGCATCCTTGTCTCGTTTCAGTTCTAAGGGGGAATGCTTTCAACTTTCCCCATTCGGTATTATGTTGGCTATGGGTTTGTCATATATGGCTCTTATTACTCTGAGGTATGTCCCTTCCATGCTTATTTTGTAGTGGGTTTTTATCATAAAGGTATGCTGGATTTTATCAAATGGTTTTTCTGCATCTATTGAAATGATTATATGATTTTTGTTTTTAATTCTCTTTATGTGATGCATCACATTTATTAATACATCAATATCAATGTTATTGATATTGTATATTAAACTATCTCTGTATCCCTGGTATGAAACCCACTTGATCATGATGTATTACTTTTTGATATGCTGTTGCACTTGGTTATCTAGTATTTGTTGAGGATTTTTGCATCTGTGTTCATCAGGGATATTGGTCTGTAGTTTTCTGGGTTTTTTTTTTCAGTCCTTTCCTCGTTTTGGTATTAGAATGATACTGGCTTCATAGAATTATTTAGGGAGCCTTCATTCTTTCTCTGCCTTTTTTGTTGGTAATTTTTAAATAATTATTACTGGTTCAATCTCGCTGCTTACTATTGGTCTTTCAGGGTTTCTATTTCTTCCTGATTTAATCTAGGAGGGTTATATATTTCCAAGAATTCATCCATCTCCTCTAGATTTTCTAGTTTGTGCACAGAAATGTGTTCTTAGTAGCCTTGAATCACCTTTTGTGTTTCTGTGGTATTGGTTATAATATCTCCAGTTTCATTCCTAATCAAACTTATTTGGATGTTATCTCTTTGTTTCTTGGTTAATCAAATAACCAGTTTTTTGTTTCACTTATCATTTATATGTTTATGTTTCAATTTCATTTAGTTCTGCTCTAATCTTTGTTATTTCTCTTTTTCTACTAGGTTTGGATTTAGTTTGTTCTTGTTTCTCTAGTTCCTTGAGGTGTGACCCTAGATTTTCTATTTGTGCTCTTTCAGACATTTCGATGTAGGCATTTAATGCTATAAACTTTCCTCTTTGCACCACTTTTGGTGTGTCCCAGAGACATTGTGATAGACTGTGTCACTATTATTGTTCAGTTCAAAGAATTTTTTAATTTCGGTCTTGACATCATTATTAACCCAAAGATTATTTAAGAGCAGATTATTTAATTTCCATATAGTTGTATAGTTTTGAGGGTTTCTTTTGGATTTAATTTCCAGTCTTATTCCTTTGTGGCCTGAGAAAACACTTGATATTATTTCAATTGAATTTGGGACGTTTTTGTCATCTATCATGTGTTCTATTTTAGAGAATGCTCCCTATGCTGATGAGAAGAATATATATTCTGCAGTTTTGAGGAAGAATGTACTGTAAATAGAGTTTAAGTCCTTTTATTGTTGTTGTTGTTGACTTCTGTCTTTATGTCAGAAGCTGTCAGTGGAGTACTGAAGTCTCCCACTACTATTGTATTGCTGCCTATCTTATTTCTTCTGTCTAGTGGTAATTGTTTTATAAATTTGGGAGCTCCAGTGTTAGGTGCATATACATTAGGATATATATTAGTCCTATTTTCCTATTGGACCAGTTCTTTTATTATTATATAATGTCCTTCTATTTATTATATAATGTCCTTCTTTGTCTTTTTTTTTTTTAACTGTTGTCTAATATAAGAATAGCTATTCCTGCTGGCTTTTGGTTTCCATATGCATGGAATATCTTTTTCCACCCTTTACCTTATATTTCTGTGAGTCTTTATGTGTTAGATGAGTCTCTTGAAGACAGCAGATATTTAATCGGTGTTTTTCTAAAACCATTCTGCCATTCTGTATTTTTAAGTGGAGTATGCAGGCCATTTACATTAAACATTAATATTGGGATATGAGGTACTGTTCTATTCATCATGACGGTTGTTGCCTATATACTTTGTTTTTTTTCATTGTGTTACTGTTTTATAGATCCTGTAAGATTTATGCTTTAAGGAGGTTCTATTTTGATGTATATCAAGCTTTTGTTCACAGATCCAGAACTCCTTTTAGCATTTCTTGTGCTCGTTTGGTAGTGGCAAATTCTCTCAGCATTTGTTTGCTTGAAAAATAATTTATCTCTCCTTCATTCATAAGGCTTAGTTTTGCTAGATACAAAATTCTTGGCTGACAATTTTTTTGTTTAAGGAGGCTAAAGATGGGACCCCAATCCCTCTGGCTTGTAAGGTTTCTGCTGAGAAATCTGCTGTTAATCTTACATGTTTTCCTTTGTAAGTTACCTGATGCTTTTGTCTTGCGTCTCTTAAGATTCTTTTGACATTTGGATGTCTAGGTCTCTAGCAAGGCCAGGGAATTTTTTCCCAGTTATTCCCTCAAATAAACTTTCCAAACTTTTAGACTTCTCTTCTTCCTCAGGATCACCAATTATTCTTAAGTCTGGCCATTTTACATAGTCCCATATTTCTTGGAAACTTTGTTCATTCTTTATAAATTCATTTATCTTTGTCTTTGTCTAATAGAGTTAATTCAAAAGTCTAGTCTTCAAGTTCTGAAATTTTTTCTTCTACATGTTCTAGTCTATTGGTGAAACTTTCCACTGCATTTTGTGTTTCCCTAAGTGTGTCTTTCATTTCCAGAAGTTGTGATTGTTTTTTTCTTTATGATATCTATTTCTCTGGAAAATTTTTCTTTTATATTCTGGATATTTTTAAAATTTAAGTTGATTTTCACCTTTCTCTGGTATCTCCTTGAGTAGTTTAATAATCAACTTTCTGATTTCTTTATCTGGCATTTCAGAGATTTCTTCCTAGTTTTGGTCCATTGCTGGGGAGCTAGTGTGATCTTTTGACGGTATTATAGAACCCTGTTTTGGCATATTACCAGAATTACTTTTCTGGTTCTTTCTCATTTGGGTAGACTATTTCTTCAAATTGTTCTTGAATTTATTTTTGATTGGACTGTGTATTTTTACATTTCTTTTCTTTCCCACTTAAGGATAGGATTTTGATGTTAATAGTTTATTTTAGCCTAATTTGATTCTTGATGCTTTTAGGAGTAAAGACTCTATATGAGTTCCTTCGTTATAGAGAGTGTTTGTGCATTGGCTTTCCCAGATGCTGGTTGTAGTAGTTGTGTATTTGGTGTGTGAATGAGTTCACTGTCTCCTATGGGGCTGGAATGTCAGGGAAGCTTATCTCATTTTCTTATGGTGTATAATTTATTTACTTAGTTTTCCCCCAGTATTTTACTTACTGAATTGATGATTTGGGCTTCAGGCCAATAGGGGATATATCCCTGGATAGGCACTGATTGTAGCTAAGGCAGGTAGGTAGATATAATACCCAGTGGCTGGCAGGGGTCCTGGCCTTGATGAAGGTAGTTGGGGGAGTTCTCAATTAGATGTGTGGAGGTTTTATCAGAGTGAAGAATGGGAGCTACCTCAGCTCCCCTGCCAGGCCAGCAAGAAAATGATCTACCTCATGGCCTCACATCTGCCCCCGTGTCCCAGCTATTTAGATCAGACAGGCACCGCTTTTCATCTGTAGGAAGATTGATGTTCCACGCAGGGAAGAATTAGACTCTGCCTCTTTTACAGGCCTGAATGTGGGGAGTGCTCCTCCTATGTGGCTGCAATCACCCTGCCTTCTTCCAGGAAGGCTGTCTATAGGTGCATCCATGCTGCATTCCCATGGGGGACACCCTAGCTGTGTCCACAGTGGTGTGCCAAGAGAAAACACGGACCTCTTCTCCAAGGCCTTCCATAATCATAGAAGCTGCCTGCCTATTGGGGTAGATCTGCACTTGGGGTACTTTTTGTACTGTGCCCAGAACTACAGTTGTGTCTCCACTATAAGAAACTTTCCACCAGCAGAAAGATCTGAGGCTGAAATCCTGCTGTTCAGATTGTTTTGTTCCATGTGGTGATTTCTTGATGTGGTACTCTGAGAACCAGACCACAGTGCTCGTTATTGCTCTTCTGAATCTAGCCATCCAGTGAGACTACCAGGTTCTGGGCTGCTGGTGGGAAATGTCTGAGAAGGATCCGGTGATATGACCTGTCTTTAGATCTCCAAGCAGTGAATACCAGCACCTACTCTGATGGAGGTGGCAAGCAGTGACGTAGACTGTGTGATTCCTTGATTGTAGTTAAGCTTAGTGTGTGCGGGCTTTCTCAAATGCTGCTTATGCTAGTAATGAATTTGTCACATGGATAGACTGAGGACCTCTAGTTAGCCAAGGTGTTGCAGGCAGTGGTGTTAGTAGCCATTTTTTTTTTCCTTCCTAGGTGCAGTGTTATTCTGCCAAGAGGTGCTATAATGGCCTGAGTTGGTTGGCCTCCAGCCAGGAGGCACTTGCAAGAGGGCACCAGCTGCAGTAGTGGCAGTGGTATTTGAGCTTGCCCTGAGTTGTCCAGGGGAATTAGTCTTGTTTTTCAGGTGATGGGCAGGGTCATAGAGCTCCCAAAAGTTTATGTCTTTTGTGTTAAGCTACTGGTGTGAGTAGAGAAATAACATCAGTTGGGGGCAGGGTTTGGAGGGTCTGAGCTCAGACTCTCCTTGCGCAGGGCCTGCTGTAGCCACTGTGGGAAACAAGGGTTGGTTTTTAGGCCATTAGGGTAATGTTCCAAGTGGGAGTATAATTGCCTCTTTTCTTCAGTTTCTTTCATCGTTGCTTTATTGTTTTTATTATAGAGATCTTTCCCTCCTTTGGCTAAGTTTATTCCTAGGTATTTAATTTTTATTTGTAGCTATTGCAAGTGGAATTACCTTCTTGATTTATTTTTCAGATTGTTCATTGCTGTCACGTAGAAATGTTGCTGATTTTTGTATGTGAATTTTGTATCCTTCAAGTAAACTGAATTTGCTTCTCTTATAGTTTCTTGGTGGAATATTTAGGTTTTTCCTAATATAGGATTATATCATCTGCAAATAAAGATAATTTGGTTTCTTTCCTTCCAGTTTGGATGCCCTTTATTTGTTTCCCTTATCTGATTGCACTAGCTAATACTTCTATTATTGTGTTGAATAGCAGTCGTAAAAATGGTCATCCTGTTCATGTTCCAGATGTTAGAAGGAAAACATTGTGTTTCCCATTCAGTGTAATACCAGTTATGGATTTGTCATAAATGTCTTTTATTACACTGAGTTATGTTCATTCTTTACCTAGTTTTTTTATTTCAGAATAAAACTTAAGTCCAGTTTTATTCTGAAAGTATGTTGAATTTCATCAAATGCTTTTTCAGCATGAATTGAAATGGTCATATGGATTTGTTCTTCATTCTGTTGATATGATGTATCACATTGATTCATTTGCATATGTTGAATCATTCTTGCATTTCTGGGTTAAATCCCTGTTGGTCATGGTGAATGAATTTTTTAGTGTGTTGCTGAATTCTATTTGCTAATATCTTATTAAGGATTTTTGCATCATTGTCAACCAGATATAATGGCCTGTAGTTTTTTTTTCTTTGATGTTTTTTCTGGTTTTGGTATCAGAGTAATACTGGCCCTGCAGATTGAGTTTAGAAATATTTTCTCACCCTGTATTTTTCAGAATAGCTTGAGTGGGATTGATATTAGTTCTTCTTGAAATGTTTGGTGAAATTCAGCAGTAAAGCCATAGAGTCCTGGGCTTTTCTTGCCTGGGAGACTTTTTTTTATTATGATTTCTTTTTTATTTTATTTTATTTTATTATTATTATACTTTAAGTTTTAGAGTACATGTGCACAATATGCAGGTTTGTTACATATGTATACATGTGCCATGCTGGTGTGCTGCACCCATTAACTCATCATTTAGCATTAGGTATATCTCCTAATGCTATCCCTCCCCCCTCCCCCCACCCCACGACAGTCCCCAGAGTGTGATGTTCCCCTTCCTGTGTCCATGTGTTCTCATTGTTCAATTCCACCTATGAGTGAGAACATGCGGTGTTTGGTTTTTTGTCCTTGCGATAGTTTACTGAGAATGATGGTTTCCAATTTCATACATGTCCCTACAAAGGACATGAACTCATCATTTTTTATGGTTGCATAGTATTCTATGGTGTATATGTGCCACATTTTCTTAATCCAGTCAATCATTGTTGGACATTTGGGTTGGTTCCAAGTCTTTGCTATTGTGAATAGTGCCGCAATAAACATACGTGTGCATGTGCCTTTATAGCAGCATGATTTATAGTCCTTTGGGTATATACCCAGTAATGGGATGGCTGGGTCAAATGGTATTTCTAGTTCTAGATCCCTGAGGAATCGCCACACTGACTTCCACAATGGTTGAACTAGTTTACAGTCCCACCAACAGTGTAAAAGTGTTCCTATTTCTCCACATCCTCTCCAGCACCTGTCGTTTCCTGACTTTTTAATGATTGCCATTCTAACTGGTGTGAGATGTTATCTCATTGTGGTTTTGATTTGCATTTCTCTGATGACCAGTGATGGTGAGCATTTTTTCATGTGTTTTTTGGCTGCATAAATGTCTTCTTTTGAGAAGTGTCTGTTCATGTCCTTTGCCCACTCTTTGATGGGGTTGTTTGTTTTTTTCTTGTAAATTTGTTTGAGTTCATTGTAGATTCTGGATATTAGCCCTTTGTCAGACGAGTAGGTTGCGAAAATTTTCTCCCATTTTGTAGGTTGTCTGTTCACTCTGATGGTAGTTTCTTTTGCTGTGCAGAAGCTCTTTAGTTTAATTAGATCCCATTTGTCAATTTTGGCTTTTGTTGCCATTGTTTTTGGTGTTTTAGTCATGAAGTCCTTTCCCATGCCTATGTCCTGAATGGTAATGCCTAGGTTTTCTTCTAGGGTTTTTATGGTTTTAGGTCTAACATTTAAGTCTTTAATCCATGTTGAATTAATTTTTGTATAAGGTGTAAGGAAGGGATCCAGTTTCAGCTTTCTACATATGGCTAGCCAGTTTTCCCAGCACCATTTATTAAATAGGGAATCCTTTCCCCATTGCTTGTTTTTCTCAGATTTGTCAAAGATCGGATAGTTGTAGATATGCGGCGTTATTTCTGAGGTTTCTGTTCTGCTCCATTGATCTATATCTCTGTTTTGGTACCAGTACCATGCTGTTTTGGTTACTGTAGCCTTGTAGTATAGTTAGAAGTCAGGTAGCATGATGCCTCCAGCTTTGTTCTTTTGGCTTAGTATTGACTTGGCAATGCGGGTTCTTTTTTGTTTCCATATGAACTTTAAAGTAGTTTTTTCCAATTCTGTGAAGAAAGTCATTGGTAGCTTGATGGGGATGGCATTGAATCTATAAATTACCTTGGGCAGTATGGCCATTTTCACGATATTGATTCTTCCTACCCATGAGCATGGAATGTTCTTCCATTTGTTTGTATCCTCTTTTATTTCATTGAGCAGTGGTTTGTAGTTCTCCTTGAAGAGGTCCTTCACTTCCCTTGTAAGTTGGATTCCTAGGTATTTTATGCTCTTTGAAGCAATTGTGAATGGGAGTTCACTCATGATTTGGCTCTCTGTTTGTCTGTTATTGGTGTATAAGGATGCTTATGATTTTTGTACATTGATTTTGTATCCTGAGACTTTGCTGAAGTTGCTTATCAGCTTAAGGAGATTTTGGGCTGAGACGATGGGGTTTTCTAGATATACAATCATGTCGTCTGCAAACAGAGACAATTTGACTTCCTCTTTTCCTAATTGAATACCCTTTATTTCCTTCTCCTGCCTAATTGCCCTGGCCAGAACTTCCAACACTATGTCGAATAGGAGTGGTGAGAGAGGGCATCCCTGTCTTGTGCCAGTTTTCAAAGGGAATGCTTCCAGTTTTTGCCCATTCAGTATGATATTGGCTGTGGGTTTGTCATAGGTAGCTCTTATTATTTTGAGATACGTCCCATCAATACCTAATTTATTGAGAGTTTTTAGCATTAAGAGTTGTTGAATTTTGTCAAAGGCCTTTTCTGCATCTATTGAGATAATCATGTGTTTTTTGTCTTTGGTTTTGTTTGTATGCTGGATTACATTTGTTACTGGTGTGTTCAGGTTTTGAATTCATTCACCATTCAATCTTGGTAGATTGTATGTGTCTAGAAATTTGTCCATTTCTTCTAGGTTTTCTAATTTCCTGTCATATACTTCCTAATAGTAGCCTCTAATGATCCTTTGAATTTCTGCAGTATCAGTTATAATGTCTCCTTTTTCATTTCTGATTTTATTTATTTGGGTCTTCTCTCTTTCTTAGTTAGTCTGGTGAAATATTTATCAATTTTGTTTATCTTTTCAGAACAACTTTTCTTTTTGTTGATCTTTTGTATTGTTTTCTTCATTTCAATTTCTTTGTTTCTGCTTTGACTTTTATTATTTCTCTTCTCCTCCCAGCGGGTTTCTGAGTTCTTTATGATGCATTGTTAGGTTCTTTATTTGAAATTTTTCTTTTTTGATGCAGGCACTTATACGTATAATGTATCCCTATGAGATACTGCTTTTACTGTTTCCCATATGTTTTGGTATGTCGTGTTTCAATTTTCTTCTTTCTTCTTTTGCATTTGCCATTCCAGAGAATATTGTTTAATTTGCATATGCTGACCTAGTTTTCAAAATTTCACTTGTTATTGATATCTAGTTTTCTTACCTTAAAGTCAGAGAAGATGCTTGATACTACTTCTATATTTTGATTTTATTTTTTTAAGATTTGCCTTGTGGCCTAACATATGCTCTATGCTTGAGAATGACCCATGTATTGAGGAGAACAATGTGCATTCTGCAACCATTGAATGAAATGTTCCCTAAATAGCTATTAGGTTCATTTTTTCTATAGTGCAGCTTAAGTCCAATGTATCTCTGCTGATTTTCTATATAGATGATCTGTCCAGTGCTGAAAAATGGGCAGTTGAAGTCTACAGCTAATAGTGTATTAGGGTCTATCTCCCTTATTAGTTGTAATAATATTGTTGTATATACCTGGGTGCTCCAGTGTTTGGTGCACATATATTTACAATTGTTATATCTTTTTGCTGAATTGACTCTGTTATCATTATATCATGACCTTTTGGCCTTTTTATTATTTTTGTCTTGAAATCTACTTTGTGTGATATAAGTATAGCTACTTCTCCTCTTTTTAAGTTTTCATTTACATTGTATATCTTTTTCCATCGCTTTTTTTCAGTCTATGTGTGTCTTTATGAGTGAAATGTGTTTCTTGTAGGCCACAGATTATTAGGTTCTGTTTTGTTTTAATCTATTCAGTCACTCCTTGTCTTTTTATTGGAGAGTTTTGTCTAACTTACATTGAATGTTATCATTTATAAGTAAAGACTTACTCCTGCCATTTTGTTATTTGTTTTCTGGTTGCTTTGTGATCTTCTCTTCCTTCCTGTCTTCCTTTTAGTGAAAGTGATTTTCTCTGAAGGTATGTTTTAATTTCTTACTTTTTAGTTTTCATTTATTTGTTGCATGTTTTTAGATTTGAGGTTACCATGAAGATTGCAAATAATATCTTATACCCCATTTTATTAAAACTGTTGACAACTTAACACTGATTGCATAAACAAACTTACAGATGAACCAAGCGAAAACCAAAAAGTACTCTACTCTACATTTTGACTTCATTTCTTTGTTTTTAACTTCTTGTTGTATCCATTTGTTTTTTATTATACTGTAAAACTTTGTTGTAGTTACAATTTTTCATATATTTTAGTCTTTCTACTCAAGATATGACTAGTTTATATACCACAACTATAGTTGTTATAATTTTCTGTGTTTTTATGTGTACTTACAAGAGAAAGTGAGTTTTGTACCTTCCAGTGATTTTCTATTGGTCCTTACCATCCTTTTCTTTTGGATTGAAGAACTCCCTTTAACATTTCTTATAGGACAGGCCAGGTGTTAATGAAACCCGTCAGATTTTGTTTGTCTGAGAAAGTCTTTGTTTCTCCTTCATGTTTGAAGAATATTTTCACTATATATTCTAGTCTAGGGTAAAAGTTTTTTTTTCCTTCAGTGCTTTAAATATGTCTGCCACTTTCTCCTGGCCTGTAAGGTTTCCACTAAAAAGTCTGCTGCAAGATATATTTTAGCTTCATTGCAGGTTATTTGTTTCTTTATTGTTGCTGCTTTTGGTATTCTTTCTTCATTCTTAAACTTTGGGAGTTTGTGTATTAGAGCCCTGGAGGTAGTCTTATTCGGGTTAAATCTGCTTGGTGTTCTATATAGCCTTTTATTCTCCTTGGTTATTTATATCTTTCTCTTGGTTTTAGAATTTCTCTGATATTATCTTGTTAAATAAACTTTCTACCCCATCTCTCTCTGTCTCACCTTTAAGACCAATAACTGTTAGATTTGCCCTTTTGAGGCTATTTTCTAGATCTTGTATGCATGCTTCGTTTGGTTTTTCATTTTTTATTTGTCTTCTCTGATGGTGTTTATATACCCTTCCTTCAAGCTTACTAATTCTTCCTTTAATTTGACCAATTCCATTATTAAGAAACTCTGATGCATTGTTCAGTATGTCAGTTGAAGTTTTCAGCTCCATAATTTCTATTTGATTTTTTTAATTTTTTCTATTTCTTTATTTATTTTGTCTGACAGGATTCTGAACTCCCTGTCTGTGTTATTGTGAATTTTTTTCAGTTTCCAATAAACAGCTCTTTTGAATTATTTGTCTCAAAGGTCACATATCTCTGTCTCCCTTGGATTTGTCCCTGGTACTTATTTAGTTAATATGGTGAGGTCATGTTTTTCTGGATGGTCTTGATGCTTGTGAATGTCATCATTGTCTGGACATTGAAGAGTTAGATATTTATTGTAGTCTTTGCAGTCTGGTCTTTTTTATACCCATTCTTCTTGGGAAGGCTTTGCAGGTATTTGAATGGAATTAGATGTTGTGATGCAAATTTTGGTCACTCTAGTCTTATATATAGTTCTTGTAGACTTGTAGAGGTACTGTCTTTGTACCTAGGTACTTAGATCTTGGATAAGATCTAAAAGAATTCTCTGGATTACAAGGCAGAGATTCTTATTCTATTTTTTCATTTTCTCCCAGGCTTACAGAGTCTCCCTCTCTCTGTGCTGAGCTGCCTGAAAATTGTGAAGTCATGACATAAGCTCCCCTGTAGCCACCACCACTGAGACTCTGTTGGGTCAGATCTAAACCCATCGCACTGGTTCTTGCCCAAGGCCCACTGTAACAACTGTCTAGCTATTGTCTATGTTTTCTCAAGGCCTTAGGGCTGTAAAATCAGAAGGTGGTGAAGCCAGACAGGCTTGTGTACTTCCCTTCAGGGTGTCAATCTCCCCTAGACCCCAGGTAGATCCAGAGATGCTGTCTGGGAGCCAGAACCTGGAGTCAGAAACCATAGAAATCCACCCAGTATTTTATTCTACTGCAGCTAAGCTGGCACTAAAACCATAAGATTCCATCCTTTCCACTCTTTGTTCCCCCTTTCTAGAGCAGAAGAGTCTCTCCCCATGTCCTCCACCACCACCACCACCACCATGGGTAACACTATCAGTATTACCCATCGAAATACGGCCAGAGTACCACTGATGTTCACTTAAGGTGAAAAGGGCTTGCAGCTATTGCTGCCAGGTCTGGAACTCACTTCTTTGGGTGTTGTGCTCCCCTCTGGCCATGGGTAAATCCAGAAATGCCACCCAACAGCCAATATCTGGAATCAAGGACCCCAAGTGCCTGCTTGGTTTTCTTTCCCCATTGTGGCCAAGCTGCTACCTAAGCTGCGAAACGAAGTACCCTTTATTCTTACCTCTCCATTTCTCAACCAGAAGGAGTCTATTCTCACAGCTAACACAGCTGTGAATGTGCTGGGTCACACCAGACAACAGCATATCTCAGAGACTCACCTAAGGCCTGTGGAGTTTACTAACTGGTTACTGCTTCTGGTTATTTAGTGCCCATGGGCTCTTTAGTGAGCAAGTAATGAATCCTGGCAAGACTGGATCCTTCCCTTTGGGACGGTGGGTTCCTTTCTGCCCTAGGATTTGTCTGGAAATGTGATATGAGAGCTAGGGCCTAGAATGGAGTCCTCATATCTCTGACCAGTGCCCTATTTAACTGTGGGTGAGCTGGTATCCAAGTTGCAAAACTAAGTCCTCTTTACTCTTCCCTCTCTTCTCCTCAAGTGGAAGGAAGTGGCCTCTTTTGTAGCTGCACTACCTGGGTTGGAGAAGAAGTGACATAAGCACTTCCTAGCTGACATCGCTGGTGTCTCATTAGGTTGTGTACTCCCCAAGACCACTGGCTCCAGGCCTACCCCAGAACTAGAACTTGCCTAAGAATTGCAGTCCTTGTCGCCTCGACTGCCTTTCAAGTTTATTTGGTAACCCAGGACAGTTTAGCTGTTGTGGTGAGGCTTGCTGAAGCTCAAGATCCGACTGCTGGAATCGGCAATTTCACTATGGATAAAGCTGGTCTAAATGCTCCTGCCATAGACATAGACTGAGTTTTGTCTGGTGTTGGCAGCACTTAGTTCCAGGGTAAAGTGTCACGATTGCTGCACTCTCCATTCCCCAAGTACAAAGATTCTCTCCTCCTGCCATGCAGCCACTTCTGGGTGATGGGGGATGGATGGTGTCAGCAATTCAAGACTGTCTTTCCTACCCTGTTCAGTGCCTCTTTCAGAGATATGAAGTTAAAACCAGGTACTGTGATTTTTTTTGTTACTGTTCTTATGAAGGTGTTTGTTTTCTGTGTAGATAAACTTCAGACTTGGTGTTCCTGCAGGGAGGATGATTGGTGGAGGCTTCTATTTGGCCATCTTACTCTGCCTCCTCCCCCAGCAAAAGATTTCTTGAAGGGTGAGAGAAGCTGCACAACTTTAGGGCTGACATAGCTGATGTATTTTTACCTGCTGAGCATGTTTGTTGTTCAAGAACTGGGGATCATATTTATCTTACATATTCTCTTATAATATCATAGAATCATAGAAGTAAAGTAGCTTTTCATCTTGCCAAACGAAGCCCCTCTTGCTTGTTTGAATGTAAAAATTGATTTCATGGGCACTTAGTTCTAAAGAATAATCTGAATGATGCAATCCACACCAAAGCTTCAATTTATGGATAGGTAAACTCTTCTTTAGATTCTTTATTTTACTACAGTATAAGAATAGATAGTCATTTGTAAATTTTGGCTGCTCATTTTTAGTCCTGGAAAGAATTAAATGTCTGCATGTTGAATAAAATATACTATTGAGAGGTGAAGCCAGCTGGAATTCTGGGTCAGATGGAGACTTGGAGAACTTTTGTGTCTAGCTAAAGGATTGTAAATGCACCAATCAGCACTCTGTGTCTAGCTAAAGGATTGTAAATGCACCAATCAGCACTCTGTAAAATGGACCAATCAACACTCTGTAAAATGGACCAATCAGCATTCTGTAAAATGGACCAATCCACACTCTGTAAAATGGACCAATCAGCAGGATGTGGGCAGGGCCAAATAAGGGAATAAAAGCTGGCCACCCGAGCCAGTGGTGGCAACTCGCTCGGGTCCCCTTCCACTCTGTGGAAGCTTTGTTCTTTCATGCGTCACAATAAATCTTGCTGCTGCTCACTGTTTGGCTTTGCACTACCTTTAAGAGCTGTAACACTCACTGCAAAAGTCTGCGGCTTCACTCCTGAAGTCAGTGAGACCACGAACCCACCAGAAGGAAGAAACTCCAGACACATCTGAACATTTGAAGGAACAAACTCTGGACACACCATCTTTAAGAGTTGTAACACTCACCAAAAAGGTCTGCAGCTTCATTCTTGAAGTCAGTGAGACCAAGAACCCACCAGAAGGAATAAATTCCGGACACATTTTGGCTACCATGGAGGGACAATCACCAAGCGGTGAGTATCATCGGACCCCTTTTGCTTGCTATTCTGTCCTATTTTTCCTTAGAAGTTGGGGGCTAAATCCTGGGCACCTGTCAGCCAGTTAAAAGCGACTAGCCTGGCTGCTGGACTAAAGACATGGTTGTCAGGCTTTCTGGGAAAGTGTTCTCTAACAACCCCTGACTCTTTGGGAGTTGGGAGCGTTGGTTTGACTGGAACCAGCTTCTGCTTTTCCTGTACTTCTGGGCTGAGCTGAGGGTCGACAGATAGTAAAGCCATTCAGCTCCATGGTCCCAAGAACAAGTTGGTTGACCCTATGGCCATGAGCAGAACTCTCAAAGTCATGTCGCCCAAGCGAGACTCGCCCATGTATCCTGTTTATCCTGACCCTTGCCTCCTGGGTCCTAATGCTTGTCAGACAAACTTCATCTTGCTTCTGTTCTCCGAGGCTAGTCCTGCTTCTAAAATCCACTCCCTATCTCTGGTGCATTTCTAGTTTCTCCTATAAGAATGATTTCTAGTATAAATTTCAGGACACTGTTACTTTCTTTAGGCAATCGGGCTCACCAATCAGAAAGACATAATTTTTGCCCAAAGCCCCATCAGGGTGGGGGACTATCTGGAATTTTAGGATCCCTCCTCATATCTAGCAGGCCTAACAAAAGCTATTCCTGAAGCTAGGATATGGGAATCTTCAGAAATGGTATCTTTCCTATTCATATAAGTGAGGACAAAAGGCATCACTCTTCCAACTCTGGAGATCCCTTACCTCCCTCAGGGTATGGCCCTCCACTTCATTTTTGGGGCATAACATCTTTATAGGACAGGGGTAAAGTCCCAATACTAACAGGAGAATGTTTAGGACTCTAACAGATTTTTGAGAATGCATCAGTAAGGGCCACTAAATCCGATTTTTTTCAGTCCTCTTCATGATCTGGTAGGACAGGCAAGGGTGCAGCTTTTCGAGAATGCATCGGTAAGGGCCACTAAATCTGAACTTCCTCGGTGCTCCTTGTGGTCTAGGAGGAAACCTTGTGTTTTTGCTGCTGCGTCAGTGAGTGCAACTATTCTGATCAGCAGGGTCCAGGGACCATTGCAGGTTCTTGGGCAAGAGGTGTTTCTGCTGCTGCATCAGTGAGTGCAACTATCCTGATCAGCAGGGTCCAGGGACCATTGTGGGTTCTTGGGCCGGGGGTAGAAACAAACCAAAACTACGAGCAGTTTTGTCTTTCAGATGGGAAACACTCAGGCATCAACAGGCTCGCCCTTCAAATGCATGCTAAGCCATTGGGACCAATTTGACCCACAAACCCTGAAAAAGAGGTGGCTCATTTTTTTCTGCACTACAGCCTGGCCCCAATATTCTCTCTCTGATGGGGAGAAATGGCCACCTGAGGGAAGTATAAATTACAATACTATCCTGCAGCTTGACCTTTTCTGTAAGAGGGAAGGCAAATGGAGTGAAATACCTTATGTCCAAGCTTTCTTTTCACTGAAGGAGATTCCGCAACTATGCAAAGCTTGCAATTTATATCCCACAAGAGGACCTCTCATATCCTAGCCTCCCTATAGCTCCCCTTCCTATTAATGATAAGCCTCCTCTAATCTCCCCTGCCCAGAAGGAAACAAGCAAAGAAATCTCCAAGGGACTACAAAAACCCCTGGACTATTGGTTATGTCCCCTTCAAGCTGTAGGGGGAGGGGAATTTGGCCCAACTTGGGTACATGTCCCCTTCTCCCTCTCTGATTTAAAGCAGATCAAGGCAGACCCATAGAAGCTTTCAGATGATCATGATAGGTATATAGATGTCCTACAGGGTCTAGGGCAAACCTTCTGTCTCACTTGGAGAGATGTCATGCTATTGTTAGATCAAACCCTGGCCTTTAATGAAAAGAATGTGGCTTTAGCTGCAGCCAGAGGATTTGGAGATACCTGGTATCTTAGTCAAGTAAATGATAGAATGACAGCCGAAGAAAGGGACAAATTCCCTACTGGTCAGCAAGCCATCCCCAGTATGGAAACCCACTGGTACCCCGACTCAGATCATGGGGACTGGAGTCACAAACATCTCTTGACCTGTGTTCTAGAAGGACTAAGGAGAATTAGGAAAAAACCCATGAATTATTTATTGATGTGCACCATAACTCAGGGAGAGAAGAAAATCCTTCTGCCTTCCTCAAGCGGCTATGGGAGGCCTTAAGGAAATATACTCCTCTGTGATCCAACTCCCTCAAGGGTCAACTGATCCTAAAAGGTGAGTTTATTACCCAATCAGACACAGATATCAGGAGAAAGCTCCAAAAGTGAGCCCTGGGCCCTGAACAAAATCGGGAGACATTATTAAACCTGGCACTCTCGTTGTTCTGTAATAGGGACCAAGAGGAACAGGCTGAAAAGGAAAATCAAGGTCAGAGAAAGGCTGCAGCCTTAGTCATGGCCCTCAGACAAAAAAACCTTGGTGGTTCAAAGAGGATAGAAAATGGAGCAGACCAATCACCTGGTGGGACTTGTTATCAGTGTGGTGTGCAAGGACACTTTAAGAAAGATTATCCAATGAGAAACCAGCTGCCCCCTTGCCCATGTCCACTATGCTGAGGCAATAACTGGAAGGTACACTGCCCCAGAGGACAAAGTTTCTTTGTGCCAGAAGCCCCCAACCAGATGATCCAACAACAGGACTGAGGGTGCCCAGCTCAAGCACCAGCTCATGTCATCACCCTTACTGAGCCCTGGGTATGTTTAACCATTGAGGGCCAGGAAATTGACTTCCTCCTGGACACTGGCACAGCTTTCTCACTGTTAATCTCCTGTCCCAGACAGCTGTCCTCAAGGTCCGTTACCATCTGAGGAATCCTGGGACAGCCTGTAACCAGGTATTTCTCCCACCTCCTCAGTTGTAATTGGGAGACTTTTCTACAGATAGTAAGTATGCTTATCTAATCCTACATGTCCATGCTACAATGGGAAAGAAAGGGAGGTCCTAACCTCTGGGGGAACCCCCATTAAATATCACAAGGAAACCATGGAGTTATTGCATGCAGTGCAAAAACCCAAAGAGGTGGCAGTCTTACGCTGCCAAAGCCACCAAAAGGGGAAGAACAGGGGAGAACAACAGCATAAGTGGCTGGCAAAGGCAGGGAAAGACTAGTAGAAAGAAAAGAGAGAAAGAGACAGAAAGTAACAGACAGAGAGAGAGGAAGAGACAGAGGCAAAGAGGGAGTCAGAAAGAGAGAGACAAAGAAGAAGTCAAAGAGAAAGAAAGAGAGATGGAAGTAGTAAAGAAAAAACAGTGTACCCTATTCCTTTAAAAGCCAGGGTAAATTTAAAACCTATAATTGATAATTGAAGGTCTTCTCCGTGACCCTATAACACTCCAATACCACCTTGTTGTCAGTGTAAATAAGGGCATAGCCCAAAAGCACTGAGGCCACTGACAACCTGTAGCCTTCTTATCAAAAATCCTTAACCCAGCAGGTTTCCTAACAGGGGATCTAAATCTTAATTAATTACGATACAAAGGTCTGACCACACCTAGGAAGACCTCCCTTCAGGACAGGATGATAGATGGTTCCTCCCAGGCAATTAAGGGAAAAAGACATAATGGGTATTCAGTAAGTGATAAGAAAACTCTTGTAGAAGCAGTTAGGAAAATTGCCTAATAATTGGTCTGTTCAAACATGTGAGCTGTTTCCACTCAGCCAAACCTTAAAGTACCTACAGAATCAGGAAGGAGCTATCTATACCAATTATAAGTTAATATGGACTGAACAAGGTCTTATTAATAGCAAAGAATAATTGAAATCGCAAACTTACAAGGTTTTCAACTAAAGTAAAGTTTGCTAAAAGTTAACAGTGTAACATGTATTATTCTACTACCACACACTCTTAAAGGATTTCTCAGACAGTTTGCAAGAAATAACAAAATCTATCCTTACTCTACAATCCCAAATAGACTCTTTGGCAGCAGTGACTCTCCAAAACTGCCAAGGTCTAGACCTCCTCACTGCTGAGAAAGGAGGACTCTGCACCTTCTTAGGGGAAGAGTTTTGTTTTTACACTAACCAGTCAGAGATAGTAAGAGATGCCACCCGGCATTTACAGGAAAAGGCTTCTGAAATCAGACGCCTTTCAAACTCTTATACCAACCTCTGGAGTTGGGCAACATGGCTTCTCCCCTTTCTAGGTCCCGTGGCAGCCATCTTGCTATTACTCACCTTTGGGCCCTGTATTTTTAACCTCCTTGTCAAATTTGTTTCCTCTAGGATCAAGGCCATCAAGCTACAGATGGTGTTACAAATGGAACCCCAAATGAGCTCAACTAACAACTTCTACTGAGGACCCCTGGACTCACCCGCTGGCCCTTTCACTGACCTAAAGAGTTCCCCTCTGGAGGACACTACAACTGCAGGGCCCCTCCTTTGCCCCTATCCAGCAGGAAGTAGCTAAAGCGGTCATCACCCAGATCCCAACAGCAGCTGGGGTCCCCTGTTTAGAGGGGGGATTGAAAGGTGAAGCCAGTGGGGCTTCTGGGTCAAGTGGGGACTTGGAGAACTTTTGTGTCTAGCTGAAGGATTGTAAATGCACCAATCAGCACTCTGTGTCTAGCTAAAGGATTGCAAACGCACCAATCAGCACTCTGTAAAATGGATCAATCAGTGCTCTGTAAAATGGACAAATCAGCAGGATGTGGGTGGGGACAAATAAGGGAATAAAAGCTGGCCACCCGAGCCAGCAGCGGCAACCCACTTGGGTTCCCTTCCACGTGGAAGCTTTGTTCTTTTGCTCTTCACAATAAATCTTGCTGCTGCTCACTGTTTGGGTCTGCACTACCTTTAAGAGCTGTAACACTCACTTTGAAGGTCTGTGGTCTCACTCCTGAAGTCAGCAAGACCATGAACCCACCAGAAGGAAGAAACTTTGGACACATCTGAACATCTGAAAGAACAAACTCCAGACACACCATCTTTAAGAGCTGTAACACTCACTGCAAAGGTCCGCAGCTTCATTCTTCAAGTTGGAGAGACCAAGAACCCACCAGAAGGAATAAATTCCAGACACACTATTTGCAGAGGAAAAAATTCGTGCGATCTTTTTGTCTTATTACTTACTTCAGTGAGCTTATATTTGAATTATTAAGAAACATAAGAAAAAAAGTGAAAAAGATCCCAAGTATGAAACAATATAGCAAAGTTTGGTGAAGTTCAGGTGAGAGGCAGTTTGGTGAGAACTGAAATTGTCATAAAAGAAGTTTTTTTATTCATGCTGGTTATTTCATTATTAGAGAGGAAGTTGATAACACTGGGGATCTGGGGTCAAGTTTGTCAGAAGATTTCTATTACTCCTATTTTTTCAGAGCAAAAATAAATAAATAAGCAAATTTTAACCTTATTGAAATTGCTGGTAGCTTATTTATTTTTTGGTACCTCACCACTGGATATATATAAAAAATAACTAATCATTGATGTGCTTTCCTTTTTTTTCCTCTCAAAGCATGAGTTATTTATATATATAATAATGATATTATACAATAGATGAGCTTAACTCCTCTCTATAATTCCAGGAGGATGCCATTTAAGGAGCCACACCTATGCCTGCCCTTCTACTAACTCTGCGATAAGTTTGCTAGCCCTAGAAGCTGAGGATACTGAGAAAAGCACATGTGATTCTTAATAAAACAAAACATTATCCCAGAGAATTTGACACAAGTTGATGATCAAATATCTTGGATTCTCTGATCAGTCACACTTTATACTTTTTACTCCAGAATAATAATGGCTTAGTCTTTCATTCTCTAAAGCATCCTGGTCTGCATAATACATTATACTCTCTGGTTTTAGAGGGAATCACGTATTTCCTTTGTCTTTAATTGTAGAATTGCTTGCTTTTCCACGGCAAAAGTATAATCTATGACATGTTTGTTGTCCTTGTTGATACCCATAAGGCTTCACACCTAGATGGTGCTCAATAAAGTTTACTCTATTGAAGAAAACAGTAACAAAACTGAGAATAAACTTGAAGGGAAACAATATGTCCCTGACAAAGTGTTAAGAATAGCAGTAGTAGAGGGTCAAAGGGTAATGGGTATCTACTGAAATATGACACAGGTTACACGATGTGGTTCTATACTGAGATATATTTCCAGTGTATTACCTGACCTTTCTCTTGGTTTTGAGATTCTATCTCAATTCTGAATAAATATTCTTTTAAAAAGATTTTATCTTCTATATATGGTTAAATAAGCATCTAGTCTTACCCTATTTATTACAAGATCTATTAAGCATCACAGTTAATGCTGTTAATATGTTTGTTCATTTACTCTGTAAGCTCTTTTTGAAACTGTCTTATTGTTTACAGAAGCATCAAGAAATATTATGATGATTATTACTAGGATTTATGACTTGCAGTTTCTGACTTGGGGGTTTAACATACTTTTAATTGCATGTAGTAAACAGAGCATCTTTCCTCCCCAGATTTCCCAGAACCATATTTAAGTGAACCTTAGAACATAAAGAATTTTAACCACTGAGAAGAATGCAAGAAATTGGTTTTCTGGTAAAGAAATTAATAAAGAGGATATTCTTGAAGATGTCTGCAACAATCTCTATTTTACTTGTACATAAATAGAGCAACAATAATATTCTCGTACCCATGTGTAGTAAATACAAAGGAAAAAGAAGGAAAATTGAAAATACTGTCCATCCTCATTGACTTGTTTCAAATTGGTTTTTTACACATTTCAGGAGAGCACTAGCTAAACCTATTTATATGGAGGAAAGCTACAGAGTGTCTCCTTTCCTCTTAGAAAAGACAAAGGAAATTTTCAAACACCTCTGTGCGTTTAGATGGTTGCTGTGGACTACTTTGTCTGCCTCA